>NC_000008.11:125714222-126339222 GCF_000001405.40 Homo sapiens | reverse complement strand
ATACTTATACACTGTTGGCAGGAGCATAAATTAGGTCAAGTATTGTGGAAGACAGCATGGCGATTCCTTAAAGACCTAAAGACAGAAATACTATTTAACCCAGCAATCCAGTTACTGGCTTAAATGGTATTGATATTACCCAAAGGAATATAAATTGTTCTATTATAAAGACACATGCGTGGATATGCATTATTGACAATAGCAAAGACATGGAATCAACCTAAATGCTCATTAATGATTGACTAGATAAAAGTTGTACATATACATCATGGAATACTATGCAGCCATAAAAAATAATGAGAATATGTTTTTTGCAGAGACATGAGTGCAGCTGGAGGCCATTATCCTTAGCAAACTGACACAGAAATGGAAAACCAAATATGGCATGTTCTCACTTGTAAGTGGGAGCTAAATGATGAGAACACATGAGCACACAGAAGGGAACAACAGACACTGGGACCTATCAGAGAATGGAAGGTGGGAAGAGGGAGAGGATCAGAAAAAATAACTAATGGATACTAGCCTTAATACCTCAGTGATAAAATAATCTGTATAACAAACCCCCCATGACACTCATCTACCTATGTAACAAACCTGCATGTCCTGCACGTGTACCCCTGAACTTAAAATAAAAGTTAAAAAAAAGTCTGTTTCATCTGATATAAGAATAGCTACTCCTGCTCACTTTTGGTTTTCATTTGTGGGGAATATCTTTTTCCATCCCTTTACCTTAAGTTTATGTGAGTCCTTATGCATTAGATGAGTGTCTTGAAGACAGCAGATACTTGGTTGGTGGATTTTCACCCATTCTGCCATTCTGTATCTTTAAGTGGGGCATTTAGGCCATTTACATTCAATGTTAGTATTGAGATGTGAGGTACTGTTCCATTCATCATGTTAGTTGTTACCTTAATACCTTATTGTTATTGTTGTTTTCCATTGTGTTATTGTTTTATATGCCCTGTGAGATTTATGCTTTAAGAAGGTTCTATTTTGGTGTATTTTGAGCTTTGGTTTCAAGATTTAGAACTCCTTTTAGCATTTTTTGTAGTGCTAGTTTAGTAGTGGTGAATTGTCTCAGCATTTGTCTGTCTGAAAAAGAGTCTATCTGTCCTTTGTATGTGAAGCTTAGCTTTGCTGGATACAAAATGTTTGGCTGACAATTATTTTGTTTCAGGAGGCTGAAAATGGGACCCCAATCCTTTCTGGCTTGTAAGGTTTCTGCTGAGAGGTCTGCCTTTAATCTGATAGGTTTTCCTTTATAGGTTATCTGATGCTTTTGTCTCACAGCTCTTAAGATTCTTTCCTTCATCTTGACTTTAGATAACCTGATGACCATGTGCCTAGGTGATTATCTTTTTATGGTGAATTTCCCAGGTGTTCTTTGAGCTTCTTGTATTTGGATATCTAGATGTCTAGCAAGGCCAGGGAAGTTTTCCTCAATTATTCCATCAAATAAATTTTTCAAACTTTTAGATTTTTCTTCTTCCTCAGGAACACCAATTATTCTTAGGTTTGGCTATTTAACATAATTCCAAATTTCTTGAAGCCTTTGTTCATTTTTTAAAATTCCTTTTTTCTTTGTCTTTGTCTGATTGGGTTAATTTTAATTTGAAAGACTTGTCTTTGAGCTCTGAAATTCTTTCTTCTGCTCATTCTAGTCTGGTGTTGAAATTTTCCAGTGCATTTTTTATTTCTTTAAGTGTGCTTTTCACTTCCAGAAATTGTGATTGTTTTTTCTTTATGATGCCTATTTTTCTGGAGAATTTTTTATCCATATCCTGTGTTTTTTAAAATTTCTTTGTTTTTTTATCTTTCTCTGATATCTCCTTGAGTAGCTTAAAAACTAACCTTCTGAATTCTTTATCCAGCAATTCAGAAATTTTTTTTATTGGTTTGGATCCATTGCTGGGAAGCTGGTATGATTTTTGGGGAGTGTTACAGAACCTTGTTTTGTCATATTACCAGTATTACTTTACTGGTTCCTTCTTACTTGGGTAGACTACTTTAGTGGAGAGGTCTGGAGCTCAAGGCCTGCTGTTCAGATTCTCTTGTCCCATGGGGTGATCCCTGAATGTGATGCTCTTCCTGTTCCTGTGGGGATGGGCTTCCTGAGAGCTAGACTACAGTGATTGTTATTGCCCTTCTGGATCTAGCCACCCAGCAGGAATACCAGGCTCCGTGATGGCGCTGGAGTATGTCTGCAAAGAGTCCTGTTATGTGACCCATCTTCAGGTTTCCCAGCCATGGATACCAGCACCTGCTCTGGTAGATGTGGCAGGGAAATGAAGTAGACTCTGTGAGAATCCTTGGTTATAGATATGTTTAGTGTACTGGCTTTCTCTAATACTGGTTATGCTAGCAGTGAAGTTGTCACATGGCCACCCTCAGGGCCTCTGGTTAGCCAGGATTTTGCAGACAGTTGAATTAGGTGTTGTCTTCTCCTTCTTGGGATAGGAGTTATTCTGTCATGAGTTGCTGTAATGACCTGAGTTCGTTGGCCTCCAACCAGGAGGTAGCACTTTCAAGCAAGCACCAGCTGTTGTAATAGTAGGGGGCTCTAAGCTTGCCCTAAGATAGCCAGGGTAAGTATTTTGGTTTCTCAGGTGATAGGCAGGGATATAAAGCTCCCAGAGTTTTTATGTTTTGTGTTCAGCTACCAGGGTGAGTAGGGGAATACTATCAGGGAAGGGAGGGTTAGGAGGGTCTGATCTCAGAGTCTCCTGGGGTGGGGCTTGCCACAGCCACTATGGGGGATGGGAGAGTTGTTCTCAAGCCAATGGGATTATGTTCCAGAGGAGATCTTGGCTGCCTCTGCTGTGTTATATAGTTTACCAGGGAAGTAGGGGATAACCAGCAGTGAGAAGGCTTACCCAGCTCCCACACAGTTGGTGAGGCCGGTATTGCTCCCACAGTGCCCCACTCAAACCTTGCCCCAGGCTGTGAGCTACCCTGCTAAGAAAGCAAGTACAGCTTTTGGACCTTGCCCCTCCCTATCTGCCCACTCCATCCGTGGCAGCTCCTGCACTCCTGTGCTTGCATACTGGCTTGCACGTATTCAGAGCAGCTCCTTCTAGTCTCCTAGACTCCACTCAAGAAAAGTTGTGCCCAGTCAAACCACAACCAATTTCAGTTGGGAACTTCCTTTGCCCCATGGTACCTCCCCAATTTTGCTGGCTGCCTTTCCCAAGGGCCCCTGTGAGATATAGGCAGGGTTGGCTTCCCTGGGCTCAAGCTGGAGACTGGGAGTGTGTTCAAGGCACTTCCCGCTTCTACTCGTACCTATATATTTCTTGTGACTCCCTAACCCATTTCATCTCTAGGTAAGGTTAAATCTTTCTCCCATGATCTGCATTTTCAGATTCTCCAGTGGGGATGTGTGTTCAGAGGCAGGATTTTTTCCCCCAACTCACAATTTGGGAACTCATTTTTTTCACGTGTTTTATGGAATTTTCAGCAGCATGCCACTTCTTTCAAAGAATCCGTGAATTCTTTCAGTTTTCTTGGTATGTTCTTTTGGTGGTTCTTGGAGCAAAAATCACACTGTTAGTCTCCACACACTCTTCTGTCCATTCACGTGGTAGCTACGTATTAGCCCTGTCTCCTATCTGCCATTTTCCCTGTCATTTTTAGTAAGTGTTTTTTTTTTTAACATCTTTACTTTTTTTTTTTTTTTTTTGAGACGGAGTCTTGCTCTTTCACCCAGGCTGGAGTGCAGTGGTGCAATCTCTGCTCACTGCAAACCTGCCCCCTGGGTTCACACCATTCTCCTGCCTCAGCCTCCCAAGTAGCTGGGACTATAGGCGTCTGCCACCAGGCCCCAGCTAATTTTTTGTATTTTTAGTAGAGATGGGGTTTCACCCTGTTAGCCAGGATGGTCTCAATCTCCTGACCTCGTGATCTGCCCGCCTCAGCCTCTCAAAGTCCTGGGATTACAGGCATGAGCCACCGAGCCTGGCCTTTAAACATCTTTACTTCTTAGTTTTCCAATTTGTGAAGGATCTTGGTTGCAAGACTCTGTCCAACTTAGGCATACAACGACTTTATTGGGAGGCTACTGATTAGCTCTCATAATCAATTGGAAGTCTGAAGAACAAGGCGTGGGATGTGGGCAGAAACAAAGTTAGGAGGTGTGTAAATTTGGCAGTAAGGAAAGAACCCAGCCAAGTTCAGCTCTTATGAGAAGAAAACTCCCTAAGCAATGATCAACACTGTGGAGTCTAGAATTATGAACGATTTCACCTCTTGAAGTAGCCTCTCCAGAAACAACCTCTGTAATTAGGTCACTTCTGTAAACTTCTGTCTTACCCTACTTGATAGCCACCCCCACTTCCCACTCTGAATTCTCTGTTTTTTTGTATGTGTGTGTGGAGATTCATACACAAATCTGAATTTAGCTTATCAGAAACCTATGTAAGTTCTGTCTTTTAGGTTTTAATTGACATTGTACCCTCTTTATATACCTTTTCCCAGAAAAACTTGGTTGCACTGGGTCTCTTTCTATCAGATAAAGAGTCAGAGTAGAAAGAATACCTAGAAAGAAACCTAACCCACAAGCAAGTCTATGGCCAGAAAGGAAAAGCTATATGCCAATGGGTAGATAGCTTGCTAGTAGAGAGCTGAAGACAAAATAGAAACAGAAAAAAAAAAAATAGATAAAAAAGAGTGAAAACACCAAGGACTAACTAGATTTTCCTATTTCCAGTTTGCCAAATGGCCATCCTGGAATATCATGTTTGTATGCATATGTGTGTGCATATGTGTGTGTGTGTGTGTGTGTGTGTGTGTGCTGTGGATCGACAGGGTTGCCCTATTTTTGTAAGAGAAGTTGTTAAGGAATTATTATATATAATGCTTGATGGTAGTTGGAGACCAGTTTGGAAAGTCAACGCATCCAAGAAGTGCTTGCTGAGGGTCAGTTAATGTGCCAGGTGCTAGGAACCCAGAGCTTTACAGGAGTTCGCCCAGCTAAGTGAGGATGCAGTGGAGTATTAAAGGAAATCCTAGTCTGGAGTGGAGTTAATGGGAGATCGTGAAATAAATAAATGTGCTCAATCAGTGCAGAAACTAGCATAAAAGGACTAATAAGAACTGATTGTTGAGTTTTTTTAGGCTGTAAGACCATTGATAATACCTAACAGATCATAACAATTGCACAAGATATTCTGTAGCTATTCCCTTTATTACATTGTATAATGGGGACTCATTTGCAAGTGAATATCTGTCTCAAATAGCAGTCTGAAATGAGGACAAGCTGTATGTTCAAGCATTAGGCAAAATTCACCCCAGAATGACCCATATTCATTTAGGTAGTTGGTTTTACTCTCCATATACACCTCTAAGGCTGGGAAACATGGATGTTTACCCCAGGCAGATGCAAAGGTCATCCTTCTGTCCTTCTGAAGGAGCCAATACTGGTCCAGTCACTGGCTCTAAATGTATGTTTCCTACAATTACCCTTCCAAGAGCTGTTCACTTTGTCCTCTGGTGATTCTTCATCCACTATTGGGTGTTTGGAAGGAACTAAATGACATTAATTGTGTTTCTTAAAAACAGATGCCTTTTCATAAAGCCATAAAATAGCAGCTGCAGCATCTTGGAACTTTTCCTTGAGATGGTTGTTTTGGGTTTTCAATTTCTAAAGAAACGGGACAAGTTTTGGGTTTCGGATTAGTAAAGAAACCATGCCAATTGCACTAGAATCCCCTCATAAAACTGCTTTTCTTAAAGGACAATAACTGTGGAAGATGCCGTCTCCTAGAGCTGTCAAAATTCAGGGCTATCAGCAAGGTATTTGTTACTGATATATTAATAGACATTGGGGGTGGGGTGGAGACAGGCTTAATGTTTCTTTTGAAAATTACAGCTGCTGCTGTGGGCACTCATAATAATGAGAGCTCTGCTGTGAAGATGACTGCAGCCACAGTTGTGAAACTTCGCAGGAAACGCAGGCATGAAATCAGAGTCCCTAATTCTTCAAAAAGAGCTCTTCTGTTACTTTGTTCACAGGAGCAGGCTATTTAAACTAGCTCCCTTAGAGGACAGGGAGTTAAAACTTCTTCCTATTACAACTTTGCTGATGACCAGAAACACTGAAACCTTTGGGAAGATAAAGGACAAATAGTAAATCAAAATTGTATTTACTCTGCAAAATCCTCAAGGGGGTTTAGCCGTCTTTAAAGCCAGAGATCTCATTTTCAACTGAGATTCTTTTACCACAGTTGAGTCATGTGATGTGACTTTGGCTCAGCTTTAATTTGCTTACCTATAAAATGTCAATAACCATGCCTTCTCATTTTTTGTTGTAAGCAGTAAACAGGACCTCATGTGTAAAGTGCCTAGTATTTTGTAAATGCACAAAATACATTTATATGTGTGTTTACATGTGAGTATCTACATCAAAGATAGGGTTGGAAATGACTTTCTTTGTACTTAATTTCTGTCTCTCCTTCCAGTTTCTCATTATTTTTACACTACTCTCCGTGTTTGGATCTTCTCTCTCTGCTCATTTCTTTTTTCAATCATTTACATTAAAACACTAAAACAAATACTGTTTTCCCAGCTATCCAGGTATCCCTTAGCATAGTTAAGTTGACACATAAAATTAACATAAAGCTCACACACCTCATCACGATGGAATAAAATCAACTTCTTGGTTCTCTCAAGGCTATGTAATACCTGTGTTGCCAAAGAATAAAACAAAAGCCAGAGGCGTTTTTTGTTTTTAAAAGAAGCTTAGTCGATATATTTTCCCAATAAAAAACACTACCCGTGAAGAAGCTCTCCAAGTAGTTCTTTGACAAGTCAAGGCGATGGTGGTGCCTGTGGTGTGCTAGAAAAGCCCTGGTGGATGGTGGGGGAGGTTCATGGTGCTGATGCTAATTTAGGATTAAAAACTGGAACTCTTGATAAAACAATATGATTCATAAGTCAGTCCATGGTGGATCAAAATGAGTCCCAGAATTCATAAATCAGGAAAAGCCTTCCTTTGAGTCCAGGAGGGATGTGGTTTCCTCGGTCTAACTCAAAATTCAAGGTTGTTTCACAGCATTAGCTGGTTGGAACCATGGTGGTGGACACAGCAGTTAGTGTTCATGTAGCCTAAGGCAAGCACTGCTGTAAGTGGAACCTATCAGAGCTGAGACCAGTGTGATCAGGCTTGGTGGCTAGGGAGCAAAATTTAGAGAGGCGCTTACTCCTGGCACCATGCTGGTGTGGGGTTCACATCTGAAAGTGAGTGTCTCATTAAATATTCTGTCCTAGGCATCCCACATATCTCATCCTCATCTTGGTCCTGCTCTGAACACATGTGCAGAGATTTTAGAGTCTCATTTCAGGAAATGAGACCTAGTGTATTTCAAAGCTGATGGGGACCTTAGATGCCATCTTTATACTATCCCTCCCATTTGAGAGAAAAGCAAACAAAATCCAGAGAAGAGAAATAAATTGTTCAAGTCACAAAAATGACCCAAGTCTCCTGAATCTCAGTGTGAGGCCAGCTGGGGATCACTCCCCTCCTCAGCATGGAGTCTGGTATATTGATCATGGGGCTTCCATGTTCATTTTCCCTGACTTTATCAATGACAGAATGCACTCAGTGTACATGTCCCTTTCCTGGGCTGCTATGTGCTCAGAGGAAGCCAGTGTGGAGGGCAGAGAGGAGGGTGGGGACAGGGAGAAAAGGAGTTAACTTTTATGGATTTCTACATTTGGGTCAGATATTGTGTAGAGGATTTTGCGTATATCATTTTATTTCTTCACAACACCCTGTCAGAAGGATATTTTGTCCCCATTGAAAAGATGAAACTGAACTTAAAAAACTGAACTAGCAAAAGGCAGGACTGGGATTTATAGACAGGTCTGTCAGGTTCTGTATCAGTTAGAGATCTTTTAGTTGCAAGTGACAGAAAACCTAACTAAACTGTCAGAAGCCAAAAGTGGTCTGTTGTTTCATGAAACTACCAAGGCCAGAAGGATCCCTAACTTTTCTCAGCTGGATTTGTCATCTAGTCTCAGCCTCCCTTTCTCTCTTAGTTCTGCTCCTCTTCCTTTTATCATTGTTCTTAGGCTTGGGTTTGACAGTAAGATGGCTGCCAGCAGTTCCTGGAAGATTTCTGCCAGGTTCAAGTTCAGAAGAAAAGAAGAAAATGTATTCTCAGTAGTTCTAGGAAATATCATATTGTATTTCACAGATTCTGAATGGGTCACATGCACACACAGTGGCCAAAAACAATGTGATGCTCTGATTGGTCAGGCATGAGTCACATGCTTGCTGCTACAGCCACAGATGGTATTAATGCCACCTGACACACATGTTTTGGGAGTGGACAGATTAGTGCTTTTTTCTGTTAGCAGAAAATGGGTAATATGGCTAAGAGGAAAAAACTTCAGCTGGCACCATAGGCTCCTACATCTGATGCCATTTATAAAACCCAAAAAGAGGATGTAAAATCAAACCACTGGGGAAATATATTTGAGGCTTAGGAGTTATAGTAAAACCTCCCTAATATTACAGGATTGTGCACAATTGGGGCAGAGAAGAGGCAATGTAATATAACCCCCTGAGTGTAGCATGATGATATAATTGAATCAAAATATGTTGGCTTAGAAAGAAAAAAAGAGAAATTTCCTCTCACAGTTTCACCAATTACCAGAGGAATAGGAAGTAATATCAATGTGGGCCTATAGATAAAATAAGTAGTTCGTGTAAAATCATCTCAGTTTCATTTCAGGATCATGTTAAAATAAATTCACCAGGTAGCCCATTGGATTTGAGTCATCAGATAGAATTCAACAAACATTTTCTAAGTACTTCACTGTGTGCTATACTGGAGTAGCTGGTGGGGAGGGAAGCTTCAGTTGAAGGAAAACCCCAAACACAGAACAGGAGAGTGAATCAGGAAAGTCAGACTCTGGGACAGCAGGGCTGGTGTGGTAGGGGGCAGGCAAACGGATGAAGGCTTTCTGTGGGGCATGTGGCACCCTTGCGGCCCTCTGCTCAAACCACCCCCGACCCCACCAAGGCTTCCAGGTGCCAGCTCCTGCATTTCTTTGCCTCAGGACTTTCTGTTGCTGTAAGAGACCCTTTTCCCACCTACAGCAGGCAGGAAGAGCCAGGGAAGTAACTTCTGTACCATCCCAGCACTAGCAGCCCTCAGCCAATGACTAGTGGAAATGGATGCCTGCATACCAAGCTCCCTTGCCCTTCTAGGGGTAGGGGTGGGTGGGTAACTCAGGGATTTGTGTTTCACACTGACTCCCAGGGATTCCTCAAGGGAGTAAGCTACAGTTGTCCACACTGATAGCTGGCTTGATAACGCACCCTGTGTTGATGGCCTTCCCTTCTTTGTCTCACTTCTCCACTCCCCTACTGGTCTTCACATCCCAAATAAACTACTTGCATTCAATTTCTTGCTTCAGGATCTGCTTCTGGGGAAAGCAAAGACTGGAGATGGAAATTGCTGCTATTGAAGATGTGGATGTGTGATTGTGGACTAGGAAATGCCTAAGGACCAGGCAAGTAACGACTTCAATATTGTGTCAGCTCAGAGCTTCTGTGCCTACCTTCGGAGACTAGATTGTGTTTTTCCAAAATTCCAAATAGGGCTTTGTCTATTTTAGGTATTGAAAGAGGGTGTATTAGTCTGTCCTCATGCTGCTAATAAAGACATGCCCAAGACTGGGTAATTTTGTAAAGGAAAGAGGTTTAATGCACTCACAATTCCACATAGCTAGGGAGGCCTCACAATTGTGGCAGAAAATAAAGGAAGGGCAAAGGGGTGTCTTCCATGGTGGCAGGCAAAAAGAGCCTGTGCAGGGGAACTCCCATTTATAAAACCATCAGAGCTCATGAGACTTATTTACTACCATGTGAACAGTATGTGGGAAACTGCCCCCATGATTCAATTATCTCCACCTGGTCCCATTCTTGACACATGGAGATGATTACAAACCAAGGTGAGATTTGGGCGGGGACACAGATAAACCATATCAGAGGGTATCCAAGCCTTGAGCCCTTGAGAAAATGTCAGAGAAGCTCAGCAGCAGGAGTCAGGTGACGTCAGTGTCATCTTCTGACACTCTCTGTCTTGCTCTTTATGCCTTAGCAACATCTCAAGGATTTCCCTTTTCCCCAAGTCCAGTGCTGTTTCCTCTTTCCTTGCTGTACTATTCCTTGTGATTTTTCCTTCCTATCTGGAGATAACCCATTTCTTTGTCAATCTTGTAAAATCCTTCTTTAAGACTCAGCTGTTGAGTCCTTTCAGAGCAGTGAATGTTTCCCTCCATAATAGCAGCTCCATATTATATTAAGTTACTGTGTTGCACTCCTGCTGTCCCCCGCTGTGCCTGCAACCAGATTGGAAAAGTGAAGAGGGCAAGAACTGTGTTCATCAGAATCCTCAGAGTGAAAGTGTTCCAGCAGCCTGCAAAAGTAGCAGCAAATACGACTAGGGGAAGAAGGAATTGAGCATCTACTCTTGAAGTGGGCCGGGCAACACAACAGAGTAGAAAGCATTTTTGAGCTTGCTGCTGGAGGCTTATGCTTGGGGGTCATGGAGAATTTTTAGAGGAGAAGTTGAAAGAGGCAGACACATGGGAACATGGGAACACAATGCCTATTTAGAAGAGAGCAAGTGGCTTGGGTACAGGAGAGTTTCCAGAGGGTGGGGAGATGAAGCTGGGCATGGTGGACCTTCAGGAGTAGACCATGGACCACTAGAAGCAAACATCATGTCCCCTAAGACCTTATAAGAATTGCAGAATTTGGGCTTACTGAAAAAGAATATGCATCGTAACAAGATTCCCAGGTGACTGGTATGCACATGAAAGTTCCTGAAGCCCTAGGAAGTTCTTGCAGATTTTGAGATCCAGCAGTGATGTGCTCAGGCAGAGTAGCCGAGGTCTCCTCTATCACCTGAGCAAAGCAATACAGAATTATTTGAATTAATTTTAAATTATCAACGACCCTAAGCTTCTGTTTTCCATTTCTCTTCTTGACAAAGCCAGAGATGAACTTGACTATTATTGTCAACAACTTGCTTTACTACCTCCTCCCCTTTACAGATGGTTTTTATGTGGGAAGCTGCTTGACAGAGGGGAATGACGCTACATAGCAAAGTCTTTTGGATATAAGAAGAGGCGTGTCTATTCCCATTTTTCCCTTCCTTTCTCCCTCCTTCCCTCCCTCTTTTCCTTTATTCCTTCTTTCCTCATGAAACACATGATGAATTCACCTCCTTGCATTCCAGGGATCCAGAGAGGCTAAAGATCAGGTGAAATGAACATGTCAATAAGAAGAAAAAATTCAAATTGACCTATCATTTTACATTTAAGATGTTTGAATGTATATTCTTGTTTCAGAGACTAGGCTACCAAATAAAAGTTCTAACATTGAATTTTTATATTAGAAATTATTTCAAAACTGTGTTTTAAAATTTACTGTTACCCAAAATCTAAACCTACTCCTGGCTTCCCCCTATTGCTGGACAATTACCACCTTGCCACAGCTGTTTTATGCATGGATAAGTATATGTCTCATAAAATTTACTAGCAGAAAAATAACAGGCAATATTATGACAAAATCCTGACAGATTTTTTACACTGACGTATTAATCATAGGGCTTATGTAGCATCTCAATGTGACCAAATAGTAATTATAGTTTGGACGTTTTGGTGGTTACCTGAATAATGTCAAGCATGACTGCAAATATCTTTTCCTTAGCAGCATAAAAAAAAATATCTATTACTTCATTGTTTGTCAAAATAGCCTTGGGCTATGTCTCTAGGATGCCAACTATAAGTCAGTTACCAGCTACCAGGAAATAGATATACTCACTTAGGCTTGAGTAATTGAATTCTTTAATTTGCATCCAGATGTTCTTGTGTGGAAGCTGCCTATGACCAGGAAATATGTACAGTGCAGATCAATAACTTGACAGGTTAGCATTATTTTGAATGTGTGGTTTCCTGTGTACAGCAAAAAGAATGAAATGCATTATTTAGTATCTTGCACATAGTAGGTGCCCAATGAGCCTTGTTGGGATGTTGCCATAAATACAGCAGGCTTTAAAACAGCACATCTTCTGTCCATTCTATATGTCTATTCAGTGCTTTTCTATAAATAGCCTGCACTGATTCCAATCCATAACCATTGTGTGACTTGATTTTAAGTGCCTTTAAACTTAAATAATGATGCTCTACAGGAATATTTAGATGAGGTTCAGTTGGACAACATGAATGCTGATAATAGGAGAGTTAATGAAGTCATAGGAACTATCTTGCCACTAATTCAATGTGATAGACTTGGGCTGATTACCCTATCCAAGCATATTGCTGGAATTTCTCTTTTAATGCAGGCAGAGTTTTCTAATCTGAGATAGAGAAACTCTTTCCAATACAAACTAGACAAGTGTAGCTGGTATTTGCAAAAGGAATGGACTCAAGAGGGAGATGCTGAGTGAGTTCTCCCAAGAAGCGGAGGCTTTCTGGATAGAACTGTGCTGAAGAGGTAGCAATGTTTAGCCAAACAAAGAAGAAAACAGTGCTTAGAGGCTAACAAAATAGTGTACTTAGAAATTGAACTTATTACATTCCTACCCTGTGAGTTAGGGCTTTCAAATCCAAAATGAAGCCTTTTTTCTTGCGTGTGTATAATCTCAATTAATCAAAACTCTTAATTAAGCCTTCATTTCTAGAGGGGAAATCATATAAGCTTTGAATCAGACAGAAAAGTGTTCTAACTACATTCATACAAACAACATAGTCTCTCTGAACCTTTGTCACAGTATTTGTAAAGTGGGTTTATTGTAAAAATTAAATGAGACAATGTAGGCAAACATTAGTCACTGCAAATTCCTGGCACATGGTAATAACAATGCAAATATTTGTTCCCCAAAAGGAAACTTCTAAGATTTGAGCTAGAATTACTTAAGTCTTCAATACTTTCTTGTGCGAGCCATGCGGTATTGCTCTGCTTTTATTTTCTTATCTATAAAATGTGGAAAATGGTAGTACCAATATTATGAAGTTTTTTTAGGAATAGCTGAGAAAATACATGTAAAATAATGATACCAATGTCAGGCACAAAGTAAGTGATTGAAAATATTGGGTGTTTTAATTATTATTACATATTTTTTACAACCTCCACTATGTGAAAATATAAATCTAGAGAAATCTTAATTGAGATAGTTGCTATTAGTTGAATGTCTCCTATGTTTGAGGCACTATGCTAAAAGTTAATAAGTATATTTCAATTTAATCTTTACAACTACATAGCAAAAGAGGTGTTATTATTCCCACTTCAGATATAAGAATACAGGGCTCAGAGGTGTTATGTAATTTGCCAGAAACTACAGAGTTAGTTAAGTTAGAGTGACAATGTTGAGATTGTAGATCTTCATCTAATTCTGTAGCTAGAACTCTTTCTGCTGTACCACACTACCACCAAGTCCAAGTGTAACTCTGACTGGATAAGGACGCACAAATGACTCTGAGTTGTACATAAGGGGTCGCAGATAATTTTTGGAAAGAATATTTTCAATAGGACAGAGATGAGAACTTGTTAGATCTATGCATAGGGAAGGTGTATTAGTCCATTCTCACGCTGCTATAAAGAACTGCCTGAGACTGCGTAATTTCTATAGGAAAGAGGTTTAATTGACTCACAGTTCCACATCGCTGGGAAGGCCTCAGGAAACTTACAATCATGGCAGAAGGCAAAGGAAAAGCAGGCACCCTCTTCACAGGGCGGCAGAATGGAGTAAGTGCAAGCAGGGGAAATGCCAGATGCTTATAAAACCCTCAGATATCGCGAGACTCACTCATTATCACGAGAACAGCATGGGGAAAATCGCCCCCACGTTCCTGCCCTTGGTCCTGCCCTTGAAACATGGGAATTATTACAATTCAAGGTGAGATTTGGTCAGGGGCACGGCCAAACTATGTCAGAAGACATGTGTGTGAGTTTGAAATTGTTGAGGATGGGAACAAGAAAAGGAAAAGGAAAAGGTGAGAATTCTGAAAACAAACTTACCATATATATATTATATATATATAATACCATATATATATAATATATACCATATATATTATATATATATATACATACACACATATAAAATTACATTGGACTAAATATACCATGGTGTTTCTTACTGTGTCTTTCAAATTATGGTGCAGTTTAGTTATTAAGAAGAGGGAAGACTCTGAACTCAAGGTGGGTTTAAATCTTTGCTTTGCCTCTCACCAGTGGTATAGTCTTGAGCACATTAACTTCTCTGTGCCTTAGCTTCCTCCTCTGCAAAATGAAAAGAGGACCCCAGCATTTCATTAGAATTACTCCAATAAATACTGATGTCTGTCTCACCCCAAGAAATTCTTATTTAACTTGTCTGGCATGGAGCCCCAGCATCGGAATGTTTAAAAACTACCAGAAGTGACTGTAATATGCAATCAGGGTTGACACTCATCAGTTAAACACTAGAATGTAAGTTCTCTGCAGGGAAGACCAGCCTCATGATGGCCCCAGAGTCTAGTTCATTGCCCAGTACACAATACACACTCAATAAAAATTCAGTGAGTTAATAATTACACAAATACAAGAATGTATGACTGGGCTTAGATTCAGCTCTGAGGCCTGATTCTACATCCAGTGATCCTTCTACATTCTATAATGCTGCTACTTGGATATTTACAGAAGACTGCTAGTTTCTTTGGACAATGTGACCCACCCTTAGTTATTCAGATAATCCAAACCAACTGGCTTAAGCAAAATGCAAATTTTTGACTCATTAAATTAAAGAGTCCACGGGTGGCCTACCTTTAAGCATGGTAGAATTCCAGAACATAGATGGTGTCCTCAGGGCTGTGATTCTCCCCCTTCTTCTCTTGACTCCTCTTCTCTATTAGACACTTTTCCCAGATGTGCTGTTCCCTTGAGGTGTCAGGATGGCACCCACTGTGTCTGCTTGACTCGGAGCTCTGTGTTAGCTGTCCCGTCCTAGGAGCCAGGGATGGGAGCTCACTCAAAGGCCACGGACTGGGAACAGGAGGAGTTCACTCCCTGCCAAAAAGAATCAGAATTCCACTGTCAAAGAAGTATGGCTTCTTGATTACCAAATCCAACGTAATAGATGGAAATATCTAGAACTTGTCTATCCATATGGTTTTAGGAGAAAAAAAGTCATTGTAAGAGGAGTCTATCCTTCTTCTGAGGAGCCCTGCCCCCACAGGCAGTGCACCTGTTGTGTTGCACAAGGACAAATGGTTGCTTTCGGTGGGAATTCACTTTCATTCAGTGTCCTTGGTATCTGACTCATTCTCTCATCCTAATAACCATCTTATTTGATTATAGTTTATTACTCATTGCCTGGATCAGTGATTCTCAATGGAGGGTAATTTTGTCCCTCGGGGGATATTTGGCAATGTCTGACACAATTTTGGTGTCCACCTTAGGGACAAATACTATAGGCATCAAGTGAGTAGAGGCCAGGGGTGCTGCTAAGCATCCTACAGTGTAAAAAAATAGCTACCCACAACCCACAAATAAATAATTATCCAGCCCAAAGTGTTAATAGCATAGAGGCTGAAAAACTGTGAACTAGATAATTCTAGTAGCTTCTTAAAAGTTCTACACACCTTTATTCTCCTCCCATCCTGTGATCTTTCCACTACCTGGCAACTGAAGTGACTTTCATAAAGCACAAATCTAATGCTACCATCCCCCTGATTAAGAAACTTATGGTTCCTCTTGCTGACAGAAAGGAAAAAGTACGCACTATGATTCAAGGCCCTTGAAAATCTGGCTCCAGTGGCTTTGAAACTTCTCTTTGATGATGTCTCCTGTGTATAAGATACACTTAACCATTCAAATGTCGCCTCTATGTACACTTGGTGTACCCACCTGATTTTCCTTTCTTTTATGTCTTTTGGTGTTTCTCCACACCGTCATTGCTGTTTCCAATTTTTTTTAATTTTTGAGACTTGATTTTAGAGCAGTTTAGGTATTTCCTCTTTTGCTCCCCACTTTTCTATCATTCATTCATTCATTATTGATTGATTGAATTCCTTGTGTCAGGTACTGTACTAAACCATGAAGATGTAATGCTGAGTAAAGGAGTTCCTTTTACTATGGGGCTTAGAGTGTATAGCAAGGCAGGCAATTAAAAGATGTGATAATAGGAAAAGGACATTGGGAGTATGTTGGGGGATTGCATCAGAGAAGATGTGCAAGAGGAAGTGACCTTTAGGCTGACCTGCAAAGGTGGTTAGAGTTAGCCAGAATTGGCCAAAGGAACAGGGTGGACACTGGCTTTGCAACCTACCTAAACTTCAAGGCCCAGTTCAAAACTTTCACATAAGCCCTTCCCAGATTGCCCCAATAGAAATTAATCTCCTATTTGGTTCTCATAACACTGTTGAGGTCTATTATAATGGTTATTACCATCTTTCTTGCGTTATGTATTTATGGCAAATATGATAATTGAACTCCTGGTAAATATTTAAATTGAAAATTGCCAAACTTTGCAGAAGATTCACAAGCATTGTTCTCTTATCTCACAAAGGCAGCTTGAATACTGAGGATTACATTTTTCTCCCTCATCAGCAAAACAGCTCTACAAAGCACCATAAATATATCTTTAGAAGGAAGTTATTTTGGTGTGTGGCAGTAAAACTGGACACAGCAAGATGTGACAGGGACAACAGGCACATCAAGGGTCAGGCTTTGCTGTAATTAAAAGGTAAAGCCCCAATGTACATATGCCTTTATTCATTTAGTGGGTCTTTTTTGAGCACCTAGTATGAACTAACTGCCAATATTTGGTACTGAGAGTAGAGCACTGAGCCAGACTTAACATAGTTCTTATCCCATGTATAGTTGAAAACAGACATTAAGTGAAGAATCACACAAATAGATGCAGACTTGTTGACTGTGAAGAGTCCAGTGAAGGACCCGTAAGGTGACAAATAGATGGGTCTCTGAAGGGTGCTTTGAAAGAGTCTGACTAAGGGATTAGCCTGGTGTGAGCAGTGCAGGAGGAAGTGCCATCAGGACTGTGGTCTGAACGTTAGTGGCTACTGAAGGGAAGGGAAAGAAAGAGACTACCAGAGAGAGGAAACAATATGAGCTAAAGGAGCACTCACGGAAAGCAGTGAGTTAGGGAAACTGAAAGACAGCCAGTGTGTTCAATGCAAGCAACTCAAGGAGTGCTGCAGGAGAGAAGCCTGGAAAGATGGTGGAAGGCAAAATGCAAGGTCTTTTAAGCCATGTTAAGAATTGCCATTAAAAAAAAAAGATGAGTTCATGTCCTTTACAGGGACATGGATGAAGCTGGAAACCATCATTCTCAGCAAACTAAGACAAGAACAGAAAACCAAACACCGCATGTTCTCACTCATAAGTGGGAGTTGAACAATGAGAAGACATGGGTACAGGGAGGGGAACATCACACACCAGGGCCTGTTGGGGGGTGGGGGACTAGGGAAGGGATAGCATTAGGAGAAATACCTAATGTAGATGTTGGGTTGATGGGTGCAGCAAACCACCATGGCACGTGTATACTTATGTAACAAACCTGCACATTCTGCACATGTATCCCAGAACTTAAAGTATTAAAAAAAAAAAAAACAAAAAAAACGAACAATCAGAATGTCTGAAAATAAAAGACACGATTTAAAAAAAAGAATTTTGTTTTTTATTCTAGGAGCAGTGGGAAACCATTGGATAGTTTTAAGCAGACAGTGACATGATCAGATTTGCATTTTAAAAGCACTCTGATTACAGCATGTGAAGAACCAGAAATTATACCAGTAATGGACCCTGAAAACTTGCTTCGTTAATGATTCTCATAGGTGACAAACACCAGAACATGGCATGTTTGATAAATTAGCTGTAGGTCATTCAATAGGGTCATAGCGGTAGCAAACCCTAACCTTTTTGGTTGAAGAGAAAAGAACAACCGACAGGAGTCTGGAGCGTGAGAAATTAAAAGGCTAACTGGAGAGTTGTTTAACTCTTTGATTCACATCTCTCTGGCAGGCTCACTAAAAATGTCTAAGCCCCTAATTTGCAAGCAAAAGACAATAAAAAGACTCAAAGATGACATTGTTGTTTGAATGTGTTTTTGCCAAATCCTTAGGGAACCTCAAATAGCCGTGCATCTTGAGAGTGTTATCAATGCAGGGGTTGACCATGGAGTTTAAGGTTCGTACGGGTATGTCTGCACCCCAGGATAATGTGGCCTTTAAGCTCAAAGGTTCCTCAAGAGCCTCAAACCACATTACCAGACAAATCATGACAACAGCTGGAAACTTGTCACTTAGAAGAATCCATTAGAAGGAAATAAAGAAAACCTCTGAGGGAGAGAAGGTAGAGAAATGTGCTTCTTTCAACTTGGTGTGACTATTCCAGCAGGAGACCCCAAAGATTGCACTCACCAAATGATTGTTGCTGAAACCATTGTCAGGAAACAAGGCTGGGGCCCAGAAAGCAAAGACAAGGTCATCAACAACGGGTAATGGAAAGGGGCCCTGAGTCCCGACCTGGGAAGCAGTTGGGGATGAATTACCAGACTCCATTTGTGGCCCAGCTGGGAGTAAAGATGAAATCAGCAGTGATCCTGCCCTGATCTCATGCTCCATTTCAGTTCATTTAAATTTGCATCAAATGGAGGACCACAGGATAGTCAAGGGAAACCAAAGCCACTTAAATATCTGTGGCTCTTTCTTGATACCTATAAGCCAGAAGGGAGGCCACGCAGAAAATGTAAGTGACAAATTGGCTGCATCTCACATGCGTACCCATAGAATGTAGCTAAATATACAGGAGTTAGAGAATGAACACATACATATATGTATAAACATGCCTCTGCACATATCAACATACATATTCATATATATTGTTATATAACTATCTTAGCCCATTTTCTGTTGTTTATAACAGAATACCTGAATCTGGTAATTTATAAAGAAACAGAAATTATTTCTTACTGCTATGGAGGCTAAGGAGTCCATGGTTAAGGGGCTGCCTTTGGTGAGGGCCTTCTTGCTGGTGAGGACTCTCTGTAGAGTCCCCAGGCAGGGCAGGGTATCACATGGCAAAGGAGCTGGGTGTGCTAATGTGCTAGTTCAGATCCATTTCTGTTCTAATAAAGCCATCAGCTCCTTTCACATGATCCATTAACCCACGAATGGAATAATTTATTCATGAGGGCAGATCTCTCATGATCCAATCACCTCTTAAAGGCCTTGCCTTTCAATACTGTTATATTGGGAATTAAATTTCAACATGGGAGGGAACAAATATTCAAGCCATCTCACTATTCATACTTGTTCATAAACCATAGGCATGTGCACACTCATATACATTTGTGCCCATACGTAGGTACATCTAACAGTGAATACACAGAAGTGTACACATACTGGAACATACAAAATTTTACATAGCTAATATAGGTGTACAGATACATATCCATGCGCACATACACACATACGCATACATGCACACATACGCATACATGCACATATACACATACATGCACATATACACATACATGGAAATAGCCCAGTGTATGAAAACTCAAGAACTGAGCTGAGTAGGCTTGGATCTAATCCAAATGGAAAAGAATTGGTTCTGAAAGAATACTAGAGTTAGATTTGGTTTCAGGCCCTGGCTCACATGCACCCAGTAATCAGCACAGGTCTTCTTCCTCTGAACCTAAGTTCCACATTATTGTTGTTTATTTTTTAATTTTGCATGTAAGAAATTCTATCAGGTCGTTACAGAAATGCAAAGAGATTCCCAGAAGAGGTGACATTTAGTTTGGGCCTTGAAGTGGGTGAAGGGAATGAATAGAAAAGAAAATAGCATCAGAAAAGAGGTGGGCATTGCCTGTAATCCCAGCACTTTGAGAGGCTGAGGTGGGTGGATCACCTGAGGTCAGGAGTTTGAGATCACCCTAGCCAACATGATGAAACTGGGTCTCTACTAAAAATACGAAAATTAGCTAGGCATGGTGGCACACGCCTGTAATCCCAGCTACTCAGGAGGCTGAGGCAGGAGAATCACTTGAACCCAGGAGGTGGAGGTTGCAGTGAGCCGAGATCACACCACCTTACTCCATCCTGGGTGACAGAGTAAAACTCTGTTTCAAAAAAAAAAAAAAAAAAGAAAAGAAAAAAGAAGCCCAGCGTGAGCGACGCAGAAGACGGGTGATTTCTGCATTTCCATCTGAGGTACCGGGTTCATCTCACTAGGGAGTGCCAGACAGTGGGCGCAGGCCACTGGGTGCGCGCACCGTGCGCGAGCCTAAGCAAGGCGAGGCATTGCCTCATCTGGGAAGCGCAAGGGGTCAGGGAGTTCCCTTTCCGAGTCAAAGAAAGGGGTGACGGACGCACCTGCAAAATCGGGTCACTCCCACCCGAATATTGCGCTTTTCAGACCGGCTTAAAAAACGGCGCACCACGAGACTATATCCCACACCTGGCTCGGAGGGTCCTACGCCCACGGAATCTTGCTGATTGCTAGCACAGCAGTCTGAGATCAAACTGCAAGGCGGCAGCGAGGCTGGGGGAGGGGAGCCCGCCATTGCCCAGGCTTGCTTAGATAAACAAAGCAGCCAGGAAGCTCGAACTGGGTGGAGCCCACCACAGCTCAAGGAGGCCTGCCTGCCTCTGTAGGCTCCACCTCTGGGGGCAGGGCACAGACAAACAAAAAGACAGCAGTAACCTCTGCAGACTTAAATGTCCCTGTCTGACAGCTTTGAAGAGAGCAGTGGTTCTCCGAGCACGCAGCTGGAGATCTGAGAACGGGCAGACTGCCTCCTCAAGTGGGTCCCTGACCCCTGACCCCCGAGCAGCCTAACTGGGAGGCACACCCCAGCAGGGGCACACTGACACCTCACACTGCAGGGTATTCCAACAGACCTGCAGCTGAGGGTCCTGTCTGTTAGAAGGAAAACTAACAAACAGAAAGGACATCCACACCGAAAACCCATCTGTACATCACCATCATCAAAGACCAAAAGTAGATAAAACCACAAAGATGGGGAAAAAACAGAACAGAAAAACTGGAAACTCTAAAACGCAGAGCGCCTCTCCTCCTCCAAAGGAATGCAGTTCCTCACCAGCAACGGAACAAAGCTGGATGGAGAATGATTTTGATGAGCTGAGAGAAGAAGGCTTCAGACGATCAAACTACTCTGAGCTATGGGAGGACATTCAAACCAAAGGCAAAGAAGTTGAAAACTTTGAAAAAAATTTAGAAGAATGTATAACTAGCATAACCAATACAGAGAAGTGCTTAAAGGAGCTGATGGAGCTGAAAGCCAAGGTACAAGAACTACGTGAAGAATGCAGAAGCCTCAGGAGCCGATGCGATCAACTGGAAGAAAGGGTATCAGCAATGGAAGATGAAATGAATGAAATGAAGCGAGAAGGGAAGTTTAGAGAAAAAAGAATAAAAAGAAATGAGCAAAGCCTCCAAGAAATATGGGACTATGTGAAAAGACCAAATCTACGCCTGATTGGTGTACCTGAAAGTGATGCGGAGAATGGAACCAAGTTGGAAAACACTCTGCAGGATATTATCCAGGAGAACTTCCCCAATCTAGCAAGGCAGGCCAACGTTCAGATTCAGGAAATACAGAGAACGCCACAAAGATACTCCTCGAGAAGAGCAACTCCAAGACACATAATTGTCAGATTCACCAAAGATGAAATGAAGGAAAAAATGTTAAGGGCAGCCAGAGAGAAAGGTTGGGTTACCCTCAAAGGGAAGCCCATCAGACTAACAGCGGATCTCTCGGCAGAAACCCTACAAGCCAGAAGAGAGTGGGGGCCAATATTCAACATTCTTAAAGAAAAGAATTTTCAACCCAGAATTTCATATCCAGCCAAACTAAGCTTCATAAGTGAAGGAGAAATAAAATCCTTTACAGACAAGCAAATGCTGAGAGATTTTGTCACCACCAGGCCTGCCCTAAAAGAGCTCCTGAAGGAAGTGCTAAACATGGAAAGGAACAACCGGTACCAGCCGCTGCAAAATCATGCCAAAATGTAAAGACCATCAAGACTAGGAAGAAACTGCATCAACTAATGAGCAAAATCACCAGCTAACATCATAATGACAGGATCAAATTCACACATAACAATATTAACTTTAAATGTAAATGGACTAAATGCTCCAATTAAAAGACACAGACTGGAAAACTGGATAAAGAGTCAAGACCCATCAGTGTGCTGTATTCAGGAAACCCATCTCACGTGCAGAGACACACATAGGTTCAAAATAAAAGGGTGGAGGAAGATCTACCAAGCAAATGGAAAACAAAAAAAAGGCAGGGGTTGCAATCCTAGTCTCTGATAAAACAGACTTTAAACCAACAAAGATCAAAAGAGACAAAGAAGGCCATTACATAATGGTAAAGGGATCAATTCAACAAGAGGAATTAACTATCCTATATATATATGCACCCAATACAGGAGCACCCAGATTCATAAAGCAAGTCCTGAGTGACCTACAAAGAGACTTAGACTCCCACACATTAATAATGGGAGACTTTAACACCCCACTGTCAACATTAGACAGATCAACGAGACAGAAAGTCAACAAGGATACCCAGGAATTGAACTCAGCTCTGCACCAAGCAGACCTAATAGACATCTACAGAACTCTCCACCCCAAATCAACAGAATATACATTTTTTTTCAGCACCACACCACACCTATTCCAAAATTGACCACATACTTGGAAGTAAAACTCTCCTCAGCAAATGTAAAAGAACAGAAATTATAACAAACTATCTCTCAGACCACAGTGCAATCAAACTAGAACTCAGGATTAATAATCTCACTCAAAGCCGCTCAACTACATGGAAACTGAACAACCTGCTCCTGAATGACTACTGGGTACATAACGAAATGAAGGCAGAAATAAAGATGTTCTTTGAAACCAACAAGAACAAAGACACGACATACCAGAATCTCTGGGATGCATTCAAAGCAGTGTGTAGAGGGAAATTTATAGCACTAAATGCCCACAAGAGAAAGCAGGAAAGATCCAAAATTGACACCCTAACATCACAATTAAAAGAACTAGAAAAGCAAGAGCAAACACATTCAAAAGCTAGCAGAAGGCAAGAAATAACTAAAATCAGAGCAGAACTGAAGGAAATAGAGACACAAAAAACCCTTCAAAAAACCCTTCTAGAAAATCTAGAAGAAATGGATACATTCCTCGACACATACACTCTCCCAAGACTAAACCAGGAAGAAGTTGAATCTCTGAATAGACCAATAACAGGAGCTGAAATTGTGGCAATAATCAATAGTTTACCAACCAAAAAGAGTCCAGGACCAGATGGATTCACAGCCGAGTTCTACCAGAGGTACAAAGAGGAACTGGTACCATTCCTTCTGAAACTATTCCAATCAATAGAAAAAGAGGGAATCCTCCCTAACTCATTTTATGAGGCCAGCATCATTCTGATGCCAAAGCCGGGCAAAGACACAACCAAAAAAGAGAATTTTAGACCAATATCCTTGATGAACATTGATGCAAAAATCCTCAATAAAATACTGGCAAACCGAATCCAGCAGCACATCAAAAAGCTTATCCACCATGATCAAGTGGGCTTCATCCCTGGGATGCAAGGCTGGTTCAATATACGCAAATCAATAAATGTAATCCAGCATATAAACAGAGCCAAAGACAAAAACCACATGATTATCTCAATAGATGCAGAAAAAGCCTTTGAAAAATTCAACAACCCTTCATGCTAAAAACTCTCAATAAATTAGGTATTGATGGGACGTATTTCAAAATAATAAGAGCTATCTATGACAAACCCACAGCCAATATCATACTGAATGGGCAAAAACTGGAAGCATTCCCTTTGAAAACTGGCACAAGACAGGGATGCCCTCTCTCGGCACTCCTATTCAACATAGTGTTGGAAGTTCTGGCCAGGGCAATCAGGCAGGAGAAGAAAATAAAAGGTATTCAATTAGGAAAAGAGGAAGTCAAATTGTCCCTGTTTGCAGATGACATGATTGTTTATCTAGAAAACCCCATCGTCTCAGCCCAAAATCTCCTTAAGCTGATAAGCAACTTCAGCAAAGTCTCAGGATACAAAATCAATGTACAAAAATCACAAGCATTCTTATACACCAACAACAGACAAACGGAGAGCCAAATCATGAGTGAACTCCCATTCACAATTGCTTCAAAGAGAATAAAATACCTAGGAATCCAACTTACAAGGGATGTGAAGGACCTCTTCGAGGAGAACTACAAACCACTGCTCAAGGAAATAAAAGAGGATACAAACAAATGGAAGAACATTCCATGCTCATGGGTAGGAAGAATCAATAGCGTGAAAATGGCCATACTGCCCAAGGTAATTTACAGATTCAATGCCATCCCCATCAAGCTACCAATGACTTTCTTCACAGAATTGGAAAAAACTACTTTAAAGTTCATATGGAACCAAAAAAGAGCCCGCATCGCCAAGTCAATCCTAAGCCAAAAGAACAAAGCTGGAGGCATCACACTACCTGACTTCAAACTATACTACAAGGCTACAGTAACCAAAACAGCACGGTACTGGTACCAAAACAGAGATATAGATCAATGGAACAGAACAGAGCCCTTAGAAATAACGCCGCATACCTACAACTATCTGATCTTTGACAAACCTGAGAAAAACAAGCAGTGGGGAAAGGATTCCCTATTTAATAAATGGTGCTGGGAAAACTGGCTAGCCATATGTAGAAAGCTGAAACTGGATCCCTTCCTTACACCTTATACAAAAATCAATTAAAGATGGATTAAAGACTTAAACGTTAGACCTAAAACCATAAAAACCCTAGAAGAAAACCTAGGCATTACCATTCAGGACATAGGCGTGGGCAAGGACTTCATGTCCAAAACACCAAAAGCAATGGCAACAAAAGCCAAAATTGACAAATGGGATCTAATTAAACTAAAGAGCTTCTGCACAGCAAAAGAAACTACCATCAGAGTGAACAGGCAACCTACAACATGGGAGAAAATTTTCACAACCTACTCATCTGACAAAGGGCTAATATCCAGAATCTACAATGAACTCAAACAAATTTACAAAAAAAAAAAACAAACAACCCCATCAAAAAGTGGGCGAAGGACATGAACAGACACTTCTCAAAAGAAGACATTTATGCAGCCAAAAAACACATGAAAAAATGCTCATCATCACTGGCCATCAGAGAAATGCAAATCAAAACCACTATGAGATATCATCTCACACCAGTTAGAATGGCAATAATTAAAAAGTCAGGAAACAACAGGTGCTGGAGAGGATGTGGAGAAATAGGAACACTTTTACACTGTTGGTGGGACTGTAAACTAGTTCAACCATTGTGGAAGTCAGTGTGGCGATTCCTCAGGGATCTAGAACTAGAAATACCATTTGACCCAGCCATCCCATTACTGGGTATATACCCAAATGACTATAAATCATGCTGCTATAAAGACACATGCACACGTATGTTTATTGCGGCATTATTCACAATAGCAAAGACTTGGAACCAACCCAAATGTCCAACAATGATAGACTGGATTAAGAAAATGTGGCACATATACACCATGGAATACTATGCAGCCATAAAAAATGATGAGTTCATGTCCTTTGTAGGGACATGGATGAAACTGGAAACCATCATTCTCAGTAAACTATCGCAAGAACAAAAAACCAAACACCGCATATTCTCACTCATAGGTGGGAATTGAACAATGAGATCACATGGACACAGGAAGGGGAATATCACACTCTGGGGACTGTGGTGGGGTGGGGGGAGGGGGAGGGATAGCATTGGGAGATATACCTAATGCTAGATGACGTGTTAGTGGGTGCAGCGCACCAGCATGGCACATGTATACATATGTAACTAACCTGCACAATGTGCACATGTAGCCTAAAACTTAAAGTATAATAAAAAAAAAAAAGAAAAAAGAGAAAAAGAAATTGATAATGGCTGCTGCTTAGAATGCCTGAGAGTTAAAGGAGAAAAGAAATCTATGGGCCATATGTTGAATGGTCTTAACTGCGAGGCTGAGGAATTTGGCCTTTGTCTTTAGGGAATGGGTTGTGTTGGAGGGTTTTAATATTCAATACTGCTATATTGGGAATTAAATTTCAACATGGAAGGAAAAAATATTCAAACCATCTCACTATTCATACTTGTTCATAGACCATATGCATACATATCCATGTGCACATACACTATTAATATTGACAGTATTGAACAGTCAATAGCAGATTTGTGTTTTAGGAATAATGGCCTGGACATAGCGTGGTAATTGTAGGGATATCCCTGAAAGAGATAAGAAGGTTTTAAAAGTCTTTTGTAGTCATCCTAATGGGATGTAAAAAAAAAAAAAAAAAAAAAAAAAAAAATTCTGAACTCCAGCAGTGTCTGTGGGGAAAGAGACACAGAAGCCCCTCAACTAAGATAGAAGTATGAGCTGCTTGTACTCTGCACATGTGAGTCAGCCTCTGCCATTATCCTGGACACCTGATGAAGTCTTCTTTTATGTCCAATGTTGTATGTAGTACATATTTGTCAAAAGACTGTTGGATGACTTGTGATTCAGGCCTCTTTTTTTTCAGGCCTCTTTTTATTGAGACTTGGGAGATTGCTAATAGGCCAGGCCTCTTTTTATTGAGACCTGGGCAGCACTTTGTTTTGTCAACCTGTAGAGTCCTAAAGCCCTATCTAAAGCTAAGAGTAAATGAAGAAATTACCAGTAATCCCAACAGGTAGAATCCAAAGGAGTTATTCAGATAATGGTGCAAAGGAAATAAATAGAAAAAAGTGAAAGATATGTTGGTTACACAGATCCAACTTGATATCAATCAAAGAAGAATAAATATAATATTGATAATAACTTGAATATTAAAATGTTACACTAATCACCTACTGTTTTCACCATCATGAATGTTGTGGCAGTTAATTTTATGTGTCCATTTGACTTCACCATGAGATGCCCAGATATGTAGTTCAATATTATCCCTGGGTGAGCCTTGAAGGGTGTTTCTGAATGAGATCAGGATTTGAATTAGTAGATTGAGTAAAGTAAATTTGCCTCCTCAGTGGAGTGGGTCTCATGCAATCCATTGAAAGCCTGGATCAAATAAGAGGCTGAATAAAAAAAAATTATTCTTACTACTGCCTGTCTTTGAGTTGGGACTTTATTTTTCTCCTGTCTTCAGACTCAGATGTGGCCTGGAAGTTACACTATCAGTTCCCCTGGTTGTCAGGCCTTCAGTCTCAGCTTAGAAGTATACTATTAACTCACCTGCATCTCCAGCTTGCTTGCCAACTGCAGAGCTTAGACTTTCAGCCTCTATGATAATATGAGCCAATTCCTTTATCTATAATTATAACTATATCTATATTTACCTATAGCTACGTCTATATATCCTATTGGTTCTATTTCTCTGGAAAGCCCAGACTAATACATATGTCATGAGGTTTATGAGATTTGGGCCTAGATGTCCACTCAGCCCTCTTATAGCAGCTGGTGGAGTATGACTTTTTACTGTGGACATTTGTTTTTAAATCAGCACAGCTTCTTGTATTTATTTATTTATTTTTGAGACAAGGTCTCACTATGTTGCCTAGAGTTGTTTCAAACTCCTGGGCTCAAGTGATCTTCCCATTTCAGCCTGAGTAGTTTGGACTACAGACATGTGCCACCATACTGAGCTACATTTTTTAATAAATGAGATAGCAATCATTGTGTAATTTCAAGTTGACAGTACACCCGGAGGCAGAATGTGTTAGTATTCTTTTGCTGCATAACAAATGACCACAAATTTAGTGCCTTAAAACAACATATATTTATTATCCCTCCCTCCTTCCTTCCTTCCTTCCTTCCTTCCTTCCTTCCTTCCTTCCTTCCTTCCTTCCATCCTTCCTTCCTCCCTTTTGTGCTAGGGTCTCACTTTGTCACTGAGGCTGGAGTGCAGTGGCACAATAACTCACACCAGCCTCGAACTCCTAGGCTCAAGCAATCCTCCTACCTCAGCTTCCTGAGTAACTGGGACTAAAGACGCACGCCACCATGTCAGGCTACTTTTTTATTTTTTTAACTTTTTTGTAAAGACAAGGGTCTTACTCTGTCACCCAGGCTGGTCTTGAACTCTTGGCCCTAAGCAATCCTCCTACTTCAGCCTCCCAAAGTGCTGGGATTACAGGCATGAGCCACTGCACCCAACTGTCCCACTGTTTCTGTGGGTCAGAAATTCATGCGTAGCTTAGCTGAGTCCTCTGCTCAATGTCTCACAAGGGTGCAATCAAAGTGTCAGCTGGTCTGGAGGCTCATATGAGGCCCAGGGTCCTCTTTTATGCTCACATGGTTATTGACAGAATTCGTTTCCTCAAAGCTATAGGACTCATGGTAGCTTGTTTCTTCTTTTTTCTGGCCTCAAATGATTCTCCCCCTTGGCCTCCCAAAGCACTAGGATTATAGGCATGAGTCACCATGCCCAGTCAGACTGTTTCTTGGGGGTCTTAAATAAAATATCTTTTATTTATTTCATTTCTGATCTCTAGATCCTCTTCTAAATGGGACACCTAGTTAGATAAGACTCACCTCTAACAATCTTCCTTTAAACTGAACTGATTAGGCACCTTAATTACATCTGCAAAATCCCTTCACCTTTGACATATAGCATAACATAATCATGAGAGTGATATCTCATCACCGTTGCCACAAACTATTGGTTAGAAACAAGGCATAGGTTTAACCCCACTCAGAGGGAGATTACACAAGGATATGGGTCATTGGTGATCATATTAGAATTCTGCCTGCTACAGAGAAGAGTGGACCAGTTTGTCACAGTGACTTGACTTCATTACATGGAAGTCTGAGCTGGTAGCAAATCAATAAACTCACGCGGAAGGTTAGCACTTGCATACAGAGCATTTTGAATTAAGTCTGGCTATGTTATTTTGCTATATTTTGATTACTTATGTCCACCACAATTTCCATGATGTCATGAGCTACTTTAAATTAAGATAATTAGTATCTATATTTATAAGGTAACTATTCCTTGGAAAAATATCACTAAGACAGTCCAAGATATCACTAAGATCTAGCTGGTCAAGTTGCTTGTTGAAGGATACTTCTACTTCTTGAGCTGGTTTCTGAAGGTTTTTTTTCCCGTATTGGTAGCTAGTGTTTTGTTAAATATCTGAAACAAGATTTATTCCTTCTTGAGCTATAAATTTCTCAGCTTTGCTTGGCAAGCCTTGGAGATCAATGCTGCTTTATTTAAGAGCCCCTCAATCCATTCCTTTTCTTGAGAAGAAAAGGGAAAATGGTGGAAATATGGTTGTCAAGGTTGGCAGACTGTGGTGAACATTTGATGCACCACACAGACCCCCCTCCAGGGATGAAGAACATATTGTCTCAACTGCTGGCAGTGCTGCTAGTGGATGACCCTTGTCTCCCACCCTTCTCGAGGATTCTGTTGGTTAAGAAAATTGCCTCACTTAATATGGTTTGGCTGTGTCCTCACCCAAATCTCATCTTGAATTATAGCTCCCATAATCCCCATGTGTCATGGTAGGGAGCCAGTGGGAGTTAATTGAATCTTGGGGGTGAGTTTTTTCCTGTGCTGCTCTTGTGACAGTGGCTAAGTCTCATGAGATCTGATGGTTTTATAAAGGGGAGTTCCCCTGCACATGCTCTCTTGCCTGCTGCCATGTAAGATGTGCCTTTACTCCTTCTTTGCCTTCCACCATGATTGTGAGGTCTCCCCCCAACCCCCCATGTAGAACAGTGAGTCCATTAAACCTCTATTTCTTTATAAATTACCCAGTCTCAGGTATTTCTTCATAGCAGTATGAAAATGGACTAATACACTCAGCCAATGTCATATCTCATTCTAGGAAGAGCCCACATCCAGTGACTGATAAAGGCTGGAGTATAAAAGTATGTGGGGTCATCTCAGCTCCAGAGCTACTTATGGTGTGATCTAATCCAATCACTGGGGTTGCATAGAAATTCAACATCTCCCTTTCCCTAATCCTGTTTCCTTTCCCTCCTTTCTACAGGTGTTAATTCCAAGAGCACGTCCCAATAAATGCCCACATGCCAATCTCTGATTCCATCTGCTTTCCACAGAATCCAACCTGCACCTGCAGACAGAGAGGATTTGGACAGGGTAAGTACCTGGACCCTATCCTTTGCCTAGCCACTCCATGCTACTCACTGTTCTATAAGCATGCAGTGCTACACTTCTTGACTTTACACAGGCTGCTTCTTCTGTCCAGGTTTCTTCATTTTGTGACTGAACTTCTACTCATTCTTTGAGGCCTATAGGAAATATGAATGTTTCTGTATATCCTTTTCTTATCTGTTGGGTGAAATTATTTCCCCCTCTTCTACAATTCCATTGCACTTTGTGCATACCTGTGTTACATGTAGAGTACCTATCACATTATATTCTGTTTATTTGTTCATGTGTTATTTTCTTTGCTTGATTGTACAATCCCTCAACACCTAGATTATGTAAGAAGGTTCAGTTAACAGGCATCAAAAAGCTTCATAGAAATGATTGGTTTAACAAAGAGCCTTTCTTGGGTTAGTAGAATTTAAAGAGGTGAAAGGAAGGTATGTGCAAAGTTATCAGCAAGAATGAGCATAGCATATATAGAGGGGGCAGTGAGGTCATTAATCCAGCTGTAACAGAGGATGCAAATTATGGGAGATAAGAAAGGACCAGGAGGCTAAGACGAGCTTATGAAAATATTTTAATGTCATGTTAAGGTATAGGCCAAGAATTTCAGACTCCCATGACTCAGGAGCCAAGCAGATAACATGAATAAAGATGTTGTGGAATAAAAATTTTTTTGACACTGGAAATTAGATTTGACTATTATTTTACCTTTTCTTTGTCATTAGAAAAACAATGCATTTTTGATGATAAATGACAGCTACCATTCATCCTTGGGGTTACAAAATAGAATTGCTAAGATTTATTACAGTAGTGTTTTTTGGTCCCATTGTACAAATAAAAAACTTGAAGTTTAGGGGTTTTACTGATTAGATTATTGTTTTCTATTTTCTATTGCATTGATTTCTGTTCTAATCTTTATTATTTCCTTTCTTCTGCTTACTCTGGGTATAATTTGCTCTTGTTTATCTGCTTTATTAAAGGTGAAATCTAGGCCAATTATTTATGACTATATTTTGTCTAATATAGTCTTTTAGTGCTATAACTTTCTATCTAAAAACTCTTTTAGTTGATCTCACAAGTTTTGATATATTGTGTTTTTATTTTCATTTTGTTTAAAGTACTTTCAGAGGTTGTACTTAATTTCTTCTTTGACTTTTGATGATTTAGAAGTGTGTTATTCTGATTTAAAATATTTGGGACTTTTATAGATATCTTTCTGTTATTGATTTCTTATTTATTTTCCATTGTTGCTAGAGATTACACCTTGGATAACTTGTATTTACAAAAATTTATTGAGATATTTTTATGGCCATAATATGGTCTATCTAGGTAGTTGTTTCATGTGTGCTTGAAAAAATAAATGTATATTTTGCTATTTTGGGGTAGATCTATCTATAAATGTCAATTATATCAACTTGGTTGCATTGTGTTATTCATGTCTTCTATATTCTTACTGATTTTCTGTCCACTTATTCTATGAGTAATTGAGAATGAGGTTTTAAAATCTCTAAGTAAAATTTTGAATTGGTCTATTTCTCTTTGCAGTTTTATCAGTTTTTACTTTATGTATTCTGCAGTCTTATTATTAGGTCCATGAGTGTTATTGTAATTTCTTCTTAATGAGTGTTACCCCTTTATGTTATAAAATAATGTTCTTTATCTTGAGTAATACTCTTTGCTCTGAATTCTATGTTTTCTGATATTAATATAGACAGTTCAGGTTACTTTTGGTCAGTGTTATCATAGTACATCTTCTTCCCTCTTTTTATTTTTAATACATTTGTGTCTATATATTTAAGGTAGGTATCTTCTAGGTTGCATATAGTGAAGTCCTGCTTTTGAAGCCAATTTGAGAATCTATGCCTTTTAATTATGATGTTTATTTGTGTTTCATATGATTATTGAAATAGTTTGTTTAAACTTGCAATGTTGCCATTTTTTCCTGTTTGTTCTATTGTGGGGTTCCCACTTTCTTTTTATGCTTCTTTTGGATGAATTTTGTATTTTTATGATTTTGTTTTATCTCTTTTGTTGGTTTATTAGTTTTAACTCTTCATTGTGTTCTTTCAATAATTGCTTTAGGGTTTAGAGTATTTTGGACTTATCACAATCTACTTTCAAGTGGTATTATATGTTATATACTATAAAAACATTACAAGGGTATAGTTTCACTATTTTGCTTCTGGTATTTGTGTTATTGTCAAAAATTTTACATTTACATATGTGATAATCTCACAATGTATTGTGGTTATTATTGATTTAAGCAGATAATTATCTTTTAAAGGTAATTAAATAATACGAAAAGTAGTTTTATGTTTACTTACGTGTTTACAGTTTCTATTCTTTCTATTTCTTTGTAGATTCAGGTTTCTATCTGGTACCATTTTCTTTCTATTTGAAGTATAAGTACTTCCTTTAATATTTCTTACAATGCAGGTTTGCTGGATATAAACTTGAAGAAGTTTTTCCTTCATCTTTGTTATAGAAAAATATTTTTGCTGGGAAAGAATACTAAGTTGGTTTTATGTTTTCTTTCAATAGTTTAAAGATTTTGTACCACTTTCTCCTGGCTTCCCCTATATCCTATGAGAAATTTACTATTATCATTATTTTTGTTCACTGTATGTTATACACTTCATTTGCATGGCTGATTGAAAGCTCTTTTTCTTTCATTTGTTTTAATAACTTTGATTATGATGTGCCTTGATATAATTTTCTCCACATTTATTTTTCATGGGTATGTTGATATCCTTGGATCTATGGCTTTAAAGTTTTCTTCACATTTTGAAAATTTTCAGCCACTGTGTTATAAAATATTTTTATGTCCTCCTTTCAGGACCAATTACACATATGTTGGGCTCCTTGAAGTTATCCTATAACTCACTGATGATCTGCTCTCTTCTTCTTTTTTCTATCTCTTTTTTTCTCTTGTGTGGTTTATTTTATTTTATTTCTTTGCATACTTTAAAAGTTTAAAGTTTGTATATAAACTTCACAAATCTTTTCTTCTACAATATCTAGTCTATTTTAAATCCAATTTAGCATATTTTTCATCTTATATATTATAATGTTTATTTCTTGAAGTTTAATTTTTAATTGTTATAGTCTTTATTTCTCTTCTTAACATACTTAATCTTTACCTTCTTGTATAGTATCCTGCTATAATAGCTGTCTTAAAGTCCTTGTCTATTAATTCTATAATCTTTTCTAGTTCGGGGTCAGTTTTGACTAATTGATTTGTTTCTTAATTATCAGTAGTACTTCCCTACTGCTTTGCATGCTTGAAATTTTTTTATTGGCTGCCAGGCTATTTAAATTTTACCTTGCTGCATGCTGGATATTTTGGTGTCTCTATAAATATTTTTGAGTTTTGTCTTGGAATGTGGTTAAGTTACTTTGAAACAGGTTGATCTTTTCAAAGTGTGTTTGCTGGTACCAGAACATTTAGTCTAGGGCTAATTTTCCAGCACTACTAAGACAAAATTCGCCATGTATTACACATGATGCTATATGAATTATGTGGTTCTCTCCTCTAGCTAGTGGGTATAGCCTATGTGTGCTTTGCATATATTCCCTCTAATATTTGGGGGTATTTCTTTCACTAGACTTGGGGAGTCTTCTCACATGCCTTCACTGATTTGTACTTAGTTGAATATTTGAGAGGCACCCTCTGTAGATACCCCAAAACAGCTCTCTCTTTGCAGATCTCTTATCTCTAACACTCTCCCCTGTAAACTCCAGTTGTCTTTGCTCCTGTAGACTCTCATGTCTGCTTCCTTAACCCAGGAAGTTCACCAGTCTCTGCATGGGTTTGCACTCCATGTACCACCTCCTGGAAACCTTCTTCAAGTAGTAATATGAAGCATTAGTGGAGAATCATCTTTTTTTTTTTGTCTCAGAATCACTGCCCTTCTTTGTTTGAGGTCCAATGATTTGAGAATGATTGTTGCATATATTTTGTTTGAATTTTTAATTGTTTCAGGCAGCTGGATAAATGCAGTCCTTGTTACTCCACATTGGCTAGAAGGGAAATTTCTCCACTTGAACTATTCAAAAGTTAATTTTTAAAAAGCAATTCTAATTAGGAGGACTGACTGGCTGGGTCCGTTTCACTGACTTTAATTACCTTGCTTATTTGTTTGATTACTTTTGTTGTTGTTCTGCCTCTTCTTCTGGAGTGCCCACATTTTCTCTGTTACCCCAGCACCTGCAGGGCAATGGCAACTGTAACAATGTAACAGCTTCTTCTCCCCTTTGCCTGTAGCCCTAGGACTGGCACTGGCTTCCTAATCGTTGGTTATCTCTGTGTTTCTTCACCTTGGCAGCTATGGAACAGTGCTAATTAGATGTTCCTTTAACTGCAAGGGTGACATAGTCGACTGATCATCCAAGCTGCTTCACCACTGTATGGATTCATTTGGAGTTGGAGGAGACCATGTTTCCTCCAGGCTGCTCCCAGGCAATGACTGCTCGTGGCAGGGAATTAGATCCAGTTTACTCTTGCCTAATTCAGGACTCTTCTATTGATCAACTATTTCTTGGAAACTCCCCACCCATCTGTTTGAGAGGCCAGACTGTGCTGCAACCTGAGGCTCTTCCTATCCTGTCCTTCCTTCTATTGGTGTCAGATCTGACTTTCTGAAGGCTCCAGTTTCCTCCTTCTTCACCCTCCTGCTTTATACTTTACAGGTGCTTCCCCCAATAAATCTTTTGCATACCTAATCCCACCTTGATGTCTGCTTCTTGGAGGACTCAAACTTATATACTGACCTTCTCCTGATTGGCTTTGTAATCATCTCAGCACACTCATAACCAGGCATAACTTTTTTTTTTTTTTCCTGACTAAACCCTAATTAATACAAAGCGTATCTGTTCCAAGAAAATACTTTAGGAATAACACATGGGCATTTCATCAGTTAGAGCTGCGCCCCTTATCTCTGTTGCTACCAGAGGAGGCACACATCTCAATTTTGCTATTGGGCTACAACAGCGAAGTTCTGAGCACTACAGGGCCCCTGGCTCTCACCTGCATTCATAATGCTCAACAGGCATCCTCACATCTCTTGCTTGCAGCCGGGGTCTGCCATTCATGCAGCGTGTCCTGATAAAATCCTAAAGCCACCAGTTAGAAGGCGTGAGGATAATTTCCAGTGAATTTCTGGAAACACCAAGAAAAGTCTACAGGCTCTAGACTTGAAGCTTGTCCTGCTTCCCCTGAAATGGTGTATAAATAGTGGAGGGTTTATTTGGCATCATGGGGTCTGGAATTATTTATAAATAGCACATACTGAGTTTGAGACATGAATGGTGGTGTCCCACTGGCTGAACAGGGGTAGGGGGTTGACTTGATTGTCTTTTTATTCCCCTTTCTCTCTGGAAATTCAATCGATTGGGGCTAATTTGCAAGCTGTCTGTTTGAGGCAGGTGCAAGCTCTCAGGCACTGCTGTTAATGTAGTTCTTTATTCTGCTCTGAACTCTTGCTTCCTTGAAAAATAAAAAGAGATTTGCCAAGTAAAGCAAGTTGTGTTTATAACAGGCAGCATGTTTAAACATATGACCACAGTCCTAGATGCCACCAATCTCAAGTTCCAACACAACATCTTCCAAAGATGTCTGCGTTGAGGGGCTTGCACATTGTCTCAAGCCTCATGGAGTGAGGGAAGAATTGTGTAAAATTCTTGGCCTTGCCCATGGAGGCACTTCATTGCTCATGCAGGCGTTTTCTTCTCTTCCAACCAAACCTTCCAACCACAGTGTTAGTGACTTAGGGGTGCCATGTATTTGCTAACTGAAGTTCCATTCAAATTTCTAAAATTAAAATTACAATGACATTTGCTGTTCCTAATTTCACAGAACGGTTGTAAAGATAACATTCAAAACCAGATAACATATGCAAATATGCCATTAATGTAAAGTGCTGTCCAACTTAAAACAGCCTTAGGTGTGAGGTGATAATAGTAGTGTTGCAGGACTTTCTCCTTAGTTCAGCGATGGGTCCTTGTCACACAGCCATGAAAGATTGGGCTTGCAGACACTTTGAAGGGTGAGAAAAATGGAATTTATTGGGGGAAAAGGAAGAAAAGGGAAACAGGGGCTCTCCACAAAGTGAGAGTCCTGCTAGCTGGTTTCCCGCCTCACAGATTGAATCCCAGGTGCCACCCCAGAACAAGAGTGTCCAGGCTCCTCCCCACTGCAAACGGGGCGAACTTCCCACCCCAGAACAGGAGTGTCCAGGCTCCTCCTCACTGCGAACGGGGTGAACTTCCCACCAACCCCAGAACAGGAGTGTCCAAACTCCTCCCCACTGTGAACAGTGCAAAATTCCCGAGGCTCCACCCCACTGTGCATTCTTCCCAGTATGCAGCCCGGTCAGAGGCTCTGCCAGGGAGCTTTTTACTTGGCTGTCTCCATAGAAGAGTAAACAAGTGTAGCTGTAGCGTCAGACAGACCTGGATTCAAATTCTTCCAGCCACATTCATTTATCAGTCATGTAACTTTGGGCAAGTTCCCTAACTTCTCAACAGTCCCCAGTCTGAATATCATAGATAAGTGAATTTGTCTTGAAGGATTAACCGACATATCAATTTCTCATTCCACTGTCCTATATGATCTTTGTTAACTTACATAAGTTGTATTTCTTTATCTGTGCAATAGAAATAATAATAGCTAATCTGCCACCTTGCTGAAATTGTTATAAGATTGAATAAAAAAAATCTGAATCTAAAATCTTAGAGAAGTTCAATTGTAAGACATTATTATGTTATAAATAATAAATACCACCTTTATTGATTAAAAAGATAATGATAGCAGTAAATGGTGAATGAACTCTATTGCGATGAAACAATGGGATCAACAATGTTCCTAAAAATGGACTTTTAAAGCAAAACTTTACCTAGTCAAAAATTTTTTTTTTTCCCTCTTGGTGCCCAGGGTGGAGTGCAGTGGCGCGATCTCTGCTCGTTAAAACCTCTGCCTCCCGGGTTCAAGTGATTCTCCTGCCTCAACCTCTCAAATAGCTGGGATTACAGGCACCCACCACCACGCCTGGCTAGTTTTTTTTTTTTTTTTTTTTTTTTTTGTATTTTTAGTAGAGACGGGGTTTTGCCATGTTGGCCAGGCTGGTCTCAAACTCCTGGCCTCAAGTGATCCGCCCGCCTCAGCCTCCCAAAGTGCTAGAATTACAAGCATGAGCCGCTGCGCCCAGCCCACATATATATTAAAATAAATATATGTGTGGAGACTCTGTGTGTGTGTGTGTGTGTATGTGTCTGTGTCTGCATTTAAAAGATTTATGATGTGTGATTTATTTCCTCAGTAAGTTTTCACCCTTTCTAAAAAATTTCAGTATTCACAAGACTTGAAATTTTTAGCATTGAAAAGTCATTCTTTTTTTTTTTTAAAGACCAAAAGTGGGAAAAATAACTAATATCTATGTTATGTCTATTATGTGGTAGCCACTTCTTAACTGTTAGGTAATTTAATCTTGAAAAGTATTTTATGATACCAGACTTCACATTATCACCAATTTACAGATAAGGAAATGAAGACAGAGTGTTTAAGTCATTTGCCCAAGGACACAGTCACAGCCAGTAAATGATGGATTCTTGTACTTAAAGCTAGATCTATCTAACTCGAAAGCCCATGCTCATTTTTTAAAGCCCTCTCTTGAGGTTACAACTGCAGTATCAGGAATCTTTAGTTAGAATAAAAATATAAGCATTTGTTTAAACGCTAACACTCATTTTTATAATCACATAGCACAGAAGCATTTCTGGAAGCTCTTACATCCCTCACAGTGGTCCGAAGTCCATTTCTTCCAACCTGTGGATGACGATGTCACCTAGTGGACAGAGCGAGAAATTGGCAAAGCTAGCATTTCTTCTCTTCCTCACCTTTCCTCCTTCCCTCAGGGTGTTTATGCTCTTTCCCTAGCTTGATTTCTATTGATGATAGGGTAGTTTGCTTTCAATAAGCAATGTTACTCATGGTTGGGAAATATGAAACTGTTGTATTTAATAAATGAGGAAGGTATTTTTGAAATGGATTGACAATAACACATGAAGAAAAGATGGTGTAGGAGGCCCATAGGAAGAAGCCAGCCTAAGGATGGCTTTGGAGGAAAAAAGGACTTTTGCCTGACTCCCTATCAACTTCTTGAAGTCTAGAGGCAGGAACCTGATGTTCAAACCATGGTTAACTGTGAAGGACAATGGTTATGAGAGAAGGATGAAAAATACAAATGTAAGCTGAACTTGTTAGATAAGTGATTCAACTGTCAGATGAGATATAAGCAAAGAGGGTTTCTTTGTTATGAACTGTATTTATGATAACGGGCAAGCAGATGAACATTTATTAGCTATTGATGGGAAGTTAGTCAATGGCACAAAATTGGCACTTAGAAGATAGAAGTGAAGATGATTACTATTGTTATTGCATGTGTGTGTCTAATCAGAATCTAGAATCTATGATGATTAGTTCATTACTTCTGGAGTACAAGAAAAGAATGTGGCACTTCATGAAGAGCAGGATTTGCTCATGAGACACATGCAGATTTACGTCTGTCACCCAAAGATGCACATGCTGAGAGACTAGACTAGGTCCTTGAAACTCAAACTGTGGTTCAAACACCTGCAGCATCAGCATCACCTAGGAACCTTCAAAAAGCAGAATCTCAGGACTACCCACGACTTACCGAGTCAGAATCCTCAATTTAACAAGATCCCTAGGTGATTTTTATGCACATTCAAATATGAAAGAACAGCTTTAGAAGGAATTGTGCCTTCCTCTCTATGGGTGGGTCTTCTCGGGGAATACCTGCATGGGAGGGCATTGCTGCCTCTAGAATATGACTCATTCTGTGTCTTATGAAAACAGTGTGTCTATTAGCAATGAAAGCCCCCTGGGAAAACTTTCTTACTAAATCATGGGTAGGGACTCTTCTAATTCTGGACTCCAGGAAGAGGAACATTTATCGTATTTGGATGATTACGCTCTTAGCCTGGGAATCACAAAACACACATCATCTCAACACCAGTCCTTTCCCTCAACTCATTCTTAAATTTCTCTTACATTCTGTCCTTCTGCCTCTGTTTCTTCTCTCTCTCCTCACTCTTTCCCAGTGGTGTTCTACAGCCAACTTATAAGACTCCTGTCGCTTGCAAGAGCAGTTGGGCACTTCTCTTTTTAATTCCACACTTAGCGCTATCATGCTAGTAGTATGAAATCAACCATGGTGAGAATATTACACTGTGGAAATTGGCAAAAAATTCAAATTCAGCTTCCCCTCACCCCAGACAGCTCGCCAGCATATTACTACCTCTTCTTACCTCTTTCTCAGGAACTTTTCATCTTCTTCTTCTTTCTGTTGTTCTTAGGCCTTTCTCATTCTCTCCCACTTTTTAAAAAAATTTTTTCCTCTCCCTGTTTTCCTCTGGAAAACCACCACCACCACAACCACCACCATGACAACGCCTACAATGAAGTAAAGAACAACCAACATTCTCTTAACCCAAACAAAATTTAAAAGCATAGAAATCAACCTAAGAAAAAAGCATGCAAAAAATTGTGATGAGGATAATGCCACCTGCTTAATGAAAATTTTTAAAATGAAATTGGATACAGTTCAGTATCAGGCTTCTCTAAGCAAGCACAGGTCAAAGTACTCAGAAGTACTCTGCTATTTATCAGATTTATCTTTCTGCTCTATTGACCCATTTATGCCCAGTGTTTCATTATTGGAAAGACAAGCATGTGGGAGTTATTTATATCCTACTGCTCAAGGTCATTGCCAAGGTCTGATTGCAAAAATTCAAAAAATTGCAACCTCAGGAATAAATGGGTTAAAGCCACCTTCCCCCTCAAATATCCATATTTAAAATAATAGGAAAGCAATATTTCAACCAATAAGATTATTTCCTTTAAATCCTATTTGTTAGGATTTAATACTTTTCACTGAAGATACCCAGAAAGCTTTGCTTTATTTCAAAACTTTTCATAATTTTTTCCTACAATGTAAACTTAATTCTGAATACTATATGTTTAATAGAATAATGACATAAATGGAAGACTATTTTATATATCACTTTGTGCTCACTTAATGATCCTAAGTATTAGTATGTGTCGGGACACTGTGCTACTGTACTAGGACCTCTGACGCATGTGTGACCTTCTTTTTTTTTTTTTTTTTTTTGAGACAAAGTCTCATTCTGTTGTCCAGGCTGGAGTGCAGTGGTGGGATCTCGGCTCACTGCAACATCCACCTCCCAGGTTCAAGAGATTCTCCTACCTCAGCCTCCCGAGTAGCTGGGATTACAGGCAGGTGCCATCACGCCCTGCTAATTTTTGTATTTTTGGTAGAGATGGGTTTTTATCATGTTGGCCAGGCTGGTCATGAATTCATGACCTCAAGTGATCCGCCTGCCTCAGCCTCCCAAAGTGCTGGGATTACAGGCATGAGCCACCCCGCCTGGCCTTGTGACCTTCTTTTCTACTCTATCATTGCACATAGATATAGTCTCGAATATTTTGTACGCTAAAGAGGCTTTGGTAGGCTGGGCTGGGAAACTAAACTCATTGCATGATGCTGTCACTATGAGCCAGCAGGCCTGAAATTCTAATAAACCAGTTTACAAATTAACTTTGAGACCAAAGCATATTTAGGAGTTTGGGATTTTATATTTATTCCTTTTCTTTGATATTCACGTTGGTTTTATTTTTTCCTTTGGTATTGGCTTCCAATTTGTATTCTGATGTTTATAAATGTATTTTCTTGTAGTTATTGGTGTCCAACTTCCCATGCTGACTGTCTATCACAATGCATTAATTGAACTAAATGAGTATGCAGTGGATTAGGAACGTGACAGTAATGATGAGAATTTTAATTGTTCATTAATTCAAACACTTCATTATTCATTCACTGTAAAACATGTGGTGAACATTGACTATGTGCCAGGTTTTAAGCAAGTTATGTGGATGCAAAAATGAATGAGACATGCCCTCCAGGAGCTTACTGTTTATGTTTAACAAGGGAGACAGGCACACATGCAATCATTATTATGCAACAGGGTGGGTATTATACCGGTGGAATTGACGAGGAGCTGGAGAGCATAGAGGAAAGAAAATTTAGTTTGACCTAATCAGGGAGATGTTCACACAAGATTTTTGAATTAAGTCTTGATAAATGAGTAAAACACCTAAGTTATAAAGTGAAAACAGTTTGTATGGTATACAACACTAACATAAATAACAACAGTGACACGGGAAAGTGTATGATGTGCTCAGTGAATATATATTCATGTAGAGAGATTGAAGACATGTGTGTGCATGTGTATGTGCATTTGCATGTGTGGCTCAAGCTTGTCCAACCCATGGCCCACGGGCCACAGGCAGCCCAGGACGGCTTTGAATGTGGCCTGACACAAAGTTAAAAACTTTCTGAAAACATGATAAGATTTTTTTTTTAATGATTTTTTTTTTTTAGCTCATCAGCTATTGTTAGTGTTAGTGTATTTTATGTGTGGTCCAAGACAATTCTTCTAATGTGGCTCAAGGAGGCAAAAATATTGAAAGCCCCTGGTAGATGAAGGATATTGGGGAATGAGAAAATGCTGACAATCTTTTTTTTTTTTTTTTTTTCTGAGATGGAGTCTTGCTTTGTCACCCAGGCTCAAGTGCAGCGGCGCGATCTTGGCTCACTGTAACCTCGACCTCCTAGGTTCAAGCGATTCTCCTTCCTCAGTCTTCCAAGTAGCTGGGATTACAGGAGTATGCCACCACACCCAGTTAATTTTTGTGTTTTTAGTAGAGATGGGGTTTCACCATGGTGGCCAGGCTGGTCTCAAACTCAAGTGATCCACCTGCCTTGGCCTCCCAAAGTGCTGGGATAACAAGCATGAGCCACCGCTCCCAGCCTAATATTGATAAATGTTGAGGCTGTTTTGAAAGTTTGTTGCCTGCTTTAAAGTATTGTGATAGTTGTTAAAAGTTTTTTTTTTTTTAAGATATAATCATGACTCTCATACAAATAAGCGTGTCAAAGATTTTATTGAACTCATCAATTAATGAGGGGGCTAATAAGATATAATGAGTTCAAAAGGCAGATTCAAAGAACCACATATATGAGCAGTAAATAGTGCTGAAATGAATTTAAAATATATGCAAAGCTGACTTATGGCTGGGAATGGGGGAGTGGTGGGGTGAGGGGTGAGGCTGAGAAGCTTGGAATGGTTATGTTGGAGAATCAGTTGTATTTCTCCTAATTAAAATACATTTTTTTTTGTCTATGGACAAGAACAATTTGCATAACCATCAGTTATAAACAAATTGTAGAGTTGTAAAATGTCTCAAAGACAATGAAAGATTCAGAGACTCCATAGCATCAAATAACCTAGAAAAGTATACTTTGTTAGACTATGGTTAGCTTTTCACTGAAGACACCCAGTAAGATTTTGCTTTCTTTCAAAGCTTTTCACAATGTTTTACATACAATGTGAGCTTAATTCTGAATACTATACATTTAATAGAGTAATGACATAAATGGAAGACTATTTTGTATATCATGTTCCACTCACTTAAGCTCTTTAAGGGAGAAAATCAGCCTTGTGTCCTTGGAGCCTGGTATAGTGTTGCATACATAGTAAACTCTCACTAAATGTTGACTGAACGAAAATGGAGAAGGTTGATTTGGGGATGAGGGCAGATCTACCTAGCAATGATATTGGAATTGGTCATTATGTTATGTTGCGAGTGGAAATATTGGAATATATTAAAATACATGCACTAATTGCCTAATAATAGTAACTATAAATATTCCATGAGAGTAATATCATAAAATAAACTTCAGTAACAGAAAATTCATTCAAATCTACTATAAGGCATGAAGAAATACATTTCAATTAAATATACACACAGCCTGAAAAAGTAGTTGCAACTTAGGTTAGGCTGCTGTTAAATTCTGTTTCATGTACGTCAAACTGTCAAGCTTGTTTGACCTTGACTTTCCCTCTGGTGTTAGCTTTTGTTCTTGCCCCTTGTTGGTGTCTTGAGTAAAACTGATTGACAGGTGTGGCAAATCCTATTGTGGCAGCGCTCTTTAAAGAAGATTGATGACCATGTAAGAACAGGCATTAACCTTAAACACGGCTTATTAACCCAGATGCCTTGAGGCCATATGTTGAGGTGCCAGTGTGCCCTTGAGGCGCAGTTCATTGGTCCCATGGCCATTAGTGTTTTCAGCAGAGACCTGGATCTACTAGGAAATAAAATAATGTTTCTTTTATTTGAAAAGAAAATTGTTACTGAGTTTGAAAAGTAATGCTCATTAACAAATAATGCTTTTATTCAGATACAATATATTTAGAAAAAAAATATTTGAGAAACTGGCTAGCATCTTTTCTTGAATAAAAGCTTAGAAAAATGTAGGCAAACAGTAAGAGTTAGAAATTTTATGGTAATTTGGAATTGAGATTAAAGAGTTGAGATTTATTATCTAAGCACCTCTTCCAGTTTTTAAAAATACTTAAGCTCTGTTTTTCCATGCCAAGTAGTTTGCTATCACAGGAAGAGTTATCTAGTCTACTAATATTTGGGTGGAGCTATCAAATGTCCTGTTTAGAAGGCACAAGGCATCCTGAAATAACTCTTCAGAAATTTAGATGCTTCTGAAATTCAATTTCCATATACCGTAGACTCATTAATGAGAAATATTTTTATTATGAGTTTTATATTATATATCATATATATTATAACATTATATCACTAGTATTAATAGTAATATGGAAATGATTACTCAAAAAGCCAGTCTCTTTCTTTTTCTAATTGAACATGATGAAAACAAAGAAAAAAGGGTATCTGAATCACCTGTCTGAGAGAAGGTAATAGAAATTCTGCATTTACATAAAATAGGATTCCACATGGCTTTAGAGGAGCTAGAGTCTGCACGGTGGAGGATGCCAGACTTATAATGCTGGTCCCAAACGGTCCCAGGTGTCTGTTTTCTGGTGAAATTGTAGAAACGTGCATTTAAAGTAGGCATAGTGTTTAATGTGATAGCTACAGTCAAGGCTGGGAGATTATTCAGATGAAGAATATCATATTCTGACCTCCAACAAATCTGTAGCAGAAGTGCCAATGGGGAAAATTACAAAAATGAAGCAAACTCAACTCTACACTTAAAATTTAGAATACTCTTCTCAGCGTGATGATGGTGGCTGGCCTGACATGACTGAAGAGGTCCTGGGTAATAGTTGTTTTTCTCCAAATAAATGTTGGTCAGTTCTGTATACCATTAAATACCAGCTCTTAGAGACAGCCCTATGCTCTAGGCATGATTCATAGATATAATTCTCTAAATCTGCTATGGGTTCTATGACATGCTTGAATACAGAACATTTTCCGACAGAGATGAAAGCTTAAGTATTGTTTGGACATGGTCAGGGTAGCAAGTTAGCATGACTTCTTCCTCCCAATCAGCACTGGAGGAACTGTGGAAGCAATATAGAAGCACGAACTAGAGAACCAAACAAGCAAAAGACAATCGCCTGATATAAATTCCTGGGACACTGAAAGCTTTCTGAGTACAACAGCCTGGATGGAGGTGTCCTGACTTGAAGGTGGGGGTAAGGGTTGAAGGAGAGCCTTTGCGTTGTTATCGCCACATTGTCTCAGAGCAATAGTTACTCCCTCCTCTTTCAGACATTGTCCACCACATCCCAGGCCACTGAACTTCATGGGGTTGATGTTACGGCAGAGCAAAGACCTGCTGGGGCAAAAAAATGGATGAAAATAGATGGGAATAAAATAGCCACCTTTGAACAATTTCTGGTTCACCTCATTCCCCTCCAAACTCCTAGGACTGAAAGATTGCAATTTTGGAGACTGCCTCATTCCAGCGTTGCTTATTTCTAAGAGTTTACGTGTGCCTTCCAGAACAGGTGAGTGTTAGAATGGCAGCAAATAGGAGGGATCAACTCCCCAGGACCTGGGCTCACTCTGGGCCCCTCCTCCTTCTTAAATTCACATAGGGGAATGTAGACCAGGACCTAGCTTTTGGATCCTCCCCACTACACTTTACAAGATAGAGAAGCTTACTAATGTCTCCAGGGAAACACGAGCTCACAGGCTAACATAATGAGAACAACGATCGATATAACTACTACAAATCACACACATACACATGGAAAAGCATACAACTAAAGAGGAATTGCTACTCGGGAGGCTGAGGTAGAAGAATCGTTTGAACCCGGGAGGCGGAGGTTGCAGTGAGCAGAGATCGCGCCACTGCACTCCAACCTGGGTGAGAGAGAGAGACTCCGTCCCCCCCCCGCCCCAAAAACAAGAATTATTGGAACAGATGGCTCAAGAATTTAAAATAAGCAAAACAACTAAAAAGAGGTTGGTATGAGAAAAACTTAAAACTGTAACATGCCCCCCCAACTCCCAAACTGGAAAGGTGCAGGAGACCAAAGAACAATTTAAACAAGTCCAGCTTGATGAGAAGGTGAATTTGTGTGTGTGTGTGTGTGTGTGTGTGTGTGTGTGTGTGTGTGTGTGTGAGAGAGAGAGAGAGAGAGAGAGAGAGACAGCCCAGGCTGGAGTGCAGTGGTAAGAACTCGGCTCACCTCAATCTCCTCTTCCCGGGTTCAAATGATTCTCCTGCCTCAGCCTCCCAAGTAGCTGGGATTACAGGCATGCACCACCACCCCCGGCTAATTTGTATTTTTAGTAGAGACGGGGTTTCCCCATGTTGGTCAGGCTGGTCTCGAACTCCCAACCTCAGGTGATCCACCCGCCTCGGCCTCCCAAAGTGCTGGCATTACAGGAGTGAGCCACTGCACAGGGCATTCCTGGGTGGCAGTGAGATAGCTCCAGAGACACACCCCATCTCCCATCTCTTAGCTGTTTTTAAGCTAATTTTAAGCTATTTTTTCTGGCATTTTGCCTACCGTATGTGTGCAATGAGACTGTTTTTGTTGATACGTTTGCAGCTGGAATATTTGGGTTCTTAGGGACACCTGCTCCTCGGCTAGGCACCTTGGCCTTGGCTCACTGCCCAGCCTTCGGGGTTCAAGCAGCAAACATACACTCTTTTTTTTTTTTTTTTTTTGAGACGGAGCCTTGCTCTGTCTCCTAGGCTGGAGTGCAGTGGCGTGATCTCTGCTCACTGCAAGCTCCGCCTCCCGGGTTCGCGCCATTTTCCTGCCTCAGCCTCCCGAGTAGCTGGGACTACAGGCGCCCGCGACTACGCCCGGCTAATTTTTTGTATTTTTAGTAGAGACGGGGTTTCACCGTGTTAGCCAGGATGGTCTTCGTCTCCTGACCTCGTGATCCGCCCGCCTCGGTCCCCTAAAGTGCTGGGATTACAGGCATACACTCTTAAGTAACCTGGTGGGGACCCATCAAACTACAAAGGTAAGGGATAATACGAAGTTATAACTCAAGGAAATATTAGGTATGACATTATAAATTTGATATAAAGCATAATTCATGGAATAAATAGCTGAAGAATGAATTAATGAGTTGGAATTCAGATTTAACAACTCCTTCAAGAAGCAGCGGAAAGGAAGGAAATTATACTATAGTAAAAGGAACAATCGAACAAGAAGGTAGAGCCATCATAACAAATATATTCTCTGTCATATAAAAAGCCCAAACTGACAGAATTGAAGAGAGAATAGAGAAGTCAATAACTGCAGTAGGAGATATTAAAACACTCTTTTCAGTAACTGATAAATCAAAAAATGAAACATGAATAAAACCAGGGATAACATAGATCCAAATACATTTGAGTTGTATGTATCTCTATGCATGGACACATATTTATCTATATATCTGTATCTGTATCTTCTATATTTGTTTATATTTATATAAACGTTTTGTCCAGCAGAGCACATATTTTATTATTGAGAAAATACAGAATATATTTTAAAAATAGACTATATATTGGGCCAGAAAGGAAATCTCAGTATTAAACTTCAAAGGACCAATTTTATACAGACTGTATTTCCTAAAGATAGTGCCATAAATTTAGTAATGTACCACAGAAATAGCTAAAATTTCCTTAGATTTGGAATGTAAATAACATATTAAATGAAGAATTGTTCTGTCTAAAAAAGAAATTACAAAGAATCTTATAAAATCCTTAAAAGTGAGAGTTAGTGCACACTACATGTTGATGTCTGTGGGGCAAAACTACAGTAGTATTCAGAGAAAAATGTTTTGCTTCAAATGCATCTATTGGGGCACACATGAGATGTAAAACAAACAAGCTAAACATTCAAATCAAGCAGGTAGAAAAAAGAAAACAGCAAAATTTAAAAAAAAGAAAGAAGGAAATATAAGGAAAAGAGAGATAGAAACCCAGAGGGAGAAAACAAATACAGTAATAAAACTAAAAACTGATTCTTTGTGAAGATTGATAAGATAGATGGTAGACCATGCTGATCAAGGAAAAAATGAGATGCAAATAAATAAAATATAGAATAAAAGGGAAAAATACAGAAACAATAGATTTTAAAATGATATAAATTAGTTTCAATAAATATATGCTTATAAATATGAAAATGCAGGTGCAAAGAATAAATTTTTGGCAATGTGTAGATGCCAAAATTGGTACAAGAAGGAAGAAGAAATGAATGCAAAATTCAGCCATAAATGATTCATGGCAGTAGTCAAACTCCTCTTCTCCCGATAATTCTCAATCCCAGATTGTTCTTCCAAACATTGGTACAATTCATGCCTCTCTTAGGCAAATTGTTCCAGAGGCAGGAAAAAAGTGACAGCTGCCCAGTTCACTTTATAAAGCTAGTGTCATGTGGTTTCCAAACAAGAAAAAGAAAATTGTTTGCTTATTTCTTCATAATATAAATGTGAAGATATGAAATATGACATTTGCTAATTGAAAAAGGAAAAGTATATTTTTAAATAATCCAACATGATCAAGTAAGGGTTCAACATTTTAAACTTCCATCAATGTAATGAGCTACAAAAATATATTGAATAAAAAGAAAATGCAATTGTTTTCTCAATAGATGCCAAAAAATGGCAAAATCCAATATTTACAGTTTTAAATAACTAAAAACTTGTAAAATAATAAATGTTATAAACAACAACAAAAACCTGCAGCCAACAATGGAGAAATTGTAGATAAATTTATTTAAATTTATTTGCAAGGTAAGATTGCTACCACTCCCACTATTCAACATATTATTGAAGGCCTTGTATAATAAATACTCAAAAAAGCAAAACAAATAAGGCTTTAAAAATTGGAAGAGAAGAACTAAAACCATTATTATCTAAAAATGATACGATTATTTACAGAAAATGTTAGCAACAGACAAACTATTGGACCAAACAGAGAGTATAGAGAGCTTAACAAATCTGTTGGACCTGAGGTCAATTTATTTAGCTCTGCCCTTTGCATCTGAGGCATATAAATATGCAAGTGAATGAATGAATAAATGAACTAATGTGTGTATAGATTCACATATATTACATACTATATATATGTGTGTGTGTGTGTATTACACTATATAGGACATTTTCAGGCTGTATATATTCATATATGTGTTTTATATATATATGTGTATGTGTGTGTGTATATATGTATCCTGTAGTATTTATGCTATATATTGCACCTTCCTTCACTTTTATCTTCTATCTCTTGTTACTGCCTACAAAATAAAGGCAAACATTTCCCAATGTTCCCTCTTTTTTCATTTCTTCCTTTGGTGATCTGTCATACAGTTTAACTATCCCATCAATGATGAAAGGTTTCAAAATCAGTAACTTTATTCTTGAATTCTCCCTTGATTTCCTAATTTTTAAATTAATTTATTCACTAATACAAAAAGTATTTATTAAGCATCCGTTGTGCCTGACAAGGTTCTATGCACTGAGGCTACAGCAGTGAATAAAACAAATACTTCCACTGTCTTTGTGGAACTCACATTCTAGTTGGGGTAAACAAACAAGAAAAATATGTAAGAAGGTGATAATGTCTGTGGTGGGGTGGGAGAGGGTGATATCAAAACAGAAGGAGGTTGAGGAGTGGCTGAGTGTGGAAGGACTGCAAGAACCATCACAGAAAGCTTCTCTAAAACAGTGGACCCAAATCTAAAGGGAGTGAGAAAGAGAAGGATGAGGTTATCAGGACATTTTAAAAACTACCTCTGATTGCTGTGTTGTGACTACAGCAAAAGATAGAATCAGTAAGACATATTAAAAGGCCATTGTAATAATCCAGGTAAAAGACGATGGTGCTTAAAACCATAGTTTAGTATGACGGTGGTGAAAAGTGTGTTCAATTTAAAATATACTTTGGGCCGGGCATGGTGACTCATGCCTGTAATCCCAGCACTTTGGGAGGCCAAGACGGGTGGATCACTTGAGGCCAGGAGTTTGAGACCAGCCTGGCCAACATGGTGAAATCCTGTCTCTACTAAAAATACAAAAATTAGCTGGGAATGGTGGTGCGGGCCTGTAATCCCAGTTACTCGAGAGGCTGAGGCAGGAGAATCGCTTGAACCCGGAAGGCGGAGGTTGCAGTGAGTCAAGATCGCACCACTGCACTCCAGCCTGGGTGACACAGCGAGCCTCGATCTCAAAAAAATGTGTGTATATATATATACACTTCAAAGTGTATATCTATACTTTGAAGGCAGAGCCAACAAGATTGGCTAGTGCATTGCCATGCGTGGTGTGAGCAAAATAGAGGCATCAAGGTTAGCTCCATAGTATTTAGACCCAGCAATTGGAAGAATGACTCTCAGAACCAACATGACCAGTATGTTCAAAGCTATGCTTGTCAACTCCTTCAAACCACTTCTCATTCTTCTTAATCTTAGTTAATAACCAGATTATCCAATTTGTCTGAAACTTCAGAGCCATCTTTAGGTCTTCGTTGACTTTTTTGTTCCTGACTTGTTTCCCTCTTTCTTCCTGTTTTTCTCCATTCTGCGAGTGTTACTTCTGACGCCATCTTTACATATTACAGCCTTATTCATTCTTCAGGGTTTCTTTGACATTGCTGCCTTCTTTGATCGTGTCAACTGGATTTCAGTTCTGTCTTCTTTTTTTGTCATAGAGTAGGAACAAAAATAGTCTTTAGAACATTTATTTTCCACAATAGTACTTTGGTAATAGATGGATAGCTAGCTGAATAATTTAGAGATCACTGTTGTGTTCAAGAAATGCACAGGCCTGATGAAAAATATGGAACCTTCGTCAAGCCCAGATTTCCAGTAGGGCAGATAGTAGTCAACACCTATATCCAACTGGTAGGTGTGTTTGAGGGTAGGAGTAGAGGAGGGTTAAATGTAACACTGTGAAAGGAGGGAACTTTCTTTCTGGGCTCTGTCAGTGACAGTGTTGTGTAATTGAGCCATAATGGGCTTTAGTAGCAGAAAAATCTGTGTTCAAATGTAGCTCTGCTACTTGTGTTTGTGACCATAAAAACATTCTGTCATCTCTCCATCCTCCATTGTCTTATCTATAAACTGAAGGTATTAATACCTATTTTTGGATGGTAGTGAGGACTAAATAAGAAGATATATAAATGTGTATTGCACAGTGCCAGAACCATAATATGCTCATATATGCTCAGTAGATATAAGTTCCACTCCTCTGTAAGCCATAGGTCAATTCTTTTCAGTAAATTAAGCTTTCAGAAAAGTGAATAAAATCACTCATACCTCTCTGGGATACTTTAGTGCAAGGCAGCAATAATATGTTTTTCTGAGGGCCTGAAAGTTAGTGTCACTTCCTGAAACACCACAAGAAGTGATTTGGACCCCGAAGAGAATTTGCCTCTTTGAGTTGCACACTCCCTCCTTTCCTTCAATGAGATCATTGTGCTGTATTTTATGACTGAAACTAATCATCCTTGTGGAAATTGCAAAGCTTGAGGATTTCTCTGTAAGATAGCCTTAAGATACAAAATCTTTAAGAATTTCCCATGCAGTTTACATTGTCATTGCAGCTATAGAATTTAGCAAGAATCATTTCCGGTTCTTTTGATATTCTAAGGGTGCAAGATCAGCAGTCACTTTAATCAAACGCCTACACCCTCATTGACTATCTATAGGCTACTGACTTTTCAGTGATGGAATGAAATTACATGCAAGCTGATGGAGCCATAATGGATATTTTCTAGGTAATATGCATAAGTTAAACCATCGTGATCACCAGGGAGCCTGTAAGATAATATCTTCTCCCACAGAGAGGACAGACCAAGAATGATCCTTTTTCCTTGCTTTCCTTTACAAAGTATATCTTTCTCTTTGATAACACAGAGACTCACAGCATGATGGATAAGTTATATTCATCATGTATTTAATTTTCAAATAGAAAATATAATGAAAATTATAAAATGATAATAACATAATAATATCTTAAAATGTTATGCTATATTTTCCCATAGGAATTCAGAAGATAAATTCTCTACTTTATCATTTTTATCCATTTTGAAGTCTTGTTGGTATAAAATGCAAATAAAAAATTAAGAGTATTTTATGGGGATTCTGTTGATATATTTATGACTTACCAAGCAGCTAATATTTTCCAACTTTAAAATGGTACAATTTTAGAAGTATAATTCTAAAGATTACTTGTGCACACAACTTTGCCTGTCCCCCTCCCCCATTTCTTAGCTTTATTGGTAGAGTAACTGTTACTTACATGTTATATATTCAGTATTTGCAAAGACCTGTACAACTACAGTATTTCATCTGATCATTTTGATCAAGGCAGATATTTTCTCAATTTTACACATGAGAATTTGAGGCACAATGAAATTCAAAGATTTGCTCAAGCTCATGGAAACAGGTCTTCTCACTTCAAAATCTTAAGATTTTAGTGACTTTAATCCCTTACTTAGTAATGAGTATCTTAGTAATAGACACTTTACTTAGTAATGGGTATAGTAATACTAAGGCAGTGAAATAGCATTAAATGCTCAAGATCACAGAGTTATCAAATTCTAAAGTTTAAAATAGAAAGTAAGAGGAGGAAGAAACTAAGATTGTTGCATATCTATTATGTACACATATATTCCCCTTAAATTAATCCTTTATAATTTCCATGCTACCACCATATTGCCTCAAATACTTTTGGGAACATGGTAAAGCAAAAATACACGTATGCATTTAAAAGAATGAAGAAAAGCAGTTATCCCAGAGAGGTTGGTATTCTATTTCTATTATCACTATTTAATCTCAGATGAGAAAATTAAGACATGGTGAAGCCGAACCATTTTTCCAGGGTCAGCCATCTAGCAAAGAATGGAATCAAAGTTTATGCCATGTCATCCTGACTCTAGCACCTGGGTTCTTGCCTTGGTAACTCTCATCTGTCTTAAGGACAGGTGAACCAAAATTTAATCTTTCTTTCTAAGAGAATGTTTGGTGATAGAATAAAAATGAGCTCTTCTTTATTACCATCTAAGTTTTTCCATTTAGAACTCATTTTTTTGTGTCTACAGTGTGGTAAAAAAAAATGTTGGGCCCCAAATAATCCTACATTCTACATAGTCTCTAAACCAAACAAACACTGTGCCTCATTCACATTGGAATTCTCAATGCACACATATACGTAAATGTTCTTGTGCTTAATGACATAGAAATTCATTTTAAAGTGTTTCTTGAATTCATGAGTACATTTGCCATTATGTATTTTTTATCAATGATAATAAAAATTAACAACCATAATATTGGCAACTTTTTTCATATTAAAAAGACATCTTTTGGTAGAAAATGTTTGGACCCCCTGGGATAAGGGAAGCCTGACATCAAGGCCAAACAGAGGATATTCTTTGATGTTGACAAATATCTGATGGCTAACAACTCATTCTTTAAGTCTCACTGTCTCTCTCTTTCATATCTGACTCTTTCTCTCATATCTGACTCTCTCTTTGTATCTCACTATCATCCGTTAATGTATTTTTATAGCGACATATTTAATGTATATTATCTTCTTTAAACTGATTTTTGTAAGCATTATTTTGTTCGAAGAGCTTTTTTTAGCTTTTCAACTGTTTTTATGTTAAAAATTTAAAATCAATAAAAATTTGAAAGAATGGTTTAATAAATGTCTGTGTATCTTTTATGTAGATTCACCAATATTAACCTGTTTGATCAATTTGCTTTCTGTATATGTATTTTATCATTGTTTTCCTGAGAAAATTGAAGTATGCAGACATAATTACATGTCAACCCTAAATACTTCAGCATGTATTACCAAAGAATAATAATTTTTCCTGTTTATCTTCGTAGCCATAGAACCATTATCAGAGCTAAGAATATTAGCACTGATTCAACAATATCACCTACTATGTAACCCATATATTAATTTTTCTGAATAACCTCTCAACTATCTTTTATAGCTTTGGTTAAATCTAGGATCCAGCCAAGGATTATTAACCTTATTTAGTCATTATGCCTCTTATTTTATTATTATTGAGGACATTCCTGTTACCTTTTTATAGTTTTTCAGGCCAGGCATGGTGGCTCATGCCTGTAATCCCAGCACTTTGGGAGGCCAAGGCGGGTGGATCACCTGAGGTCGGGAGTTCAAGACCAGCCTGACCAACATGGAGAAACCCCGTCTCTACTAAAAATACAAAAAATTAGCTGGGCATGGTGGCACATGCCTGTAATCCCAGCTACTCGGGAGGCTGAGGTGGGAGAATCACTTGAACCCAGGAGGCAGAGGTTGTGGTGAGTTGAAATTGTGCCATTGCAATCCAGCCTGGGCAACAAGAGTGAAACACAATCTCAAAAAAAAAAAAGAGAATAAATAAAAAAAATATATATATAGTTTTTCATGGTATCCAATTTTTTGAGAGAGTCCAGACTAGTTACAGAATGTGCTATATTCTAGTTTTGTCTAAGTTCAGGTTAAACATTTTTGGCAAAAACATTATATAATTGATATTTTGTATTTCTTATTACATCTCATTTAAATTTTGTGCTTCAGTGAAACACTTTCGTTATCTAGAGGACTCCCTCTGGGTTATCTGACTCTGATTCTATGGAAGCTGTGTTACAACTCTGTAAGTTGTAGATAACTGAGGGCAGTGCCACTTAATTCTTGTCTATAGACTTGTAAATTCTATCCTGTGCCATGGAGTTTCAACTGACTCTCTTCTCTCCTCCTCTCTATTCCCCTAGTGGAAAAACCAGCTTTGCTCTCCTTTGTACCATTTTCACTTCAATAATCATCTATAAATGTGTCTTTTGTTTGAATTCTCTTTTGAACCAGTTATGACGTCTAACTGGTTCTCTCATGCGTTAATGAGTTAACTAAAATCTTTGTAATGTGTTTATTTTATATCTGTATGAGAGTCATTTTCACACGCGTCTGTGTGAAGAGACCACCAAACAGGCTTTGTGTGAGCAATAAAGCTTTTTAATCACATGGGTGCAGGCGGGCTGAGTCCGAAAAGAGAGTCAGCGAAGGGAGATGGGGTGGGGCTGTTTTATAGCATTTGGGTAGGTAGTGGAAAATTACAAGTCAAAGGGGGTCGTTCTCTGGCTGGCAGGGGTGGGGGTCACAAGGTGCTCAGTGGGGGAGCTTTTGAGCCAGGATGAGCCAGGAGAAGGAATTTCACAAGGTAATGTCATCAGTTAAGGCAGGAACTGGCCATTTTCACTTCTTTTGTGATTTTTCACTTGCTTCAGGCCATCTGGATGCATAGGTGCAGGCTTGGGCTCAAAGGCCTGACAGCCATAATTTGATCTCTTTTTGAAAATTATCTACTCACACTCCCATCAAGAGGCATATAATGACAGAGTTTTGTTTCTTTGTGATTTTCCCAGTATTGATTTTAAGTCTGATCACTTGGTAGAGTTATCCCTTTCATTATAAGGAGACATTTTCCCCTTGTAATTAATAAGTTATCTGTAGGATGACACTTTGAATTTCATGTGAATATCTTGTTCTTCAAAATATTTTACCTGAAAATCACCATTTTTGATCATTTACTGAATCTCTTATTACATTGGGGGCGGGGGTACAATTTTGAGAAAATAATATATATTAGTCTGTTTTCACACTGCTAATAAAGACATACACGAGACTGGGTAATTTATGGAGAAAAAGAGGCTTAATAGACTGACAGTTCCACTTGGCTAGGGCAGCCTCATAATCATGGTAGAAGGTGAAAGGCAGGTCTTAACATGGTGGCAGACAAGAGAAAATTAGACCAAGTGAAATGGGAAACCCCTTATAAAACCATCAGATCTCACTGGACTTATTCACTACCATGAGAACAGTAGGGGGAAACTGCCCCGATGATTTGATTCTCTCCCACTGGGTCCCTCCCACAACACATGACTTTTATGAGAGCTACAATTTAAGATGAGATTTGGGTGGGGACACAGCCAAACCATAGCATTTCCACCCCTGGCCTCTCCCAAATCTCAAGTCTTCACATTTCAAAAGCAGTTTTGCCTTCCCAACAGTCCCCCAAAGTCTTAACTCATTTCAGCATTAACTCAAAAGTCCACAGTCCAAAGTCTCATCTGAGACGAGGCAAGTCCTTTCAGCCTATAAGCCTGTAAAATAAAAAGCAAGTTAGTTGCTTCCTAGATACAATGGGGGCACATTCATTGGATAAATATGCCCATTCCAAATGGGAGAAATTGGGCAAAACAAAGGGGCTAAAGGCCCCATGAAAGTCCAAAATCCAGTGGGGCAGTCAAATCTTAAAGCTCCAAAATGATCTCCTTTGATTCCATGTTGTACATCCAGGTTACACTGATGCAAGAGGTGGGCTCCCATGGTCTTAGTCAGCTCTGGCCCTGCAGCTTTGCAAGGTACAGACTCCCTCCCAGCTGCTTTCATGGACTGGAGTTGAGTGCCTGTGGGTTTTCCAGGTGCGTGGTGCAAACTATCAGTGGATCTATCATTCTGGGGTTGTTGGATGGTGGCCTTCTTCTCACAGCTCCACTAGGCAGGGCCCCAGTGAGGACTCTGTGTGGGGTCTTCAACTTCACATTTCTCTTCTGCACTGTCCTAGCAGAGGTTCTCCATGAGGGCCTCGCCCCTGAAACAAACTTCTGACTGGACATCCACATGTTTCTACACATCCTCTGAAATGTAGGTGGAGGTTCCTAAACTCAATTCTTGACTCCTGTGCACCCACAGGCTCAACACCATGTGGAAGCTTCCAGGGCTTGGGTCTTGTAACTTCTGAAACCACAGCCCAAACTGTACCTTGGCCCCTTTTAACCATAGCTAGTGGGATGCAGGTCACCAAGTCCCTAGGCTGCACACAGTAGGGGGGCCTGGGCCTGGCCCACAAAACCTTTTTTTTCCTCCTAGGCCTCCAGGCCTGTAATGGGAGGGGCTGCTGCAAAGGTCTCTGACATGCCTTGGAGACAATTTTCCCGTTGTCTTGATGATTAACATTTGGCTCCTTGTTACTTATACAAATTTCTGCAGCTGGCTTGAATTTCTTCTCAGAAACTGGGTTTTTCTTTTTTATCACATCATCAGGCTGCAAATTTTCCAAACTTTTAAGCTCTGTTTCCCTTTCAAACCTGAATGCTTTTAACAGCATCCAAGTCACCATTTGAATGCTTGCTGCTTAGAAATTTCTTCTGCCAGATACCCTAAAGCAACTCCCTCAATTTCAAAGTTTCATAAATCTCTAGGGCAGGGGCAAAATGCTGCCAGTCTCTTTGCTAAAACATAACAATAGTCACCTTTACTCCAATTGCCAACAAGTTTCTCATATCCATCTGAGACCACCTCAGCCTAGATTTCATCGTCCATGTAACTATCAGCATTTCGGTCAAAGCCATTCAACAAGTGTCTAGGAAGTTCCAAACTTTACCACATTTTCCTGTCTTCTTCTGAGCCCTCCAAACTCTTCCAACCTCTGCCTGTTATTCCATTTCAAAGTTGCTTCCACATCAGCAGCACCTCATTCTACTGGTACCAATTTACTCTATTAGTCTGTTTTCACTGCTGATAAAGACATCCCTGAGACTGGGTAATTTATAAAGAAAAAGAGGTTTAATGGATTCACAGTTCCAGGTGGCTGGGGAGACCTCACAATCATGGTGGAAGGCAAAAGGCATGTCTTACATGGTGGCAGACAAGAGAGTGAGAGCCAAGCAAAAGGAGAAACCCCTTATCAAGCCATCAGATCTCTTGATACTTATTCACTACCTCAAGAACAGTATGGGGGAAATTGCCCCCATGATTCAATTATCTCCCACCAGGTCCTTCCCACAATACATGAGAATTATAGGAGCTGCAATTCAAGATGAGATTTGGGTGGGGACACAGCCAAACCATATTATAATATAATAGCTTATACATTTATTTTGCATTCATTAAGAAGAGCTTTGTCTTCTCTTTTTTCCTCTTTTTTTCCTCTCTCACTAAGAAAAGAGACTTTAAAAAATATAATGTGTTATCTTTTTGTGAATGCTTAAATTATCTAATATTTTAGTCTTGCCTTCAAACTGGTTCCCATGTGCTTTGACGTGACACTGTTAGCCTGTGGCACATCCTTTTTTTTTTTTTTTTTTTTTTTTTTTTTTTTTTTTTTTTTTTAATTGAGACAGAGTCTCTATTGCCCAGGCTGGGGTGCAGTGGTGTGTTCATGACTCACTGCAACCTCCACCTCCAGGACTCAAGCGATCTTCCCACTTCAGCCTCCTGAGTAGCTGGGACCACAGGTATGCACCACCATGCCCAGCTAAGTTTTTTTTATTTTTTGTAGAGATGGGGTTTTGCCATGTTGCCCAGGCTGGTCTTGAACTCTTGAACTTAAGGGATCCACCTGCCTCAGCCTCCCAAAGTTCTAGGATTACCAGCGTGAGCCACTGCACCCAATCTGGGCACTTCCTTGCTCTCAGGCACAACCAGATGTTCCAGGCTCCTGCTGTATTCCCGTCCCCCAACACACCTGGAATAAACCATTTCTCCCAGAAATCCCAATTCCTTTTAGTAGGGAATGATAAAATAAGGCATGTTTACTGTGGAAAATTTGTTAGGTTTTCGTAAGTAAACTGTTGTTTGAAATAAAAAATCTGCCAAAGTAACCAATGTTAATTATTCTGATGGAGTAAAGTAGATATCATTCTCCTCTCCCTAGTGCTTCTAGTGGCAATTAGAATAAAACCTGAACTCCCCTCCATGACCTACCAATCCCTACCGGATAGGATCCTGCCTGTTTTCTGTCTTGTGTGTGGGTTTTGCTCATCAAGCTATTGTCACACTGTTCTTTTCATTCTTGAACACATCTAGCCCAAACAGTCCTACTATTTTTGCAGTTAGTCCTACTCCCAACACCCATGGCTGATCAATTGCAACCTTCTCAGAGAAGCTTTCCTTGAACAAATTGAATGCAGCACCCCTTCTAAGACCCTGGAAACCACCCAATCATATCACCCTGTTTTGCTTTCAGGTCACTCTCAGAAATTATTCGTTTGTTTCTTTGTTTGATTTTGCCTGTCTCCCAACTAGGATATCAGCCCCACGAGAGTGAGAGTTATTGATATTATCTGTCCTATTTACTGCACTTAACACTGATTGGCATGTAGTGAGCATTTAATAAATATGTATTGAATGAATGGATGTCCTCCCTCAGATAGGAAACTGGAACAGGGTTGGGAGGAGGCAGGGTTTGAGTACTCATTCCTTTAGCTTTTGCTTGAAGGAAATTGAGTAAATTAAAGTTATCTTTCAAGTGACAGAGCACAGACTGATACTAGAGAATTCAAAAGCAATAAGCAGCATACCTATTAACTTTTTGGGGGGGTAAAAATATGGTAATCTTAACAAAGATGATAAAGACTGTATTTGAAGAGCTTTACTGCATTTATCCTTATTATGGTTCATTTGCATATCTCCCTTATGCTCTCTCTACTACTCAGTAAAGAAACAGGAGGTTTCTTTATCCCCCTCACAGGGTGTGCAACAGGGATGTGGCTCACTTCTTGAGTACCGGGCTGCTCAAACCCCTACAGGGAGCATGCAGACGGGCAGGTCGTGGGGAGCATTTTTGGTTTCCAAACCCACAGCAGCATCTAGGGTTGCGTGTTAACAGCTCCTGAAGCCCCAGTGGGCATGTGTTACAGTGTGCTCTTTCATTTTTGCAGTCAGCAGGCAGCTTGTGTCAACCAGCTCATTTAGACCCTCTGCCTTATCCCAAGGACAGAGGGCTTTCTGTATCCTGGGTCCTTGCCCTAGTGTACTGGAAAAATCAGATCACATGTGGGCTTGGAGGATGGGTGCAAGAGTTTATTGAGTGGTAGAAGTAGCTCTCAGTGAGGTGGATGGGGAGCCAGAAGGGAGATGGAGTGTGAAGGTGGTCTTCCTCTGGAGTCAGGCTGCCCAGCAGCCGGACTCTCCTCTGACCACCCCTGGCCGATTTCCCCTCGGCATCTGCGTCATTCTGCTGTCAACACTGTCTGCCAGTGTCTGCTGGTGTCTGTTCGTGTGCTCTCCTGCTCCTCTCAAGGTCCCGCCACTTGCGTTCGTGCCCACTACAGTTTCAGGTTTTTATGGGCACAGGATATGGGGGTGTGGTGGGCTAGAGTGGTCTTGGAAAATGCAACATTTGAGCTTGAAAATTGGAGTGCCTATTCTCACTTAGGTCCGTGGGCACAGGCCCAAGGGTGGAGCCCTTGCCAGAGACCTTGATCTTCTCTACCCAGCACTTCCCTGCCCCCTCCATCCCGTATCAGTAACATCATTACGGTTTTTAAAATACTGGTTACCAGTGTTAAGGGGAATCAAAGGAAGGGTTCCCTGCCTTGAAAAATTAGGCCAGAACATTAAAGTAAAGAAATTGACTTAAGGGTCAACAAGATGGTAAACAATAATTAAAGCATATGAAAAGCAAAGAAAATATCAAATGGGAAAAAATATCAGGCTACTGCTCTAAAGCATCCATGAAGATTCTTCTTGTATTTGAAATAGTGAAAGTTTTATTTTGTTTATGACAGCAATTCCAGAACATGGAACACATTAAAATTTGGAAGACTATTTCTATCTCTTCCCCAAACCAACTTGTTTGCATGACCAGAATGCTACCTTGAGTAAAGTCATAAATAAAATTAGTCTTATATTTTTCAAAATTATATTTGAAATTCAATTTTTAATCATAGATTAGAAATTAAGAATAATAGGTAAGTTTTTAACTTAATTAAAATAAAATATTTTATTAAAACTAATGCACAAATTGCCTTGAAGATGAAAATGTAAGTAAAAACACAATATGATTCCTTTTCTCCCTTGCAAAGTGTATAAGCCATCTGTTAATATTTACGTAAACACAAAAATGGCAAATGTGAATGTGACCTGTTAATAGTTAATGGATCCTAGGAAATAGATAAGAATTTAGAATTATACAGTTGTGGTTTTTTTTTTTCAGCTTAGGTAGTAGAAAAATGAAACTTTTCTTTTTGAAACCAAACATAAAATAATAAGAAATTCATGAGTCCCAAGACACAACACCTACTTTCTCAATCATAATAAACTTGCTTCAGTTTCTATATATTTCCACCCAAATACAAGTTATCCAATTCTATCACCAGTATTACTCCAGTGTTTAAGCACATTAGAAAAATTCCCCATTTGAAGCAAAAATGACAAAAGACCAAAAGTAATACTGCTCAAAGCTTTCTAGACAGTGGAACAGGACACTGGGTCTTGGCCTCTCTCCTTCCAGCCCTACCCCTACCCCTACCCCCACCCCCATCCAACAACTTGCTTTTTGAAAAGAATCAAAGGCCGTTATTCAGGCTTTGCACTTCTGCCTGGTTCTAAAGAAGTTGGCACTTTGGTGTTTGATTCTGTCACCAAGGATTCTACTCAGAAGGTACCCAATGGACAGATAAAAAGACAAATATCCCACTGAATGCCAGGCTTTTGATAATGTTTGTTCAATGTTTTTAGAGTCAATAGAATCACTTGCAGAAACTCCCTATGCCCCAAGTCTCCAAAGGCCTAAGGCCCACAGCCTGGTATCTCCCTTTGAATGCTGAATTCTTATTAGCACATCTTCCTTAAAGTAATAATAAAAAGTCCTGAAATGACTTCCCCAGAGAGATTACAAGTGAAAGAGAGATATTTTATATTCTCTCAGAGAATGTACTCATCGTTCGTAATACAAAAGGAAGTTGGGGGCAAGGGAGTGATTTTGTCTTTTAATTATTGGTGATGGAAGAATTTAGAAAACTTTAAATTTCTCTTTAATTATATTAGTATTCCATAGTGTTCATTTTAAAGTAGATACCGATTTTTGAGCGTGGGATGGAAAATGGCAGAGGAGTTAGGATCCTGCCCCAGTGGGCCCCAATAGTTCCTTATTTGCATAGTAATTTACAGTACTCTGTATCAGAAGAGCAGTGAATAGAGTTCCCTAGGAAGAGGAAGGCTTTGGGGGTAGAGATTAAGTGGTGAGGCCTTTGAGGAAGGGATTAAATCCTGATGGTTCTGCCTAAGCACTGTGTTATACAGTCAATTTCTAGAACTTATTCATCTTGCATGGTTCAAACCCTGTATCTATTGAGCAACAACTTCCCATTCCCCCAACCCCCAATCCATGGCAACCATCGTATTCTCTGCTTTTATGAGTTTGAAAAAAGTGTGGAGGCTCCTCAGAAAATTAAACCCAGAACTACCATATGATCCAGTAATCTCATTTCTGGGTATATAGCCAAAGGAAATGAAGTCATATCAGCACTCCCATGTTCATTGCAGCACTATTCATAGTAGCCAAGACATAGAAGCAAACCAAGTGTCTGTCAGCTGATGAATGGATAAAGGAAATGTGGTATATGTATACATTGCAATGTTATTCAGCTTTACAAAAGAAGGAAATTCTGCCATTTATGACAGCATGGATGAACCTGGAGGACATTATGCTAAGTGAAACAAGTCAGTCACAGAGCAAAAACTTCATGATTCCACTTATATAAGGTATCTAAAGTCGTTAAACTCTTATTGATTTTTAATTTTTTTCTACTGGTTATTGAGAAAGGTTTGTCAGAGTCTTCTACACTGTGTATTTCTTTCTTTCTTTTTATTTCTGTCCATGTATATCTATTTTGAAAACACGTTATTTGATGATTACATATTTAGGGTTATGTCATCCTATTGAATTCACTCATTACTTATTGTGAAATGTTATTATTTATTGCAAGTACTCCTTCTTAGTGTGACTTAGTGTGTACTTTGTCATATTGTAATATAGCCACACTAGGAGCTGGTCAGTATTTAAAAAATATCCAAATATCCTCCATCTTCTTACTTTCAATCATTCTGTGGGTGTATGCTAGTTAAGGTGTCTTTAAGCACCATATAAATGGCTTCCCATTTTTCATCAAATCTGATAGTCTTTGTCCTTAAGTTGGTGTTCCATGTGTAATTTAATTTTGAAGGTCTAAATCAACAATTACATGTATAATTTATTATAAAATTGACTTGCATCTTTATATTTGTTTTCTATCTATTCTACCCTATTTCTCCTTTCTTTTCATCTTTAGGATTAATTATTTTATTTTTTAAAAACTCTATTTCTTTATTAGCTAGTAGGTTAAAATTTATTGCCTTTCAGTGAGTATGCTAGATATTTTGAAATATATGTTTGGTGTATTAAATATAATTAAATTTGCAGTTTATAATTACCTGAACAATGTAAGTTCTAAATAGCACTCAAACTCCGTTTAACCTGTGCTCATGTTTTGCTATTGTTGTTGAGCAACTTAGTTTTAAATATTTGCCTTACAAGACACTGTTATGGTTGTTTTACATTATAGATATTCTTTTAGGTTTATTCACATGCTTACTCTTTTCAATGATTTTTATTCCTTCCTGAATATCTGTTTTGCTCTGGAATCATTTTTCTTCTGCTTGAAGAACACATTTAATACTTCTTTTAGTCCATGTCGTATTTTTACTTTTTTTAAAATCTGAAAACATTTTATTTTGCCTTTATTTTAAAGTATATTTTCACTAGGTATAGAATTCTCAGTTGACAGTTATTTTTCAGCACTTTAAAGATGCTGTCCCATTATCTTCTGACTTCCATAAACTCATCAAAGTGTCTGTGGTCAATCTTATTGTTATTCATTTGAAAATAGTATATCTTTTTTTCCCCTATAAACATTTTCAAGGTGTTTTCTTTGTAACTTTCAGTAGTTTTGCTGTGATGAGATGGGTATTACGCTTGGAGATTCAAGACTATGTTGAGTTCGTGGCTTGAGGTCATCTATGATTTTTCAAATGATCTTGTCCCATCCCCCTTTGAATATTCCTGCTTCCATCCCGTTTTCTGTGCTACCTCTTATGGGATTCCAATTATTCATATTAGACAGTTCGATTGTGTTCCATATGTATCTTATTCTCTCTTTCTTTCTATCCATTTTTTCTCTAAATCTGTTTTCTGTTTTAAAAAACTTTGCACTATACAGATTTTGAATCAGATAATTTTGCTATTGTTGTAGGGACTGTCCTGTGTGTTGAAGAATGTAAAACAGCACCTCTGGCTGCTATCCACTAGATGTCAGTAGCATCCTCCTAATCATAAAAATTAAAATTGTTTCCAGATATTGCTGAATAACCCCTTGGGGGTCAGAATCATTCTTGAGTGAGAACCACTTGGTCTATTTCACAGGTACATTTTACAGTCAACATTTCACTAATAATTCTGGGTTAAAACTCTCCTGAGAGCCAGGAGGTTGCAGATGAGCAGTAGCTACCTGTTTCTTTGGGGTTTCTAGCTATTAAGGCTTCTCTACAGAGGCTTTTTCTCTAAGGCAAACGTAAACCTTTGGTAGATTTCCTTACTAAGGAGTACCTGTTTCTTGCTGGTTGCAATGGATGGAGAAGGAGATGGGTCCTAATGGACCTGGCACACTTTAATTCAGGTGTAGTACCCCAGGGAACAAGCACATCTGGAGTATGCTCCTTGATACTTTCTTTATCTTTCAAGTAATCAATCAGAGCCCCTGCTGAACTTCTCTTTCTTCTCCCTTCCCCCACATGGTTTCTCTGCATTCCTGTGGGTATGCCATTCTGGAGATGTCAGATTTTCTGAGCCCTCAAGAGGTGAAGAAAATATTGTGAAGTGTAAGATGTAGTAGACAGAGCACTTAGCTTGAGGTCAGGGGACTCTAGGCTCAGCTCTGGCACCAGATAGTGATAATGATTTTGATGCATTAACTTATTCTCTTTGGGCCTGTTTTATCTGCTGTTAAACTAGGAGTTAGTTCTAAGTATTTTGTACTCTCCTAACTTGCAGTTTTTGAATTCTTTCTTCTTCTGTATTTAGTTTGTTATAAACCTCATCTATCAAGTTCTCAATTTTTTATTGCTTTTTATGGTTCTAGAATTTCCGTTTGATTCATTTCTTTCTTGTTTTTTTTTTTTTTTTTAGTAGAGGTGGGGTTTCATCATGTTGGCCAGGATGGTCTCCATCTCCTGATCTTGTGATCCGCCCGCCTCAGCCTCCCAAAGTGCTGGGGTTACAGGTGTGAGCCACGGCACCCAGCCCATTTGATTCATTTCTCAGGGGATATAGTCTCTATCTTTTACTCTACTCTCTTGAACATGTTTATCATATGATTTTAATATTTTTGTTTGATTATTCCTATGTTTTTATTACTTGCAGGTTTTCTGTTAGTTACTTCTTCCTGCTGTCATGCTTGGTAATTTTTTATTGCATTCTAGAGACTGTAAAAGTTAGAGAGATTGTGAATGATATTATCTTTCTCCAGGGGATATTTACTTTTCTCTGGTGGTCAGATAGAGTAGGGATGAATCAACTTGATGTAAATATGTATTGAAATAATTCAATGCTAGGTTTCAGCCTTTGTGAGGGTTGGTTTACTTAGGGTTTTCCCAAAATACTATGACATCACCATTCCACGTCTTAACTAAAAGTTGCATGAATTGATTAAAATATTTTTTACAATTAGTAACTTTTAGGATTTTTTAACTTTTACATTTAAGATTGTCTATGTCTTTCTTTTTCTACCCAATATCATTCTTGTTTGCATTCAGACCACTGGTGATGCAACATTTTAAAAATTATGTTTTATTATTGTCTATGAGATTTTCTTCCATGACACCAACATCTTTAGCAAGTTTTTATTTGCATAAATAGGCAATGACAGTTACATCATGACTACTCCCTGGCCAACAGCAGTGAGATACATCCCAATTTAAAATATTTTTAAAGTGAAGAGAAAAAGGAATATACATCTTAAAATGGATGGAATGCCATTTGAATAGCACTTAGAACAGTTCATGGTGAAGATTAAATGTGATCATTATTTTTATTTGAGAATAGGAGTAAAATGATCTAACATACATTTTTAAAGAGTCTCTAAAACTCAATGATTTAAAAAGAAACAATGATTACAAAAGAGCAAAAGATCTGAACAGACATCTCACAAAGATTTACAGATGGAAAACAAACATGTAAAATATGTTTAACATCACACGTCATTAGGGAGGCTTGCAAATTAAGGTAACAATGAGATACCATTACACACCTGTTATTAATAGAATAGTAAAAATTCAAAACACAAACACTATGAAATGCTGGTGAGAATTTGGAACAACAGAAACTCCAATTTATTGCTGGTGGGAATGCAAAATGGTGTACGCATTCTGAAAGATAGTTTGTCAGTTTTGTACAAAATTAAACATACCTCTTCACATATAATTCAGCAATCATGCTTCTTGGTATTTAATAAAATGAGTTGAAAACTATGTCCACACAAAAATCTTCATACAAATATTTATCGTAGTTTTATTCATAATTGCCAAAACTTGGAAGCAAGGAGATGTTTTTCAGTAGGTGAATGGTAAAATAAACTGTGGTACATCCAGGCAATGGAATATTATTGGGCACTAAAAAACAAATGAGCTGTCAAGCCATGAAAAGACATAGAAGAATAATAAATGCATACTAAGTGAAAGGAACCAATCTGGAAAGGGCACATAATGGGTGATTTGAGCTCTATGATACTCTGAAAAGACAAAACTACGGAGACAGTAAGAAGATCAGTGGTTTCCAGGGGTCAGATGGAAGAGAAGGATGAGTAGGCAGTGCACAGAAGACTTTTACGGCAGTGAAACTACTCTGTATGATCCTATAGTGGTGGATGCAGCTCATTATACATTTGTCAAAACACATTCAATTTATACCAAGAGTGAACTATAATGTAAGCTATAGACTTTGGGTGATAATTATGTGCCAATGTAGGCTCATCCATGTTAACAAATGTACCAGTTTGGGGAGTGGATTTTGATAGTGGAGAAAGCTGTTTTGGTGTAGTGGTAGGAAATATATGGGAACTCTCTACTTTCTCTTTAGTTTTGCTGTGAACACAAAAGTTCCCTAAAAAATTAAGTCTATGAAAAACTTTTAAAATAAAACTTTCTAGCTGTGATGGGGAGAAGAGTTTTAAGAGGTGATATGAGTTGAAGGAGATTAGTTAAGAGGCTTTGCATAATCCAAATAAGAAATCATTGTTTTGAACCAGTGGTAGTTATGGGGTAGTGCAAAGTGGTCTGATTCTTGATATGTTTGAAGATATGTTAAACAGGATTTCTGATGAATTAGATACAGGTTATTAAAGAGGAATCATAGATATATTCGGGGTGTAGGTATGAGCAGCTATAAGGATGAAATTGATATTTAATAAAATGAAGAGGGCAGGAGCAGAAGGCTTGGTGGGGTGGTGGGCAGGTAGAGGAGAGAAGCTCAAAATTATGATTTAGGATATCTTAAGTGTATATTAAATATTCAAGTGTAGATGTGAAGTAGGGAATTACATACATGAGTCTCGCATTTAAGGACAAGTCAAAGGTCAAGATATAAATTTGGAAGTCATGGTAGTTCAAGTTGCAAGCATGGTTGAGATGACCTGGAAAATAAGTTTAGATTGAGAAAAGGAGAGGTCTGAGACACAGTCTTGGTGAAATTTAATGCTAAAAGTTGGGAAAGTGTGGACACACCAAAGAAGAAGCTTGAGAGGGAGTAACTTCTTAGGTAGGAGGAGAATCAAAAGAAAGTTATAGCTTTTAAGCCAAGAAAAGAAAATGAAGAAAAAGAGAGGAATCAACAGTGTCATATGCTACTGATAGGTTCCATTATGAAACATATTATTTAAAAAATATTATTTTAAATGTAAGTATGAAATTTTATTACCTAATATTTTATTTAAAATGTTCATGTCATGTTCATTCATAAATGAAATGGGATTATGATTTTCTATTACTCAGTCATTATTTGAAAATTAATGCTACAGTAGCCTTCTTTTTTTTTTGAAACAGGGTCTCACTCTGTTGCCCAGGCTGGAGTGCAGTGGCACAATCACAACTCACTGCAGCCTCAACCTCCTGGGCTCCAGCAATTCTCTCACTTCATCCTCCTGAGTAGCTGGGAATACCTACAGACATGCACCACCACACCTGGCTAATTTTTTTGATTTCTAGTACAGACAGGGCCTTATTATGTTGCTTGGCCTGGTCTTGAATTCCTGAGCTCAAGCAATCCTCCCATCTCGGCCTCCCAAAGGGTTGGGATTACAGGCATGGGCCACCATGCCCGTGCACAGTAGCCTTTTGAAGTCAGTTGGGCAAAAGTATCCAAGTTGAGTAGGGGATGTGTGGAATATAAGTGAAAAAGTTTTTCCATGAGTTGAACATGGGTGAAGGAGGTTACAAGGGAATACCATATACTATTCTCTTAATGTTTGTACTTTTAAAAATTATTCTATGATAAAAGTTTAAAAATAATACAGTTTTCCTCCATTCTATTTGCTGGCTGTGGCATTAACATTTACCTACCCCATGCTGCTGGTTTCCATCCACATTAAATCATGAGTTACCTTTTGTCTTCCAATGTGTTTCTCACAGCTTTCTGTTCATTTGTTTTTGTTATAGCTGTGAAATCCTCAGATCTGTGCTTTCCTTCCTCTTTCGTAGTTTAACCAGGTGAAGTTTGGAGGAAAGAGCCAGCAGTCAGTGCTAATGAAATTTAAAGAGTACTATTGGAAAGAATTGACATCTTTACAATGTTAAGTCAAACCCTCCATGGATATAGTAATCTCTGTATTTACTCAAGTCTACTGTATGGCTTTCAATAGGGTTTAAAATTTTTTTCCTATAAAAACTTTGTGCATTTTATTAGGTTAATTTCTGTATACTTTGTAGTTTTTTCAGTGGTATCTTATTTTCTACTACTATTCTAATAGCTTATTGCTGGGATAAGAAAATGTGCTCACTTGTCTATGTTCAGAAAGCTTGATAAACTCTTTCTAATAGTTTGTTGATTCTACTGGATGTTCAATGCAAATTATAATATCCTCTCAATATAAAGGCAATTTTTACATTATCTTACTTTTAAAAATATTCTCCATTAAGAATTACATTTACTATTGAGTTTCAGGATGTAGACTTTATTACATTAAGGAGATTTATTTCTTACCTGGTTTGTGATAGTTTTTGTCATAAATGAGTGCTGAACTTCATTGATGTGTTTCTGAATCTATCAAAAAGACCAAGTTATTTTTCCTTTTTACTTATTAATATATTGTTATATTAACATTTTATTATGCTAATTCATTATATTATTCCTGATATAAACCTTAGTTCATCATTATGTAGTTATTTAAATAATACTGAGTTTGTTGATCTAATATTTGCTTTAAGATTTTTGCATTTGAGTGGGTGTGATGGCTCACACCTGTGGTCCCAGCCCTTTCAGGGGCTGAAGCAAGAAGATCACTTGAGCCCAGGAGTTCAAGACTAGCCTGGCAACATGGTGAGACAGAGACCTCATCTTTACAAAATATACAAAAATTACCTGGGAGCGGTGGCACATGCCTTTAGTTCCAACTTCTTGGGAGGTTGAAATGGGAGGATTGCTTGAACCCAGGAGGTTGAGGCTGTAGTGAGCTATGATCTCATTAGTGCGCTCCAACCTGGGCGACAGAGCAAGATCCTGTCTCTCAAAAAAAAAAAAAAAAGAAATAAAGAAACAAAAACATCATGTCATCATGTTGGCATTTATGCTTTATATTCATAAGTAAGTTAGGTCTGGAATTGTGTTTTATTTTTTGGGGGGGAGCAGTTTTAAGTTTCAGAAAAATTGAGTAGAAAATACAGAGAGTTCCCATATACTCTCCACTCTACCCCAGTTTCCCTTATTACTAACATCTTGCATTAGCACGGTACATTTATTACAATTGATGAGCCAATATTGTTACATTATTCACAAAAGTCTATAGTTTACATTGGAATTCACTGTTGATGCACATTTTCTGGGTTTTGGTAAATGTATAATAGCATGTATCCACCATTACAGTATCATACACAACAATTATGCTGCTCTAAAAATCCCCTCTGCTTCACCTATGCAGCTGTCCTTCCTGCCCTATAAAAATGGTTTGAACACTCACATTTTAAATCACTGAATAACATCCTATTGTCAGATGTGCCATAGCTCATTTATGGATTTGCCTATTGAAGGACATGAAATTGTGTTTTAATGTATTGCCCTAATCTAGATTGAGAATGTGAATTGCACTAGAATCATAAAATAAATTTCCTTTCCTTTTTTCTTTGTTTTTGATGATATGTAAAATTGGGATTGTCTGTGCCTTGACGTTTGGTGCACTCTCCTTTTGAAACTGTCTGGGTCTTGGGCTACATCAGTCAGGATCTAGTCAGGAGACAGAAGTTATAGAATAAGTTGAACAGAAAAAGCAATGAAAAGAATTATTAAATGATAATGAAGGAACTCCAAGGAATACAGATGTAGAATGTATTCCCCCTATGGAAAAGTCACAACTACTAGGGCTAAGACAGAGGACCCAAGGGAGGAACAAATTTGGAAGAGGGTTCCCCCACCTCCAACAGGGGCTAATTTAGACTTTGTTAGAAAGGGTGTGACTGTAGCCCTCTGAATAGTGTAAAAGTTGACTGAGGTGTCAAAGGCCCAGGTTGATCATCAGAAAACTGTGTCTAGGGTGTAAACAAAACTTGCAGGAGGTTAGCTGCCCTCTGGGAAGCCTGCCCATGGAGTTCTGCTCAAACTCAATAGGAAGCACCCACTGGGATGCCTGTGAGGTTATTTAGAAAGGGAACTGGGGGGCAGCAGAACTTGCTGGAATACTGTCTGCTGGATTGCCTGTGAGACATCCTGAATGTCAGCTGGGAGCTTACAGAACTTGCCAACAAAATCGCTTGTGGAGATGACACCTAACTCCCTCCTGGGAGACTGGCTGGGAGGCTGGCTGGGAGAGGCTGGCTGGGAGGATGGCTGGGAGGATGGCTGGCAGGCTGGTAGAGCCTACTAGAATGCCACCATGGGGGTTCCACAGGAACTCACTAGAAGGACTGAGTGCCAGTGGGTTTCCCTCATGCAGGCTGAGTGCTGCAGAAGTGCTTGCTCTGTTGCCTAGGCAGGAGTGCAGTGGTGTGATCATGGTTCACTGCAGCCTCAACCTCTCACCTCAGCCTCCCAAGTATGCACCCACCACACCTGGCTAATTTTATAATTTTTTAGGGACAAGGTCTCACTGCAAAAGAGAGGAGTGGCATTTGGAAACCAAGGAGAGAAGTCATTCCACCGGGAGTGTCCCCCAGCGCTCTCTACTGACAAAACTTACCACCATGCCAACTGGAAAAGAAGAAATGTTTACAGGGTCCAGCTTTACTATCGCAAAGCAGGATAACAAAGAAGGGATACAGCTGAAGGACAATTAGTTGATAGCTGGAACAGGGGCTTTATTTTTATTTTTATTTTTTTGTGAAGCAAGGCAAGGATAGAGAGAGATTTTTGATTACTATTTCCATTTTTGTTAACATATGGCTATTTGTTTTTTTGTTTGTTTGTTTTTTTGAGACAGAGTCTCGCTCTGGCGATCTCGGCTCAACGCAAACTCCACCTCCCGGGTTTTCAAGCAATTCTCCTGCCTCAGCCTCCTGAGTAGCTGGGATTACAGGTGTGCACCAGCACGCCTGGCTAATTTTTGTGTTTTTAGTAGAGACGGTGTTTCCTTATGTTGGTCAGGCTGGTCTCAAACCCCTGACCTTGTGATCCACCCACCTCAGCCTCCCAAAGTGCTGGGATTACAGGTGTGAGCCACTGTGCCTGGCCTTGGCTATTCTTTAACATTCTTCTTGTTCCGATTTTGGTTCTTTATCTTTTCCCAAGAATTTGTCTATTGAAGCTAGGTTGTCAGATTTATTGTTGAGTAGCCTTCCAAACATTCCTGTAAAAATAATATATTTTTGGCCTAGTGCAGTTGCTCATGCCTTTTGTCCCAGCACTTTGGGAGGCTAAGGCAGGAGGACTGCTTGAGCTCAGGAGTTTGCAACCAGCCTGGGCAACAGAGTGAGACCTTGTCCCTATAAAAAATACAAAATTAGCTAGGTGTGGTGGGTGCATATCTGTTGTCCTAGCTACTTGGGAGGCTGACGTGAGAGGTCAAGGCTGCAGTGAACCATGATCACACCACTGCACTCCAGCCTAGGCAACAGAGGAAGACTCTCTGAATAATAATGATAATATACTTTTAAAATCTGTTTATGGATTTTTATTCTTTTTGTAGTCTGCCTTTACCTTATTTATATTTATTGCAGAGGTTGTTAGTGCTCACCAAAGTATGCATGTGTTTTCTATGTTCTTACCCTCACTACGGGACTGTAGGTTGGTCCAAACCAATGAGAGGTGAGCAGAGAGTATGACTTCCAGGCCGAGGAAGTTAACAGCCAGCAATCATTATTCTTCTGTTTCTTCTTCTGTCATGGCAATCATGGACCCCTGATTACTGCTTGAGGAGAGATACCCTGTAGATTTGACTGGCCAAGGATTCTGAGGAAAGCAAGAAATAAACATTGTGTTAAACCAAGTGATTTTTGGTAGTGTCAGCTACCCTTAATTACTCTGAATGAAACAGGAATCCTTTTCTTTCTCCTCTCTCCTTAGTCAGCCTTTCTGGGGGCTTATCTACTTGAGTAGACTTCTCCAAAGAAAAATCAACTTTTGGGTTACTGTAGCTCAGTGGATAAAAGTACAGATTATAAATCAATCTCTGTTCCTGATTAGACTACGATCTTGAAAAAATTATGTAATTTTCCTGGGTATTGCTTTACTCATTTGTAAAATAAAAAAATGAATAATTTTACCTATCTCTATGGGCATTGTGATGACTGGGTGAATTAATCTATGTAAAACATTTAGAATAGCCCTTAGCATATGCACTGTAAACATGTTAGCCACTATTATTATCTGTTTTTCTCTACTTTATTAATTTCTGTCCTTACCTTCATTACTTCTTCTTTCACTTATTTTTCTTGTTTATTTTTCTAGTATTTGGGGGAATATTTAGCTCACTTATTTATAATTTTTTTGTCTTCTGATGAATAACTTTTAGAAAATATATGCCCGTCTAAGTCCTGCCTTAACTGTTTCCCAGACATTTTAACATGTAGTGCTTTTGTGTTCATTCAGCTGTAAATTTAATACTTTTACTCATGAATTTCTCTGTTTTTAGTTTATAGGCATTTGGGGTTTCTCTAAGAGTTTTCATTCAGTTTCAATTTTTTTTTTTGGTCCACCCTCCCCTAGTTTTGATTTCTAATTTTATTAAATAATAACTGGAAAACTCTCTGAAATATTGCTTCTTTGCAATTTATTGAGGCTTTTTTTGTTACTCAATACTGGAGTGAATTGTGTGAATGTTTCATGTGTGCTTAGAAAAGAAAAAGTATGCTCACTGGGTACGAAGTTAGTTAGGTATCTTTTGGTTTATAGTTATTAATTATCATATATATGAAGTTTTTATGTTTCCTTGGGCTATCTGTTTCTGATACAAATCTATTAAAATCTCTAACTACAATTACTGATTTAGCTATTTCTCTTCATAATCTCTCAGCTGATGTCAAAGATTATGTATATATTTTTATGTGCTGATGTATTACTTATTATCTTATCTTTTAGGTCTTTTGTTCCTTTTAGCAGCTCAATACAAGGTCGCCATTTATTGCTAATGATTTTCTGCTTTAAATTCTATTTATTCTGAAATTAATATTGCTAATCATATTTCTTTCACATTGCCCAATATATTATTTTCCATCCTCTTCTTTTTCATTTTAAGTGTGTTTGGTGTTATACATAGCTTATGAATTGGTAGGAAAAGAATAAATACATACCTGCTATAAATGTATGACTTATAAATTCATATATTCCTGATTTCTTTAATGAGAGGATCAGGACTTAATGGAAGCAAGGTAGTTAAGCAACCAAGAACAGAGCAGCATATCTTTGTGTGACTGTTTCATTGCTTTGTTTCTTTGTGGTACATGGCTGCCAAGAGACACTTTTCATGAAGCCTATGTCCTGCCAGAGTTGAGCAAAATGCTAAATTTTTATAGCACCTCTGTTATTTTCAATTCAGGCTTACAGTGCAATTCCAGAGGAGCTTACACTAGAAATCATCTTGCCTTACTTTATGAGAAGGCATATAAGCATATTATTTTCTTGATTCTTAAATAAGTCAGCACCAGAGAGGCCAGATCCTTATCAATGCAGGGAATGGTGTCCTTGAACAATATATTTACTTCCAGCTTAACAGTTTTCAAAAGAATCTTTCTTTATTTGGACTTTTTGTTTTTGGAATTAATTTATGGTGAGAGCCCTTTCTCTCTCAGTATTAGTCAGGATGAGGCTATGCTAGTAGGTAGTAACAAATAAAAAGAAAACAAAAAAATTACAACGATTTATTATTTCTCACTTACATCTAGTTTGATGGGAGAAACAAAACTGTTTGTCATGGTCCTACTCCAAATGGTTCTACTCCATGATTCAGGAACATGCTACAAGATCTGTAACACCTAAGTTTTTAAGTCAATCCAGTAGGGGAAGGGGCAATTAGAGCATCACGTTTTTAAGGACCAGGGTTGAAAATGGCTTACATCACTTCTGGCCAATTACCACAGTTCAGAAATCAGGCACATGTCCCACTTTAGCTGTAAGGAAGACTGGAATATACCTTTTCTTCCTGTGTACCCAAGAAGAAGAAATAGGGTATGGTAAATACTTCACATTGCCCCTGTCAGATTATCCAGCTGAAATCTTTGTCTTTTGATTGGCATATTTACCCAGTTAAATTTATTACAAATTTCACTTATTTCTGAAATCTCATTTCATGTTTTCTATTTGCATTACCTTATTTTTGGTTTTTATCTGTCTCTTTCACTAAGTTCCATAGACTAAATATCATTCTGGTAGTTGGAAGGTATTCTATTCTCTTTCAATTTCATTAAGCTACTCCTAACTTATTGGGACTTATATTTATTTATTTATTTTTCCCAATCAGCCTCTTAAGTTTATCAATACCTGTAAAGCTCTCTCTCACTTCTTTTAGTCTTTCTTCTTGGTCCTTCTACATCACCATATAGTTATTACTTAGAAATGTACTATGGATACACTTTAATAGTTGGGGGGATCAGTCATTAAGTGATTTAATTCCCCTATCTTCCTGCTTTCATTGTCTTTTTTCTGGATTACTTACTCTAAGACTTTTTTTCAGAGAGGGTCTAGCTGTGCTAAAATTTCTGAGAGATTAATTCTTGAGAATATTTGCACTTCAGCATCATATTTAAGTGATAATTTAGCTGGTTATAATATGCCACATCTGCAAATTCTTTCCTTTACCACTTCATTATTATTACTCTATTAATTTTCATCTCAGGCCTACATGATTCTTGTCATTTTCTTTTGGGTGATCTGTTTTTACTCATGGAAAATTTTCTCTTTGAGTTAGATAATCTTAAATTTCATAATTAGTTATAATTTTTACTTTTCGAATCTCTATGAGCCCATTTAATCAGATTCTTATATATTTCTTTAATTTTGAAATATTGCTAATTTTTATTTATATATTTTCTCCCCTTTATTCTTTTCTCTGATTTTATAATGCTTACTATATGGATATGAAAAATTTTTCTTCTATCCTTTATATTGCTTAAGTTTTTTCCACTATTAATGCTATATTTCTGCCTTTTCTGAAAGTCCTAGACTTGATATTTCAGGCCAGTATTTCATTTTTTGATGGAATATATTATATTATTTAACCTCTCTGGTCAACTCTTCATTTTAATAATTCTGTTTTTATACTGCTTATTTTCAATTATTTCTAAATTTGCTTATTTCTATAATTGCTTTTTTCTCCTTGACATTTCCAATATCCTTACTTCTTTCTTTGAACATTTTATTGTGAAGATTGAAAGTGCTATTTTTCTCATGTCCATTTATTTTGCTTCAGCCAGAATAAATTGTTCCACATGCTGTTTTTTTGTTTTTAATATTTGTTCTGTACTTGGCTTCCCCCTCCTCTTTTACTGAGAATATCAGTAATTGTGGTGGGCAGTATGAACTTGGGAGATGTGGTTGAATCATAGGTCCTACTTCCATGTGTGCTGAAGAAGTGAGAACAGCAGAAATAGTGTTGATGGGTGAAGAGCCTTTGCCATTACTATTTTGGATCCTATTACTCTCCATTTTACCACACTATTCCTGATGCTTGCTTTGAGGGAAATTCCTTGTTCCTTGTGAACGCTGTTTTGGTAACCCTAAAAGTTGACTTCCAAGGCTGTCAAATCATGGGGTGTTTTGTAGTGACAAGGGAGAGAACTAAAGGAAATAAGTGTCTATTGAATCAAATCCAAAGAGATGGGGCCAGCAGTGGTGGCTCACCCCTGCAATCCTAACACTTTGGGAGGCCAAGGTGGGTGGATTACCTGAGGTCAGGAGTTTGAGACCAGTCTGAACAATATGGTGAAACCCCGTCTCTCATAAAAATACAAAAATTAGCCAGGTGTGGTGGCACATGCCTGTAATCCTAACTACTTGGTAGGCTGAGACAGGAGAATTGCTTGAACCCGGGATGCAGAGGTTGCAGTGAACTGAGATTGAACCACTGCCCTCCAGCCTGGGTGACAGAGCAAGACTCTATCTAAAAAAAAATAATAAATAAATAGAATTAAATCCAAAACACTTTGACTTAAAAAATAAGTATTTATTTCATATAAATACCAGTTCATAAATTTATGAGTCAGTAATTCAGCCCAAACAGCTTTTGTGGTCTCAACTGGAAGCACTTGCATGTCTGTTAGATGGTGACTTTGGCATCTGCAGTTGTCTGGCTGCTGGCTGGAGAGACTTGACTTTGCTCCATATGTCTTGCATCCCCCCAGCCAGATAGCCCGGGCATGATCTCATGGAAGAGACAGAGGTGGAAGAGCTAGATGAATCTCTACACCCAAGCACTATTCAAACTTCTGTGTATATTAACTTATTAATATTCCTTTGTCTAAGGCAAGTCATGTGGCCTAGCCCAGAGTCAGAGTGACAGGGCACTGCATAGTTACATAGAAAAGACTACGGCTACAGGGACAGGTGAAAACATGGACTTTGCATTTTTGCAATGAAACCATCATTAACTGAGGGAAAAACTTTCAGTGAAAAAGGATAGATATTTATGGCCCTTGTGGCCTCAGTACTAGGTGTTTCCAATTATAATATCTGCTAGCGTCCCCATCCTTGTCTTTACCTCACTTCGGGAACATTTTCACTTCTAGGACCTCCTGTATTTGAAGGCATTCCGACATTACTTAACCTTCCTTGAATTACAAAAATTTTCCTGTACTTTAGAATTCTCTAGTCCTAAACTGAGAGCACATTTCAAAATTTTCTCCATAAATTTGGGAATTTAAAATGATTAACTGTATTCAAATTAAGTTTAATAGATGGCATTATTTAATACTTGCTATGCTCCAAATTAGGAGATTCTTTAATGTTGCAGGTTTTGTAAAATAAATTGATTTTTCTTCTGTTGAATAGTCCAAGTTTAACATTTTTCATAGAAAGTTTAGTTGGTGTGGGGATTACTTTTTATATCAGATAAACAACGCTATGATGACTTCTACACTCAAAACTGAGGAAAAACAGACGATGCAGGGAGAGATTTATTTGTATAGGGAAAAGAGGAATTTTACTGAATTTTAGGAAAATGAGTTACTTTATTTCCTTTATTTAATTGAATTATTTAATTCACTATCAGAGTAGCATATCGCTCACAGGCAATAATTTTGAGCTTAAAAATGTTAGAGGTAGTGAGTATTCTATCGGTGGAGATGTTCAAGCCAAAACTTCATTTTTTACCTTGGATCTTAGTAAAGGTATGTAAGAATTGGGCTAGGCTAGAAGGTTTATAATTTTTTTTTTTTTCTGACTGTGAGTCTACAACGAGTTCAAGTTAGAATTTTCTTTGTTTCAAATACATGAACATTATTATTTCTTAATAATATCCTAGATTCCATACAGGTAATCTCCGTTGTAGTTTACCTATATGTTCATGCAGCATTGTAATTTCAGCAGAATTAAGGCATATGCACTTATCAAGAGTCAAAAATTAAATTCAGTGGCTGCATGTTCTCATTTCATTGACCTGCATATGACTTTGATAAATAAGCACTTTTGCCTTGGTAAGTAACACTTTTAGATAAAATACTGATTTCCCCCTTGGTATTTTTTTAATACAGAAGAAAATTTGCACTGCTTTCCACTAATTTTATTGTGGCAGATTGGCATTATTCCTAGAGTGCAATAAGTATTGCTTACATGAAAGAGGAGAGCGGGACAGGGAAGCTTTTTAAAAAATTTGCTTCATTTGGTTGTTTAGGTTGATAACTATTTACCAAGTACCTATATAGCAAATAAAGTGCTGGGAACAGAAAAGACAAACACGAATAAAATCTACTTCTTATCCTTGAGCATCTTATGAACTTGTAGGAGATTAAATGAAGGAGACAGCGCTACAGTATTGAAAAATGTTTTGCTTCGTTATACCTGGAGCACAATGGAAGAACACAAGGGAACACTTAGCCCAGGAGTCAGGGGAGGCTTCTTGGGAGAGAAAAATCTAAACCAACTGAATAATGATAAGTAGGATTAGAAGTGGGAGTAGTGAGAGCAACAGGAAGCAGCCAAATGCCTTGGCAGAGACTGGTCGCCGGTGAAACCCTACCTCCAAGCCAAAGACAATTTAAAGCCTAAAAGCTAAGCTACAGGTTAAATCCTTGGACTGGATTGAGTACTTGTCTTCCTGTTTGGTGCACTTTCCTCTGATTGATCTCCACCCTTCACCTATTTTACATGTATATACCCTTTCCTAATTGGTTTTCTACACTGCCATACTCACCTTTGGGTGATGTCTTCACTTTGCATACTTATAAGCCAGTCAGCATGCACTCCCCATTCTGAGTCCACAAAACACCCTGGACCCAGCCACATGGGAGACTTGCCCACCTTCCGGTAGCGGAATCGCCCCACTGCATCCCCTCTGCTGAGAGCTGTTCCGTCGCTCAATAAAATTCAGGCCACCCTCCTCACACTTCAATGTTCACCATATCCTCATTCTTCTTGGGTGCAGTACAAGAGCTTGGGAACTGCTGATTGTGGGTACAGGCTATAACACTGGGGCATACCAGTGTGGCTGAGCGAGGCCCAGGTGGGTTGTCACCAGCCAAGGGTCTCTGGCCTGCAAAGTGATGGAGAAAAGAAATCCTGCATCAGTAGGATTAGAGTAGAGCTTGTATGTACAGAACATTGTACTCATTGATCTTACATAAAAATTTGTCACATAGTGCCATAAACCAGTTCTCAATCAATGTAAAATAATTAATATCCTATAGATCACATAATGCATTTAGGGTAGGCTCAATACGAAAAGGAAACTTGAAAATTCTCATATGTTTGGAAATTTAAAAACACTTATTAATTACTCATAGGTCAAAGAAGAAATCACAAAGGCAAATTTAAAATAGAGTTAGATAATAGTACAAATTTTATATACTAAAACTTGTGGAATGCACCCAAAGAAGTATTTGGAGAAAAATGTATAACTCTCAATTCTAATATCAGAAATGGAAAAAATGCTGATAAACTTCACATTCCAACTAAAGCAAACAGGGAATCAATAACACCCAAAGGGAAGCAATAATGAAAACAAAGGTAGAAAGTGTCAGCAGACTCAAAACTAGATCCCTTCCTTACACCTTATACAAAAATTCGCTCAAGATGGATTAAAGACTTAAATGTAAGACCTAAAACCATAATAACCCTAGAAGAAAACCTAGGCAATACCATTCGGGACACAGGCATGGGCAAAGACTTCATGACTAAAACACCAAAAGCAATGGCAACAAAAGCCAAAATAGACAAATGGGATCTAATTAAACTAAAGAGCTTCTGCACAGCAAAGAAACTATCATCAGAGTGAACAGACAACCTACAGAATGGGAGAAAATTTTTGCAATCTATCCATCTGACAAAGGGCTAACATCCAGAATCTACAAAGAACTTAAACAAATTTACAAGAAAAAACAAACAACCCCATCAAAAAGTGGGCAAAGGATATGAACAGACACTTCTCAAAAGAAGACATTTATGCAGCCAACAGACATATGAAAAAATGCTCATCATCACTGGTCATCAGAGAAATGCAAATCAAAACCACAATGAGATACCATCTCACACCAGTTAGAATGGCGATCATTAAAAAGTCAGGAAACAACAGATGCTGGAGAGGATGTGGAGAAATAGGAACGCTTTTACACTGTTGGTGGGAGTGTAAATTAGTTCAACCATTGTGGAAGACAGTGTGGCGATTCCTCAAGGATCTAGAACTAGGAATACCATTTGACCCAGCAATCCCATTACTGGGTATACACCCAAAGGACTATAAATCATGCTACTATAAAGACACACGCACATGTATGTTTCTTGCAGCACTATTCACAATAGCAAAGACTTGGAACCAACCAAAAAGTCCATCAATAATAGACTGAATAAAGAAAATGTGGCAAATATACACCATGGAATACTATGCAGCCATAAAAAAGGATGAGTTCATGTCCTTTGAGGGGACATGGATGAAGCTAGAAACCATCATTCTCAGCAAAATATCACCAGGACAGAAAACCAAACACTGCATGGTCTCACTCATAAGTGGGAGTTGAACAATGAGAACATATGGACACAAGGAGGGGAACATCGCACAACAGGGCCTGTTAGGGGGTGGGGGTCTGGGGGAGGGATAGTATTAGGAGAAATACCTAATGTAAATGACGAGTTTATGGGTGCATCTAACCAACATGGCAGATGTATACCTATGTAACAAACCTGCACGTTGTGTATGTGTACCCTAGAATTTAAAGCATAATAATAATAAAAAAAGAGAAAGTATCATCAGACTCAAAAGGTGGTTCTGAAATGGGGTAGGTTGAACAACCCCTTCCCCAAATGTATCCATGCCCTAATCCCTGAGATCTGTGAATTTTACCTTCTGTGGCAAAAGAGACTTTGCAGATACAAGTTAAGAATTTTGATAATGGGAGATTATCCTGAATTATTTGGTTGTGTCTAAAATGTAATCACAGGATACTATGAGGAGGTAAGAATGTCACAGAAAGAAGGCAATGTGACAAGAGCAGCAGAGATTGGCATTATGTAGCCACAAGCCAAGTGTGATGGTTAATTCTATGTGTCAACTTGACTGCACCATGGAGTACCCAGACATTTGCACAAATATTATTCTTGATGTGTCTGTCAGAGTGTTTCTGGATGAGATTAACATATGAATTGGTAGGTTGAGTAAAGACGATTACGCCTCTCAATGTAGGTGAGCTTCATCCAATCAGTTGAAGACCTAAATAGAACAAAAACGCTGAGTTAGAGGGAACGTCCTCTACCTAAGTGAGCAGGGACATTGGTCTTTTCCTGCTTGTTTCAAACCAAAACATTGATTATTCTTGGGTCTCGATCCTGCCAGGATTATATTATAAGTTACACCACCAACTACTTTGGTTCTTAGGCATTTGAACTTGAGCTGGAGCTACACCATCAGCTCTTTTGGGTTTCTAACTTGCCAATGGCAGATCTTGGGGACAAGGAATATATTGGCAAGGATCTGAAGAGGCAAGAAATAGATCCCCCCCAGAGCCTCCAGAAGCAATGCAGCCTTGCTAACAATTGGATCATGACCCTGTGAGATTCATTGCACACTACTGACTTCCAGAACAGTACAAGAATAAATGTGTGTTGTTTTAAGCTACCAGGTTTGTGGTATTTTTTTACAGCAGACATAGGAAACTAATACAACTAATAAAATACACAAACTTCTGACGAGATTGATCACAGAAAAAAAGAGAGAAGGAATAAATATGCAATACATATGACCTATTACTATTCTATGATAAGACTGGCTTTGTAGAAAATGCAAAAGAATATATTAAAAATTACTACAATTATAAGAGAATTTAGCAAGTTTTCTAGGTACAAAATCAATATAAAATTAATTAAAATTTTATATAGCAGTACCAGTTAGAAAATTAAAAAAGTATTATTTACAACAGTGTCGATATATATACAAAGTATATTTGGGGATTAAATTTAACAAAGGATGCAAAACATCTTTAAGGAAAAAATTATGAAACTTTATTAAGAACATTGAAGAGTACCTGAATAGATACAATGACATATTATATTCGTGGATTGAAAGACTCAATCTCTTAAAGTTGACAATTCTTTCCAAATTCTTCTATTCTTCTATTAATTCAGAACAATTCTAATCAGTTATATACATAATTTTTATAAATATTTATAAAGGTGTCTTACACCTTTTCCCCAGAAACCTAAATTTTAATGAAGTATTTTCTCTTCACTATGACAAATTATAAGCATGTTTTTCTTAAGAAATGTTATAAACTTGATTATGTGAATCTATTTTTTGAATATATTTTTGAGAAGAATTTATTTTAAAAAAGTTTATACCTAAAAATAAAGTACCATAAATAAGTTTTTTATATTTGAGAGAAAAGAGCATACACACTTAACTTCTGGCAAGTGTAAACAAGTCCCATAGTAAAAATTTTGTCACTAAAGTACAGTCTGCTGAGTGCCATTAAGCATACAATACACATCTGTCTGTGTTTCTCTGTAAAATGCTGAACTGAGTTTTTCTTTTTTTTTAGAACCACACATAGATTATCAGATGACTTCAGTCCTTGTGCAGACTGAGAGAAAAAAATATTTCTAGAAGCCGCTATGTAACTTTATTGGAAGTCAGCAGTAGCTGGGGCAGAAAGATGGCCAATCTTATTAAGGTAGTGCTTAAAACTTTGCCCCATCTCCACTAATTAGTTCCCTGCTTAGCGTGTTGAAGGAAATAAATGTAAATTTTGCACTGTGTGTATATGTCTGTGTGAATGTTTTCAGTAATTTTTCTCAGTATCACCTACCCTTGATATTCCAAACATGAGTTAATATTCAGAATACACCACAATTCAAATCCCAACTATGATTAGTTAATTCTAAAATTTGGAAAAGCAAAACTTAAAGAATAATTAGAATAATTTTTTTAAAAAGTAAGAACTTGCCTTGCCAGACAAAAATAATTATAAAAATATAATGATTGCAATAAATTATGCAGTTCTGTGATAGAAAATTTGACACATGGAAGAGAATCAAGAGCCCAGAAAAAGAAAAATAATTGTTAACTTTATTTATGAACCAGTGGCTATAAATAGAAATGATGGACTATGTAATTAATACATTAATAATGCTCTAACAACTGATTAACCATGAAGGAAACGATGAAATTTAATTTTTACTTCACAGCATACATAAGATATAATCTCAATTGATTAAAAATTTGAATGTGGAAGTCAAAACTTTAAAGCTTTCAGAAGACAATATAGGAGCTTTCTGACCTTGAATAGGACAACTTCTTAAAGAAGACATATAAAAGCAAGTGAAAATTTAAAGTGTAAGTCAAATTGACTGCCTTTACATAAGAGCATCTATTTATCAAAACACACCATAAACAGGATAAAAGAAAAACTACAAAATGTAATAATTAGGGTGCAAAATATACAAAGAACTCCTACAAATTAAAAAGACTACCTTATAAGAAAATGAGACAACAAGTCAGATTGCACTTTGCAGAAGAAGCAACCTGAATGGTCAACAAGCATGGGGAAAGTTCTTCCACTTATTAGTGATTAGGTCAATGCAAATTGAAGCCACAACGAGCAACTACTAGCATCTACCATATTGGCAAAAAGTTTTTAGAGTCTAACAATATGATGTAATGGCAAGAATATGGAACAGCAAGAACTTTCATATACTGCTAGCAGGTGTGTATATTGCTTCAAACATGTTGGGAAAACCTTTGGTATCTAGTAAATTTGAACATCACATACTAATAAGCCAACAAATCCATTCCTAAGTGTATACTCCAGAAAAACATTTTCACATGTGTACCAATGGGCATAGATAATAATTTTATAGTAACAATGTCATTAATAGTAGAAGCACTGAGAGTAGATCACATCTAATCAGAGAGTGGATAAACAAATTAAGACGTGTTCATAAAACCGATTGCTATAAAAAGGTAAAAATGGCTGCATTTCAGCTACAGGGAACAATATGGCTCTAATAATTGTACAGTTCCATGCAACATACACAACTAAACAATATTTTTATTTAGGTATGCAAACATACATGTTACAATTTTAAATAAATGCAAGAGAATTGTAAATATAAAATTTAGGATTGTGATTACTTTTGTGAAGGAGAGAAAGGGATGGAACATAAGGAGGGACACACAGGAAACTTCAAAGTTAAAGACAATATTCTTTCCTTAAGCTAATTTGTGGGTTCATAGCTGTTTGTTTTATTGTGATTCATTATACTTTACACTGCTTTTATAAACATATTTATAAACATTGTATAAACATTACTTTGGATTTGTCCAAGAAATACAACTTTTTAAAAAGTAGGTATGTTGTAGGGGTTGCTTGGAGTAGATGGGTGAACACAGCATTGGCGAAGGCACAGAAGTGAAAAGCAGCCCAGTGCTTAGGAAGGATGTGAACCGTGAAGCATTAGAAGAGCCCATACTGTGAGGGAGGTGGAGACAGCTGGAAGCAAAGTTGGAGAGGCAGGTATTCATTAGAGAGGCACTTCTAAGTGAATATGGAGCTTGTACTTTCTAATACAAATGACACAAAATGTTGTGAAGGGATTTTGAATAAAGAATGACTCAATCATGGTGCATCACAAATAAATTACTATTGTAGTGGCACAGTAAAGAGCTGTGGCTCTAGGCGATGCACAATAAAATCACAGAGGCTCCATCCCTAATACTCTGATATATTAAGTTGGTAAAGGGTTGGGCTAAAATGTTAGGAATTGAAGAGGATAGATATCACTGGAACAATAATCATAGCAAGTGTAGTGGGCTGGCTTCTAAGATGGCTTCCAACAATTTTTGCCTGCTGGTGTTTATGCAGTTGTGCAGCCCCTTCCCTTTGAGTACAGGCTGGACCTAGTGAACTTGCTTCTAGTGAATAAAATAGGGCAAAGGTAATGGAGTGTCATTTCCAAGGTTTTATTGCAAAATACTGTGACTTTGTACGTTCTCTTAGTAGTCTCTCACTCTCTCTTGTCTTGCTTGCTCATTCTGATGAGGCCAGCTGCCATGTTGTGAGATCTTCTGTGGGAGAGGCCCCACATGGCAAGGAACCTAGTGGGGAGATCTCTGGCTAAAGGCCCAGGAAAAACTGAATTCTGCCTACAATCACATGAGTGAGCTTGGGAGTAGATCTCTCTCCATTCCCCCACAGTCAAGCTTTGAGATGACTGAAGAGCCAATGGACACCTTGGTTGCTACCTATGAAAGGCTCTGAATCAGAGGACCCAGTTAAGTTGCAACCAAATTTCTGACCCAGAGAAACTGTGAGATGATAAATGTTACCTTAAGCTACTACCTTTTGGGGTAATGTGTTATGCAGCAACACCTAATGTTAGAATGAGGATGATAGGCGGAATAATGGCCCTCTAAAGATGTCCACGTCTTAATCTCTGGAACTTGTGAATATGTTGTTATATAAAAAGGAAGCATTGAGTTTGATAATCAACTGACCTCGCAATGAGGAAATTATTCCAGTGGGTCCAATGTAATTGCAGGGGTCCTTATGAGGAAAAGAGGGAGGCAAGAGAAGAAGTGTCAGAGGGGTATGGTGATGCATTGCTGGCTTTGAAGATGGAGGAAGTAGCAACAAACTAAGGAATGTAGGCAGCCTTTAGAAACTGGAAAAGGCGAGGAAACAGATTCTGCCCTAGAACTGTCAGAAGGAACCCAGTGTTGCTGACACCTTGATTTTGGCCTAGTGAGATTCAGTTTGTACTTTAGACCTCCAGAACAGTAGTATAGTACATTTGTGTTTTTTTAAGCTGCAAAGTTTGTGATAATTTGTTACAGCTGCAATAGAAAATAATACCATGATAGTAATACCAATGCCAGTAGTAATAACAACTCTGTGATGTGGGTATTTGTAGTATCCATATTTCATAGATAAAATCAGGGCCCAGAAAGATTAATTAGATTGCCCAAATTACACATTTAGGAAGTGAAAAAAAAACATGTTTTCCATTGTATTTCATACTGTCTTTCATAAGACTTTCAAATGGATTGGACCTGGGAGGCGAGAAAGATGGAATGCAGAAGACAGAAAACAAGTTTCTATACAATTTACCTACAGTGCAAAGAGATATGGTAGTAATCACACTGCTATTTGCAAATGAATCTAGTCACTTTCATAATAGGCATGTGGGAGGCCATGTGCTTATTTTGATAATGCCGTCATTGCCAAAAGTATTTTTTAAACGGCCGCACTTCATTAATTATTATCAGACCCTGTAGCATATTGCTGAGAACCTTTTCACGTGATAAATTATTAACCCTCTAGGAGTCATTGTAATTTTCAGAAATAACCAAGCTTCTTTCAGAGCTAAATTGAGAAAGGTGGTTGCTTGTCATGAATGCCTGAGAAAATAATAACAATAGCTAAAGCGTGTTGACTACAGGCAGTGACCATGCGAAGAGCTTTAGTAGCCTTTTTTTTTCTGTTTAATGTAAAGCCTCAGAATAACACTATGTGGTAGGTGTCCTTAGTCTCCCCACTTTAGAGATGAGAAACTGACACATGGAGAGGTTAAGTAATGTGCCCATGTTCTTACAGCTAATAAGCGGGCAAGCAAGAATACAAATTGAGACCAACTAGCTGCAGATTTTGTACTCACAACCACTGCAGTATACTGTCTTCCAGGAACTTCGTTTTGAGCTCCCTGAGTTTAATGTTGCTATGATATGCAGTGATTAAATCATTATTTTATAGGAGATTGGCTATCATTAGCTTTAGTCCAACTTTGATCAAGCAGGATAGATCAGCTTTCTCAAAGGCTCCCAATAAAACCCCGCTCCATTGGATTTATGAACAAGGATCTTGTGAGGATGTAATCCTTTTCACTGGTCCTGTAACAAATTGTTTTTACTTCAAATTTTAACATGTCTACAATTAAAATGCACCTTACTGTCACTATCAGGTGATTTTTTCTCTGTTTTTAAATTTTTAAATTTTTAATTTTTGTGGGTACATTGCAGGTATATATATTTACAGGGTACATGAGATGTTTTGTTACAGGCATGCAATGCATAGTAACTACATCATGGAAAATGGAGCATCCATACCCTCAAGCATTTATCCTTTGTGTTACAAACAGTCCAGTGATATTCTTTTAGTTATTTTAAAATGTGTGATTACATTATTATTGACTATAGTGACCCTGTTGTGCTATTCAAATAGTAGGTCTTATTTTTTTTTACCCATTAACCATTCCCACCCCAACCCCACACTACCCTTTCCAGTCTCTGGTAACCAACCTTCTACTCTCTATGTCCTTAAGTTCAATTGTTTTGATTTATAGAGTCCACAAGTAAGTTAGAACATATGTTTATCTTTCTGTGACTGACTTATTTTGCTTAACTTAGTGACCTCCAGTTCCATCCATGTTATTGCAAATGACAGGACCTCATTTTTTATGGCTGACTAGTACTCCATTGTGTATATGTACCAGGTTTTCTTTAACTATTCATCTGTTGATGAACACTTCGGTTGCTTTCAAATCTTGGCTACTATGAATAGGTGGTGGTTTTGATGCACTTGTTTTCCCTACACAAATAAATCAATGCTTGCCGAATAGGTGTCAGTGGCTTGGATAAAAATCATGGAGACAATAGTGAAAGACATTTTAAAAAGCTGCGTCACCAATATTCTCCATGGTACAGATAGGGATGTTGGTGAAAAAGCATGGATATCAGCAGCTCTGGGGCAAAAAGTCATTCAGAAGAGTGGATATTGTCTGTTTACAAAGTTTTAGAAATATCTTAAATGACATATGTATATATTTACACATATATGTGTAGATATATCCTCAAGAATACTATATAATAAAATATTTGTCTAAGTGATATGCAAAGAATTATTTCAATAAGTCTAAAAATTAAAAAAAAAACTTTAAACCTTAAGAAAGCATTGAGTCTTAATTGGCATTTTTGTTTTGTTTTGTTTTTTAAGATACAGAAGCTGGGCGTGAAGGCTCACGCCTGTAATCCCAGCACTTTGGGAGGCCAAGGCGGGTGGATCACTTGAGGCCAGGAGTTTGAGACCAGTCTGGGCAACACAGCGAAACTCCATTTCTAAAAAAAAGAATAGCAAACACTAGCCAGGCATGATGTCACACACCTGTAGTCCCAGCTACTCAGGAGGCTGAAGTGAGAGGATCAATTGAGTCTGGGAGATTAAGGCTGCAGTAAGCCAAGATGGCGCCACTGCACTCCAGCCTAGGTGACAGAGTGAGACCCTGTCTCAGAAAAAAGGAGGGGGGGTACATAAATGTATGGTGCATCTTATAATAGATGACATCTTAAAGTTTATGAAATAGAGTAAGTTGCAGAAGCACTGGTCTACAAAGTTCAGTTTTAAGTTTGCTGTAGCGCTTCTTAGAGATTGGATCTGTTAATGTATATCAAATGAGGGAAGAGCATGAGTAGATTTTCTTAAACTTATTTGACTACAGAAGTATGTTTCATGGGGCATCTATTTAGCCACTTACTAAAAAAAAACTGAGCTAGTTATTATAATTTGATAAAAATAGAAGAAAATCATCAAATAATTTTTTATAACTTACAAATATTTTCTGAAGATAACGCCAAGAGCAAAGTCTCTAAACTATTTTAAGTAATTAGAACATGAGTGGGAAGTACATAATTTTTTCAAAGTGATTATTTTGAAGAACAATGCTCATCTGAATGGGTAAGTTCTACAATTCTAATTCAAGTAGTATAGCTCCTTCCTTCTCTTTTCTGTTCCGCTGAGATTAACACCCATAATGTTACATTAGCAAATGTTTGTTGTGAGCATCCTCCCAGTAGGCCGTGACTCTTTCAAGAGAGAGATTCTCATCTTTGCTTTCAAAACACCAAAGACGGAGGTCTGATAACATGGAGCTCCATAAATCCTTGCAAGACAGAGAAAGGAAGGGTAAGTCTATGACATCATGATATAAACATTTTGCCTTATTTTTTTCCATATAACAAACACTGTTATATTAACATGTTTAAAATCTAACAATCCCTTTTTGGCTTCTGAAAGACGAATTAGGAAATTGGCATTAAACATTTCTCTTCTTTACTACCAGGACCTTAAATGCCTTCACGCTATAAATTTCTCTTAATTGTTCCCAAACCTGAAGCTGACATATTAGGTTTATTAAGTGGCCTCTGGCAGGTTATAACAAATTAAATGTTATACTATTCAGCCAATGCAATTAGCACACAGTGTTTGGGAATTCTAGTGATGGGGGAGCCATGAGACAATGCCTCAGTATCTCAGCCAGGAAAAGGCTGCGGTAGCTCAGCTCACATTTTATGAGGCATTTCAATTTGTACAAATTATTCCCACTGGACTCTTAAATATGACCAAACCTATTGCCCTTGCTGGAATAAAAAAATAAAGAAATCATTGTGATTATTAAGTAGGTATAGCTCCATATTGATGCTTCAATTTCTTTATGTATTTATTTATGTATCCATTTACTGATTTGCCCAAAATTAATTTTGTGGTCCTCTGTCCTGCCTGTTCCCAGCCCTTTCAGTGAACTAGCCACCTGTTTTCACAAGATAACACCTACCTGCATATTCTCTTCACAACTCTGCTTCACTTAAAATCTTAATATTGTCTTGACTCCTTTACCACCATCCTCCTCATTGTCTAGGTAGAAATATGGGCACAATCTTTCCTCTCTTGTAGACCACATTTCAGCACTTTTAAGTGCAGGAATATGCCTACAGGAACCCATGTTCATAATCTGTCAGGAAGTCCTGTTGAATCCTAAATTTCTCAAATTTATCTTTAACTTTCTGTCCCAGGCCATGCTGTGTTTAGGATTTGCTCATCTTTTCCCCAGGTTATTGTAACAGCCTCCTAATTTCTCTGGAAACCTTTAGTCTCCCAATCTACTCTGCATGGTACAACCAGAATATTATTTTTTCTTCTAAAAATGTAGATGTGAACTTTTCACAGACTAGCTTAAAAAGTCTTTAATGACTCTCTCTTTTTCTCAAAATAAAATGGAAAATACCAGTTTCCACTTAGAATGTAGAAAGTTAGAAAGAGCATAGATCTTACTTTGACAACTAAAAAAGCTAAATGACTTGTAAAACCACAACTTTCTTGAATCTACCAAAAAGATCATATCGTAATACAACCACCCACTTCAAAATCTCGGATAAAAAGGTTTCTGCAAAGAAAGATGGGTGAAAGTGCTTATGGCAGCTGCCAGATGCCATGCAAACAAGTAAGAAGACGTTAGCTAAAAATTTTACCTAAAAATGTTAACAAATTGCTGACTGTGGGCGAGCATAGGATTATAATGCCCATGGGAGCTACTAAAACAAAGGGCATTTATATCCACTCACAGGCTCTTCTTCACAGATTTCCATCAGCTCCTTCCAAAAAAGTCTAGGGATGTGGTGTGAGTATGGATAAAACAACCCTTGTGGCAAAGACTTGGAATAAGCAATAGCAGCTGTTGAGCAAAAGGCACAGAGCTCTACCTGGATTATTGTCCTTTGTCTCCCCTGTGGAACAAATCCTTAAGGTTCTGGGGGAATGTGTTCAAAGTTTGTTGCCCTCAGGAAACGGGTCAAGACCCAGTGCAGCTGGGAGAAGAGAACAGAAACAAATCTCTAGATGTGTCCTGTGACTAGAACATTAAAGATGCCGTTCCATTGGAAGAGGAGTAGGATCCCTACCTATCCTTCACCAATTGGCAAATAAAGATACAGAGAGGGTCTCACCTCTGAAATCCAGAATTAGAATGTTTGCCATACGAATGAAGCTGGACCATAGTGAACACTACACCTACAACCCCTCCCCTCCAGCACACAGGCACCAGGCTGGTTTAGGGGAGGTCAAGAGCGTGAGAAGGACCTAATGCATTTAGAGTCAGGAGAGACAAAAGGACTGACCTAAAGCTAAAGATGAAACCATCACTTGAAAAAAAATCCCTAAACAGAAAATATTGCTGGAGGAATTTTAAGCTTGTGGTGGACTGAATGTAAACACAGCAGCATCAAAACCCAAATCCAGCTCTGGTTTTGGCTACTTGATTCAACATTCTTTTACCAATTTCTAGAAAAAATAAAAAAAAAGGAGTTGACCTATTTCAAAGCATAAAATTATTTACTTCACTTGTTGCTGCACTAAAAGATGTTTGATTTTCAACCAAAAATTATAAGACAATAAAGAAATAAGAAAAAAAATGAACGTATTTTCAAGAGGCAAGGCAATCAACAGAACTAGCCTTGAATATAACACAAAAGTTGAAAACACAGGAGAAAATCGGTGTAACTTCTGGTTTGGTGATAAGTTTTTAGATGCAATACCAAATGTGTAAGTAATCAATGGAAAAAAAGAGGATAAATTGGACTTCATAAAAATTAAAAACATTTGTTTTATGAAAGACACTGTTAAGGGAATGAAAATGCAAGCAGCAGATGGAGAAAATATGTACAAATCACATAACTGATAAAGGAAATGTGTTTAGACTATGTAGAGAACTCTTAAAACCCAACACTAAGAAGACAGTCAGCCCAACAAAAAAGAGGCAAAATGTATAAACATATACTTTTCTGAAGAAGGTATGAAGTGTCAGATAAACAAATTAGTCAGTAGAGACTGCAAATCAAAACTACAATGATATACCATGACTAATATACACCTATAAGAATGGCTGGGAGGAAATATCTGACAATATCAAACACCGGTAAGAAGACACAGCAGAGAAACAGGAATTCTAATTCACTAATGGGGGAAATGAAAAATGGTACAGCCACTTTAGAAAACAGTTTATATAATTAAACATACACTTATCGTATGAGTCAGTGATCTCATTCCTCATTATTTAACCAAGTGACTTGAAAATTGAAATATGTTTATGTAATAACCTGTACACAAATATTCACAGAAGCTTGCTTTATTACAATCAAGGGCTAGAAACAATTAAGATGTTCTTCAACAGGTGAATGGATAAAATATCGATGAAAATTCTGGTACATCCATTACGTAAAATACTACTCAGCAATAAAACAGAAAGAACTATTGATTCACACAACATTATGGATAAATCTCAATGCATTCTGTTAAGTGAAAAAAACCAGAAACAAAATGCTATATATCTTATAGTTCTATTTACATGGCATTTAGTAAAAGGTAAAACTATAGAAACAGAAAGAGATGAAAAGTTGGCCTGTGTTGTGAGGGGATTTGGCTTAAAAAGGGTCATGAAAACAAAATTTTAGGATAATAAAATTGTTATATATTGTACACAATTCTATGCATATGTCAAAACCCATTGCACAGTATACGACAGAGAGTAAACTTAACTATATGGAAATTAATAAAACGCCCTCCATTGGATCAAAGGATCCTAGGATCAAATACAGACCAAAATAAATGAATTTAACTTTATTACAAATGTATGACACAATTTCACAAAGAGGTGGGAAGGGGGAAAAGAGCTGGCCTAAGTAACTTTGGAAAACAGTGTTTTGTTTCGATATTGTAAAGCTAAAGACAAAATTAAAAGCATAACGAATACTGTAGCCTAATTGTAAATTTATTTTTCACAAGGATACAGTTTAGCAATTCCAAAACTACTATAATGGGGTTAAACACACAAATAAATAAATACATTATAGCTTATAGGAACCAGGTTCCTCATTGTCAAAAAAAAAAAAAGAAGTTACAAATAAATAAAGTCAGGAGAGGAGAGAGGGAGCCTACAATGAACTCTGTGAATTTGAGTTGGAGATATCAATATGGACTCGTGTTTATGCTATAATCTCTCTCTGTCTTTCTCTCTCTCTCTCTCTCTCTCTCACACACACACACACACTCACACACACACACACCCCTTCTCCAGGTAGACAGATACAAAAATATAGATATATACAGGTTTGTACACATACATAAATTTCCTAGCTCTGTTGATAGAAACAGCCTAGACATCAGTGACACCTTAGTAACTATGAGTACATTCAGCACCCAGGTCTTGGTTTCTAAATACCATTTTCCAATAGAAGCAACCAAGGCTCCTTGGAGAAATGGCTGATTCTAGAGATAGGAGAAGGAGAGAATCTTTTAGTGCCAGTAAGTATGGGGGTATTATTTTAAAAAAAGAAAGAAAGAGAAAGAAAAAGAAAAAAGATCAGATTATGCTAAAGGAAAACAAGCATCATTTTGAGAGCGCTCTCAATGGCCAAAGCTGGAACAATTTGAGCAAACATAATAAACAACAGCGTTGGATTCTAATCCAAAGAATAAAGTGAATATTCATGAACTCATACTGATATAAATAAATGGTAGAATAACTAAATAAATGCAAGAGAAGGGAAAACTCTTCCTTATGAAGAGTTCCAATTAATAAATGTGGAAAGAAGAAGGAAACTGAAAATCACACTTAGAATCCCACAATAATAAACGTTACAGACAGTATCTATTGATGAATGCTAAAATCAGTGGGAAAATTTGTAGGGACAAACAGTATCTCCTCCAAGTTTATTAGTTATTTTGGTGATTTTAACATATAACATGAATTATTTACTGTCTCTCTAGGAAGTGGCACTGAATTTACCCTCTGCCCGTGAGCTGTACATAGCAATTAACTTTAACAAATAGAGTATGAACAGGGAAAAATAGCAATTTTACAGTGGGGAAGTCTAGGTGCATCATCTTTATCAAGTGATCAAGGTTTACATCACCATTAATAGGCTATGTTGATATCATGAGTCCTTCGGTAGGTTACAATGACAAAAGCCAGTCATCTTTGTGATATTCTTTCTCAAAACCTACAACCTGAGTCTATGCAAGAGAAAACATCAGACCAACCCAATCTGAAGAATATTCCAAAACCCATCTGACAATTGCATTTCAAACGTGTCAAGATCATGAAAGACAAGAAAAAAGTCACAGAGTGAAGGAGACTAACAAATTAGGGGAATTGCAATGTGGTATCCTGAACTGGATCCTGGGAGAGAAAAGGACATTAGTGGAAAAATGGGATAAATTTCAATAAGGTCTATATGATTAATTAATGATATTGTACCAATGTTACTATCTCAGTTTTGATAAATATGCTGTTGTTACATAAGGTGTAAACATTAGAGCATACTTGATAAAGAATATATGGGAACACTCTACTATTTGCAACTCTCCTGTCAATTCATTATTTAAAAATAAAAAGTTAACACTACTATGTACATAATAAATGTTTATTGAATCAGGAAAAAAATGTCTCTAGTTTTGGAATCTAGGCATCAGTAATTTTTAAAAGTTTCTCAGCTGATCATGAGACTGAACTTGGAAATCAGTGTTCTAGATTTGTAGTTATCAACTGTGAATGATTTTGCTCCCCCACCGCCAGGGGACATTTGGCAATGTCTGAGAACATTTTTATTGTCATGATTGGGAAGATAACACCGGCTTCTAGTGGGTAGAGATCAAGGACCCTGCAGTGTACAGGACAGCCCTCTCCAATAAAGAATTATTTGATCCAAAATGCCAATACCAAAGTTGAGAAACCCATTCTAGATTCTAGAGCAGTGATTCTCAAAATATGCTCCCCGAAGAAATGGCATCAGCAGCAACATCACTGGGAAACTTGTTAGAAATGCAAACGAATCCACTCCTTTCAAAATTTAGCATTCATTGTAATCACCTGGAAGACTTAGTGCCCAGATGGCTGTGCCCCACCCACAGAGTTTCTGATTCAGTAAGTGGGAGGCAGGACTGAGAACTTGAGTTTCTAGCAATGTCTAAGTGATGATTCTGGTTATTTCCAGGGACCACACTTCAAGATACCCTGTTCTAGAGGAATTAGAGAGCATTGAGGGTGTCTGAGGAAGAGCTGGATATTGGGGAATTTCAGTATTCTCCCTCCTTTAGATCTTGGCTTCTTGCCTTCTAGATAGAGAACATCTGTCAGTTTATATGGCCCATACTTAGCTAAAACAGTTCTGGTATAAAGGTGACCCAAATTGTCCAGTGGAAATTATGAATCCATTTCTTGGAGGTTCTTCCAAACTTTTCCTTATTTCCTGTTCAACCATCTACCACTGTGCAAACAGTACGTGGTTTTCTCATTAGACATGATATGTTGATCCTGGCTCCTTTTTTAAAATCATAAGTAACGCTAAAGTTGACATTTTCCTGAATTAAACTGCCTCTCAACATGTTAAAAGAGATTATTATGATAAACACCAAGAAAGTATGACTTTATCCATATTAGCAGCATAATATAATAAGCATAATCCCAGCACAGCATGGGAGGGAGTGATTAAGCACAATTTTAATGGGTTTTCAAAGAAACACATCTACATTTTGGGGTACTTTCTTTGAAATATTCTAAGTTGTTCTCTTATGCCTGTAACCAGCTACAGTCAGCACTGGCCCCAATTCCTCTTTCTCCCCTTCAGTTTTTTTCTCTAGCCCTCTACCCTGCACATGGGTTGACCATATGCCTCATGAAGATCTGGAACTTACTTATTTGGGGTTGTTCAGAACCCTCGTTCAAGGAGAGTAGCCTGACAAACAGATTAATTTCATTGTCTGACATGGTATGTATATCATGATGTCTGTGAGATTAGATATCAGAATGGTGCTGGCATACTGGTTTTGGGTAACTCTCATTCATTGAACTAATTCAAGGCTCCTGGCTAGTAATAGTCCACATTCAACCATGGACTTGAGCTATGTGTGTGGGCCTATCATTAGCAATCATTCCCCGGTGTTCCTGCCATGATGCCACCACTGAACAGCATCTGAGAGTGATGAGGGTGACAGCAGTTGTCCTTTACCCTGTGCACCTAAGGTGGCCGTCCTATCCTCTCCAGAGGCTCAATGCCATGTGTCAGGCATTCAGGTAGCTAAGCATATTACCTCCAAGAACTTTTGAGAACTTTTCTTGGTAATGCCAATAGGTCCTTCCGATTGAAGTCTTTTCTTGCCTCTGATCAATGTGCTGACATAGTACACTACCCCGTCCATTTTAAGCCACTCCAGAGGAGTGGCAGGCATTCCTTTTATTAAAGGAGCTGCGTAGAGTACTCCACTTGCAGGGTCCCTGCCTGTCCTCCCTGCTTGTGGCAGTGTGTGGAAGGCAGTCATGTGGTCAACAACAATGTACAGGTTCACATTCTAGGAAGGTAGTGGTTATGGACTAAAGAGTTTAAGAGAAGATTTAGTGGAAAGATGTGTTATTCTGTCTTTATGTTATGAAGGTCTCAATAATTGATATAACATGACCATAACATGAATTATCATTTACACTTTCTTGCATACTTTGGGTAACACTTACATTTGTGGCTATCATCAACAAAGCACAGTAAAACCTGCAAGACTCACTGCTTATGCCTTATTGAACAGACCTGAGGGAAAAGGGAGGACAGAAAGGTAAAAGCATGGTAGACAAGGAAGGAAATGGGAAGCTTTGCGAATATGTGAAACATTGTATTTGGGCAAATATGAGAATAAGTTTTAAGAAGTTTCCTAAATCATTGAAACTTGAAAAATATAAATAATGGACTTCAGTTATTTTCAAATTATTATCACAGTCTGTGTTTTACCAGTGACACTACTCTGGGACTGAGTGGTATTAATGAGCAGCATGCTGGATGATGAAGCATCTTAAGCAATGATATAGCCAGCACTCAATAAATCAACAGTGTTTCAACACAAATGAATTCCAAAAAGCATTTCTTCCTCTACCTGTTCATGTGTATCAAAAGATGGAGTCTAATTTCCCTTCCCTTAATTTTGGGTTGGACTTGGTGACTTGTTGACTAATAAAATTCAGCAGATGTGATGTTTTGGTCCTCTCGAGGCTAGATTATAAGAACCTGTGCAGCTGCTGCCTGGATCTCTCAGAACACTGGCTCTTGGAACACTCCCTTTTGGGTAAATTAGACCCTACATAAGAAGACCTGACTATGCCACTAGAAGAGAGGTGACATGGAAGAGCACTGAGGGATCAGACACATGAGTGAGCCATCTTTCACATTCAGCCCGCTGTAGCCTACACATGACACCAATCTCAGCCACGATGTGCTGCAGTTGCATGAGATACCCAAACAAGAACCACACGGCTAAGCCCTAGTCAACCCACAGAGTCTTGAGAGATAATAATAAATTGTTGTTTTAAGACACAAAATGTGGAAGTGGTTTATTTTGCAGCAATTGATAACAGAGATAGACAGGAAATGTAATTAAATTCCCTCTCTGGGAAACATAGGAGAAGATTGATTGACATGTGTGCCTCAGATAGAGGATGACAGACTGTCTCATGTTACCAGGGGCTTATGTCTTCTCAGAAGATGAACAGTGAAAATTTCATAAGACAGTACCAGAAATGTGAAGGCAAGCTAATCAAGTACTACCAACAGAGAGCAGAGGTGACAGTTCGAGATAAAAGTTTTATGTGGTGTCTCTCTCTCTCTCTTTTTTTTTTTTTTTTTTTTGTGAGATGGAGTCTCGCTCTATCACCCAGGCTGGAGTGCAGTGGCACGATCGTGGCTCACTGCAACCTCCACCTCCTGGGTTCAAGCAATTCTTCTGCCTCAGCCTCTTGTGTAGGAGGGACTACAGGTGCGTGCCATCATGCCCGGGTAATTTTTGTATATTTAGTAGAGATGAGGTTTCACCATATTGGCCAGGCTGGTTTCAAACTCTTGACCTTGTGATCTGCCCACCTCAGTCTCCCAAAGTGCTGGGATTACAGGCGTAAGCCACCGCGGCTGGCCCTGGTCTATTTCTTGAATGAGCTCATGCACTGAAGTCCTGGGAACCTGGAAGGCTACACTTACAAGGAAGTTTACTCCAAGGTCACTATGTCTACAAAAAGTCCCTTTTTTGGTATATAATATACTCTTAAATATGTGTTGCAAATTGAATGGTTCTAAGTTGAACGATAGACTTGTAGACATAAGGAGAAGTTCCCTTTCAGAGAACAAAAACTATTATAAAATAACTAATGATGGCTCCTGTGGGTGCTGTAGCCCTAGGTTGCAGATCACTCAGGACCATTACTCAGCCTGTAATGGAGAGTGGAAAGGGGTGTATGAAAAGTGACTTAGCAGGATCAGTGCATACAGGGGAAAGTGTGGCCTGTAGAGAAGCTGGATGTAGGGAAGTCAAGTGGCACCTTTATTCATTCTATTTCTACTTCCTCTGTTCATGTCGTCGGTTCTTTTTCCATTGTTCTCTTAGAGACTTTTGTAGTTGCTATTAGTGTGTATGCCTTTTTTCTATTTATGTGAGTCATTTCCTTATTTAACATAGGTATCACTTGCTGTCACATTTAACTATAAATCCTTTTTACTATTTCCTAAATTGGCTTTTTTTGACATGGGAAAATACAACATTTTTACACAGTTAATCCTTTTCTTTTTCTAAATTCTCCCATTGTTTTGAAAATTCAAAAGTCCTCATCACTCTATAGGTTTGAATAAATATTAAAGTATTTTCTCCCCGTTTTTTTCATGGTTATACAATATTTAATTGAGCCAGAATTACTTTATCCTATTAATATTGCTACTTTGACAGAAGCTAAAGCAAACTATTCAATAATGAAAAAATGATTAATTGGGCAAAAAATACAAAAATAAGCTTGATTAAATATGGTACATAAAACAACCATAAGAATGAATTTGACTGGAGAGATGTTGATTTTATGACTACATGTAAATCTATTTGAAAGCCAAAAATGTTCTAATGATCCATTTACATCTTCTTACTGGTTTGGAAATTCTTCATGTCGTACTAAATTATACAGTGTAGTCCCTTACAAAGCATGTAACATCAGAACACTAATTGTGCGGAACGTTAATTTGTATTGTACAAAGGTTTCATGGTAAAACAAATATGGGAAATGCTCCTTTGAACAAGATTAAGTTGTTTTTCAAGGACTTCTCAGAGTACTTAGTGTATAATCTGAATTTCCAAAAATATAACATAATATGCATCATACCCAAAGCTTATTCAGCCATGGTCTTCCTTGCCCTTTCTCCCTCCCTGCCAGAGCATCCTGCAGGACTCATGTTCTATAAAACATATTTTGGGAAACACTGTTGTGTTAAAAACAAACCAAACTGGATATTAAGAGATCTTGAATATGGCCCATAGCCAGTCTGGAACCATTTCCTCATCTGTATAAAAAGCCCTGGACTTTTCATAATAATTTGAAATCTGTAAAATGGTCTCCAATGAGTGTGTAGGCTACTCCTGTCCAGTTCTAGGTGGACTTTATATAAGTGTTGCCTAATGAAACCACAGACATTGTGTCAGCACCTGAATTCAATGAGATTCCTTCCAAAACTGAAAATGTAGAAGGAATATTAGGTGATCTTTAAGATCCTTTATCTTTTGGACATTCTTGATCCAAAGCTCAACACTTTGGATTATATTATGGAAAATGCTTACAAGATCCTGACCTCTGTAGTGCTATCTGATCATGAAAGTTTGTGACATACCTGGGAAGTCTGAATAAACAACAACAGAAAATTTAGAGTAAGGTTTTCTGTATGCAGGGCCACCACACCTGGTTTATGCAAGCCATTGACTGCTCTATACTTACTGTCCTGGCATAAGCATTAATAGCAGATCCTTTCGCTTCAAAGGCTAAAAGACTTGAATAAAAAATCATATGTTCACTCTATTTATACTCCCAAATCTAACCACCTCCTTAGCTCTTGACATTTTTTTAAAACCAATAACACAGTTTTGTTTTGTTTTAAAATGGCAACTAAGTATAGGTACTATTTTAATGAAGGATTTGTAAATGTACCATCTCATTTAATCATCACAAAATTCTGTGAGGTTGGTTGGTACTATTCTTATCCCCAGAGACAGATAGAGAAATTGTCACATAGCTTGCTCAGTGAGTGATGGAGATTTGAACTCCAACAATCTGGTTTCAGAGCTACCTCTCTTAAATCTACTCTACAGGTTTCATTTCAGCCTCTAATACCCATTATTATGGTGCTAAAAGATATAGCCCACTCCATATGTTTGCTCAAATTATATCTTCATTGGAATCTCCCACCCCACTTACCTTCTTTGTCCATAAGTCCTGTCATTCTGCACATCTTTGTGAGACGCTTTCATGACAAAACCTTCTGCTTATTCTCTAGCTCATAATAACATGTTATTAGTTGGAATTTCACTAGTAGTTTTATCTCTGCTGTCATTTCATCATATATTCAGATATCCCCTTTGAGAGTTATGAAAGATTCAATGGTTGTATGTCTATTCCCAAACCAGATTAAAGTTCTTGCAGGCCTGTGACCATGACTGAACCTGTACTTTCCAAAGTGCCTTCTAAAGAGCTGTACCATCATAGTCAATGTCATCTTAACCTTCCATTCCCACAGAAAAAGAAAATGTGAAGGGTAATGACAAACATTCACAGCTTCAAAATGCTTGTGTATTCTTGGCTACGGGTTAGATATCAGTGGTATTCTGGAGGTCAGAATACTTAGCTTTGACTTTGTTCTTTAGTGACATTAGGCAATCAAGCCTCGGTTTCCTCATCTGTAGATGATTATTTGTGCAATAACATATACTCTGCCTACTTTACAAGGAGTTCACATGGATCTAAACACAACATTTAAAGAAGTGTTTTGTAAATTGTAATGTATGTACAAATATGTAGGGTTAATTATTTACATTTATGAAGTATCTTGCATCTATAGGCATTTTTTTCTGATCTGGGAGAAGAGAAATTGGTCAGCAGCATTTTCTTGATGTCTTAATCCAGTTTGAAATCTGATTTTGCCCAGTTAATTCTAATAATCTGATGAGACAATCAAGCCCCTGCAGGAATCAACAAGCAGCTTCCAGGACAGCCCCAAGCATGCTGCAGGAGGCACTAGGTGCTGGGAACAGATGCCTGGGCCTCCTATTAAAATGTAAATAAGCTTTCTAAACAGTTGATTCATTTGAGGCAGCTGGACAGCAGGTAACATAAAATCTTCTGCACCATAGACACAGACAAATAAGGTATCCAGGGGTTACTAGGATCTTTGCCTATACAGATATTGTTCTATTACTCATCATTTGGTGTTTCCATCCACTCAGCTCACCTATTTTCCATGATATGCTTCTAACATGTCCCAAGTGGATTGTTGAGCTACAATCCAATAACACTTGGAGCCAGGAAATTAATTTTCGGATGTTCCTACTTCAACTCCCTTTTATTGCACCTGAAGTTTATCTTATATTTTTCCTCACTACCACCAACTACAAATATATATTTCCTTCAATATCCTGTCATCCTAGGGAAGGCTGAAGGTCAAAAGAGGTGAGTTTATCAACCCTAGAAACATTGTGTGGGGACCAGTCCTCAAAAGACAGAATCTAGAAGGAATGCCTGTGGCCTAGACAGTCCTCCCCCATTTCCAATGTCCCCTTAGTGGTTTCTAATCAGGGCAACAAATAAACTTGATGCAGTAAACACCTAATAGGTCAAATTGGCCATTACCCTCTCAGGGCAGGACTGTCGCCTCTTTTATGTTTTTCTGTTTAATGAAAGCTTTCCCCATAGAGACCATTTCTGAGTCCTTTTGAACTCTGTTGGGAAGATTATTTTTCATCCTTAGAAGTCATCTTAATTTTCTTTTCCCTAGGTAATTTGTACTGCAGACATAGCCTAACATTCCTCTTCTTCTTGTATTTGGATTTATGTGCAAAATAAAGTGAGTTCCCATTACTCAGAATGGGGAAGAGATAGGAACTCACATTTGTTGAGCCCATATAATTTGCTAGGCAATGTTCTCTGTGCTTTACATAATTTATCTCATGCAGATCTCATATCAGCTCAATGAAATAGGTATTATTATCTCCACTTTAGGAACAAGATGCCCACTTCTCAGAGAGCTTAAGTAACAGGTCCAAAATTGACCTGAGATTTAGGACTAGGTCTGCCCAGACACAAACACCCTTGCTTTTTGTTATAACAGCTGAGACCGAGAGAGTATTCTGACCTCTTAAACTTTCTGATTAATTGAGAGGGAACTAAAAAATATTTTTATTATAAACCATTCTTGATCATGGTATTTCTAAAAATAAACAATTGCTTTGTAAGTAATGTATAATCTTTAATATTTTCAATTAATGTGTTCATTTTAGGATAATTATAGATTCATATGCAGTTTTAAGAAATGATATAGAGAGGTCCTGTGTACCCTTTACTCAGTTTCCCTTAGTAGCACAACTTGTAAAACCATAGTAAAATAGCAATCCAGGATATTGACACTGACACATTCAAGGTGCAGAATATTTCCATCACCACCGGCATCCCTTCTCTAGCCACACTCATTTCCTCCAGCCTCCACTTCCACTTTAACAACTGGCACCTACTAATCCGTTCTCCATTTCTATGATTTTTTGTCATTTCAAGGCGCGGTGGCTCACGCCTGTAATCCCAGCACTTTGGGAGGCCGAGGCGGGCGGATCACGAGGTCAGGAGATCGAGACCATCCCGGCTAAAACGGTGAAACCCCGTCTCTACTAAAAATACAAAAAATTAGCCGGGCGTAGTGGCGGGCGCCTGTAGTCCCAGCTACTTGGGAGGCTGAGGCAGGAGAATGGCGTGAACCCGGGAGGCGGAGCTTGCAGTGAGCCTAGATCCCGCCACTGCACTCCAGCCTGGGCGACAGAGCGAGACTCCGTCTCAAAAAAAAAAAAAAAAAAAAAAAAAAAAAAAAAAAAAAAAAAAAAAAGTTTCATTTTATTTTATTTTTTGAGATGGACTCTTGCTCTGTTGCCCAGGCTGGAGTGCAGTGATGCAATTTTGGCTCACTGCAACATCCGCCTCCTGGGTTCAAACGATTCTCCTGCCTTAGCCTGCTGAGTAGCTGGGATTACAGGCGCACACTATCATGCCTAGCTAATTTTTGTATTTTTAGTAGAGATAGGATTGCGCCATGTTGGCCAGGCTGGTCTTGAATTCCTGACCTCAGGTGATCTGCCCGCCTCGGCCTCCCAAAGTGCTGGGATTACAGGCGTGAGCCACTGTGCCTGGCCAATAATGTTTTATAAATGGAATCAAAGAATATGTAAGCTTATGGGATTGGCTTTTTTTTTTTCAACTGGCATAATTCTCTGAAGATTCATCCAGGTTGTTGCATGTATCAGTAGTTTGTTCCTTTTCATTCCTATATGGCATCCCGTGGTATCAGTATGTCACATACTGTTTAATCATATATACATCGACAAACATCTAAGTTGTTTCTAATTTTGAGCAATTTTAAATAAAGCTGCTATGAACATTTGTGTACAGGTGTTTGTGTGAACAGATACAAACTTTTCTCTGGGGTGAATGCAATTGTTGGGTTACATGGCAGTTGCATGTTTCGTTTTTAAGAAACTGTCACACTGTTTTGCAGAGTGGCCGTATAATTTTTCATTCCCACGAGTGATGTTTGAGCGATTCAGTTTTTCTTCATCCTCAGCAGCATTTGGTACTGTCACTATTTTTTTTGTTTTAGTCATTTAAAAAAGTATGTAGTAATATCTCATTGTTGTTTTGACTTGCATTTTTCTAATGACTAATGATGTTTAGCATTTTTATGTGCTTATTTTTCACCTGTGCTGTATATCTTATTTAGTAAAATGTCCCTTTGTATTTTTAGCTCATATTCTAATGGATTGATTACCTTTTTTTACTGTTGAATTTTGAGAGTGTTTATATCATCTTGATATTAGTCCTTCGAGTTTGTAAAACTTTTCTCCCATGCTGTAGCTTTTCTTTTTATTCTCTTAGCAGCATCTTTTACAGAGAAAAAGAATTGAATTATGAAGCCTAGTTTATCAATTTTTTCTTTTATGCACCATGTTTTGGGTGTCAGGTGTGAGGACTCTTTGCTTAGTCCTACATTCCACAGATTTCCCCCCAAGTGAGTTGCTTTTGCACCTTGTGGTGGCAAGTGCCTCTGGTCCCAGCTACTGGGCAGGCAGGAGGATCACTTGAGCCCAGGAGGTCGAGGCTGCAGTGGGCCACGTTTGTGTTTATGCCACTGCTCCCCAGCCTGGGTGACAAAGCAAGACCCGTCTCAAACAAATAAACAAACAAACGAAAACCTAAAGCTAGTGACTAGGAGACATATGATCAAAAGCATAACGGACAAAAAGTATGTAGAGTGTGACAATTGGTGATTTCAAACATCTAGGAGGATCTTTTTTTAAAATGTTGGTTTAGTTGCAAGCTGTTTATTTCACACACAGTCCTCAGTTTGTTTCAATGATCTTGGCTGTCAGATCTTAGCTATCAGGACTTCCATGGGCCAATTATTTCTAGTGGTTCTCCAAGAACCTTAATTCAAAGTCTCTAATTGTTACAAATTTACAATATTGATCAAGCCCTTTCCAAGCTTGCAGAGGTTTTCAGAGTAAAGGTCAAAGGCACGTATAATTCACAAATATCTGTTGCTGTAAAGTTTAATCGTTTGTTATTTTTTGTTTTATAGACACTGTGAGTGATAAGACTTTTGTCAATAGTGTGCTTTATCCCATCATATAATTGTCATAAACATATCATTATCACCATATATTCATGAGTTGTACAATAAGGCAATTGGGCAATTGTATAAAACCCATTTGGAAATGCTGAAGGATCCATCTCATGTCTATCCTTTACAGTTTTTAGTTGCAGATATAGCCTAGGTTGGCCACATCTTTTAGAAAATCTTCCCCTTGGTATTTTACATTGTGGACAATGTTCCCATGTTGTGGGTTGTCTCCTGGCAGTATCCACTTGCGGCTTTATCTAGTACTAGAAAAAAACCATGGCTTTGCTAGATATTTTTTCTCATAGAGCTTAAAATCCATTTGTTCCCAGTATTTATTTCAGAATTGGGGTCAAAATGTATGTGTCTCTAATGGAGTTCTTTAACTTTCCCATGAAATTTTTTTTTTTTTAATACAAGGCGTCTATATGTAAGGACTGTAGTTAGAGTGATATACTTAGCATGACAATATGGTAACGTATTTTGTAATTATATAGTATCTTTTTGAATATGAGCATCTACTTTTTATGACAGCAATTTTGAGGGGATGAGTGAACTTCTTAGATTGTACAGCATCCCAAGATAGTTGAACTACTTCAAAATTATACTGGCTATCAGAGTACATATTTACCCTTTTATTTTTAATAATGTGATGCATTCTAGTAGTGGTCATTTTTCAGCTATATAAATCTGGTTTCAAGTAAGGAATTAGATTCTATGACAGAGGCTGAACTAATTATTGCTAATATTATCAGGTAAGACTCACCATATATGAAGTCAATATTTAAAGACGTATTCAAAAGATCTGTTCTGGACTTCAATTCTTCTTGAACCACAGAAACACAATCAAGAAATTTTCTTTCACTGGATCAGGGTATGAGAGTTGTTAGATTGACTGAAGGAGCCAGTAATAATATTTTATAACTAGGTAGTTGACTAGCAGAAAAATGTTGGTAGTTTTCAGTTAGCAACAGAGGTAAACTGCACGTGGTATCATCAGAATTAAGGTAATATTGGTATGAAATCTGAAGATACATTGAATAAATTCATTGAGACTGAAATTGCTGTGAGGCAAAGAGGATATACCTCAGCTACTGGATCAAGGAATAATCTATAGTAGCCAGCAGGTCTTTGAAATGGACCATGTTGTTAATAGTTCTAGAGTATGGCCTAACATTAGCAGATACAAAAAAAAAAAAGAAAGAAAGATTTATGTTAGTCCGGGCGCTGTGGCTCACGCCTGTAATCCCAGCACTTTAGGAGGCCGAGGCGGGTGGATCACGAGGTCAGGAGATTGAGACCATCCTGGCTAACACGGTGAAACCCCGTCTCTACTAAAAAATACAAAAAATTAGCCGGGCCTGGTGGTGGGCACCTGTAGTCCCAGCTACTCGGGAGGCTGAGGCAGGAGAATGGCATGAACCCAGGAGGCGAAGCTTGCAGTGAGCCGAGATCGTGCCACTGTACTCTAGCCTGGGCAACAGAGCAAGACTCCGTCTCAAAAAAAAAAAAAAGATTTATGTTAATCTGAAAAAAATTGATCTGGATTCTTATGGGCTCTGCTGTAATTGTCCTACCTCTGTACATGAGGATTTTGCCCACCCACGCACATTCAGGGATTATAGCTACTTATTTAATTTTTTCTTCAAATATATAATGTAGAAATATTAGTGATCACATAAGGTATAATGTGATCATAGCTAGAAGGTTTTCTGAGACTTCTAATAATAATTCTTCTACAGTACATTTTATCTGGAATTTCCATTTGTAAAGTAAATTATATTATTAAATTGAAGTTTGTTTTGACTTCTAGCTTGTTTACTTTCTATGAGTCTTTGAAAATGTTTTTTTCACATTTTCAAGATATTCTGAATTAGAAATTACACATTTCATTTTTGGTTTTCTCATAAAGTGCCTTAATTAAGGTCAAACCTTGTTTACGAAAAGAGAAGGCAAGCCCCCCTTAACCTAGACTATTGTCTACCCAAAATACTGCCTGGGAGTTTAATGAAGTTTATTTTTCAAAGACTACTATGGATTCACAATATTATTTGGCTTATAGTTTTAAGTTCTTATGGATCTACTACTAAGAGAGATGCTTCTTTTTTTTAAAGTAATTCAATAATTGATTCCTCTAAAAAAGTGTGTAAGGGCATATAGCTCTCATCCACAAGTTATGTATGAATGGCATTTAAAATGGAGATCTTGGCTGGGGCAGTGGCTCAAGCCTGTAATCCCAGCACTTTTGGAGGCCAAGGCGGATGGATTACCTGAGGTCAGGAGTTGGAGACCACCTTGACCAACATGGTGAAACCCCACCTCTACTAAAAATACAAAAATTAGCTGGATGTGGTGGCAAATGCCTGTAATCCCAGCTACTCAGGGGGCTGAGGCAGGAGAATTGCTTGAGTTGCTTGAGCCCAGGAGATGGAGGCTGCAGTGAGCCAAGATTGTACCACTGCACTCCAGCCTGGCCGACAGAGTAAGACTCTGTCTCCAAAAAAAAAAAAAAAAAAAGGAAATCTTTTATTCTTTTATTATTGTTTCTGTTTTATCAAAAACTTATAGTATACTGTACCAATGCTATACTGTAGTTATGTTTTTTAGTGAAATTCACATATTTTTGTATTCTTTCAAATTATTTGCTATATATAAAAGAAGCTCACTGCAAAAATGCTTGAAGAAGAAAGGAAACAAAAGAAATTCAGAACTTCTCAGAAATGTGCAGCTTTTATATTTAAAAAAGGTTCTGAAATATACATACAAGCATGCTGGACAATCCTACCCTTCTCCTCTCCCCACTTCCTTTTTTTTTGGTTCAAACCATGGTAAGAATTCTGATTTCTGCAGAAAAGAAATGTTTCTTAAATGGGTTTTATGTGTTATACTTTCTTTTAAAAAATTGATCTTCTCAGGGCCACTTAAAATATGCACATCAAGGCTATTTATTTATTTATTTATTTAAGACAGATTCTTACTCTGTCACCCAGGCCAGAGTGCAGTGGCACCATTACGGCTCACTGCAGCCTCAACCTCCCCAGGCTCAAGTGATCCTTTCATCTCAGCCTTTTGAGTAGTTTAGACTACAGGTGCGTGCCATCATACCCAGCTGATATCTCTGTGTGTGTGTGTGTGTGTGTGTGTGTGTGTGTGTTTTATTTTGTAGAGATGGGGTTTTGCCGTGTTGCCCAGGCTGATCTCGAACTCCTGGGCTCATGCAATCCTCCCACCTCAGCCTCCCAAAGTGCCGGGATGACAGGCCAGGCCAAGGCTATTTAAATTATCTCCTGGCTGGGTGCAGTGGCTCACGCCTGTAATCCCAGCACTTTAGGAGGCTGAGGTGGGTGGATCACCCGAGGTCAGGAGTTCAAGACCATCCAGCCTGATCAACATGGTGAAACTCCGTCTCTACTAAAAAAAAATACAAAAATTAGCCAGGTGTTGTGGTGCATGCCTGCAATCCCAGCTACTTGGGAGGCTGAGGCAGGAGAATCGCTTGAACAGGAAGCAGAGGTTGCAGTGAGCCAAGGTCGCGCCATTGCTCTCCAGCCTAGGCAACAAGAGCAAAACTCTGTCTTCAAAAAAACAAAAATAAAAAATAAATTATCTCCTGATCTTTCTCTTCTTACTTTTAACAATTTTTTCTATCTAAAGGGGTAGCAATTTAGTGAACACATTAGAACAGAAATGACTACCCAGAAAAATAACTAGCTAAAAAAATCCTAAAGTGTGGTATCCCAGATAGTTCTTATATATGTTCTAGAGGTTTAGGGAAAATTTTAAATTATAACTCTCAATTTTTCTAGATCTGAGCTTAAATGCAACATTTCTATATTGCCTTCTGATTTAGAATTTTAAAGGGGATATTATGTGACATGTGATTGTTCCTTTCCGGAAAACAACCTCCCCAAAACGAAGCACATTTAAGAGATCAGAAGGAGGAGCAAAAGGAATAAGAGAGTAAAATAAGATAGATAAGGAGAGATGCAAAAAAGATAGGTTTCAAAAATTTGAACAACAGTGAAAAAGATAATCTTTGTGTGATTTTCTTGGAGTCGAAATTTTATTTGAGGTCAGCATATCAATTGAAAAAGCTAAATGTTATTTAATTCTTTTAAAGCTCCTCTAAATTTTGACATGTAAAAAGTTCCACATAATAGCTATTGTTATTCAAACTAAAAGTAAATTTGCCATTTACTAAGATAAGCACAAAAATTAGTATCATCATGGGAATTTATAGGGAAGCAGCTTTTCTGCCAGGAGGAGATTATGCCTTTTTTTTATTAGATAAACCCTTGAAAAACAAGAAGGCCACTACAGTTGGTCAAGAATGTGACTATGAATGTGTTTTGGATTCCCTAACCTAACAGAAGCTAGGAATGGACTGTGTAATCAAAAATAAAAATGTGCACCTCGGAATGTGAACTAATCAAAGGAATGTTCTTTCTCTCATGAACGGGCAAGAGGGATAGGAGACGGATCAACCCTATGCCTTCATCTGTTCTTTATGAAACACATGCTTATAGGTGCAACAGAAACAGGATAGTCCAGGGCAAAACAATTATAGCCATCTATTCACAAAACACATACACATATGCACACACAGGTGATACAACATCATATTAAGAGACAAACCAAAGAAAATGCAAAGTAATCAGTGAAGAATAAGCTCATTATTGGGTAAAAAAAAAAGTGAAATGGTGCACCTTCTAATCAAGAGTTCTCCAAATTAAATCCCAAATGTGTTATATAATACATATATTGTTGGCTACAAGTCCTAGGATACCAAAGGGAAGTCACCACTGGGAACCCAATATGATGATTTATAAGTCAAATTACTATTAAAGGGCAAATGGAATTTTGGCACCAGAAAACCAAAGAGCATTTCTGTTGGTCCAAAGGTCCTATAGAAAGCTTACAGTGATCTTGCTGGTACCTCCAGATTTGCCAAAAGATGATAGCACCACTCAATATCTGAAACAAAAAGATAAATCTTAATATATTGCTGATTTAGTAAGGGAGCACTATGCTCATCATGTACAGTCTCTCCAAGCAGAGCAGGTTTCTGCCCTTACATAAGGTTTTGGGAAGAATGACGTTCAGGGATTGGTGGATTTCTAGCAGGATCAAGCAAGTTAAAGTCAATTGAAGAAACATCCTTTCTCAGATGAGACTGTTGTTGATTGGATGTATTTTGGAAGTTTCTGTGCCCAACTGAATGATTTTCAAAGTAAGGTGCTATTACTGACTAGTGGTTTTAGGAAGCTTGTCCATGGAAGTGAATTGTTGGTTACTAAATGTGTGTAAAACCAGTTCTAGTGGTTACTTTTACCATGGTTATAGAACTGTAATTAATTAGTTAAACAGGGATAAAATTTGTTTGGTGACTACTTGTTACCAGGGATACAGAATATTTAGGCTTTTGTTACAGTGTTCAATTAAAAAAATTATTTTTGTGACAGTTAATGTTAGGGACTAGTTGTAAAGAGAAGGCAGCTGGGATAAGAGGTAATCAGTTAAGGGGTACTTACAGTGATCAAAACATGGTGACATGGTTTGGCTGTGTCCCCACCCAAATCTCATCTTAAATTGTAGCTCCCATAATCCCTTCATGTCCTAGGAGGGACCCAGTGGGAGGTAATTGAATCATGGGGCAAGTTTTTCTCGTGCTATTCTCATGATAGTGATGCGTTCTCATAAGATCTGATGGTTTTATAAAGGGAAGTTCCCCTGCACACACTTCTCTTGCCTGTCATCATGTCAGATGTGCCTTAGCTTCTCCTTCACCTTCTGCCATGATTGTGAGATTGCCAGTATGTCTTTATTAGCAGTGTGAGAACAAACTAATACACAAGGGATCCAAGATTCATCAGAGTGGGAACAATAAACACTGAGCATTCCAAAAAGTTAGAGGGAGGAAGAGAGGGGGACAAACGTTAAAGAACTACCTACCAGATACTATGTTCAGTCCTTGGGTGACAGGACCATCAGAAGCCCAAACCTCAGCATCATGCAATATACTCATGTAACAAACTTGCACATGCACCCTCTGAATCTAAAATTTAAAAAAAATCACCAGAGATTCTTTTCTTTACCTGAGGCCCATATCTGGAAATTATGACTCATTCAGACCAGCATGGTACCTGGATATCTCTATTATTTAAAAATTTCCCATGTAATTCTGAATGAAATCTTTCTTTGGATTTATACCTTGGAACTACTTTTAAGACTATCTAGCACTGTACTACTGTTTTACAGGTGAGACCAGAGAGATCAAGAAGATTGTCTAGTCTAGCTAGTTATTCACTCAAATGAGAATAAATACATGACGTCTTGCTTCAAGTCTTGTAACTTTAGTTTTGGTTTCTGAATGCAAGTGTGGATATCTACACCTGAACTTTGATTAGATTAACTCTAACCCTTTTAGGATTTGACTCATGATTATGCTTCTCGGTTATTTTGATTAAACTTCTCCTTGAGGAAATTGAATATATATTCTGAGTAGCTAAGATAACACACAACGGATTACTAACTAGTTCTCTGCCTTGTAACTATGGCTCTAAGGTTCTCCTAGGTCCTGGTCCCCACCATTCTGCCCCTTAGTTTTCTCATACATAAAATGAAGGTATAACAATGATTGATCTGTAGAGTCTCTTCAATATCTGGCATTCTAATTTATTACAACCTGGGAAGTTTTTATTATGGTGTTTTTGGAAGTATTAATCAAAATAGGAAGCTTCTGCATTGGAAAAGGGAATTGTGTCAGATTTAGGAAGTACAATCAATATGCCTTAAAATAGATAATTGAAGTTACAAAATTGCAATTAATAGTGCGATGAGGTAGATCTTTTACAGGTCTACTATGAAGGCCGGTAAAAGTTTTAAATTTATATTGAGGTGGTGAAAATAAAGATCTGCTACTAGAAGTTATGGTGAATGCAGCCTGAGTGGTGAGGTCACCCCAGCCCATGAAATAGAGAAGGAGCCTTCACTGTTTTCACATCTTATAGCCTTAAGAGCAGAGTGAATCGAGAGTGCTTTAAAAGTCTCCTCCAAGCACAGGCAAGGCCTAGCAAAGATGGACCAGGACAGACATTACATTAGTTGCCTAGGTAACAGAGCCCCTTCCTATGTGTCATATTATAACAAGAAAAGCCAAAGCCATGTACAGATGAAGAAAATAATCAAGGGACAAGAGATCTGGTTTGGATAAAATCTACCTGTGAAGAAAGTTTGAAGAGGTATTTGAGAGAGTTTGTCCTGCAAAAGATGACATTACCACTGGAGCAAAATTGAGTTCTGCTTAAAAGTGTGATACTTTCTGCCTTTCAAGAGGTATAAAATGAGGTATATCAAGCTTTTCTCCTGTTAGTGTGATCACAGACAGTGGCAATAAATTGAGTTCATTACCCAAGTTGTCTCAGCTGTTCTATCTGCTGAGCATATTATCTATAATTCTCAGAATCTTTCTTAAATGAGTACTCAATACCAGTCTCTACCAACTGATTGAAGTGAGCATGTGAGATGAAACCAAATTGTCATTCTTGTCTTCCCTGCTCCATGTTTTGGGACTGTATAGCAGCAGTAGAGGCTACACCCCCCAGCAGTGTAAAGACTCTTACTTTGAGAGATAATAGATTGAAGGAAAGACGGGGCAGAATCTTGGCCATTCTCAAAGTGCTGGCCCTGTGAACACTGTTTCAGACTCTAAATTTACCTTTCTGCTCTGTGTTTTGGCTGTTCTCAGACCAGGAACAGCAGGTCAGCCTAAGAGATGCGCTGTCTCTTAAGAGATAACCTCCAGAGAAATATCAGCCAAAAGGGGTGTTGTCCAGATGGTGAGTGCTCTTCCATCTTTATCATTATCTGACCTGCCAAGGAAGAAAACAGGTCTAACACCAGCGTCCCAGATCTTTGATGGAGAGGCCAGAACGCTATGAGAAAAGCAGGGCTAGGTTCAAATCCTGCCTTTACTGCGTCTTAACTAGGTCACATTAGGCAACACCTCAAGCCTTAATTTCTTCATCTGCAAATCAAGGGTGCTAATACTCACATTAAGGATTTCTTATAGACAATGAAATTTATTGTCAAAAATCAAGTAAATGAATTGATATATGAGAAAAAGTTTTGCACAGTGCTTAACACATTTTAAGCAGTTATTAAATGTCAAATATCACTGGCATTCTAGAGTCACTTCCATAATAACCTGAGAGAAAGTGGCAATTTTTCATTTTTTATCTCGTATTGCTTATGGAGCTGAGATTAACACCTTATTGAATAAATTCTTGCTGCCATGCATTTCTCACTCTTTAAATTTTTTTATTTTTCACACTTCCTGAATCTCTGGTTATTTCCTACATATTTGAATTTCAGAAAATATCAAACACGCTCCCACCTCAGGGTCTTGATATCTGGGGGTTTCAGTCTCTACCATCTACTACCCCTCAGGTATTCCACTGATCCTCTTTCACGCATGTGGTCTCTGCACAAATTCAGCCAAATATCTGCTTAAATGTTACCCTTACAAAGAGGACTCCTAGACTCACCCATATTCTATGATATGTCCCTCTTTAACTTACATACCTCCTAGATTCTGACTCTTCTTAATTTTGGTTCATAGCACTTTGCTTCCTAAAATTATATATTTATTTGATTCCTTCTTTATTTCCTGTTCCCACCAAAATATAAATGAGGACAAGGTGTTTTTTTAGTCGCTTTCACTATTGGATGTCCAATACCTAGAACTATGCCTGGCACATAGTATATGAATGCACACACACGAATGAATAGAGAGACATATCAATAAGTGAATGGTCATAGGTTCCAGTTTTCTTTTTCTTTTCTTTTCTTTTTTTTTTTTTTGAGACAGAGTTTTGCTCCATTGCCCAGGCTGGAGTGCGGTGGTGCTATCTCGGCTCACTGCAATCTCTGCCTGCCAGGTTCCAGAGATTCTCCTGCCTCAGCCTCCCGAGTAGTTGGGACTACAGTCGTGCGCCACCATGCCTGGCTAATTTTTTGTATTTCTAGTAGAGATGGTGTTTCACCATGTTGGCCAGACTGGTCTTGAACTCCTGGCCTCAGGTGATCCACTCACCTCAGCCTCCCAACGTGCTGGGATTACGGGTGTAAGCCACCGTGCCCGGCCTTGTTCCAGTTTTCAAATCTGACTTCAACCTTTATCAGCAGTGCTGCAATGAATATTCTTATAAATGCTACCGTGAGAACATATATGGATGTTTTCCCAGAGAAAACACTTAGGAATGAAATTACTAGGTCATAGAGTATGTGCATCTTCCACTCTATTAGACATTGTCAAATTCGTCTCCAAAGTAGTCATATCTATTTACACTCCCACTGGTAGTACATAGTAGTTCATATTTATTTCTCTTCTTGTCAACATTTTGTATTATCAAATCTTAAAATTTTTCAACCTAATAAATGGAATGTGTGCGAATTAGTATATCTTTTTTAAGGTGAAGAAAAGAAAACACTGTAGTGAATTATCAGGTGTTGTGTGCAATCATTTATTACATTACCACAGCAGTATCTGAGAGACTGAAAAGTTTTATCTTTACCCAGAGCCAGGACCCACCATTTAGTTGGATTTCCATTTGTGGTCTTTGTCCTATGTCAAAGTTATAATGGGAAAAACGGAACACATATTGAGGACTTTTGAAATCTGGGCCTACCACTTCTTGGCTTGGGCAAGGTATTTAGAATCTCAGTAGTTTTCTCTCAGAAGGAATTAAGCAACAGTCTTGTCTTTCTCTTGCAGGACTGGCATGAAAATCAACTGGGATAATTTATGTAATGTCTAAACACCTACATAAACTTTACTTATTATTACCTGTTTTCTGCTGCCCCAGTTGAAGATCTCTGCAAGTAAAATGAATCTAGAGTGAGCACATGGAGCCCCCATTTAAGGGGCTCAGTATGAGATTTAAGCTAATCTCTCCCAACTACATTTTGACTTTTTTGCCTTAGCGAGTGAATGGTTCAACTACACACAGCCTATAGGGCCAGTGGGAGTCCCATTCAATAAGAAATTTACTCTTTCAATAATGAACACGCCTCCAGCACCTCTGAGCCCACTCCTCCCACATTAAAAGAATATGTATAATCCCTGCTTCCCATGTGACAGTGCCTGCCTCCAATGATTTCCCAAGGAGCTGGGACAAAAAACTTTCTGCTAGGTTTCCAGGCTCACTGAGTGGCCAATTTTAAGTGAGATTTTCAAGTGGCAGAAGTGTATCCTTTTGTTTTGGAATCTCTTTTTCTTTTTTTCATATGCAAGGATGCCAGTTCTCTCTCTCTCTCTCTCACACACACACACACTCTCTCTCTCTCTCACACACACACACACACACACACACATTCCTTCAACTTGCCAGAGCTCCTGTGGATTTGCATCTTTGTTAGGATCAAAACTTTAATCTCTGTGGTTTAAATCCTAGTAATCACACATCTTAGCCCGTATGTGGAGGATGACACTGGAGCTCACGAGCCCCGATGGTAGCCCAGGTCAGGAAAGGACCTTGATCACATGCAGCTGGGAAGGGCCTAAGTGGAAGGTTGCCCCAGTCACTGCACATGTTCAATATGGGTGACTAGAGCCTGGGAAACATGATGTTCTGGGAGGTAGGAGGCTGCTGACGTGATCAGGGATTTGTGGTCATAAATTTTAGGTGGAAAGCAATTTGAACGAGTTGGAATTTTTTTCTTCTTCTTTAAAGAGATGTTTGAGGCAAAAAACAAAGACAAAAACAAAAAAAAGTTCAACTGCTATTGAGCCGACTTTCTGAAAAGAGCTCATAGTGAAATTGCATTGTAATGTAACCTATGCATTTAGGAGGTTCCTGGTGAGTTCATTCTCTCTCTGTCAGGAAATTAACCTTGCGAAGCAAAGCAAAAATGCCTCACAGTGGTATTTCCTTTCTGAAATAGTTCTTTCAGAAAGGAAAATGTTCATGTGTCCTTGATAGCAGCAGGAGGCAGCCAGATGCCTAGGCAGATAGGGGTGGGTCCCCAGTGAATTCCCACCTTCAAGCCAAAAAACAACCTGAAGGCTGAAAGACCAGACTGCTGGTCCCAGATGAAATCCGCAACCCAGAGTGAGAACTTCTGTTCCTGTTTACCTGCCCTTTCCTTATTGATTCTTTCTCAATAATACCTTTTATCCAATTGAATGTGGACTTTTCCAATATCACCTACAGCCTATGCCTCCCCTATTCTGAGTGCATAAAAGCCCCCGACTCAGCCACATTGTGGGGACTTCTCTGCCTTTGGGTAAGGGGACCACCCACGCATCCCTTCTTCCTGGAAAGCTGTTTCATCACTCAATAAAACCCCCCGCCTTGCTCACTCTTTGGTTGTCAGTGCATCCTCATTCTTGGATACCGGACAAGAGCTCGGGACCCACTGAGTGTGGGTACCCAGTAAGCCTGTCACACTGGCTTTTTGCCCTCACCAGTGGAGGGCAGTCACCCCATACAATGGGGCCAGGGGCCGACTGAGCTGCTAACATGCCGCCATCCATCAGGTTGTAGATGGCAGAACTAAAGGAGCCAATTAACATACTAACACCCCCTCTGGGGCTTCAGGGTAGTGGGCGCCCTTGCCTGGGTGCTGCCACATTCCCCTGGAAATGATATGCCTGCTCTGGCTGCAAGCCCCTCACAGAGCTTGCTCCTGTGTCAGCAGAGTGGCTGGCTGGATCTTGCACTCGCTTACTCATATGCTGCCTCCTGCAAGGAGCCTAGGGTATGTAGGGCTTCATATCTTGGGGGAAGGGAATCCAGAAACCTGACATGCCAGCAAAAGGGTAAAAGTTGTTTTTACCAGTCAGACTTCTGGCCTTCCTCTCCCTCTGCAAACCAGTAGAATGAATGATAAAAATCACATTTTATATCCTCTGTAAGGTTTTGATAAATGGAAAAAAGGATTTATGAGGCAAGTCTTAAGCTGTAGCCAGTCTGGTGTGCTTTGTGTGTCTTTCTGTATGGTTCTGTCATAAGGAGGAATACCTTAGGATAGAACATGGGCCTAGGACCCCAGAAGCTCAGTGCTCAAGCTAGCTTGACAAACTGGTCAGTAGCAGACTTTGCTGCAAGTCTGCTTCTTGTTTCATGTACTTGGGAGCTTAATCTTGTAACTATGTGGCAGTACTTTCTTTTAGTCTCTGCCATTTTACAATGGCGACCTGGGTTCAGTCCTGACTTAGGGAATGAGTGCTTTCTGGTTAATATTTGTGTGACTTTTACCATTTGCTGATTCTCTTCCCCTCCGTGAACAACTTCTAGCTTCCTTTCTTAAATCTTCCTTTCTCTGAGCTACTTTTAATGATTCTAGATTTTGTAAAAACTACTTACCACCTTTTTGAAAATACCTGGTACACTCACAGTTAAGTCATAACCTTAGTTGAGGCTTGTTGGTTTCACCTGTGAGGTTACTTTTAGTAAACTTCAAAAGCCAGAAATATTGGCTACTTGATGTGGGTAAAGTCGGGTAATAAGAGATTTAAAAGAATTTTTCGTAAAGATTACTATGATTAAAAATCAGCTTATTTAAAAGTAGATATCCAAGCTATAGGTATATTTAAAAGGCCTTTATGTTTTTCTTTCTTGGATCTTGTTTTTCTGAAAAAAGATTTTTTTTTCCCCTTCTCAGTCAACTGAATTATTTTTTTCCATTTTGCCTTGCCACTCTTAATGCATGCATGAAAGGGCCTAAGATAACTTCTGAGAGCATGAGACTCTTTGGGAAAAACAGAGAATGTGCCACAGACCCCATTTTGAGAGAAAAAAAAAAACACCTGTTTTCCTCATGGAATCCCAAAATTAAAAGAGGATAGATCCCTCTCAATATCTGTTTTTGTCTTCCAGCTATGCCTGTTTATTAGGCCCTAGAAACTGCATGCTTTCCTAGCCCTGTTTTTTGAAGGGCTCCACCTGGAGGCCAGTAATCCAATTAGGAGATTGGCATATGAAAAATCCTATAAGTACTGGATCTTCTTCTCTCTGCCTGTGTAGTTATATATGTGCTATGTGTGTGATGTTTATATTTAAAAAGCTCTAGTTAATTGGCTTAAAGAAAATAAGTGCTTATAGCAAATATTTTTTGAAGGAAAATAAAAGTTGTAATGCCTTTTAGTTCATGTGACTTTAATCACTGAGACATAAAAACAGGTTTAAAGACTATTGGCAAAATATTATACAAATGTCTTCAAAATGTAAATATGTGGTCTAAATTATGCAGGTCAGATACTAGGTTTTCTAAATGCTTTAAGGTTATAAATTGCTTCTTAGGCTTTTGAAAATTGTTTGACTTGCCTGCTTTATAGTTTGGTAAGGCCTGGGGACATATGGAGTTAACCATGCCTCTAACTATGCTGGAAAGAGTCAGATCTTAGCTGTACCTAGTACATAATTAAAATAACTTACCATGCTTTACATTACAATTAAAAATTGCTAAGAGTTACATTATAACATGTAATTGAGACTACTGAAGATAGATTTACATGCAAGGTATGTAAGGAAAGTAAAATGTGTTTTTAGTAAAATATTATAAGAAGGCATGGAAATGTAAATTTTTGCCTAGTTTAGAGGGTTAAAGGATTGCTTTAAATCAGATAAAATAAAGCTGAAGGTTTAAACAAGTTTTGGAAGGTTTGTAAAAATTAAGCTTGCAGAAGAATTAAAAAGGCATTATATGGGTTTTCCATAAATTGAGCATTGAAACAAAAGTGCAACAAGGTTTTCTTAAGGCACTGATATGCTCTTTAACAAAAATGTGTAAAAGGTTATAAAAGGTTTACAAGCATTTAATCTCATGGTCACACTGGTTGAGATTAGGTAGAATTATCTAGAGGGTTTCATTAAAAAATTGGGGTTGACATAAATAGCAAACTAATGCAAGGGTGAAATTTCACTTTCTTTCCCTTGAGCAAGATTTTCATGTAATAATAAAGGATAATGAAAGATTTTTGTTTGCCTTGTGAATAAACTACCAAAAAAGAAGATAAGAGACAGATTGGTTGGAAAGCTAAGTCTTCTGTCTTAATGAGTAAAGGTTTTTCCCTTGTTTTAAAATTTTTGGATCATTATTTTGGCTAAAATAAATGATTTATGGTCATCTAAAATTCTGTTTCATGATATCAAGTGTTTTACACCTTTAACCTGTTTGGTAGGCTTCCCAAAATCAAACTTCAGCTTCAAAAATTGTCTTTTCTGCCCTCTAACTTTTGGATGCTATAGCAGGTCCCTGAAGCATCCAAAAGAGATGTAAACAGGATTATTTAACATGTTTAGTTACATGGGATTGCCAAAATAAAAATGAGGTTTAATTTTCTTCAGGTTATATTTATATTAATAATATTAATATATCTTCCAAAATTGTATGGGATTTCTAAAATTTGAATGTCTGAATATATGTTATCAATCATAATTAAGGTTATTATTTTAAGTTATTGTAAACCAAAGAAATAACCAAATTTCTTTGTTAATTGTTTTTGACTGTAACTACATTTTGTAATTTACAAACAATTGTTGTCTTGCTTTGATCCTTTTCAAAAGATGGTTTATAATCAGCTATAGGACTTTGACAGGTGTTCTTACATGAGGTTTCTGATATCTTTGGAGATTGTGATGTTAGAATAAAGGAAAAACATACAGGACTCATGAAGAGCTGAAATACTCATGAATATCAAGCAGAACAAAAGTTAACTGAATGGACTGAACTAATGGAAAACTGAAGTAATATTTTAAAAATTTTTTGCTTAAAACATTGCCAATCCTTATTTTGTTTCTCAGAGTCAAGGTGACTTTTCTTTTGAACTATCTTCAGCTTTTAACAATTAGCAAGGTACACTCCTGTGAACAAAATTTGGAGCGTGTTTGTTTCTCTCTGCCTGGTTTCTCTAGAAGTTGGAAACTATTTGTGAGTATACTTAACTTATGGCACTATAGTTATTTGCATCAGTGCAATAAGAATTCATTTTCTTCTGCAACAGAACACAGTTGGAGAAACTGGTTGTTTTACCAAGGCTTTGGCTGGAAAGGTATGCTTCCCTTTAAGGAATCAAGCTTGACATGCAGAGCCAATAAAAGCCCCCTGGGAAAACTGACCTCATACCTTGTCTACACAGTCCCTGTACAGGGTTTCTAACCTGTGGTGAGTAAAGAATGTCACTTAGTAACAGGCCTGGGAGCCACATGTTATCTTGGGAGCTCAAGCAGAGAGGAATTTACCCAACTTATAAGCATTTGAGGGTACAAACCCATGGCTGGGCTCATCTTTCAAAGGCCTTATCTGAGATTCCTTGTGGAACAGAGTTCCATCAAAGCCAATTTTAAAAGCCTATGTGAAAAATAATTATTCTTGCTGTATTTTATGCAAATAATCAGACTAAGTATAAGACTAAAGTTTATTTTGGCAACAACTCAGTCCTGTCATGATTTGTTTCTTTAACAAAAATGAGGAGAGAGAAAATTTTTTCAAAACTTATACTCTTGGCACTAAATTCTAGTCTCATTAGTTGTTTGTAAGTTTTTGCCTACATTTTGGACTAACCCTGCTTATTCCTATGAACCAACCAGTGATCTCTGGCTGAAGCTCAGAAGAAACAAAAGGGATGGGTAATGGAAAAATCTGGGTCAATATTCTAGTTCTCGGCAATTATCCTGCAAATCCTGCCAGGTGATAGGAGTAAATAGGGTGCCCATAACCCAAATATTTCTTTATTTGGGAAAATAAAACCAAGAGAACTAACCAAAGACAAGCTCCATGTACCAAAATCTTAGCAGGCATAACTATAGCCACTAGCCACTAGCCACTAGTTATCTGGGCATGTCAGCAGCCTCAGGATTTTTAAGCTGTCCCTACCCCCTTGTTTAGTTCTGATACATGTCTTCTGATAACCCAGTTTGTCTCTTTTTGCCTTCAGACCATCAAACTCCAAATGGTCATGAAACTGAAGCCTCAGAGGATGGCTTGCCTTCACTGGGGACTGTTAGATAGGCCTCTGAGGAGATCTGTGGGCTGCTTTCCCAAAACAGCACCCCCTGCCAGCAGGAAGCAGTTAAGATCCATCTTCGTCCCTATTCTGACAGCAGCTAGAGACATACCTCTTCAGAAGGGGGAATTGATAGTGGCTGGAGGCAGGCAAATACCTAGACAGATAGGGATGCCTCCCCGGTGAAATCACACCTTCAAGCCAAAAAACAGCTTGAAGGCTGAAAGTCTGGACTGCTGGTCCTGGATGAACCCACAACCCAGAGTGAGAACTTCTGTTCCTGTTTACCCACTCTTTTCTGATTTATTCTTTCTGAATAATGCCTTTCAACCAATAGAATATTGCCGTTTTCAATATAGCCTGACTATCCCCTATTCTGAGCCCATAAAAGCCCCAGACTCAGCCACATTGGGGAGACTTTCCCACCTTCAGGTAGGGGGACCACCCCAGCATACCCTCTCCATGGAAAACTATTTCATCACTCTCTGCCTTGCTCACTCTCCAGCTGTCAGTGCATCCTCATTCTTGGATGCTGGACAAAAGCTCAGGACCTACTGAGTGCAGGTATCCAGAAAGGCTCTCTATGTCAGGAAGCCGTGTGCTGGTAAGCTGACCACCAAAAGGCAATTTGTAGCATTTTACCATTCCCCTAGTGTAAATACCCCCAAGAGAGTTGATTTCAAGCAGACTTGGGATAAGGTGCATACAATCAACCCTTAGGGCCTGCTGCATGCCAGCTTCTGCATTCCACTGAGTTGGGAGAAACAAATACCAGTTGCCCAAAAAGCGAAGGTTCTGAGTCAGAACGTATGTGAAAAGATATGCAGGTACTTAGGAAATTTAAATGATTGATCCTAAACTGACTAGCCATGAAAATTCAATTGGTAAACAATTTTTCCCATCTACAGAGCAGAAATTAAGATGAGATTAATATTGTGTTCTATTTGAGGCAGGATGTTTTCTCACTGAAAATAAAATAGACAAACAGATAAATAAATAAATAAATAGAAATAAGCAAATTATCTCTGGTATCCTGTCACCTACTTTTGAGTTTCTTGTCATGAAGAAGTATTCTCATGAAAGTTCTTTTCCAGCTGTGATAGCCAGCCTAAGACTGTAGGGTTCAGATCACTCCACCCTACTCGAGACAGAAATACTCATAAAGGAGTTTAGTCATTGGCAATGTCTTAACCTATTAAGATTCCAGAGTATTAAGCATATACAGGTTTATTGATGATTATCTCCAGAATACATTTGTAAGTTGTTTGTCTAAGTCAGTTTTCTGGAATTTAGAGTGCATTAGCCCATATAAATTACAATATAAATAATTCTGAGACAAAAGTCCATTTTACTAAAACCAATGAATGCTTACAGATTTTCACTAAATGGCAGAAAATGATAGCTGTTATAAAAATCAATAAGTTGAATAGAGAAACAACCAACATGAGTAAAGTATTTTGAAATTCTTTCTTTCTTTTTTAACACAGTCAAATCAGGTTCAATAGGAGATTAGGAGGGCCACTAGATGTTTTTGTGAAGATGGGAGGTTTCTTAACATTTCTAATAGTTTCCCCATTTTCACTTAAGTCATTTGTAGCACTACACTTCATGCACTTCACGCATCCTAATGATTACTATTGTGTTTGGAGAAATCACAAGTGAAACAAAGAATTTGCAACATCGAGAAATGGAAAGAGAGTAAAAATGGAGCTATGACCCTAAGGAAATATTTCTTGAGTGCATTCTATACTGCACTAGTCCTACAAGTTGTTCCATTATCAGTTAAGTTTGGGAAAATGAATACCAGATCCCCTAGTTGGATAGTCACATTGCATATGTGAGCATTTAAGAAGAAAGAATGCCCCATAATAAATGAGCTTGTTTAACTTTCAATTTCTTCAACATATTAGACAGTGAATTCTTTTTCTTAAATAATATTTGTTAACAGCAAGCAAATCTGATAAAATCTAAAATGTTTTTCTCTAGTTCATGACCCAATAGAGGATCACAAAATCATTTGAATAGACTAAGTATCTATTTAATGCATATGTGAGTTACAAAGCATAACAATAAAATGAACACTCATGATTCTAGCATAAAATTAACAATGCCATTAAATCTATGTGCAACTCATATTCTTTTATTCCAATCTTGGCTTACCCATAAGAGGTAACCATTATCCTGAAATTTGCATTTAATTCTTTTTAATTTTTTAAACATTTTTTATTTATGATATAAGTATTCCTATGTTTATTTTTATTTATTTTGTCCATTAAAACAATATCATTCTTAATGTAGTCTTCTGGGTACATGGTTGATTCTTGAAATCAACTCTTAATGTAGTCTTGGCTTTTCTGATTCTAAAATTCAAGTATGTTGTTTCATGTAGCTGTGGTTCATTCATACTCACTATGGTATAATATTTTATATTGCAAATGTTTCTGGAAATTCTCCTGGTGAACATGTGAAAGAGTTTTCTTGGGAGTCTGTGGCAGGTGAGATCACCTGAGTTCAGGAGTTTGAGACCAGCCTGACCAACATGGGGAAACCCCATCTCTACTAAAAATACAAAAATATCTGAGTGTGGTGGCACATACCTGTAATCCTAGCTACTTGGGAGGCTGAGGCAGGAGGATTGCCTGAACCCAGGGAGGTGGAGGTTGTGGTGAGCCGAGATCACACCATTGCACTCCAGCCTGGGCAACAAGAGCAAAACTCCATCTCAAAAAAAAAAAAAAAAAAAAAAAAGAGTTTTTCTGAGTTATATACCGCAAAAGTTTCTCTATGCTCTATTCCTTGAATTGAAATTTCTGGATCATAGAGTAGGATAATTTTCAACTTTACAATATAATGGGAAATTATTATTTTGATCAACTTTTTTATCAATATACACTCCCACCAAGATTGAGAAAGAGAACTGACCCATGACTTTTTGATCTTGGAGTTTTTCAGTACGTAGAACTAAAGATTCAAATCCAGGTATATGGACAGGGCCAAGACTAGGCATGGAAGGTAGGAATTTAATAGTATGGCAAATAAATGAACACTAGCATCAATAGTTTCTTGGTTATCGTAGTATTGCCTACTGAGGATGAATACACAGTTCTTTCTGCTCTCCAGGCAGAAAGCAAACAGGGCCCAAAATAAACATCACGTTTTCAAAACACTGTCAGACAAAGAAATTCTTCAGGCACACATGGCTTCTTATATCTTTTAGTTCTAGCATGAACATGGACAGAAGAAAGAAGAGCTTGTTTAGAAGGGTCCTTTCATCCTGAAGCCAAGTGGTTCGGCTTTACCTTTGACCTGCTTATTTTGATCTCTCTGTCCCCAATACTATTCTTAATAAAATCAGTTGGATCTGACTGGGTCATATATTCCTAAGCTCCTAAAAATAATATTCTTATGAAGTAATAAACAGAGTCCCTCATCCTAAGCCAACAAAAGTATAGAAGCTTTTTGTCTTCACTAGGCTTCAGCCATTATTATTTCTGCCTACCTTTTCTGTAGCCAATGTGTGATATTTAATTACAGTAGAAAAGAGTTTTAGGTACAAATGGTTTGTTGTGTTCCATATGCACTTTAGAAAAAAGTAATTATATTTAAAAGCCAACAAATAGAGCTTCAAAGATAAATGAAGTAAAGGTAGGAGAGAAAGAGGGAGCTTAAAAATTAGGGTTCATCTGATTCCATCTTTGCCACAATTATGACAAATAAAGGCTTTGTGAATGGAAAGTATAAGAGAAATATAATACATTGATGTTTTGAAGATTGTTATAAGGATAAAGCATTAAATTGCAATGTAGTTATTGAAAAGACCATACCCTATTTCTGGATAAGGAAATGTGAAATTCAAAACAAAATAAATTACATGAAAAATACCTATTTGCACATCAAACTGAAATGAATATTCTTCAGGGCTGGTTCCAAATTGCACTTGTTTAAACTGTAATTAGAGAGAAGACTAGCAAATGTGTGGATAATACTAACAATACTGGTGAGATGATTAGCCATTGAGGTAGCCAGCCAAAGATTGTTCTTCTGATAATTAGCTTCAGGATAGAGAATCCAATATTTGCCAAGATAAATGTATGTTGACAAAAATCTCCATATGGCCTGGCAGATATGTGCTTGGGATGTAAAAGAAATTAGAAATTAGAAGAACGGGGTTCTGAATAAGGAAATTTGGATGAAATTTTCAAGTATATTGCTCATTCTGATGGTCAGTTCTTGGACACCTCCAAAATACTTGGGGCAGCTATGAAGGGGTGTGATTAAATCTCCATCCAAGAAAGTCCTTGCTACTTGGCTGCAAGGAGTGCAGTTATTTCATAGCACTAAAAGAAAAACTTTTGGCAAATTAAATTTAACAGTGTTTAATTGAACAAAGAATGATCTGGCAGCCCTCACAACCACAATAATTTTAGAGCAACTCCTGGGGGCTACCACATAGTCAGATAATATTTATGGAAAGAAAAAGGAAAGTGATATCCAGAAAAAGGAAGTGAGGTACAAAAACAGCTGGATTGGTTATAGCTTTGCCTTTGCCTTATTTAAACACAGTTTGAACAGTTGATGGCCTGTGATTGGCTGCAACTCTGTGATTGGTACAAGAGTAGGTTAATGTCTGTTTATATATCCAGTTAGATTATAGTTCACCATGTATAGAGAAACCTTTAGGCCAAACTTAAACTATTTAAGGAGGCGGCTTTAGACTAAACTTAACAGCCTCTTGCTGTTAACACCTTTAGGGTCTGCCCCATCTTTCAAGCCAAGGTCAGAACCTTGGGGGCAGTTTCCAGCCAAGGGCTGAACATGGGAGGAGCATTCGGTCCTGGATATTTCTACCCAATATCTGAAGCTCCCCAGTGGGTTGGCAGAGACTGTTTCAGACCAAAACCTCAGGCTGAGGCTCTCCTTAAATAGTCTTGCCTCTCTTCTCTTTATGTCCCCCTAAGAGACTTCTTACAGTCCGAATTCATTTCAGTGCCCAAAACCTGGGGGACTCCAAGATATTTTGCATACAGTGCCCAAAGGGAAACATATCGTCTTCCTTTACTACCCTCCTCCACATTTTTATTCAAATCTAATTCCTCCCCATTGATCTGTTTTAGACAATAGTATCACCACCCATCTGATTGAACAAGCCAAAAACACAGGCATAATACTCAATATGATCTTGACTTTTACTCCTCTCACTTAAAAGCAAACAAAGAAATCATCAAGTCCTGTGTCTACTGTGCATTTCTCATATCTTTTGGACTCTACCATCATCATCCAATAACTGGCCAATTTAATATGGTTTTTATCAAGCCTCTTAACTGGTCTACCCTCATAAATACCCTGACTGCCTGTTTATTGTCCACACTGTTGCCAGAGTGATTTCTTCCAAAGGCAAATTGATCACATCACAGAGCTGATAAAAGGACTTGAAAGGCCTCCAATTGTCATTAGTGTTAAGTGAAAATTCTTTAATGATTCTACAAGGCTCTTTACTGTGTGGCTCTTAGTCTCTCTGCCCTAGTTTTGATTTACACTTTTCCTAGTTCTGTCCACTACAAACTCACCATACCTTTTTTCACAAATGCTGCTTCCTCTTCCTACAATGCTTCTCTAGCCCCTTCCTCAATTAATTTATGCTCAACTTTCAGATGTTGAATCAAGCATCACAATCTCAGGGAGGCTTTCCCCAATTTCCCTGACTGGTGCAAATTTCCCCATGATAAGATATCAAAGAACTAAGTTCCTCTTCTTGTCAAGCATCTATTTCAGTCATTATTTCATTTCATTTGGAACCATTATAATTGTTTCTCCTAGATACTTTTAAAAATAGGTGCGATTTATATACAATTAAGGACACAGATTTTAAGTGTATTTTTCAATAGTTTTGGCAATTGCCTTAATCAGTGGCTAAATCAAGGTATAGAACATTCCCATTCTGCCAGAAATTTGTGTCATGACTCTTCTAGTCTACACCTCTTCCCTTACTGTCTGTTGTAGTCTTTTGCCCATTTTCTATTGTCTTTTGATAATTGAATTGTAGTATTTTCCTTATATATTCTAGACAGAATCCCTTTGCTATATACATGTGTAGAGAATATTTCTTCCCAGTCTGTGACTTCCTCATACATTTCTGTAATAATGTCTTTCGATAAACAGAAAATTTTAATTTTAATGAAGTCCCTTTTATAATCTTTTTCTTATATGGTTAATTATTTTTACATCTTGTCTAAGAAATCCTTGCTTATGCCCACAGACATCTGAACTGCCAGGGAGTATTGCCTGGAAAGTTGGCAGAGAGAGAACTCCAGCCTGTGCAAAGCCCAGAGGGTTTGGAATAGGAATAGCAGCAGTGGAGCACAGCCTGGGTCACCCCTTCCCAAAGGCTCACCATACTCCTCTAGGCAGCGCTAGCCTTTGTTGCCTGCCAGACCAGAGCAGGGCTGTCTTGCCTGTGGGACGGGACAAGTCTGATTTTAGTGCCCCCTCTCTGCCAGCCTCTCTCAAGGTCCCTGCTTGGCCATACCTACTTGCAGTGCAACCTCAGTTTGCCAGCAGCCCCCACCATAGCTCTTTCTGTGGCGGAGCCAGCATTTTTGAGCACTTTTGCACACACCTACCAGTGCACACCTTGCCAGTGCACACCTACCCAGAGCCTCCCCCAACTAATGTGCACCCATCCATAGAGGTCCTAAAGGGAAGGCTAAACATGGAAATTAAAAATCAGTACCTGCTACCACAAAAACACAAATACATAGCCCACTAAAACTGTAAAGCAACTATACAATCAAGTTTACACAACAACTAACAACAAAATGACAGGATCAAAGTCTCATAAATCAATATTAACTTTGAATGTGAATGGGCTAAATGCCCACACTTAAAAGACATGGAGTGGCAAGTTGGGTAAAGAAACTAAACCCAACTGCCTGCTGTCTTCAGTAAAACCCAGAGGCTCAAAGTAAAGGGATGGAGAAAGGTCTATCAAACAAATGGAAAATAAAAAAGAGCAGGGGTTGCTATTATTGTTTTAGACAAAGCACACTTTAACCCAGCAACAATCAAAATGGATAAAGAAGGTTATTACATAATGATAAAGGGCTCAATTCAACAAGAAGTCTTAACTATCCTAAATATATATGCACCCAATCCTGAAAAACCCAGATTCATAAGTCAAGTTATTAGAACTATGAAGAGACTTAGATAATCACATGACACTAGTGGGAGACTTCAACACCCCAGTGACAGTTTTAGTCAGATCATCGAGGCAGGAAAATAACAGATACTCAGGACCTGAACTCGATGCTTAAACACATGGACCTAACAGACATCTACAGAATACTCCACCCAAGAACAACAGAATACACATTCTTCTCATCTGCACACAGCATATTCTCTAAGATCAATCACATCCTTGGCCATAAAACAATTCTCAAAAAATTAAAAGAAAATTGAAATCATACCAGCCACACTCTTGGGGCATAGCACAATAAAAATAGAAACCAATACTAAGAATATTTTCAAAAATTGAATGATTACATGGAACTTAACAAATTCCTGAATTACTTTTGGGTAAATAATGAAATTAAGGTAAAAATTTAAAAATTCTTGCAAACTAATGAAAACAAAGCTACAATATACCAGAATCTCTGGGACACAGCTAAAGCAATGTTAAGAGGAAGGTTTATACTGCTAAATGCTCACATCAAGGAGTTAGAATTCAAATTAACAACCTCGCATTACACTTAGAAGAACTAGAAAAACAAGAGCAAATCAACTCCAAAGCTTGCAGAAGAAAAGAAATAACCAAAGTTGGAGCTGAACTGAACAAAACTGAAATGCAAAAATCAATATAAAAGATGAACAAAACTAAACGTTTCTTTTTTGAAAGAATAAATAAGACTGATGGACTGCTATCTAGATTAATAAAGGAAAAAGAGAGAAGATCCAAATAAACACAATCAGCAATGACAAAGGTGACATCACTGACACACAGAAATACAAAAACCCTCAGAGGTTATTATAAACACCTCTATACACACAAACTAGAAAGCCTAAAAGAAATGGATAAATTCTTGCAAACGAACAACCTCCCCATATTGAACCAGGAAGGAATACTGAGCAAATGAAGAATACGTTCTGAAATTGAATCAATAACTAAAACAAACAAACCAAAAAACTACCAACCAGAAAATCTCTGGACCAGACAGATTCACAGCCAAATTCCATTAGACACATAAGAAGTACTACTACCAATCCTAATGAAATAATTCCCAAAAATCAAGGAGGATAAACTTTTCCCTAACTTATTCTATGAAGGCAGCATCATTCTGATACCAAAGCCTGTCAGAGACACAATGAAAAAAGAAAACTGCAGGCCAATATCCCTGATGAACATAGACACAACAATCCTAACAAAATACTAGCAAACCAAATCTAGCAGCACATCAAAAAGATAATTCACCATAATTAAGTAGGCTTTATTCCTGAGATGCAACATTGGTTCAACACATGCAAATTAATGAATGCAATTTATCACGTAAACAGAACTAAAATAAAAAACCATATGATTATTTCAACTGATGAAGAAAAGGCTTTTGATAAAATCCAAAATCCCTTCATTTAAAAAACCCTCATAAAACCAGGCATTTAAGGAACATACCTCATAATAATAAGAGCAATCTATGACAAACCTGCAACCAGCATCATACTGAATGGGCAAAAGATGGAAGGATTCTCCTTGAGAACCAGAATAAAACAAGAATGGTAATCTCACCATCCTATTCAACATAGTACTGGATGTCCTAGCCAGAGCAACCAGGTAAGAGAATGAAAAACAAATCCAAATTAGAATGGAGAAAGTCAAACTATCTCTCTTGGCAGACAATATGATTCTATATCTACAAAACTCCACGGTCTCTGCCCAAAGTCTCCTAGAATTGATAAACAACGTCAGTAAAGTTTCAATATACTAAATTGACGTACAAAAAGTCAGCAATGTTTCTGTACACCAATAACATCAAAACTCTGAGCCAATTCAAGAATACAATTCCATTCACAATAGCCATACAAAAAAAAAATCCAAAATATGTAGGAATACAGCTAACCAGGGAAGTGAAAGATCTCTACAATGAGATATACAAAACACTGCTTAAAAAAATCAGAGACAACAACACAAATGGGAAAACAGTCTATGTTCATGGATAAGAAGAATCAGTATTGTTAAAATGGCCATACTATCTAAAGCAATTTACAGATTCAATGCTATCCCTATCAAAATATCAATGTTATTTTTCACAGAATTACAAAAAAAATTATCCTAAAATTCATATTGGGCAAAAAAAGCCCAAGTAGCCAAAGCAATCCTAAGCAGAAGGAACAAAGCTGGAGGCATCACATTACCAAACTTCAAACTATCCTACAAGGCTACAGTAAGCAAAACAGCATGATGTTGGTACAAAAACAGAAACATTGACCAATGGCACAGTATAGAGTATCCACAAATAAAATGGCACACTTATAATCATCTGAACTCCAACAAAGTTGATAATAACAAGCAATGGGGAAAGGACTGCCTGTTCAATAAATGATACTGGGATAACTGGCTAGCCATATGCAGAAGAATCAAACTGGACATCTTCCTTACACCATAAATAAAAATCAACTCAAGTTGGATTAAAGACTTAAAGAAAGGAAACTATAAAAACCCTAGAAGAAAATCCAGGAAATACCATTCTGGACATAGGACTTGGATTTTATGATGAAGTCTCCAAAAGCAATTGCAACAAAAACAAAAATAGACAAGTGGGATGTAATTAAACTAAAATGCTTCTGCACAGCAAAAGAAGCTAGCAACAGAATAAATAGCCTAAAGAATGGGAGAAGATATTTGCAAACTATATATTCAACAAAGGTCTAATATTCAGAATCTATAAGAAACTTAAACAAATCAACAAGCAAAAAACAAATAATCCCATTTTTTAAAATGGGTGAAGTACATGTACAGACACTTGTCAAAGGATAGCTACATGCAACAAGTATATGAAAAAAATGCTCAACATCACTACTCATAAAAAATGCAAACAAAAACCTCAGTGAAATACCCTCTCAGAATGGCTACTATTAAAGTCAGAAAATAGGTGTTTGCAAGGTTGCAGAGAAAAGGGAATGCTTATACACTGTTGGTGGGAATGCAAATTAGTTTAGCAGCTGTGGAAAGCAGTTTGAAGATTTCTCAAAAACTTAAAACAGAACCATTAATACCATTCAGCCCAGCAATCACATTACTGGATATACACCCAAAGAAAATTGTTCTACCAAAAAATAATTCTACTAAAAAGACACATGCACTTGTATGTACATTGTAGCACTATTCACAATAGCAAAGATATGAAATCAACCTAGATGCCCATCCATGGTGGATTTGAGAAAGAAAATGTGGTACATATGCACACCATGGAATGCTATACAGCCATAAAAAGGAACAAAATTATGTTCTTTGCAGCAGCATGGGTGCAGCTAGAGGCCATTATCCTACACAAATTAATGCAGGGACAGAAAACGAGATACTGCATGTTTTAATTTATAAGTCGGAGCTAAACATTGAGCACACATAGGCACGAAGACTGGATCAATAGACACTGGGACCTATTTGAGGATGGAGGGTGGGAGGAGGGTGAGGATAAAAAAGCTACCTTCACTACTTGGGTGATGGAATCATTTATACACCAAACTCCAGTGAAATTCAATTTACCCATGTAACAAATCTGACATGTGCCCCTGGGCCTAAAATAAAAATTGAAAAAGAAAAATTAAAAATTTTTTAAAACTATGTTTGAAATATTGTAAGACTTAAAATCTAGTTTTTGATAAATTGTATTTTAATGTTCATTTAATTCAAAATATATTTTAATTGTCTTGAGAATTACTTGTTTGATTCATGTGTTACAAGCATGTTGCTTCATCTCCAAATATTTTGGGACTTCCCAGCTATTTTTCTGTTACCAAGTTTAGGTTCAGAATGTAGTCTATCTCGTTGAATGTTGCACATGAGCTTGAGAATAATGTGTATTCTGCTGCTCTTGGATGAAACATTCTATAAATGTCCATTAAATCTAGTTGATCCAACTTTTTCTAAAAATATATCCCCGATAATTTCATATGTTTTTAAAGTATGATTGTGAATAATATTGTTCTTAATTTCAATTTCTAATTTTCATGGCTAGTATATAAATATACAACTAATTTTTATATTTTGACCTTGTGTCCTGATACATTCAGTTATTAATTCTAGTAACTGTTTATAGATGCTTCAGGATTTTCTGTGTACAGCGTCATGTTCTCTGCAAATAAAAGAAAGATTATCTTCTTTTCTAATTGTTTGCCTTTATACTTCTTGCCTTATTATATTCATTAGGAATGGTGAGATCAGTAATCCTTACCTTTTCTTCAAGTTTAGAAGGAAAACAATCAGTCCTATGCCATTATATATCGTGGTAGTCATAAATTTCTTTACATAAGTGCTCTCTATCAGCTTGAGGGAGTTCCTTCATTAACTATTTACCGTAACTGGGTATTGAATTTTGCCAGATTATTTTCTATATTTTTGAGATAATACTTTGTTTTTAGTACATTAACCTGTTCATTTGTTAAATTATGTTGATAGATTTTTTAATACAAAAATCAATCCTGGCTTTGCGCAGCGGCTCACACCTGTAATCCCAGCACTTTGGGAGGCCAAGGCGGGCAGATCACGAGGTCAGGAGATTGAGACCATCCTGGTTAACATGGTGAAACCGCATCTCTACTAAAAATGCAAAAAATGCAAAAAATTAGCAGGGCGTGGTCGCACGCGCCTGTAGTCCCAGCTGCTGGGGAGGCTGAGGCAGGAGAATAGCTTGAACCCAGGAGGTGGAGGTTGCAGTGAGCCAAGATATCGTCACTGCACTCCAGCCTGGGCAACAGCGTGAGACTCTGTCTCAAAAACAAAACAAAACAAAAAACAAAAAACAAACAAAAATCTCAATCCCGCATTTCTGGGCTAAGTCACAGTTACTTGTAGTACATTATCTTGCTTATATGCTCCTGGGTTTTATTAGCTAATATATATAAAGGGCTCTCCCACATACATTTAATTGAGATGTTGGCCTATAGTTTTCATTTTCTGTAATGTTTTCAGTTTTGGTTTTAAGATAATACCCTGTATATTTTATTCTATTTTATAAAAAGTTTGCTATAGCATTAGTATTATGTTTTACTGATAGTTTTGGTCTTATCTACCAGTGGAGCCATCTAGTCCAGAAATTTTCATTTTCAGAATGACTTTAGTAAAGAATTAATTTATTTAATGGACAAAATATTTGTATTAGGGTTCTCTAGAGGGACATAATTAATAGGATAGGATGTATATATATGAAAGTGAGTTCATTAAGGAGTATTAACTCACACAATCACAACGTGAGGTCCCACAGTAGGCCATCTGCAAGGTGAGGAGCAAGGAAGCCAGTCCAAGTCCCAAAGCTGAACAACTTGGAGTCCAATGTTCAAGGGCAGGAAGCATCCAGCAAGGGAGAAAGATGTAGGCTTAGAGGCTAAGCCAATCTAGTCTTTTCATGTTCTTTTGTCTGCTTTTATTCTGGCTGCACTGACAGTTGATTAGATGGTGCCCACCAACATTGAGGGTGGGTTTGCCTTTCCCAGTCCACTGACTCAAATGTTAATCTCCTTTGGCAACACCCTCACAGACCCATGCAGAAATAATACTTTGCATCCTTCAATCCAGTCAAGTTGACACTCAATATTGACCATCACAATATTATTCAGAATTTTAGTTCTTTTTGAGTGAATTCTGATCATTAATTTTTGAAATGAAATGCTTAATTCTAAAATATAAATATTTAAAATTAATCTTTCACCAGAGAAGTTAGAAAAACTACAGCCTACTAAACTCTAAGAAGTAGAAGGAAGAATATATTAAAATTATTTTAAAAAGAATAAAACAATAAGTAAAAGCAATATAATCAAAAGCTGATTGTTAAATATTTTTCATATTAAATAAGTTGTTGGATGTGTTCATATAAATATTTTTATATTATTCTCTTATTTTCCTGTTAATATCTTTAGGATCTGTAGTGATATCCACTTTTTTTTTATTTATATATATATATTTTTTATTATTATTATACTTTAAGTTTTAGGGTACATGTGCACAATGTGCAGGTTAGTTACATATGTATACATGTGCCATGCTGGTGCACTGCACCCATTAACTCGTCATTTAGCATTAGGTATATATCCTAATGCTATCCCTCCCCCCTCCCCCCACCCCACAACAGTCCCCAGAGTGTGATGTTCCCCTTCCTGTGTCCATGTGTTCTCATTGTTCAATTCCCACCTATGAGTGAGAACATGCGGTGTTTGGTTTTTTATCCTTGTGATGGTTTACTGAGAATGATGATTTCCAATTTCATCCATGTCCCTACAAAGGACATGAACCCATCATTTTTTATGGCTGCATAGTATTCCATAGTATATATGTGCCACATTTTCTTAATCCAGTCTGTCATTGTTGGACATTTGGATTGGTTCCAAGTCCTTGCTATTGTGAATAGTGCCGCAATAAACATACGTGTGCATGTGTCTTTATAGCAGCATGATTTATAGTCCTTTGGGTATATACCCAGTAATGGGATGGCTGGGTCAAATGGTATTTCTAGTTCTAGATCCCTGAGGAATCACCACACTCACTTCCACAATGGTTGAACTAGTTTACAGTCCCACCAACAGTGTAAAAGTGTTCCTATTTCTCCACATCCTCTCCAGCATCTGTTGTTTCCTGACTTTTTAATGATTGCCATTCTAACTGGTGTGAGATGGTATCTCATTGTGGTTTTGATTTGCATTTCTCTGATGGCCAATGATGGTGAGCATTTTTTCATGTGTTTCTTGGCTGCATAAATGTCTTCTTTTGAGAAGTGTCCATTTCCTTCGCCCACTTTTTGATGGGGTTGTTTGTTTTTTTCTTGTAAATTTGTTTGAGTTCATTGTAGATTCTGGATATTAGCCCTTTGTCAGATGAGTAGGCTGCAAAAATTTTCTCCCATTTTGTAGGTTGCCTGTTCACTCTGATGGTAGTTTCTTTTGCTATGCAGAAGCTCTTTAGTTTAATTAGATCCCATTTGTCAATTTTGGCTTTGGTTGCCATTGCTTTTGGTGTTTTAGACATGAAGTCCTTGCCCATGCCTATGTCCTGAATGGTAATGCCTAGGTTTTCTTCTAGGGTTTTTATGGTTTTAGGTCTAACGTTTAAGTCTTTAATGCATCTTGAATTAATTTTTGTATATGGATCCATTTTGTATATGTATCCATGTATATGTATCCATGTATATGTATCCATGTTTATGTATATGTATATGTATTTGTATTTGTATATGTATTTGTATATGTATATGTATATCTATATGTATATGTATTTGTATATGTATCCATGTATATGTATCCATTTGTAATTACATATACAAATGGATCCATTTTGTATATGTAATTTTGTATAAGGAAGGGATCCAGTTTCAGCTTTCTACATATGGCTAGCCAGTTTTCCCAGCACCATTTATTAAATAGGGAATCCTTTCCCCATTGCTTGTTTTTCTCAGGTTTGGCAAAGATCAGATAGTTGTAGATATGCGGCATTATTTCTGAGGGTTCTGTTCTGTTCCATTGATCTATATCTCTGTTTTGGTACCAGTACCATGCTGTTTTGGTTACTGTAGCCTTGTAGTATAGTTTGAAGTCAGGTAGCGTGATGCCTCCAGTTTTGTTCTTTTGGCTTAGGATTGACTTGGCGATGCGGGCTCTTTTTTGGTTCCATATGAACTTGAAAGTAGCTTTTTCCAATTCTGTGAAGAAAGTCATTTGTAGCTTGATGGGGATGGCATTGAATCTATAAACTACCTTGGGCAGTATGGCCATTTTCATGATATTGATTCTTCCTACCCATGAGCATGAAATGTTCTTCCATTTGTTTGTATCCTCTTTTATTTCATTGAGCAGTGGTTTGTAGTTCTCCTTGAAGAGGTCCTTCACATCCCTTGTAAGTTGGATTCCTAGGTATTGTATTCTCTTTGAAGCAATTGTTAATGGGAGTTCACTCATGATTTGACTCTGTGTTTGTCTGTTATTGGTGTATAAGAATGCTTGTGATTTTTGTACATTGATTTTGTATCCTGAGACTTTGCTGAAGTTGCTTATCAGCTTAAGGAGATTTTGGGCTGAGACGATAGGATTTTCTAGATATACAATCATGTCGTCTGCAAACAGGGACAATTTGACTTCCTCTTTTCCTAATTGAATACCCTTTATTTCCTTCTCCTGCCTAATTGCCCTGGCCAGAACTTCCAACACTATGTTGAATAGGAGTGGTGAGAGAGGGCATCCCTGTCTTGTGCCAGTTTTCAAAGGGAATGCTTCCAGTTTTTTGCCCATTCAGTATGATATTGGCTGTGGGTTTGTCATAGATAGCTCTTATTATTGTGAGATACATCCCATCAATACCTAATTTATTGAGAGTTTTTAGCATGAAGGGTTGTTGAATTTTGTCAAAGGCCTTTTCTGCATGTTGAGATAATCATGTGGTTTTTGTCTTTGGTTCTGTTTATATGCTGGATTACATTTATTGATTTGTGTATATTGAACCAGCCTTGCATCCCAGGGATGAAGCCCACTTGATCATGGTGGATAAGCTTTTTGATGTGCTGCTGGATTCGTTTTGCCAGTATTTTATTGAGGATTTTTGCATCAATGTTCATCAAGGATATTGGTCTAAAATTCTCTTTTTTGGTTGTGTCTCTGCCCGGCTTTGGTATCAGGATGATGCTGGCCTCATAAAATGAGTTAGGGAGGATTCCCTCTTTTTCTATTGATTGGAATAGTTTCAGAAGGAATGGTACCAGTTCCTCCTTGTACCTCTGGTAGAATTCGGCTGTGAATCCATCTGGTCCTGGACTCTTTTGGTTGGTAAGCTATTGATTATTGCCACAATTTCAGTTCCTGTTATTGGTCTATTCAGAGATTCAACTTCTTCCTGGTTTAGTCTTGGGAGGGTGTAGTGTCGAGGAATTTATCCATTTCTTCTAGATTTTCTAGTTTATTTGCGTAGAGGTGTTTGTAATATTCTCTGACGGTAGTTTGTATTTCTGTGGGATCAGTGGTGATATCCCCTATATCATTTTTTATTGTGTCTATTTGATTCTTCTCTCTTTTTTTCTTTATTAGTCTTGCTAGTGGTCTATCAATTTTGTTGATCCTTTCAAAAAACCAGCTCCTGGATTGATTAATTTTTTGAAGGGTTTTTTGTGTCTCTATTTCCTTCAGTTCTGCTCTGATTTTAGTTATTTCTTGCCTTCTGCTAGCTTTTGGATGTGTTTGCTCTTGCTTTTCTAGTTCTTTTAATTGTGATGTTAGAGTGTCAATTTTGGATCTTTTCTGCTTTCTCTTGTGGGCATTTAGTGCTATAAATTTCCCTCTACACACTGCTTTGAATGTGTCCCAGAGATTCTGGTATGTTGTGTCTTTGTTCTCGTTGGTTTCAAAGAACATCTTTATTTCTGCCTTCATTCCATTATGTACCCAGTAGCCATTCAGGAGCAGGTTGTTCAGTTTCCATGTAGTTGAGTGGTTTTGATTGAGTTTCTTAATCCTGAGTTCTAGTTTGATTGCACTGTGGTCTGAGAGACAGTTTGTTATAATTTCTGTTCTTTTACATTTGCTGAGGAGAGCTTTACTTTCAAGTATGTGGTCGATTTTGGAACAGGTGTGGTGTGGTGCTGAAAAAAATGTATATTCTGTTGATTTGGGGTGGAGAGTTCTGTAGATGTCTATTAGGTCCGCTTGGTTTAGAGCTGAGTTCAATTCCTGGGTATCCTTGTTAACTTTCTGTCTCGTTGGTCTGTCTAATGTTGACAGTGGGGTGTTAAAGTCTCCCATTATTATTGTGTGGGAGTCTAAGTCTCTTTGTAGGTCACTCAGGACTTGCTTTATGAATCTGGGTGCTCCTGTATTGGGTGCATATATATTTAGGATAGTTAGCTCTTCTTGTTGAATTGATCCCTTTACCATTATGTAATGGCCTTCTTTGTCTCTTTTGATCTTTGTTGGTTTAAAATCTGTTTTATCAGAGACTAGGATTGCAACCCCTGCCTTTTTTTGTTTTCCATTTGCTTGGCAGATCTTCCTCCGTCATTTTATTTTGAGCCTATGTGTGTCTCTACACGTGAGTTGGGTTTCCTGAATACAGCACACTGATGGGTCTTGACTCTTTATCCAATTTGCCTGTCTGTGTCTTTTAATTGGAGCATTTAGTCCATTTTCATTTAAAGTTAATATTGTTATGTGTGAATATGATCCTGTCCTTATGATGTTAGCTGGTTATTTTGCTCGTTAGTTGATGCAGTTTCTTCCTAGTCTCGATGGTCTTTACATTTTGGCATGATTTTGCAGTGGCTGGTACCGGTTGTGCCTTTCCAGTTTAGCGCTTCCTTCAGGAGCTCTTTTAGGGCAGGCCTGGTGGTGACAAAATCTCTCAGTATTTGCTTGTGTGTAAAGTATTTTATTTATCCTTCATTTATGAAGCTTACTTTGGCTGGATATGAAATTCTGGGTTGAAAATTCTTTTCTTTAAGAATGTTGAATATTGGCCCCCACTCTCTTCTGGCTTGTAGAGTTTCTGCTGAGAGATCCGCTGTTAGTCTGATGGGCTTCCCTTTGTGGGTAACCCGACCTTTCTCTCTGGCTGCCCTTAACATTTTTTCTTTCATTTCAACTTTGGTGAATCTGGCAATTATGTGTCTTGGAGTTGCTCTTCTCGAGGAGTATCTTTGTGGCGTTCTCTGTATTTCCTGAATCTGAATGATGGCCTGCCTTGCTAGATTGGGGAAGTTCTCCTGGATAATATCCTGCAGAGTGTTTTCCAACTTGGTTCCATTCTCCCCGTCACTTTCAGATACACCAATCAGATGTAGATTTGGTCTTTTCACATAGTCCCATATTTCTTGGAGGCTTTGTTCGTTTCTTTTTATTCTTTTTTCTCTAAACTTCTCTTCTCACTTCATTTCATTCATTTCATCTTCCATTGCTGATACCCTTTCTTCCAGTTGATCGCATCGGCTCCTGAGGCTTCTGTATTCTTCACGTAGTTCTTGTACCTTGGCTTTCAGCTCCATCAGCTCCTTGAAGCACTTCTCTGTATTGGTTATTCTAGTTATCCATTCGTCTAAATTTTTTTCAAAGTTTTCAACTTCTTTGCCTTTGGTTTGAATTTCCTCCTGTAGCTTGGAGTAGTTTGATCGTCTGAAGCCTTCTTCTCTCAACTTGTCAAAGTCATTCTCCGTCCAGCTTTGTTCCGTTGCTGGTGAGGCACTGCGTTCCTTTGGAGGAGGAGAGGCGCCCTGCTTTTTAGAGTTTCCAGTTTTTCTGCTCTTTTTCCCCCCATCTTTGTGGTTTTATCTACTTTTGGTCTTTGATGATGGTGATGTACAGATGGGTTTTTGGTGTGGATGTCCTTTCTGTTTGTTAGTTTTCCTTCTAACAGACAGGACCCTCAGCTGCAGGTCTGTTGGAGTTTTCTAGAGGTCCACTCCAGACCCTGTTTGCCTGGGAATCAGCAACAGTGTCTGCAGAACAGTGGATTTTCGTGAACCGGGAATGCTGCTGTCTGATCGTTCCTCTGGAAGTTTTGTCTCAGAGGAGTACCGGGCCACGTGAGGTTTCAGTCTGCCCCTACTGGGGGATGCCTCCCAGTTAAGCTGCTCGGGGGTCAGGGGTCAGGGACCCACTTGAGGAGGCAGTCTGCCCATTCTCAGATCTCCAGCTGCATGCTGGGAGAACCACTGCTCTTCTCAAAGCTGTCAGACAGGGACATTTAAGTCTGCAGAGGTTACTGCTGTCTTTTTGTTTGTCTGTGCCCTGCCCCCAGAGGTGGAGCCTAAGGAGGCCGGCAGGTCTCCTTGAGCTGTGGTGGGCTCCACCCAGTTCGAGCTTCCTGGCTGCTTTGTTTACCTAAGCAAGCCTGGGCAATGGTGGGCACCCCTCCCCCAGCCTTGCTGTCACCTTGCAGTTTGATCTCAGACTGCTGTGCTAGCAATCAGCGAGACTCCATGGACGTAGGACCCTCCGAGCCAGGTGCGGGATATAATCTCCTGGTGCGCCGTTTTTTAAGCCCGTCGGAAAAGCGCAGTATTTGGGTGGGAGTGACCCGATTTTCCAGGTGCCATCTGTCACCCCTTTCTTTGACTAGGAAAGGGAACTCCCTGACCCCTTGTGCTTCCCAAGTGAGGCAATGCCTCGCCCTGCTTTGGCTCACGTACAGTGCACTGCACCCACTGTCTGGCACTCCCTAGTGAGATGAACCCGGTACCGCAGATGGAAATGCAGAAATTACCCATCTTCTGTGTCACTCATGCTGGGAGCTGTAGACCAGAGCTGTTCCTATTCAGCCATCTTGTCTCCTCCGATATCCGCTCTTTAATCCCAATATGGATGATGTTGTCTTCTATCCTTTTTACTCTTCAATTAGCTTAGACATAGTCGTATCAATTTTCTTATTTCAAAAATCAGTTTTTGATTTTATTGCTTTTATCTATTGTTCTACTCTTTTCTATTTTATTATTTTCTTATAATTAATATATTTTTTCTTCCACTTCTAGAGTTCAATAGGCTGTACTTTTTCTAACTTCTTTGGTTGAAAGGCTAATTACTTTCTAATATTTATATTTTAGTATTAAGTATATCAGTTGATGAGATGCAGTCTTTAAGGTGTGTATCTCATCCATTCTCATACACTTGGTTTTGATTTTTTAAAATTTATTTTAATGATAGATTTAACCATAACCACAATAATAATTTCACTAAATATAAATATCTAAACATTCCAAATAAAAGGCAGAGATTGCTAAACTCAGTTTAAAAAAAGAAACGAGGCCCAACTATATATACTGTCTATAAGCAATCCACATCAAATATATAGACATATATAAAAGTTTTTTTTTTTTAAAGAAAAAAGTACCACGTAAACAAACATTCTTTTCTTGTATTTTTTATCCTTTCTGCAATTTCTGGGTTTGTTTCTAGTAGTAATTTGTTCTCTGGTTGTGAATTGCTTTTTTCTTATTCTTCGTATGTCTGCAGCTCACACAAATGGAGAGATGTTAGAGCATCAACCAATTAGAGCAGGGTATCCTTGGTGATCACAGAGTACACTTAGTGAATTCTCTTTAGAGGGAAAGAGTGTCACACTTCAGCAGTAGAGCTAAATTATCCCTGAAGTGAAAGCTACTCTAGACCCACCATAACAAAACAGGCCTTAAGGGAATCAAATTCATCTGCAAAAAGCCCAACACTCTTTAAAGCAAGACAACAAAATCAAGATATTCAAAAACGTACACTTAACTTTTCACAGTGTTTCATAATATGGATTTTCCATAAATTATTATTTGTTCTATTCATGGAAGATATTTTGTTTTCTACTTTTTTTTCAATGAGCATGGCTATTGCAAACATTCCTGTACATGTCTACTGGTACACAACTCTCAGATATATGCCTAGAAGTAAAACTAGTAAGTCTTGGGGTATGTACATCTTTGACTTTTTAAAATAGGGTAAAATTATTTTCCAAATAACATTTACATTTTCACTAAGAGTGCACCCCACTTTTAAGAATACTTTTAATTTTAATTTTTAATTTTTCCTATTTAGTGAGATTCTTGCTTTGTTTTGCTTTGTTTAAATTTCTTCTTTCCCTAAACTTTTCTTACCTCCTATTGTTACCTCTTGCTTTGAAGTAATTTCTGTGTCTTTGTATCTCCTCAAAATTATTATATTTTAAAAAGAACAGGTTCTGGGTTAGATTTAGATAGCCAGTACTTTTATTTTTGGCTCCCTTTTACTGAAAGTTTATTTCATACCAGACATTGTCTGAATGTATTATGTTATTTATTATGACACAGGTATTTGAAATAGATATTATTTTTGCTAGTATTATTCTTATTTTATAGATTAAAAACAGTAGTCTAAAGATATAAAATACTTTCCTAAGGTCACAGAAGTTCATTGGCATACAACCCATAGCTTGTAATGACAATGTCAATGGCTAAGCCAAATTGGAGGTAAGTTTTGATTCATTTAAAACCTTAACACTTTAAACTAGATTTCACTGCCTGTTGAAAAGTGCTTTTGAAGCATTAGACGATACTCATTAAATTATTTACGAACACAGCTCTACTAGGATATGGCTGCCACTGCTTGGATAGCTAATTTTATCAAGAATTTTGATAACCTCATCCTCCCATTCCATATGCTTACCTAACTTTTGAAAAAATGAACCATTAATAATATTCTGCATTTGGACAGGGCTACTTAGCCATTTTCAAAAAAAGTCATACTCCAGGTGTAATCCTGTAACTATAGGTATATATTTTTATATTGTCCTGGTTATAAAGCCGTATTTCTTTTTATCCTTTCAAGCTCCAGTAGAAGTAGCTGTGATGTTATACTTCCATACATAAGTTCCTGAAAATGAGACCTTAGAACTTAGCCAATTAAAATTCTGAGTTTGAGGGACGTGTCAGACAAAATCAGTGTAAATGCGGCATACATTCATCATATTTTTATTTATAAAGAGTACAAACTTTCCCACTCTATTTTTGTGAAGTGTGCTGGTAGAATTTCTAATAGGTAAAGTATGCTGTCTAAATAAAAGCCGTTACTAGAATACTCTTTTTTGTTTTGGAAAAGCTTATTTATGTGCTGAAATTCAATATTCTATCTTATCAGCTTGGCATAGGATTTTAAAATGTAAATTACTTTGGAATACCAATGTTTATATTTGTCAAGCTGAGAAGAATATGTTGTTAAAACGGTATGCTAAGGTGCTTGTTCATAAATGGCCTCAGCTATGTATGTATTCACATGCAGTTATCAGCTTGGGTTAATGTAGTTACATTTAGGATCAGTGAAGGCAGATGGATTTTGCAAAACAGTAATGGTTTTGATGGAGAACAAAATAATCTTAAAAAAACTGGAATAAAAATTCTGAAATTCATCTGGAGCTTTTAATAGGCATAGTAAACAACACGATATTGAAACAATTGTATTCCCTTTCAATTTGTTTTAAAACTAGAGCAGCAAGTGTTTGCCATAACAATCCTTTTCTCTGGTATACAAATAAATTAAGGACACTGCATTTTGTTTCTAAGCACAAAAATTTTTCCTGATGTAACAATCTGTTCTATTGGATGTCTTTGTAAGGTCAATACATAGTATAGTAGCAGATTTATTTGCAGCCACTGTGGGAATAGAATGTCACTTCAAACTTTTATCATTACAGTAATTTGGCAAGTATTTCTCCTAGAGTTCAGCTCTACAGGGATTATCTCACTGTATCTTCTAGGCAATTCTTCGGCAATTAGATTTAAGATTAGCAACAGGGTAAAATGTTATTTCAGATGGCTACTCCTGGGCAGCTTTTATTGTTCCCAAATGTATATATGAAAATGGAAAGGCAGGCCACTTTTTGATTCAGTGATTGTGAGTTTATTTAGAAATAAATTATTATGTGGTCAGTGTTAGACCTCATATGCTAAATTGCATTAATGCTCATTAACCTCTGAATTCAGAGTTCTGGGGAAAATCATGCTTCAGTGTCTTCCTATCTTATATGTGGCAATGATTTTCAAGTGTTGCCATGCTTTCTTATTATGTGGAGAGCTTGAATAATAAACCTATTTTCTATCCCCAGTTCAGAAATTTTGATTCAGTATCTTTGGGGTAGAGTCCAGGTACCTGAGTTTTAAAAAGCACATCACATTTTGGACAACACTTTGAGACCTGTTCTGTGATCTTTGTTGACAAGACCATTGATGGACTATTCTTGGTTCTCGAATACTATAAAATCATTTTCTCCTTCAATTTCTCTTATGACTCTGGAATAGTATTTCTCAAAAGTGGTTAAGGGACTACCTAAACTGGGATCACATAGGGTCCTTACTAAAATGTGCATTCTAGGACTGCTCTGTAGACTTACTATATCAGTCACATTTGGATGTGGAGACTTAGAATATTTCTTTGAACCCAGCTGATTCATTCATTTCCCCTTCCTTCCTTCCTTCCTTCTGCTTTCATTCTTTCTTTCTCTCTTTTTTCCTTCCTTCCTACCTTCCTTTCTCCTTCCTTCCTTTCTTCCTTGTTTCATTCCTGCAATTCCGAGAATCCTAGCTATAAAACTTTGTCAGACAGAAAACCATAATTCTATTATATTTTCCAAAATGTGCACCACAAGTTATTCTTGCTATTATGTGGATAACAAATGTCCACATCTAACATGAATGTGCAGGATTTCTTACATGTTTTAGGAGCTAGTGTGCATGTTTCCAAGTGTGCTAATTTCCAAGAAGGAAATTCGATAGGCAACTTTCTTTCTTTATGTGTGTTTGTATATATATATATATATATATATATATATATATATATATAAAACTTTAAGTTCTAGGGTACATGTGCACAACGTGCAGGTTTGTTACATAGGTATACATGTGCCATGCTGGTGTGCTGCACCCATTAACTCATCATTTTCATTAGGCATATCTCCTAATGCTATCCCTCCCTGCTCCCCCGACCCCACAACAGGCCCTGGTGTGTGATGATGTTTCCCTTCCTGTGTCCAAGTGTCCTCATTGTTCAATTCCCACCTGTGAGTGAGGACATGCAGTGTTTGCTTTTTTGTACTTGCAATAGATTTCTGAGAATGATGGTTTCCAGCTTCATCCATGTCTCTACAGAGGACATGAACTCATCATTTTTTATGGCTGCATAGTATTCCATGGTGTATATGTGCCACATTTTCTTAATCCAGTCTATCATTGTTGGACATTTGTGTTGGTTCCAAGTCTTTGCTATTGTGAATAGTGCCACAGTAAACATACATGTGCATGTGTCTTTATAGCAGCAAGATTTATAATCCTTTGGGTAGATACCCAGTAATGGGATGGTTGGGTCAAATGGTATTTCTAGTTCTAGATCGCTGAGGAATCGCCACACTGTCTCCCACAATGGTTGAACTAGTTTACAGTCCCACCAACAGCGTAAAAGTGTTCCTATTTCTCCACATCCTTTCCAGCACCTGTTGTTTCCTGACTTTTAAATGATTGCCATTCTAACTGGTGTGAGATGGTATCTCATCGTGGTGGTTTTGATTTGCATTTCTCTGATGGCCAGTGATGATGAGCATTTTTTCATGTGTCTGTTGGCTGCATAAATGTCTTCTTTTGAGAAGTGTCTGTTCATATCCTTCGCCCACTTGTTGATGGGGTTGTTTGTTTTTTTTCTTGTAAATTTGTTTGAGTTCATTGTAGATTCTGGATATTAGCCCTTTGTCAGATGAGTAGATTACAAAAATTTTCTCCCATTCTGTAGGTTGCCTGTTCACTCTGATGGTAGTTTCTTTTGCCGTGCAGAAGCTCTTTAGTTTAATTAGATCCCATTTGTCAATTTTGGCTTTTGTTGCCATTGCTTTTGTTGTTTTAGGCATGAAGTCCTTGCCCATGCCTATGTCCTGAGTGGTATTGTCTGGGTTTTCTTCTAGGGTTTTTATGGTTTTAGGTCTAACATTTAAGTCTTTAATCCATCTTGAATTAATTTTTGTATAAGGTTTAAGGAAGGGATCCAGTTTCAGCTTTCTACATATAGCTAGCCAGTTTTCCCAGCACCATTTGTTAAATAGGGAATCCTTTCCCCATTGCTTGTTTTTCTCAGGTTTGTCAAAGATCAGATAGTTGTAGACGTGTGGTACTATTTCTGAGGGCTCTGTTCTGTTCCATTAGTCTATATTTCTGTTTTGGTACCAGTATCATGCTATTTTGGTTACTGTAGCCTTGTAGTATAATTTGAAGTCAGGTAGCATGATGCCTCCAGCTTTGTTCTTTTGGCTTAGGATTGACTTAGCAATGTGGGCTCTTTTTTGATTCCATATGAAATTTAAAGTAGTTTTTTCCAATTCTGTGAAGAAAGTCATTGGTAGCTTGATGGGGATGGCATTGAATCTATAAATTACCTTGGGCAGCATGGCCATTTTCTTGATATTGATTCTTCCTATCCATGAGCATGGCATCTTCTTCCATTTGTTTGTATCCTCTTTTATTTCGTTGAGCAGTGGTTTGTAGTTCTCCTTGAAGAGGTCCTTCACATCCCTTGTAAGTTGGATTCCTAGGTATTTTATTCTCTTTGAAGCAATTGTGAGTGGGAATTCACTCATGATTTGGCTCTCTGTTTGTCTGTTTTTGGTGTATAAGAATGCTTGTGGTTTTTGCAAATTGATTTTGTATCCTGAGACTTTGCCAAAGTTGCTTATCAGCTTAAGGAGATTTGGGGCTGAGACAATGGGGTTTTCTAGATATACAATCATATCATCTGCAAACAGGGACAATTTGACTTCCTCTTTTCCTAATTGAATACCCTTTATTTCTTTCTCCTGTGATAGGCAGCTTTCTAAAGGAAACTTGTTGATTTTTCCTTTTCTTTGTTTTCTTTTTCCTTCCATCCTTGTATTATTTATAGGGATTGTCATCTTTTAGAGGTATTGGGAGAAAAAGGTCTAGTGAGTGGCTGGGACATTAGAAACCTGAGAGAATGGGAAACTGATAGACTGAAACAGCACTGGGGTGTAGCAAAGCTCATAAAGTGACTCTGTGCCACTACTGCTCTACTTGCCTATGTTCTGGACCATGAAGGTTTGAATCAGCCGGTTTCTGGATTGCCTCTAAGCTCTTATATCTTAGGAATCAATGCCAACACAATTCAGAGCATTCCCCCCCCCCCTCCCCGCCACCCAAGCTGCTGCACTCTGGGACAATTGTTCTTTTCACTAGATTTTTCTAGGGTACTGGCACTTGCTGAGATATCAGTAATTCCGCTTCCTCTCTCTAGCACTTCCATGAAATAGAGAATGTCATTTGCACCTGTTGTTGACTGCTAGAGAAAGCTCTGGTCTCAACACATTTGCATGTCTAGCTCCACAAGGCATGCACCTGTTGATGGTGGGCAGATTTCAAAGTATCACAGGGCCACTGTGACATCTACCTACTTTTGCCTTCTCCTCACTTTGCTTACCACTTATCACATTCATCCCTCTCTTCTTTCTCTCTTTTGACATCTCTCTTTTAGTGAAATCTCACTCCAAATCAGGTTGCCTTAGGATGCCAGACTGTAATAAAGCTCATTCTACATAGAATATCTTGCATTGCAAACACTGCATTAGAAAAAGTTTTATTTCAGCCATTGCTGAGAATTCTATACCTTTCAAGACCCACTTGCCACACACTCATTTGAACAGAAGGCACAAACATGGAACCCAGTCTAGATTTATCACTGGTGCAGTGACCCCAGAGCTTTTCTTCTAGGTCCTTGAGATAATAATAACAATATTAATTATTATTTATTATTAATGACAATCTATATTATTAAAAGCTTACCATGTGTCAGACTTTGTGTTAAGCATTGAACACATATTATCACAGTGAATTATTCCAACAATTCTGTGAAGTACCTTTACTTACAATATCCCCATTGTATAGAGGCAGAATCTGATATTTAGAAAGTTTAAATAACTGACATTGGTACAGGGCAAAGCCAAGACTGAACCCAAGCTGTCTCATTTTAGAGTCTGCTTCTGTAACCTTGACTTTACACTGCCTCTCCGGTTCCAGAAATGGCTCTAGCACCTTATACTTTCTTTGGTTCTCTTATATACTCTGTGTCTTTTAATCATCTCCAATACTGTGTGAGGTTATAAGTACAGATATAATTAATCCCAATACATGGATATATGCATATATGTATGTGTGTGTTTATATAGCCCCAAAGTACATTAAGTCAAGATTGAGCTTTGATTTAAAAGGAACATAAATCCTTTACATTATAAAGGGAAGACATAAATCTCTCCAATCTAAATTTTCTCATCTTGGATGATGTCATTAAACTGCAGCTCAAACTGAGATTAGTTTAGAATTTTATGTAAATTACATCTTTGAACAAATGAGAAAGATGAAAAGATGAAAACGGAGATGAAGAGAGAAAAATATCAAACACAAGGAAAAGAAGGAAAATTATAACAAGTGGGATTAATTTTTTGCAGGTGAAGTGGGGGTTGGAGGGCTCTTTCATTTCTGAAAACTCATGTGAATCCTTACGCAATGGGATGAATACTTAGCTGTAACCAAGATTCACACAGAAACCAAAATAGTCAATTCCACTCCTTTTCCTTGATTAGATATTTATGGTGAAATAGATCATTCACATAGAAGAATGTACAAATAATAATAATAAACTGCCATTGACCCATATCACTTAATTCAAGATAAATAATATACCTGAGACCTTTGAAATTCTGTGTATACTTCCACAAGGATACCTCACTCCCTGACCCCAAAGATAACCATGGTTCTGAATTTGGTATTCTTATTGATTTTTCCTTTCTTTTCCTTCAAAGTTTTTCCAACTCTGCATGTTTCTTTAAAAGATTTGTGTTAAATTTTGCTTCTTTTTCACCTTTTAAGGAATGGCATATTACTTTCTGTACTCTTTTCTGGCTTTGTTCTTTCTCTCAACATTGGACTTTTGAGATTCATTCATGTTGATGTGTGTAACTGTGGTACCTCCATTTTCACTGCTATTTAATATCTTATTATATGAATATCCACAATTTATTTGTATATGCTACTGTAGATGGATATTCAGATTAACATAATTCTTCATATTAAGAATAGTCCATACGTGTTTTCTGGAGCCTGTTCAAAATTTCCTCTAGATCACATACTTCAGAATAAGATCACTGGTTGGTAGAAAATATACCTCATGATCTGCTCAACTAGGAAATGCTGAACTGTTTTTCAAAGTGGTTTTACCAAATTATATTCTCAACAACAATGGATGAGAGTTTCCATTTTTCCACATCCTCATCAATACTTGATATTGCAAAATATTTTTAATGTTCCTTTCAGGTGGAAGAATTTTTAATATTTTAATGAAGCTTTCATGTCCCTTTTCCAGTTAATGTTTCACCGAAAAAAAAGGCACATTCTCTCATATACTCAACAAACATTTACTGAGTTAGAAACTGGGAAGCCAGCATTGAGCAAGACAAAAAAAGACTCCTGTTCTCATTAATTACATTTTAATGAAGGACCATAGATGATATTCGATTCATGCAAAAGTAATCACGGTTTTTGCCATTATGCATAACGTAGATATACATTAATGGCAAAAAACCATGATTATTTTTGCATCAACCTAATAAGGAAACAAATGAATAAGCAAAGAAATAGTGGCCGGGCGCGGTGGCTCACGCCTGTAATCCCAGCACTTTGGGAGGCCGAGGCGGGCGGATCACGAGGTCAGGAGATCGAGACCATCCCGGCTAAAATGGTGAAACCCCGTCTCTACTAAAAATACAAAAAATTAGCCGGGCGTAGTGGCGGGCGCCTGTAGTCCCAGCTACTTGGGAGGCTGAGGCAGGAGAATGGCGTGAACCCGGGAGGCGGAGCTTGCAGTGAGCCGAGATCCCGCCACTGCACTCCAGCCTGGGCGACAGAGCGAGACTCCGTCTCAAAAAAAAAAAAAAAAAAAAAGAAAAAAAAGAAATAGTGATCTGTGGTGTGATGAAAATAAAGGAGGGTGATGTGATAGAAAGAAAATGGAAGTCTACTTTTGATTAGGTGGAGAGGGAAGGCCTTTCTCAGAAAATAACTTTTAATGAAGTAGCTAGGAAGCTAGAAGTTGACATTACTCAGAGTAACCATATAGCTTATCATCCAAACCAGGGCATTTGTGAGGATAATAGATGCTAGGACAATGGGTTCAGACCGAGACTGTCCAGAGCAAGCAATTCTGTGTGGTCACACTAGTATTCCTGGTTCCACCCATGTTGTTTTCCTCTCCTCTTGGGCTCCTGAACTTCCCGTGGAGTTTGGTGGAGCTGGGAGACTAGTTCTGGCCAGTAAAAAGTGAACCACTACTGGGCTGGAGCAGTGAATAGCTCATACATGATCTTTGGGTTTCTTTTGTTCTCTGCTGCCATCAGAGTGGCAACAGGTTCCAAATATGGTGGCTGCAAGATAGTGTAGCCATGATCATTCCCAGACCTTGAGTAAATGCATGGAGCACAGCCCTCTGAGAAACTGTGCTGGAAACATGGCATAAATGGGAAATAAAACTTGTTTTTGTTTTAAGACATTACGAATTGGGAGTTGTTGCTGCCACATCGCCTATCTATCCTATTACAGGAACATGCTCAGAATACAGAAACCTCTGCATTCCCTTGATAACTGCCACTAGCTATAACTCTGATTTTCTTAGGATCCAGTGTCTCAGTACTAAATCATTTATTATTAATTATTATCAAGTATTGTATGGCATGATAGTGGCAATACTAATAAATGTTCACATTTTTAAATTCATGTGCTAGTCAAGGCACATTAAATGTTTATTTCATAATTTATTCCTCATAAACTTTATGAGGTAGGTATCATCATTTATTCCAAGATTATAGATTAAGATCTGTGATAAAATACAGATTAAAATTACAGAGGCACAGAGAAGTAAAGAAAATTTGTTGTACCTGTTTTATTTACACAGAGGAAACAGAACAAAGAAGTGACTAAGAGCAAGGCTTCGAAGATACATGTAGCTGAGTATAAGAACTGGCTTCTGCCACTTATAATCCATTTACTATTGGTAAGCCATGTGACCACTCTGAGTCTCAATTTCCACATCAGCAAAAAAGGAGATAATAAGAGTTTGCATCCTATAAAGTTATCGTATTAAATGAGACAATTAAGTTCTTGCTGTGGTGTCTCACACAGAGAAAGCATACAATAAATAGTTTATGATTTTTGTCATCATTCACATTTGGAGCTTTGTGTTCAGTTATGGATATTACATTTTAATATGGACAATTAAAAATTGGAGTGTCATCAGGATTCGGTCAGTGCAAGGTCTAAGGACCATATAATTTGCATGGGGATCACAGGAAAGAATTAAGAATATTTAGAACATAAATTTCAGAAAATTATCTTCTGGTGTTTGAGATGCAGTCACAAGAGAAAATATGGGATATGTTATATAACTCTAGACCAACAGCAGTGGAGAGAAGTTTCAGAGGAATCTCTCAAACAGGCAAAGTTATTAAAAAATGAAGTAGACTGCCTCATCAGAGTGTGAGCTTGCCCAAAGCTTGATAGTTCAAAAGCAGGTCATACCCTTGTAAAAGTGAATTTCATATTAAGTTAGAGGTTGGACTAAGTGAATTCTACAAGTAAAATGAGTTTTTAAGGAAGAAGCTCTTTAGTGTGCAAATGATTCAAACCCCAAGCAATTTATATAGACAGGTAATCACCTGTTTGGAAAGAATGCAGAATATTGGAATCTAGGTCCTTTTTATGTGCAAGTATGAGTTCAGGACCATTATGGCAATTTTTCTAGAAGCAAAGATGCATGAAGGGCTCAGTCTGTTTGAGTCCATCTGTTTTACAGAACGGGTTGAAAATTACTTTTTATATATCTATTTTAAAAATTTTAATTTTGTCTTTCCCTAATGTACTCTAAGCTTCATTTGGGCTAGGTTTGTGTCCATCTTGTTCACATCTCCATTCACAGCATCTGGTAAAGTACGTGGCCTATAGAAATCACACAATCAACATTATCTGATTGAATGATGGGTAGTAGTATAGTCAGGATTTGATCTTTTGGATGTGAGACAGGCCAGGAGGAGAAAAAGTAACAGGTTCCATGGTAGTACCATCGACCTACATAGGGAATGTAAGAAAAAAAAAAAATATATATATATATATATATATATATATATATATATATATATATATATCTTTTGGGGGTTTGAAAATGACAATGAGTTTCATTTTTGATATTTTGTTTATGAGGTGTTTGTAGGACATCCAGGTAGAGACTTCTAAGTAGACAGTATTGCATGTACACGAGCAGCTTATGTTAAGGATGTCTGGCAGTCATCAATACCCATGATACAGGTAGAGCCATGGTAGTAGATGATCTCACACAGAAGAGATTATAGGAACTGGGATGGAAAGAAGGCTGAATAGACGACTCTGGGGAACTAACCATTCATTCAATTGGCAGGGGAAGACAACTTCTTGAAGGAAACTCAGAAAAATGCAGCAGACAGGTAGCAGAAAATATCCAGGAGTGAAATCAGAAACATCACTGTAGGAAAGTTTCTAGTATCTGGACAAAGTATAAGAAATTGAGGCAAGCTTCCAGGTATTTTATCATTACAACATCAAAACCACTTACCTGCCAAGAACTTGGAGTCAAGGCTCATATCCTTAGAATCTTCACAACTTGACCTTTGCTTGGATAATTCCGGTGAAATGGAGTTTACTATCATATCAGGTAAACGATTTGTGACCACAATAAAATATATATACAGAAAATTAAATAAAAGTTGACTTATTTTATTTCAGTTTTTATTTGGGCTTCTATATATAAAGTCAGAAACAGTAATTTATTAAATGATATCCCATCCAAGGAGAAGAAATATAGGGAATGAAGTCCTCATTCAAAGCAAATGTGCCACAGGGGAAAACTTCCAAATTGCCGAATTCTGACTTAATAAAGGTCTGAGATCGGGCCATCAATAATGAGTTAAACCTTGCCCAAGAGAATTAAAGGAATGAAAATGCATTTATAAGCAGGAGAGAGTATCAGTCATAGGGACTGAAGAGATAACCTACTAAATGAAATTAATGATGACTCTAAATTGGCTTCTCTCCTGAATTCATTTTAGCATCTGCCTTGAACAAAGGAAATAAAACAGCAATCTGGATAATTGTAAAGTAATAAAGACATATTTTAAAAGTTGATAGTGATAATAACCTTATGTGTTCTTAAACATATACAACTTGGAGCTTTGTAGTCATGTAGCAGTAATAAGCTGAAGAATAGGCAAAATGGATAAAATTTACCATAGTTGAGAGGTGTTAGAAAGTAACCAATTCACATAAATATGAACCCCACAAGCCTGTTAAAATGTCTCAGATTTTATCATTTAAGACTGTGCTATCCAGTATGGTGGTCCTAGACACATGTGACTATTTAGATTAAAATTTAAAATAATTTACATTTAAATAGAAAGAATCTAGTTTATCATTTGTATTACCGGTATTTCAAGTACTAAATAGCCACATATGGTCAGTGTCTTCTCTACTAAACAGAAGGAACACGAAACAGTGTAAATGAAGAATATTTTTATCAATGAGGAAAGGTCTATTCGAGAGCTCTGATTAAAGTGGAGTCCTTTGTTAGACCTTTCCAGAGACTTCCAATTAAATTTAAATAGTTTAATCCATGAAAATAAATTAACACCAGGTAGAAATCAGGGGTGGTGGTGAGGGGTTAGTAAAGTGAACCAGCATCTACTATGTGATAGACACTGCATATAGACTTAGGTTTATTCCTCAAAATCACCTGGTAATAGAACTGAAAACCAAACCCTGGGTTTTCTGATTCCAAGCCTACATTCAGTGCCCTCTGGCAGCTGCAGGAGTGACAGAAACTTAGAAGAACCTTGAGTGGGAGGTTTTTTAGCATGTGGCAAAGCTTGAGACAAAACAGCAGGGACCTTGCCCTGAAAACAGCTGGAGGCATTAAATTTAGTGTCAGGAGAGAGGAAATGATAAGATGCAAAAGTATATGATAAAAGGAAAAGCAAAAAATTCCCCAAAGATTAAACTGACTCACCCACAACTTTGTTTTGCCCAGAGTTCATGAGATAATCTACCTGGCTTTTCTGAAAAACATTTGGTATCAAATTCAAACCTGAGTTTTGCATTGTACTAGACCAGAAACTTGGACATACAGCACTGTCCCTTCTTGAACATCGAGTTGGAACGTCCATGAACAGCTGACGTTACCGATCCAGGGGCAGCAAAGACAAAAACCAAGTAGGATGTAGATACATTAAGAGAGGTCACTTGTATGAAAAGAGAGAGACAACATACAGAAGCAGAGCCTGGGGCTTGAGCAAGTTCAAGGTCAAAAGCAAGTAGGATGAAAGGACAAGATGAGTCAAGGCAATTATCTTTCCTATCCTGCTATAAGGCAGTAATAAACTTATCATTAACATTAAAGGAAAACCATTTCAGATTTACAACTTTTTCTGAGCATCAGTTTCTTCCACTACACACTAGGGAGTATTGTATGTAAACACTTAACATTCATCAAGAAAATATTCACTTTTGTGAATGCAAAAATTCAGGGGAAATGAGACAAAATTATTGAGAACAGCTTACCCCTCTGTTCACTAAAGAGAATTCTGGGTGGGCTTACAAAATATCTTTCCTTCTTTTGCTTTCCAAGTTGCCAAAAGCTTGATAACTAGACAATTTTCTATTCTAGTCTTTGAATGCAGAACCCAGACAAAATGGGAAGAGGAATCAAATAATTGCCTTGACTCATACTCAAGTCTTTTCCTGCTCAGGCACTTGGGCTGGCAAATATCTGAGCAGGAAAGGACTGGAGTATGAGCTATAGAAGTAGCTGTGACATGTGACAGTAGTTCATAAAAGAAAAGCAGGAATATTAAGAACTTTGAAGAGTCTCCCTATTCTGTTTACAAAATTTAGGTAAAATATTGACAATTTTTTTTGTTATGAGCTATTTTTTTTTGACTCTGGCACTATTCTGAGATAGTTAAAAGACATGCAAAGAAGCTCTTAAAGCATTTCATTAGCCAATGTCACTATAGTCTCTCACGTGTCCCTAGCCAAGAACCATTACTTTGTTAGATAGTTTTATTTTCTCTTCACTTACTCACAAGCATTTGGCTTAAATTTCCTTTTATTAAAAAAAAAACATGATGACATAAGCCTACTAAATGGTTAATCGACTCACTGACTAGTTAAATGACTGACAAATGAGCTTCAAGATTGTTTCTCAGAAAAATTAGAAAAGTCTTCAAGTTTTGTACTGTCTGAGTCACCAGTGCATTGACAAAATGCTTAAACCAGTGACAGTCGGAGATATGCTGTATTAGTGCCCACATCACAGGGCCCTTAAAAGGTTTCAGTGAGCTAGGGTAAATGAACTTGCAATGCAAGCTGTCAATTGCCTATTAATAGCTGGGATTTGTGGTTAAAGAGAGGATAATTGCAACCTTACCCTTAATAAACAAATCAGCAAATATGTGTTGAGTACTTGAATTCGCATATGTACCATCAAAATAAATGACACATTATTTGCCTAACCATACACAGTTCTATTCTTGCTGTTGAGTAGATTTCTGCTGATTTACTCTTCCATACAAATCATAGATCTGCATAAAATATTTACGTACTATGGTTTGGATCTGGTTTGTCTCCTCCATAAGTCATATTAAAAGTTGGTTCCTAATGTAAAGGTATTGAGTAGTGGTGGGATCTTTAAGAGGTGTTGGGTCATGGAAGTCTGCCCTCAAGAAGAGATTAATGCTGTTTTTCAGGGCATGAGTAAGTTCTCCTTGAAGGGGGTCGGTTATCACACGAGTGGGTTGGTATAAAAGCAAACTTGGCTGCCTCGGCTTCCTCTTACTTCCTCTCTCACCATGTGATTCCCTCCATTTTTCTGCCATGCTATGAAGCAGCATGGAGCCCTCACCAGGTGCCACATAGAATCTTGGACTTCCTAGCTTCCAGAACTCAGAGTTAAAAAAACGTTTATTCTTTTTTTAAAAAAAATACTTTAAGTTCTGGGGTACATGTGCAGAATGTGGAGGTTTGTTGCATAGGTATACATGTGCCATGATGGTTTGTTATTCTTTATAAATTACCTGGTCTCAGGTATTCTGTTATAGTAACAGAAAATAAGATGTTATGTGAGAACAGTGCATATCATGAAAATAATGTAGGCTTTAGTCCCAGACTTTCACACATTTGTGTATCCATTTATTTAACAAATATTTATTGAGATTCTAGAGCATCATTCATTGAACAAATGATTTTGAAACCCCAGGAATGCCAGAAAAGGGTGATATGAGGAAACGATTGAGCTGAGATATGAAAAGTAGAAATTATTAGGGAAATGGAGATTTCTTTTTTCAAGGTAGAAAGAACACCATTTGCAATAGACCTGCAGCAAGACTGAGGATAAAAGAGAATGAATGTGACTATTGTACAAAGAAGAGAGATGAACGATGTGCCAGGGTGTGTGTGAGAGAGAAGCTCACTCATTTAGAGTCCTGCAGACCACTAAAGTCATTGGGAACTCATTGAAACAGGGATGCTATATGGTCAGACTGACTATTGCCAAGGTAAGGAAAGAATGAACGAGAGTGTATCAGGTCAATGGCTAGTGAAGTAGTTGCAGAAAAAGAAGAGTGTCACTGAATATAGAAAGGTAATAGTGAGGGTGGTAGAGATTGTTCCAATGAAATGTTTCTGAATAGAAATTGCATTCTGATCCTTTATACCTTAGCAGGGATACTAAGGCAGTTCCTTTACATTTTCAAATATCAGTTTTCTCATTAAAAAACTGACATAATATTAACTTAAGGATTTTGGAGAATTAAATGGGTGAATGTATGTAAAAACACAATGTCAATTCCAAAGTAGCATGTAACTTCAATTATGAAGATGATTAGCCCTAATTACTTTAGAACTGCATTTTTTTCAGACTAGTATTGAAAGACAGCAAAGCCATAGAGGCTATCTGTATTCCAGGGAAAGTAAAAGCCACTCCAAATGGAAGCCAATGACGTCACAATGGCCTCCAAGGCCTTACAGGATCAGTTTCAATTGTCTGTCTCTTCTGTTCCTCTACAACTCTTCTTTGAGTTAACCTGCACTCCAGCCACAATGGACATCTAAACCCACCTGGCATCTCTCTTCATGCAGCCCTTTAGCTGTAAAGTACAAAGTGCTCCTTAGCACCAGCAACCCTGTGGCAGCAATTCCTTCACATATGGCTCAATATTGTCTTTTTTCCATAGAACTCATCAGACTTTATTAATACTTTGTAATTAGTGTCTGTCTTATGTTTATCACCTGTTTCCCCGTACAAGAATATAAGCTTCATAAAGGGAGGGAATCTTCAATATTTTGCTCACTGATAGATCCTAAACAGGTAACGCAGCACTTGACACATGGTAGGCATTCAATAAATGTGTCTTGAATTGAATGAACCTGAGAGGAATGCCTTTTTTTTTTTTTTTTTTTGAGACAAAGTCTTGCTGTATTCAGGCTGGAGTGCAATGGTGTGATCTAGGCTCACTGCAGCCTCTGCCTCCTGGGTTCAAGCAATTCTCATGCCTCAGCCTACCCGAATACCTGGGATTACAGGCATGTGCCACCATTCCTGGCTAATTTTTGTATTTTTAGTAGAGACAGGGCTTCACCACCTTGGCCAGGCTGGCCTCAAACTCCTGGCCTCAGGTGATCTGCCCGCCTCAGCCTCCCAAAGTACTGGGATTACAGGCATGAGCCACTGCACCCGACCAAGAGGAATGCTCCTTGAATGCCATGTACTGAAGCCAATATGAGACAATCTTCACTTTGCTGCTGGCTGTCAATGCCAGCCATCAAACCTGTGGATGGGCAATAAACTTAATGAGACTTTATAGAGGGAGAAAGAACAGAGAAAATTAAGCAAAGGGGATTCTAATTTTCAATGTGTCTATGGAAAAAATAACCCGAAAATTAACAGGGACCATATCTCATTTCAGATATTAGTGAGTAATTGAATAACTATTAAAAGAAAATGTTCAGAGACTAACAAAGTAATTCGTAATGGATGCTGAAGAACTACGAAGAAAAAATTATGCTCTATGAATCAGATTTCACTGCAAGTAATGTGGCAAATGAGCTTAAGAACAGCATCAATATTAGTTGAGAAAGTCTCGGAATATTCTAACTGCAGCATCACCACGTGGCTTTATTCCTCACAATACGTGTGCCTCAGATCATTGAGCACCTGCTCAGTGATGCCTTTCCTGACAATTCTAGGGAAAATCATTTCCTGTTGCTACTCCATCACTCTGTGACCCATACTGAGCTTTCATTTTCTTCCCAGCAGTTATCACTCCTTAAGATATGTTATTTTGTATTTGTTTATTCATTGTTTATCTGTCTCCTTCAGCAAGAAGTAAGCTCTATTAAGTTAAGGACTTAGTCTTGTTCTCTGTTATATCCAAGCACCTTGACAGGACCACCATTTAGCAGGCTCAATGAAAATAAGATAAATGAATAAAGAAGTATTTCTGGAGGGAGAGATAGATAAAAGGGAGGACCAGATGAATAATAAAGACCCTCACCTTTGTAGTACCATTTTATGGTCTGTTCCAACAAAGTCAAACTCAGGGTTAGGGATTTAAGGACTTTTTTAGGTCATTTAATTCAACAAAAACTTTCTGATGTATATACATGGATTGAGGGCAATGATGTAATTTCAGGTTTCAGGAAGCTTATAGTTTAGTGGGAAGGAAAGGCAACCTTAAGAACTTTAGTTAGGCATCCCCAAAATGCTAAAGACTGTGTGTGCTACAGAACTGAATCAAATTAGGAGCTGTTTCCTGGGGACTGAATTTGCTGGGAAAGACCATGTGGGAAAAATAGGAGATTAAGGATCAGTTGTTCCTGCTTTCTTTAGCTTCCACTGCCTCTCCCTAGATTGTCTCTACCCATTTGTTCTGGTTTGCTGATACTTTTGCTTTTTCAAGCCCTCAAAGCACTGGCCTTGGCATTCACACCAACTAACACAACTTTTTCATTATCTTTTATTAAAGCACATATATTTTCCACCTTACAAGTTTAACATTCACTTTACATTTATCTTCCTTTAGAAGCTCACAATAATTAATCTTCCTTATTTTCAACATATTTGTGCAATCATAAGGTATTCACTGTATCTGGTAAATATAGGCTCTATACTTTGAATATAGATTGAATTGAGCTCATAATACAACTAGGATTCTAGGCATATGACTAGCTATAACATAAGGCAGAAGTAGGAATTATAACGAAGCATTATAGGAACAGAGAAGGAGTGACTTACTTTCCATGGAACACACAACACAACATTGGGGCCAAGATTTGAAAGATGGATAAGGTTTCACCCAGCCAAGAAGAGAGATGTGAGCAGAGAGAACAATATAATGAACAGGGGTATACAAATATATTGCAAAGCATAAATAGTTCAGTGAAGCTGATCTGTAGTACTCAGAGTGCTAGATTGAATTAGATGTATACTTTGGAAATTGGGAAAATCTTAGATTGTCTTGCTAAGGGGTTTAAACTTTTTGTTATAGGCATGTGGGAGACAGGTTTAAGAGAAGAAAGTGATATAAACAATTCTGTGTTTGAACAAGTAACTTTGCAGGATAAAAGTGGGATAGGGAGAGATTAGAATCACATCATATCACCTCTGGGATGATAACTTTTACAACAGTTTTAAACAATTGTCCAGAATTCTCTGATGTGAAAAATCAAAAAGCTATTTTAGGGAGTGGAATTTTAGATGGCTATAATCTTTAGGTTGGGTTCCTTAATCTCTTTTAAGACCAACATTATTTTACTTATGCTATTATTTTGAGGGATTTTTAAAAACCACTTTTAACTTTGTTAAAATATTTGCCAGTTATGTTCAACATTGAATTTTATACTTACTGGGTTATAAATTCCAGGAATTATTATAGTAATAAGGATGCACTGACATAAAAGAAAAATGGAAAGAACGTAATACTCTTTGAAAGTTTTCTACAAACCAGGTTGTTAAAAAAACTTCCTAATTTTTTCAAAGACCTTAAGAAGAAAGCAATATTATCTTCACCTTACAGTTGTGGAAATTGGAGCCAACAATTTAAGAAAATTGCCCAATATACCACAGTTATAAAATGACAGAAATGGAGTTGTGGCCCATATTTAGGTGACCCCAAAACTCATTTATTTCCATTATACCATTTTCCATTACATAAGCATTCATTAAAGGCCTACAATGTGCCTTTCATGGATTCTAGACTTTCAGAAGATATTGCAAGGAAGAGTATTAATCTTCATTTTCAACCCTCTCCTTGCCACCGATTCATTCTCCACTCTTTTCAGCCGCATTCTATATCTTGGGGAGTTGAACTTCACAGGTTGCATCAACCCGGCTTGCTGCACTCTGGTTTCTGGTGGGGTTCGGCCATGGAGGGCCATGGGAAAGAGTTCAGAGAGCAGAAAAACTGATTTTCCACACTTACTCCTTCCCTGCCTTGTTGTGGTTTTTCTGTCAGTGGCTGTGTCCTTTGCAACCACAGGTCCTTTTAGGAAGTCCTCTTCCAAGACTCTCACTAGGTTCTGATGGGATAGTTCCCTCTCCTTGCCTCTTCAGTGCTAGAGGTGGTAACAGCTAGCTCCTATTTCCAGTTTTCAGACGCTTCCCTGTTTCTTCTGGTTTCCTTAGTCTTGCCTATAACTCCTACACTTTTAATTAAACTCTTTCCAGCTAAACTCTTTGAGCGTGCCATTGGTTTTGTGTGTGCTAGGACTTTAATTGATTGGGTAACGTCCACTACATTGTTAGTTGCAGGAAAACAGCAACCATGATTGTTTTGTTAATTGACTCATCCTCAAGAATAACTAGATCTTAAAAAAAGTCTACAAACTAGTTGCATGGTCTCACAGAGCCTCATAAAAATGAGTCCTATTGCTTAAAGTATCCAAGTTTAGATGTAAACCATTTGCCCTCTTTGCACCAATCTACAGGGTTTTTCGGGTAGTTTTTGCCCAGTTGTTTTTGTGCTCAGATTTAATTTTGCATCATCTTCTATCCAAAACCATTTACTATACCAATGTATGGTAAAATTCCACTTATTTGGAGTGATTGTAAAATGAGATATTCTGGTTAAGAATATAAAATGTAAAATGTAAATCTACAGAGCCCTGTTGTGACAGACAACATATTTACAAACTAGTTCAGTTTCTGTCACTTCATCCCAGTATCAATCACTGGGGCTTGTCCTTCATTTTCTGAGCCTCACTTTCTGTGTTTGTATAGATTGAACAGTATCATTCTAATGTATATTCATATCCCTTAACTCCTGGCTTGTAAGTTGTGAAAATGGAAATGTTCTTCTTCCTCTTCAAGGACTTCAGGTAATATCTCTATGAGCCAAGGCTTTCTAATAGACTAAGATTCCTGGGCCAACTTACTTCCTGTAGAAAATGTGTTCTCAAGTATTTGTCAGCTCCAACTCTCCAAGATGAGAAGTCCCAGCCATATGTTCTGAGCCATTAGGCCTTGACTGAGCAGTGCAAACAGATGGGCCCACTGGAAAGGTGCCAAGATGCTGGCAGAAGCTGCTCCTGGAACCTAGGTGCTCCCTTTAAGAAGTGGGGACTTTCTGGATGATAGTAACATTGATGGCAGTGAGGACGGTGTCAAGGAGAACTAGCCTTGTTAAAAATTGGCTCTTACCCATTTGCAAGCTGTGCAAAAGCCTGTGCCCTACAAAGAAGTCTCAAAACTCAAATTTTCATGGAAAGGATTTGTGAACATTTGAGATTATAAAAATTTGTGGCAGAAGGTAGCTTTGCAAAATCTAGTCTAGATGTATACACACACACACACACACACACATGCAGAGAGAGAGAGCAGGATTTCTTTCTAAATATAAATTTTATGGGAAACTCCAATATGATATAATCTCTTTATTATGATTTTGACTTTGGAAGAGTGGGATAGGACATTAACATGAAAATTAATGTAGAAATTAGTTTTGGCTAATTATCAAACAAAAAATCTGGAAGGATATAGTAGAAGGATATAGAAGGATACAGTTAATAATAATAGCCTACAAATAGCTAATATTTATGAAATCACTTAGTGTGTCTAGTAATGTTTGAAGTCATGAACCCACAGACTACAGCAGCAGGTCACATCTGGCCCACCACTTGTTTTGCAAAGAAAGTTTTGTTGGAACACAGCCACGCTCATTTGTTTCCATATTGTCTACGGCTGCTTTCCCTGATACAAGAGCAGGGTGGAGTAGTTTCAACAGAGACCATGTGCCCCTCAAAGCCAAGAACATTTACTATCTGGCCCTTTGTAGAAAAAAGTTTGCTGAACCCTAAGCACCAATCTAAGCACCTCACATGTTTTATCGTATTTATTCCCTTCATCAACTAAGGAAATATGTAGTATTTTTATCTTCATTTTATAGATGAGAAAACTGAGAAATAGAAGTATTTAGTAGTTTGTCTCAAATCTCATATTTAGTAAGAGATTCAGTCTCTGATAGTCTTAAGCTAGCACCTGTGAAGCCCTGTCCTGATTTCAGGGTTATTTTGCCTATTATAAGCCACATAGAGTTTAAGAAATAGCAGGGAATTGGAAATGACCTCTGTTCTAGTCTACCTAGCCTACCAGCTTATAAGGTAGCTTGTAGGTCTTTTAGTTTTAACTAGCTTGGCCTAAACGGCTACCTTTCTCTGAGCTCCTCCTCCCTTCTACTCCTCTCTTGTCATGCTTTGACTCTTCTTCTCTCATCTTTTTACTACTTTCAGATGCTCTGCCTCATTACTCTTCTTTCTGGCCTCAGGAGTATTTCCAGCCCATTAGATTTTTCCCTGGGTATAACTGAGAGGGTTTGAGTTGTATGCAGGTGAAAAAAGAGGTGAAGGGAATATTGGTTTGCAGATTCGAACATTCATAAGGCAATCAGGCTTTTACAGTTTCTTTTTTCCATACCTCTTTAGTATTATTAAGCTAAGAAATTCTGTTTCTTTTTTATGCTTTGAATTCTAATACAAAAGACTTCCTTTATTTTTTTTAAATTTGATATATGTTTGGCCAACAAAGAGAGTAGAAAGGTAGGATGTAAGTGTAGAGAAACTCCTTACACTGGACTCAGGTAAGAAGAGGTGGAGGTAGAGAAACCCTTTATCTTTGACAACATTAATTAAATAAATGCAGAACTGTTTCTTTAAAATTGGTGGATGGGGAAGAAGTGAAAACTGAGCTTGACATGCTCAGTCCCCATCTTGTGACTGAGACTGATAGTCAAGAAATCAGAATGCTGACACCCAAGAATATAGTTTTAAAAGCAGTTGATGGTATTCTTGTGATACAACATACATAAAGTTCCTAGTTCTGATGATGCGAATGTAGACATTATTCAAGATATTACAGTTACCGATATGAGAATGATGATGATATTGACAATGATTATCCTTGGAATTCTGAGGTCAAAGAAGTTCCCATGAGAGCACGTCAATAGTTATGTAGGGGTTTGTTTTCCAGGAGAGAAGTTTCTAAAGGAGGCAGTATAGATTGTTGCAACTGTTTCTTAAACTAGCTGCCTGCCTTGAGGTTTTTCTCCTGTGCATTTATAAGAGATATTGCAGACCCAGTGATCTTTCCAACAAACAATGTGATTAAGACATTTCCCTGCCTCACTTCCCATCTCAAGACTCCTCATTAGCGCCAGGGCAGAAGAGAGTGGCCCTTTTGCTGCATGCGCCACAAGAACTTTTAGGGTCTTGCTTCGTGTTGATCTTTCCAGCATTTTCTGCTCCTATGAAACCTCCATTTCTCAAACTTTACAATCTGTTAATTCCTCATTTACTTGTAATTTCAAGCATGTACTCTTTGGTTTTACTCCTTGATACTTGCTACATGCTGGTTTTTCTGAATCTAAAACATTCATTTCCATCACTGCAACCTGCCCTTGTCCACATGGAAAATTACAATTAAACTTTAAAACTGAGTTTCGGAATCATTGTTTCTAAGAAACGTCTCTTGATTTTTCTCCCAGAAAGAACTACTCCTGCTCTCTGCTATTTCAATACTTTACTTGTAATTATATTATGAAATATAACACAATATATATTTACTTATTTTAATGCCTGTACCCCTTAATAGCCAATGAATTTATTCAAGGTAGACACAATTTTATTTAGCACAAACTAAGGAACAGTCAGTTGGATTGAACTTCAGTACCTTTGTCTATCAGGCCTTCATGGAAGATTCTTAGGGCCAGTAATGATGTCTATTATAAAAGCCCCCTAATTCCTGCTTCTATGATACATAGAGTTATCTGAGCTTGTACAGGTTAAAGAGTAGAAATATATATGACACTGTCTAGAAATTCCCTGGTTATGTCTTCTTGTTTTGTAAAATTATAAAATATTTCATTTTCTTCTTTGTGATTTTATGATTTTTTGGTTTAAGTTTCTGCAATGAACATATCAGAGAAAAAATACAGTTCTAAACTCACTCTTCTAGAAATTTTTCCTATAGCAGAACATTTTTATTCTGTATTAGAGATACACACACTGTTCATTGGCCAGCCTAACACCTATTTTCATCTCATTTCTCCCTTGACCACATCCTATGGGGAGGTTAGAAATGTTAAACACTTGCTTTCCTAGATTTCTTTGCATCTAGAGTAGACACATGTCACAGAAATAGCCCCTAAGGTATCAGTGGCAGTCTGCTAGAGGTGACTACAATTGTTGCTTTTCGCTTCTTCCTGCCTTGAGTGCAGATGTGATGCCTGAAATTATGGTAGCCATAGTGCAACACTGAGGTCCAAAAGAATAAAAACAGAAAGCAAAACCTCAGGCCAGGGCAGAAAAGGACAGGAAGAGCTGAATATGTGCTATCATTGAGCCATGGCCCCAACCCTGGTTTTCTACCTCCAAATGTCTTGTTACATGGAGAACACATCTGTATCGTTTAAGACGGCTACTTAGCTTTTCTGTACTCGGAGTTCGTCACAGATAAAGATATTTTAAAGGGTTTGTATACAATGAGATAGTAACAATGCTGTTATAAAAATTAAAAAGTTAGAAAAACATGAGTATCCAATAATAAAAAGTTTCTAAGATAGCCAATAACCAGCTTATCATTTCTGATGACCTGAGGAATGTCAGTTGCGGGCATTTCAAACAGAATAGGAAAGAGCCCGCTGAGAGGTTCAACTCTGCTTTTTGTATCTGGGCTCCCCTCTGTTCACTTCCAGCCGCCATGACTGGGCACTGGGAACATTACCTGGGCACAAGCAAAGACCAGGATATGGACCTTTTCGTAGAATCTGTGAATCCGCAAGGGAAAATTCTATTTTTTTCAGCCCTTGGCTTCTGGACTGGGGGTTTAAGAGAAGGGCAATACTTTACTGCCAGCACTATGCCTTTGGTCTCTGGATGTATCAGTCTGTTCTCACACTGCTGATAAAGACATATCCCAGACTGGGCAATTTACAAAAGAAAGAGATTTATTGGACTTATGTTTCCACGTGGCTGGGGAGGTCTCAGGATCATGGTGGAAGGCAAAGAGGAGCAAGTCACACCTTATGTGAATGGCAGCAGGCAAAGAGAGCTTGTGCAGGGGAACTCCCATTGATAAAACCATCAGTTTTCGTGAGACTTATTCACTATCACAAGAACAGCACAGGAAAGACCTGCCCCCATGATTCAATCATCTCCCACTTGGTCCCTCCCATAACACATGGGAATTCAAGGTGAGCCCCTAGTTACACCAAGTGGGATTTTTCCTGACTATGGATATTGGGATCATTTCCTTTTGTAATGTTGGTAATGGATCCCATATCTTTGCATTCACTAAAATATCTGCTACTGAGCCAGTGCATCCATATTTTGCTCCTGAAGATACAATTCATGATGATCAAGGGTACTTGAGTGTCTGTCCTGTGATTAATAGATAATGCCATAGACAATTTTGCAGTATATCCTGGACAAGGCCAAGAAACATCTGTAGGAGCACAACTGTCATGACCACATCTATTGTGAGCTCATGACCAAAGGAGGGAACTTTTCTGTTGGGTACACTTACAGTACAAAGGTATAGAAGAAAAATATGAGTCCTTTAGAGAATTTTGAACACTACTCATATTAATCAGGAAAAAAATGCGTATCAAATATGAAGTAGTGTCGTGTTGTTTTCTTGAACCTATGTTTATACTTTTATTCCAATAAATATTTTAAATTTGCAGAACAAAAAATGTTAGCTTTTAAAATTATAAAACACATAAGCAGCTTTCAAAAATAAGGTTTTAGAAGACTATTAATGAATTATAAAAGTACTCATGGTATTTTATTAAATTTGAGAAAAGTACGTTATAAATTGATACAGGTAATATGATCTCAGTCTTGTTAAAACATATGTGCATATGGATAGTGAAAAAAATCATACATTATATACTGTTAATTGTCTTTGTCTCTGGTTGGTTGGACCATAGTGTTCTTTCTTTTATTATGTATTTTCATGTTTTCCAAAAGCCCTTTAATGCAAATATATTATTTTTCAATTAAGAAAAAATAACACTAAATGTTATTTATAAAATTTTTAAAAATCAGATATCTCATGTCTGGATTGTGGACAAGTTTACCATGTGGCAAATATCAGATGAGTTAAATGGTAATTGGGAAAAAATGTAAATTGTATTAGAATGCCCTGACTTTTACTAGATCTGTATCCATGCCAACATTGACTAAAACAGTCAGCCAATGATACTTCAGAGGAATAATGGGATGTTAGATTTGCAAAGAACGAGAGATGCTTCCATTTGCTGCTGAATTAAAAGTGAGTTAAAATCCATTAACAGTGAAATGTAATCTACCTATGCTTTTACTCTTCATGATCCCCTCTGAATGCTTCAGAGAACAGGCCAAAAGCCCAGAGGAATGCCTTGTTTTTCTATCATCTTTGAGCCTGCTCCATCTCAGCTGTTTGGTTTCCTAAGTCTATCTCACTGGCTTCTACTTTCAGACAAGAGTTATTGGGATTGACATCCCACAAACCCTATTTCAGGACCCAACATGTTTTTTCAAAAGAGGCAAATGACAACCTCAGTATCAAAACAATGAAATAGCAACCCTGGAGAGTAAAGAATAAAATTTTATATCAAAATGTGAAATTTGTTCTACTATGCCATTAGAAGGTGTGTAAAATGGGGCAAATATTTTCATTTCTCTGAGCTTCAGTTTCTTCATCTATAAAATGGGCTTGCTAACTTCTCTCTCACAGTTTTTTTTTGAGAAACTACTGAATAAAAAACATGTCGACATATAATACACATTAGTATGTCAGTAGTCACAGGAACCAAATATTTTAATGACCCCTAAGAAACTGAAACACCTCACTTCAAAATTGTATAAAAACTCCAATTAAATGAGGACAAGTAAAGAGCATACGCAGATGTGTTAACCCTGTGGCTCAGGGTTCTGTGAATCAAGGCAGTAGTATTGCTTCTGGCTTTCCTGGATGAAGAGTCATTCTGGCTAACTCCTGCCACATTGATCCCAAGGGACTGGGTTTCCTCTAAATTATTCTGTAGCCTGAAAGGGGATCTATGTCCTAAGGGTCTTTTACTTCACAGGGTGTGCAGAGCTATCCCATTCAGTACTGTAACTGGTACTCTCTTAATTTTCAGTATCATTTAATTATATTTTATTTTCATTTGTTTTTATAAAAAGCGTCTACATGGAAATCAGTACTGCAAGAATATATGTACTGAATGCCAACAGCAACTGGTTAGTGTAATACAGAGTAAGGTAGTTTACAGTCATACTTTCTCTGCTTACAAATGGATAGTATTTTTCTAATGAGACCAAAAAATGTCTTTTTTTTTTTTTTTTTGTGACAGAGTCTCACTTTGTCACCCAGGCTGGAGTGCAGTGGCGTGATCTCGGCTCACTGCAACCTCAGCCTCCTAGGTTCAAGCGATTCTCCTGCCTCAGCCTCCCAAGTAGCTGGGACTACAGTCGCACACCACCACACCCGGCTAATTTTTTGTATTTTTAGTAGAGATGGGGTTTCACCGTGTTAGCCAGGATGGTATCTATCTCCTGACCTCGTGATTTGTCCACCTCGGCCTCCCAAAGTTCTGGGATTAAAGGCATGAGCCACTGTGCCCGGCCCCAAAAAATGTCTTTTAAAAAGCTATGCCCTGGCTGGAGAGAGAAGATAAGGGATTTTGTTGTTGTTGTTGTTGTTGTTGTTTGTTTTGTTTCTCATTTGTTTTGTTCTGTTTTGCTTTAACTGTGGTTACTGTTGAAAGTCTAAGAGTGTCTGGTCTACACTGTGTGGTAGAGCCATTACAAGGCGTGTTAAGTGTTAAGAATCGCAGGCGTTGAGCTCTCCTTCTCTGCTTTTCCTGTAACACTTTGCTTCTACCTTCAGTACTTTTCCTCCCTTCAGGAAGCACAATGGCTTGAAGAAGAATTTGGTCATCTTTGCAAATTTGCCTTGTACCAGCCTTGGTGTCTGAGATGAATCCTTCACAATAAAGTAATAGTGGTTGATGATAGTACTAATTATAATATTAACATTAATAAAATGTCAGCAGTCCTTTACTGTGGAAACCAAATTGGTGCCAGTCTGTTTAATTGCATTGAATGCATTATCAAATTTAATCTTTTCATATAACAAGCCTATAAGTTTGGTAAAATGAGAAAACTGAGATATGTATAATGGTTTAATTAATTGCATAAAGTCATAAGTAAGTGGTTGACTCAAGATTCACAGTCAAGATGGCTGGCTGCAGGGTCCATTCTGTCAGGCCCAGAATATTCCACTTTCCAGTCTGTCTTTCTCTTACCCAGAGTGGCTAAGCACATGTGGGAGGAGACAGCATGCATAACCATTGTGTTCGGGAGTGTGAGTTTCTTGTCATTATCAGATAGGAATATTAAGCAACGATGTGCCTGTAGCCAAAATACTCATGGAGCAAATGAGGAGGTCATGGAGCTCATGCATTTGAAATTTCCAGTATCATATGGCTAGAGTTTTCCAGAATCATAGGTCTGGAAGGGGCTTAAAGGATATTGTAGGCCTTTGTTGCTTTTGCTTATCCAATATCCATTGCACTTTCTCTTGCAAAGAGCACTTCCTTTTTCTCTTGAGGAATCTCTCATCAGTGCATACAGTCTGGTTTGGCAGTTTAATTGAATGACCTACCTTTTCCTAGCCAAGAGGCAGGGGTGTGACCCAAGAGGCAAGGTCTATCAGATGCCCGTCTCATGAAACTTGAGTTATGAGTTAGAACAATAAAAATTCTGAAAATAATTGAGTTCTCACTCATCCAGGAGATGGTGCCTGGAACCTCTGTGACTTCCTGAAACCTATTCCAAATGTGTTCTTCAGCCTGTCTTCACTATTATGAATCTACGTCCCTGCATCATTCTTCCAGTAAAATTCTATTTGGCATAAAAATTCTAGAGTCAATTTCTGCACTTTCATCCAAAATATCCCAGCCATTACAAAATTCATTGATTCAAAGCTTTTATAAAACACAGGGTTCATCTATTCAGTACTTCAGATATTTTCACCTTGGTTTTTTTAAGAAATGTTTATGTAATGTTTGTATATGCAAAACTGTATTCTAAGCACTTTATGCATATCAATGAGCTAAATATTCCCACTGTTGGTAGAAACTGCTATTTTATGCAGCTGCTCTTATATTGAGTAGAAGTTCATGTTGTTGGACTATCATTTCTTGTATCTGGCTAAAATCTACTACTTTGCTTTTTTCATTCTTTTGACTCTTGTTCTGCCATCTATCACACAGAATAAACCTAGGCATACTCACCTTTGGACCCATTGTATTATGTATAACAATTGTAGATTCAGATATGTGGATGAACTGCTAACAAAGGCTATAGTGTTAACTGCAATTTTAGCTGAAGTGTCATCTCAGTTAAAGAAAGACTGTCTCTCATCCACTACTTTTGTCTAGCATGCAATGACTGAGAATATTGCATTAGAGAATTCAGAGTCCTAATACACAAAAACAACAGAGAAATTCTATTTTCTTAAAATTGTGTTTCTCTCAATACAAAAGAGAGTCTCAAGACTATCTCTTCAACTCCTTTCAATATAATGCCATCAGTTACCCACATTCATGTGTCGTCTTCAATCATGCATTTATTCATTCAATAAATATGTATTGGATATATATGCCAGGTGCAAGACAGAGAGCTAGGTGTTTTGGGGCATGAAACAATGAATCAGATATGTGCATCTAACATCTAGATTCAAAAATAAAAAATCAAACATCCACTGTTTAATGTGTTTGGAACCAGTACCCAGACAATTGACGTTTGTTGTTGTTTTGATTTGTTGCTTGTTTATTTTTTGCTCTTTGATGCTATGTAAACACAGCTCATAAAGGTGCAGTTCTTAAAAGCGCTTTCTCTAAAACAATGCCTGAGGAAGATGGATGACACACTCGCTTTTTAAAGACACATAAAGAAGCTCTCTTTTACCCATGAAAGGTTTCCTATGATTGTTCAATAAGAATTAGTGGTTCATCCCCAGAACTGGCTTTAATCTTTATTTTGTCCAGGCTCTAAAATCAGCTTTGAGAATACAGGTGAAAGACTTTTATAGAAACCTGTAAGCATGGCAACAATAAAATAAAATAAAAAAAGTTGACAAGCAGGGAAATGAGGAGTGAGGAGGAGGAAGGTGAGTAGGAAATGGAATTTTAGTTGTTTATGTTAGTATTGCCAGAACTATTCCATGGTTTTTGCCTACTTATTGCTCTCACATCCACCAAGATAGATGATACCAGATTCTTTAAAACCCACCAGTTGTAAAATTGGTATGAGAATACCAATTATAAAAGATAGTCATGGGAACAGATCTTGTCTTTTTAAAATTTCAGTGAGTACACTGTACAGTATCAGGTGGCAGACAATGTGACTGGCCAATGTACACAATATGAGTGTACATCCCTCTCTTTCCTACCCTCCAGTCCATTCAAAAGAGGGAAGAATCGTCAGCTCTCTGGTTCAGAGCTGCTGTGCTGGCAGAGGGTTCCTGACATTACTTTCCATGTACCAGTTACTTTCGTTACCTCGACAGAGTTATGAATCTGTTACACTTGCTCTTTTCCCTAACAAAAATTATCCACCCTTCCTCTATGCCTGCCCATCATTTAGATAGCACTGAACTCCAAATGTTAAAGGCATGGTGGAATGAAAGACATAATGCAGAAAACATTGTATCTACTGCCAGAAAACTCACAACACTTATGAAATGTAGGTTGCTTTATTCAAGCACTTGATTACATTAGTGCCTGCCTGGTCCAAAGATAAGGACTGGACATTAAAGGAGAGAGAAAGGATCAAGTGTGGTAGAGTTCCACTGGCTTGGTCTCCAGCAGCTCTTTCCTCCCTGGGCTTATGCCAGGCCTCAAGGGAAAAAGAAATTTTATTTAGCAGGAACAGAAGACATTAAGGACCCCAAAACAGAAATTCTTTGCATTATATGTATATGTGGTCATTTACATGTGGCCAGAAATTTGAGAGAAACCCTTTCAGCATTTCTTGAGCTCATGGAGAAATGATATACATGGCAGCAGAAATCTGGTTTCTGAATTCAGACAGACTTGGGTCTGAACTGCAGTTCCTGCAGTTTCTGTCACCTGGAACACATTAGTTCATTGCTGTACATTATTTTTCTCATCTAAAATGAATTATATGTGTGTGACAGGATGGAGTTTTATTTCTTCTTTATCTTCTTTTCTCATCTTCAAACTTGTGATGACAATAATGATTTTCTTCCAAGTCTTAGCTTTTTTTCTTTTTTAAAATAATTATTCTGCAATGTTTAGAGTACACCTAGTCCCCACATTATGAATGGGTTGTATTCCAAAGGTTCATTTGTATGTAAGCCATCTACTATTTTCCAATCACTGAACAGATGCTAATTGCTGGGTGCCTTCCAGTTTTAAAAGGCATCTGGCATTTTAGCAGCTCTTATTACAGGCTCCTCCATCCATTGTCGTGCTGCCCATGAAGACAGTGAACAAGGCAAAAATTTACCTCTCCTGAGATTAAGACTTGAATTTGGGAAAGATTTTTAATAATTTTGAATCCAATCAAATATGTTGCGATAAAAAATTCAAAAACCATCTACACAGTCTTCAGCAAATAGTTTTACTCATGTCCAAAGTATTCCTCAAAGGAAATTGAAAGACAATTTTTCCATCTCAGACTGTCCACCTGATAAAGACACACAGGTCTCTACTGGATTAAAACCAGGAAGCTATACTTCTACTTCATGGGCACCGATTTTTTTCAATCAGTCATCCATCTCTCTTCTATGTCTTCGACCCCTCAAACATATAGCAAAACAGAAAATGTCAGGAGTTGATGGAGGTGGGGCAGTGTGTAGAAAGTATGATTCTCAATAATAAACAGTGAAAGACAATTTAAATAATATGTAGAAGCAGTGCATGCTGGAGAGTGGATAGACTATATCATATGCATCAGGGCTAGAGAAGTTCCTAGCTCAATTAAATAGACCCATGTAACCTAGATATCTTACAGAGATCAGGAAATGGGCTAGGAACTCTGCCCATTACCGAATCTCCACTTGAAGATTGGAGATGGGACTCCAACATTGGACAAATGGGTAGCAGAGTTAAGGGAAATCCATGTATTATTGGCAAACATCCAATCTAGAGACACCTTATTTTATTCAAGCCTGAGTAGAGAGAGCTAAGAAAATATTGGGCATGTTTTTGCAATTCAAAATGATTTTTAAACATTGTTTCAATGAAATAAACCAAAAAAAGTATCTATTAAATAGAAGTCATGTCACAAAGAAAAAATAGACTGAAGTAAAAGAACAGCAGAATAGGGTAAAAACAAAGTTAGGTGAGCTAAAAAAAATTCAAAAACACCAAAATTATAGTAGGAAAATTACAAACCATATTGAAGACAGATGGAGGCAAAAAAAGATAAGACTGAAAAAATCAAATCAAGATTGTGGAGAAAATCCTGAGAAATCAAAGACATGAAAATAGAGAGAGGGGCCAAAAGAGAAGATGATTGCACAAGTCTAAGAAAGAGAGAAATATCTTGCCAATATTTGTATAATTGCCATACAGGCATACCTGGTTGTATTGTGCTTTGCTTTGTTGCACTTCGCAGATATGTTTTTACAAATTGAAGGTTTATGGCAACCCTACGTCGAGCAAGTCTATCAGGATCATTTTTCCGATAGCATGTGCTCACTTGTGTCTCTGTGTCACATTTTGGTAATTCTTGAAATATTTCCTTTGTCGTTATTATTATATCTGTTAGGGTGACCTGTGATCACTGATCTTTGATGCTATTATTGTCATTGTTTTGGGGTACCATAAGCCATGCCCATATGAGACAGTGAACTTAATAAATGTGTGTGTTCTGACTGTCCCACCAACGAGTCATTCCCCGATCACTCTCCCGCTCCTCAAGCCTCCCTATTCCCTGATACATAGCTATATTGAAATTAGGCCAATTATAACCCTACAATGAAGTGTTCTAATGAAAAGAAGAGTTGCATGTCTCTCATTTTAAATCAAAAGCTAGAAATGATCGAGTTTAGTGAGGAAGATATGGCAAAAGCAGAGATAGGCTGAAAGCTAGGATTCTTGCACCAAACAGCCAAATTGTGAATGCAAAAAAAAAAAAAAAAAAAAGTTCTTGAAGAAAATTAAAAGTGCTACTCCAGTGAACACACAAATGATAAGAAAGCGAAGCAGCCTCAGCCACTGCGGTGGCTCACGCCTGTAATCCCAGCACTTTGGGAGGCCAAGGTGGGTGGATCTCCTGTGGTCAGGAGTTCGAGACCAGCCTGGCAAACATGGTGAAACCCCGTCTCTACTAAAAATACAAAAATTAGCCAGGCATGGTGGCAGGCACCTGTAAGTAATCCCAGCCGCTTGGAAGGCTGAGGCAGGAGAACCACTTGAACCCAGGAGGCGGAGGTTGCAGTGTGCCAAGATTGCACCATTGCACTCCAGCCTGGGTGACAAGAGTGAGATGAAAGAAAGACAGAAAGAAAGGAAGGAAGGAAGGGAGGAAGGAAGGAAGGAAGGAAGGAAGGAAGGAAGGAAGGAAGGAAGGAAGGAAGGAAGGAAAGGAAGGAAGGGAGGGAAGCAGCCTCATTGCAGATATAAAATTTACGTGGTCTGGATAGAAGATTAAACCAGCCATAACATTCTCTTAAGCCAAAGCCTAATCCAGAGCAAGGATCTAACTCTTCAACTCTATGAAGGCTGAGAGAGTTAAGGAAGCTGTAGAAGAAGAGTTGGAAGCTAGAAGAGGTTGGTTCGTGAAGTTTAACGAAAAAAGCCAGCTCCATAACTGATAAAAAGTGCAAGGTGAAACAGCAAGTGCTGATATGGAAGCTGCAGTAAGTTATCCAGAAGATCTAACTAAGATAATGATGTAGGTGCTTGCACTAAACAACAGGTTCTCAATGTAGATAAAACAGCCTTAGAGTGGAGGAAGATGTCATCCAGGACTTTCACAGCTAGAGAGCAAACAATGCCTGGCTTCAAAGCTCCAAAAGACAGGCTGACTCTCTCACTAGGGGCTAATCCAGCTGATGACTTTAAGTTGAAGCCAATCTCCATTTACCATTCCAAAAATGTAGAACCCTTAAAAATTATGCTAAATCTACCCTGCCTATGCTCTATAAATGGAAGAACAATGCCTAAATGACAGCACATTTATTTACAGCATAGTTTACTAAATATTTTAAGCCTACTGTTGAGTCCTACCACTCAGGAACAAAGATTTATTTTAAAATATTACTGCTTATTCTCAATGTATCCAGTCACCTAAGAGCTCTGATGAAGATGCACAAGGAAATTAATTTGGTTTCATGCCTGCTAATGCAATATCCATTCTTCAGTCCAGGGATCAAGGAGTAATTTTTACTTTCAAGTCTTATTATTTAAGAAATTTATTTCATAAGGCTATAGTTTCCGAAAACAGTGATTCCTCTGATGGATCTAGGTGAAGTAAATTGAAAATCTCAAGGATAGAATTCACCCTTCTAGATGCCATTATGAACATTTGTGATTAATTTTAAAATATCAACATTACCAGGAGTTTGGAAGAAGTGGATTCCAATCCTCATGGATGAGGGGTTCAAGATTTTAGTGAAGGAAGCAACTGCAGATGTGGTGGAAACAGCAATAGAACTAGAATTAGAAGTGGAGCCTGAAGATGTGATTAAATTGCTGCAATCTCATAATAAAACTAGAACAAGTGAGGAGCTGCTTCATATAGTTGAGCAAAGAAAGTGATGGAATCTACTCCTGGCGAAGATGCTGTGAACACTGTAGAAATGACAGCAAAGGATTTACAATAGTACATAATCTTAGTTGACAAAGCAGCTGTATGGTTTGAGAGGATCAACTTAACTTTTGAGAGAAATTCTACTGTAGATAAAATGCTATCAAACAGTATAACATGCTACAGAGAAGTCTTTTGTGAAAAAAGAAGTCTATTAATGCAGCAAATTTCATTGTCTTATTTTAAGAAACTGCTACAGCCACCCCAGCCTTCAGTAGCCACCACATTTATTGGTCAGCAGACATCAACATCAAGGCAAGACCCTCCACCAGCAAAATGATTGCAACCTGCTGAAGGCTCAGATGAGTGCTAGCATTTTTTTTAGTAATGAAGTATTTTTAAAATTAAGTTATGTACATTGCTTTTTTAGACAAAATGCTATTGCACGCTTAAGAGACTACAGTATAGTATAAACTTTTATCTGCACTTAGAAACCAAATAATTCTTGTGATTCACTTTATTATGATATTTGCTTTATTGTTGTAGTTTGAAACTGAACTCACAATATCTCTGATGTATGCCTGAACCTGAAAAGGAAATCAGTAAGTGCAACAAGCAGTGATAGAGTATTTAAGAGATCTGCTCTGAGCCAAAGACCTAAGTATGCAGATGGAAGGATGTCACTAAGAAAAATCGGAGTCACACATGCATACACATGGAGACACACCCTGGCAGAAACATAAATTTCAAGTGTGAAGAAAAACATTCACAACTACCTACACAGAAGGAAAAAAAAGTGTTCTTTCCATGGGAAGAAAAAGTAGACTGGCTTCTTTTTTATAATACAATACTTCTCTTATAACAGGATACTGATCTATAAAATATAAGCCAAATACTGTTAAGAAAAGTTAACCACGAATAAGCCAGGTATGGTGGCTCATGCCTGTAATCCCAGCACTTTGGGAGGCCCAGGAGGGTGGATCACTTGAGGCCAGGAGTTCGAGACCAGCCTGGTCAACATGGCAAAACCCCATCTTTACTAAAAATACAAAAATTAGCTGGGCATGATGGCGCATGCCTGTAATCCCAGCTACTCAGAAGGCTGAGGCACAAGAATGGCTTGAATCCAGGAGGCAGAAGTTGTAGTGAGCTGAGATTGTACCACTGCACTCCAGCTTAAGTGACAGAGTGAGACTCTGTCTCAAAAAAAAAAAAAAATTAACCATGATTAAAATTTCAGGTTCTAAGGACTTAGTAACATTAAATGCTACACAAAATGAAATTCATGAGTCAAATACTTAGCTCACTTTTAATATAAGAAAGCATTTTTTCTTTTTATTATAACATATGCAAATAATTTAAGAATAATCCTTATGGCCTCTCATGCTGCTACATTGTACCAGACTTAACTTTAATTAAAATTTTCTTTTTCTTCCTCCCTCATCTGTATTTCAAAGATGACTTAGTTATGTCTTTTTATTGAATCGATATAATCTTGACCCTCTTCATGCTAAATAGAAAGCAAATGTCTCTCTTAAGAGTTCCCTAGTGTGTCTTTCACTCGGGGTTTCAATAAATTCAGAGGCCGTTAATAATGTCGCCTAGCAGTTTGTTAAGCATTTCTTCATGTTCATGATTTTTATGAAGAGCATATGAAACTCTGTCTACCTCCTTGTTCTCCACAACTTTTAGTCTTTCCCAAACTGGATGAATATACAGTTTTTGGTGTCATCAAACTCTCCTGTCTCAATTTATTGTTTTCTCGGTCTCCTAGTTTATTGGTGGGTCATACTTTTACTAAACTCTATTAAATAATGGCTCAAAGAATAGGCTGCCCTGTACCAGGGCTAATGAGAAAGGGCACAGTCTCTTTAGAGATCTGGTTTCCAGCATCTTTTTATCCAACTACAGAGACTGTTTCTTTGGGAGAGAATGCTGTGTGCAGATTAGTTCTTCTGCACTGTGTTCTGAGCTGAAGATGGCCTTTCCCTGGATTGGTGCACTGCAGTAGGAGGAAAATATAATTAACTGCACAGCATATGTCCTTAATGGTTTGATAAAGGACCACAAGAAGCATAGTGAAGAAGATGAGTGTGGAAAGAATTCCTTTTTATTAAACCTGGCAGGGGAGAAGGTTTAAGATATTCATTTCCATAGATAAACAAGCCAAAGGAAAAGAACATCTGCTGGGAAGGGCTTCTCCAACATACAGCAGATGTGTTTCAACAACAAAGCATATCCTAGAAGCATTTCAGGATTTAATTATTTAGCTATTTCATTGAGCTGAGGAGCAGGGGGGTGGGGAGGTTGAGGAAGCATATTGTAAATTTACTGAGCCTGGAAATTCAATTCCAAATGTAGTTTAAGCCTCCACATGCTGGCATTTCTCTCGAAACATATGCTAACTGCTTTTTGATACACAGACCCCAACTGCATTCATTCATTTCACCCCACATGTGGAATGGCTATGGCTGCAAATCATTCTCTCCATCATCCCTCCCCCAATGATATACCCCCATTTGTCTGCTGCATTTTTGTAACAACCTTCCATCTTCTTTCACTGACTTCAGTTTTACCCTGTTTGAAACTCTTGTCCTTATACCCTGTTTGAAACTCTTGTCTTTCTAAAGTGCAAATCTGATCATTGTATCCATAAAACAAGAAAGGGAGGAGATGTGGCCTGAGAGATTAAGGAATGGCTAGTCCAAAGCAAAGGAAAATTGATAAGGGAAATGAAGATGGAGTAAAATGCAAAAAACAACAGAGGCTGTCTATAAATTAGCCAAAGGGCTCAGAAAGAAGAGAACAGTTCTGAATTAAGTGCAATACACATGGTCAGACTCCAGCTCTCCTGGGCAGTGCCTTCTCTCAGAAATGATCCAGGTTTTGTGGGGATATATCAGGAAAGAAGACCATGTAATTCTATGTGTGGTTGCCTGAAAGGGTGGCCAAATGAAGAACAAAACAGTCTGATTATAGCAGCCCAAGAGAAGCCAGAACAACCTGATCTGGCCTCCTTTTCATTGTTCTCTACTGCCCACGGTATAAAAGTCTAAAATTCTCAGTGCGGTAAACCAGAACTTCCCGTTCTCTCTTTAGACCCTTCTTCCAAGTTTCTCCTGTGTACTCTGCACTTTAACAAATATTTTTATTTCCCCAAATATATGCCATCTCTATGATTTGCCTGTCTTCTCTCTTCATGGGTTTCCTCAGAATGTCTTGACTACATAGTAAATTCTTGTGAATACCCTAAAGTTGCTTTAGATGTCTTCTCTCTGAAGCCTTCGTTACTCACCTACTCATCGAATCTGTCAGCAATAATCCCACAATCACATTTCATAAGGCCTGGCATTTCACTCTATGTTTAGCAGTTATCCTTTTGTTTTTTAATTTTTTTCATAAATAGAATATAAACTTTTTGAGATCATAACGTGCCCAATTTATGTTTATTAAATGAATAAATGGTGAGTTCGGTATTGCAAAGTCCAGTGTAACCAAGTTGCATAGCATGGGGGTCAGGTGGGGAGGTGAGGATATGCAGAAGCATGTCTTCCCCTCTAACTTATCAGAGTAACAGCTGCGGCCCAGAAACAATGTGGGTTGGGTCTAAGACAGTGGCACACATATCCCATTCCCTGTATTTTCTTTTTCTTCTTCTTTTTTTTTTTTTTCGGAGATGGAGTCTTGCTCTGCTGCCCAGGTTGGAGTGCAGTAGTGTGATCTCAGCTCACTGCAACCTCCGTATCCCAGGTTTTAGCAATTCTCCTGCCTCAGCCTCCTGAGTAGCTGGGACTACAGGTGCACAAGGCTACGCCTGGCTAATTTTCTGTATTTTAGTGGAGACAGGGTTTCACTGTGTTGCCCAGGCTGGTCTTGAACTCCTAAGCTCAGGCAATCCACCCACCTCGGCCTCCCAAAGTGCTAGGATTACAAGTGTGAGCCACCACGCCTGGCCTATTTTTTTTCTTTCAGTCACTATTTTAGTGATGATGCTCTTTAGTTGAGACTCATCTAATTTAAGCAAAAACATCCAGAGTTGGTTGACCTTCAAACAGAGCTTGATCAAAAATCCACAATAAGAGTTTAGGATTCAGTTTCTCCTCATCCCCTCTTGGTTTTTGTTTGTTTGTTTGTTTGTTTATTTTGATGCTGGCTCCATGCTCAGGCTCCCTGGAGAAGCCCGTGGCAGCTTCAGGTACAGTGTGCCTTCATTGTTGGCTAACCCAAAAGATGAGAGAGCCTGTCTCTTACTTGGAAGTCCCCGCAGAAGGTTTATTGCTCTGATCACAACATGAAACCATCTCCAAAATGGTCATCATCACCAAGTGAATGTGAAGTACTCATTGATCAGGCTCAAATCACAGGTTCACCTCTGTAGCTTGCTCCATTCAGAATGTGTAGACAGAAAGTAAAGAACAAAGTTGTTCCTTACAGATAAGAAAACGATATAATTTTTTGAACAAACTGGACACATTTGAGAGTTAAAGGGGAGACTTAATAATTAAACTAGGGCATAAACATGAACTGCACTGTCCAGGAAACCAGGATCCATCCTCATTCTACCCATTGGAAAAGGAGAACACCATTACCAGGGTTAATAAACATTGTTAGGCAACAATAACACACAGCCACAAGGGCCATGCCACATGGAGTCATAGCTACATACATATATGTAGCTATGATTGCTTCAGCTGGACAAAGTGTTTTAAAACTTTTATTTTCTGTAAGTTCACAGAAAGAACTCTTTACTGCTTTGATAAAACGTATTACTAGTTCTAACTAGTGGATAGCTTTGGTTAATCTCTTCACTGATCAGGCCTCTGTTCTCTCATCTCTTGAACATGGGTGTTGGACTGGGACTCATTAGCATTCTCTCTGGCTCTTTAGTTCCCTGGGATGCCATTATGATTCTAGGGCAGAGGCAAGGCTAAATTCAGTTTGATTGGGAGATGATTGACTCTTGAGACAGACTGTATCACACACTTATAAGTGCTTGATTCCATGTGGCAGATTTGATATTTTTAAAGCCGTAACAACAACAATAACAACAGCAACAACTATCATATATCAGTGCTTACTTACTTTCTGCCAGCAACACTAATGAGCTCTTTATATCGTATTTCATTTATTCTTACCCAACTAAATGAGAGAAGCATTAGTACCCCCATTTTATAGATAAGGAAACTGTCACTTTCACCAGCTGTTCAGCGAATACTTATTGAATGCGTGTAAGGCTCAGTTCTAGGAATTGAGGAAATAGTGATGAACAAGACAGTCCAGGTCTTAGACTTCACACAATTTACATGAAGCCATTAGGGTTTAATCATGAAGATGGAATCACAACAAATGATATTAAATAAGGCATTATTCAACCTTACACAATTGTGGGAGTTGCTGGGAATATACAGTTTTTAAAAACCATCAGAATAGAACTTAATCAGCTCTTGAGTGAGTGAAAGAGTGGCAATAGGCAAGTCTGGCTCCCAGAATGGTATAGAAGCCTGGCTCTTGGTGGCTGCCCCCCTCTGGGGGTTCACAGAGTGGCACCTGGTAGGAGCCTGTGGTTGTCATTGGTCTGCAGGGCTGGACGTCAGAAGGAGGCCTTGACATGTAGTGAGGAAAAGAGATGACAAGCTGGAAACTACTGGCCTCTTTGCATCTGTCCCTCACCTCTTCTAACTAATGATGACCTTTGGAGAACATCGGCTGCCACTTCACTCTCACCTCTCAAATCTCATGCAGGAAGTTCTGACGGCCAACCAAATGCAGCCTCAACTCACCCTCAGCTTAGCTAAATTGACAAAGGACAAGACCACTGTGGGAAGAGTTGGGCGGTGGCAAATTAAGAGAAACGGACAATGAGCAAACAATAAAATGAAGATGAAAACATCAGATACCAATGTGTTGAGAATTACAGCATGATGCTATGATCAAGAGTCACTGCTGGCTACTTTAGAAGGGGGCTGGGAAATTTTTCAGAGCTGGCAAATGAAAAAGCAGAAATTCAGTCCTGAACAGTGTGACTCTGGAGCCAATTCCTTTATTTTATACACAGCTTCTATGTGAACTTGAATGATGATGATAATTTTCCGGAAATGAAGGGTATGTCTTTACAAGGACAGATTTTCAGGCACCTTCTCAGAACAACTGGATCAGAACCTCAAGGTACTGGAACTTGTGGTTTTAACAAGTACCTGGGGTGATATTTAGCAGAACAGACCAGTTTAGAGAACACTGCACCAGCGCTTCACAAAGGAGTAATGAATTCCTGAAATGCATTGCTCACAAGTTCCTGAAGAGACGATCAAATCATCCCTGGGTGAGTTTGAACAACTAACCCTTCAGTTAACAACCAAACGTACTAAGCAAGCGCACCACAGAGACAACTGTATAGCTTGGCTGTGACTTTAGCTGTAACAGAGAAGTCTCTTTTATGTGCCATTTTGTCTGGAATAGCACACAAGCACCAGTAACATGCATACACATACCATCAACTTCTCTGATTAATAATAACTATATATGTGTGTAGGTGTGTGCATAAAAACTGTGTGTGTGTGTGTGTGTGTGTGCACGTGTGCATGTGTACGTGTTCAGAAAGCAGAGCCTGCAAAGATTTTTAACTCCTCGAAGGTACTTAAAAAGCACTGTGTTTAGACACCTCAGCAACTCCCTCATACACCTGGGAGAGACATGTGAATAAAAATGTGCTTCATTCATCTGGAAAGGCTTTCAGGCTTTAGAAACACAGTCTGAAAGGCGAAACTTCACCCACAGCAATAGGAATCTGTCAACATGAATGGAAACGTTCACTCTTCCCAATACTGAGGGCTTCCAGGGGGATTAATTGTTTAATATTCACAAAGGACTTTGAAGATAAAAAGGCTCACATAAAGGCTGAAAATGAACACTCTTTATTTGCTTTTCTCATCCTGTAGTTGAATCTGCAGGGCCGCCATGTCTTTGAAGCAGCTCCAAGATTATAATAATGATGACCACCCTTGGAGTTAGGAGAACAGAGTAATCAGGGAGGAATAACTTAACTTCAGCTATAATTTTAACAGCAAAAGTAAGGACTTTGGGACCAAACAGAATCCTGACTCTATGACCTGCCAGCTGTGTGACCTTGGGCAAGTTCCTCACCCTCTCTGAGATGCTAGTTTGTCAGCTGAAAACTGAGATAATTATAGCTACCTGGTTATTGTTAGATTAGAGGTGATTTAAAGGATTTAGGTAAGTACATCGCTAGTATTTGTGCAATTATAACATTGTTGCTACTGCCAATGTTAGAGGAATATTAATGAATAAGGTTTCCAATGTTTGATGCTGCAAAAGCCAATATTGATCCTAATTAAATACAAAAATTAAAAGAAAGAGTAGGAACAAACCAAGCTGACAGGCAAAAAATGTGTTGAATCATTTGTGCATATGTATGTGTGTCTAGTAGAGGATTCTGCTAGTATTTACTCAAGATTATTAAATAACTTTAAGTAGTCCTTTATTCCATAATTGCTTTATATTCCCGCTAATATCCCAACTAATTTCTTTAATATAGCTCTGCTATCAACTCTCACTCAGACCCTTGTTGCCATCTTCAGTGTTTCTGCAGTGTTTCTCAAGGTTGAGAATTTAAAGACTTCCGTGAATCCATATGAGAAGCTTTGCAATAAATGGAAACTCTGGCATATCATGACCCTGAGCTATAAAAGGCTGTCAAAAGAGAAACTTAGGTTTTGAACCTAACCCTGTCTCCATCTCGTTTAGACACTGGGGGTCATCTTTCAATTTTTTTCAATGTGGAGCACTCCAGGTAAGGAAGTGGAAGATGGCAGGGAGAAGCTGGAGAACTACAGTGTTTACTCGGCTTTGAATAATATCTGGATTTAATCTAGGTGGGCACTCACCAATCGCCACTGCTCAACCCCTAATATATTATCTTCTTGGGTTTGAGGCTGCTTCCTTGATAAACATCAAGAAAGTAATGACTGTGGCCTAGGATTCCCACCACCGTGCCAATCACAGCAACTCTGTGAATATAGTAGTTATGCACATATGGATGTTAAGCCAGACTGCCATGGAGAGAAAAAGAAAATCAAAGTCGCCAATAGGTCCATTTTCTCAAGTTTGAAAAACATTGGTTTATCATGTACTGGCTTATAGTATAAGCCACCCAGCTACTGTGATGGGTACAGATTAGGCAACTTGGCATCTTTAGAACATGATGCCTGAAAGTTTGCGCAGTTATGGCTCTTCAGAAGTCAGGAAAGAGTTCTTTTAAAAAAGAATAGAAACCAAGAATTTCTCTGTGGTCTCCTTTGTAGATTGTCATGTTACAGGAAGGAGTGGAAAATAGGTGGTTCGAGAAGGTAGTTTACAAAATCTCGTTTAAAAAATTCTCCCTCTCTGAGTCAGGCTTAGAAAAATTACAGGGACACAATAATTGATGTGTATGTGGGGTATGGGGAGGTTCTCATCCAGGAACAATATTAATGATAAATAGTTCACCAAAAAACTACCTAATTGTTGGCAATCCAGGAGAAAAAAAGTTTCAATTAGGATGCAGAAGATGAGTTTCAGTACTACCTTTAACATTAATTAGCTCTGTGATGTTAGGAAACTCAATTAAACTTTGCTGGCCTTTTAAAAAAATTTTTCTTTGTTTGTTTTTCATCTGTAAATTGAGATGGCAAAAGAAATTTCAACTAGACAACTTATTAAATTTTGACAAGGATTCTTTTGCATACAAATATTTTTCTCCAAGGACAAAACTCTAATTAGCTTCCCAGTATTCCTTTTTTTTTTTTTTTTTTTTTTTTTGAGACAGAGTCTAGCTCTGTCACCCAGGCTGGAGTGCAGTGGCGCCATCTGGGCTTACTGCAAGCTCCGCCTCCCGGGTTCACGCCATTCTCCTGCCTCAGCCTCAGAAATCAGAGACACACACAGAGAAACAAAGACACAGGTGTCAACAGATTTCTTTATTTTTTTCAACTTTTATTTTAGATTTAGGGGGTACATGTGCAGGTTTATTAATTGGGTATTTCATATGAGGCTGAAGTTTGGGGTATGAATGATCTCATCAAGCAGGTACTGAGCATAGTGCTCAACAGTTAGTTTGTTAACGCTTTCCCCGCTCCCTCCCTCCCCTCTCTAGCAGTCCCCAGTGTCTACTGTTGCCTTCTTTATGTCTATGAATACCCAACGTTTAGCTCCCACTTATAAGCAAGATCACTCATATTTGGTTTTCTGTTCTTCCATTAATTTGCTTAGAATAATGGCCTTCAGCTGCATCCATGTTACTGTAAAAGACATGATGATTTTGTTCTTTTTTTCTTTTTCTTTTTCTTTTTTTTTTGAGATGGAGTTTCACCCTACTTGTCCAGGCTGAAGTGCAGTGGCACGATCTTGGCTCACTCCAACCTCTGCCTCCCGAGTTCAAGCAATTCTCTTGCCTCAGCCTCCTGAGTAGCTGGGATTACAGGCATGCACAACCACACCTGGCTAATTTTTGTATTTTTGTAGAGACAGGGTTTCACCATGTTGGCCAGGCTGGTCTTGAACTCCTGACCCCAGGTGATCTGCCCACCTCTGGCTCCCAAAGTGCTGGGATTACAGGCGTGAGCCACCACGCATGGCCAATTTTGTTCCTTTTTATGACTGTGTAGTATTCCATGGTGTATATATGTCACATTTTCTTTATCCAATCCACCATTCATGGGCACCTAGGTTGATTCCATGTCTTTGCCATTGTGATTAGTGCTGTGATGAACACACGAGTGCATTTGTCTTTTTGTAGAATAATTTGATTTCTTTTGGATATATACCTACTAATGGGATTGCTAGGTTGAATGGTAGCTCTGTTTCAAGTCCTTTGAGAAATCTCCAAACTACTTTCTACCACAACTAAAGTAATTTGCACTCCCACTGACAGTGTATAAGTGTTCCTTTTTCTCCACAGCCTCACCAAAATCTGCTGGGGTTTATTTTATTTTATTTTTTAAATTATAGCCATTCTGACTGGTATGAGATGGCATCTCATGGTTTTGATTTGCATTTCTCTAATAATTAGAGATGTGGAGCATTTTTTTCATATGTTTATTGGCCACTTGTATGTCTTCCTTAAATGTCTGTTTAAGTGCCATATGGATTCTGGATATTCAACCTTGGTTGGATGCATAGTTTGCAAATATTTTCTCCCATTCTGTGGGTTGTCTGTTTATTCTGTTGATAGTCTATTTGGTGTGTAGGAGCCCCTTAGTTTAATTAGGCCCCACTTGTCCGTTTTTGTTTTTATTGCAATTGCTTTTGAGGACTTCATCATAAATGCTTTGCCAAGGCCAATTCCAGGATGGTGCTTCCTAGGTTTTCTTCTAGGATTCTTGTAGTTTGAGTTCTTACATTTGAACCTTTAATCCATCTTGAGTTAATTTTTGGAGATGATAAAAGGTAGGGGTCCAGTTTTATTCTTCTGCATGTGGCTAGCCAGCTATCCCAGCACCATTTATTGAACAGGGAGTCCTCTATCCATCAGTTATCTTTGCCAACTTTTTCAAAGATCAGATAAATGTAAGTGTGAAGCTTTATTTCTGGGTTGTCTATTTTATTCCATTGGTCTATGTTTCTGGTTTTGTATCTGTACCATACTGTTTAGTTACTGTAGCCTCATAGAATAGTTTGAAGTCAGGTAATGTGATGCCTCTGGCTTTATTCTTTTTGCTTAGAATTGCTTTGGTTATTTGAGCGCTTTTGTGGTTACATATGAATTTTAGAATAGTTTTTCTCCAATTCTTTGAAAAATAATGTTGGTACTTTGATAGTAATAACATTGAATCTACAAGATGGCTTTGGGGAGTATGGCCATTGTAATGATATTGATTCTTGCGATCAGTAACTATGGACTTTTCTCCATTTTTTTGTCACCTTTTTTTTTTTTTTTTTGCAGTATTTTGTAGTTCTCCTTGTAGAGATCTTTTACCTCCTTGGTTGATGTTTTCCTAGGTATTTTATGTTTTTGTATGGCTACTGTAAATGGGATTATAGTCTTGTTTTGGCTCTCTGCTTGAATATTATTGTGCATAGAAATGCTACTAGTTTTTGTACATTGATTTTGTATTCTGAAAGTTTACTGAAGTTGCAGGAGCGTTTTGGTGGAACCCTTAGGGTTTTTTTCTAGGTATAAAATCATATTGTCTATGAAGAGAAATAGTTTGACCTCTTCTCTTCCTATTTGGATGCCTTTTATTTCTTTCTCTTGCTTGATTTCTCTGGCTAGCACATTCAGTACTATGTTGAATAGGAGTCATGAGAGTTGGCATCCTTGTCTTGTTCTGGTTCTCCAGGGGAATGCTTCCAGATTTTACCTGTTCAGTATGATGTTGGCTTTGGGTTTCTCATAGATGGCTCTTTTGATGTTCCTTTGATGCTTAGTTTCTTGAGGATTTTATTATGAAAATATGTTGGATTTAATCAAAAGCTTTATCTGCATCTTTTGAGATAATCATGTAGTTTTGTTTATAATTCTGTTTATGTGGTAAATCACATTTATTGTTTCATGTGTGTTGAACCAGGCTTTCATCCCAAGAATAAAGCCTACTTGATCATAGTGAATTAAGTTTTTGATGTGCTGTTGATTTTGATTTGCTAGTATTCTGTTGAGGATTTTCACATCTATGTTCATCAGGGATCTTGGCCTGTAATTTCCTTTTTTGTTGCATCTTTGTCAGCTTTTGGTGTCAGGGTAATGCTGGCTTCATAGACTGAGTCAGAGAGGAGTCCCTCCTTCTTGATTTTTGTTTTTTTTTGAAATAGTTTCAGTAGTGTTAGTACCAGCTCTTCTTTGTACATCTGGTAGAATTTGGCTATGAATCCATCTGGTCCAGGGCTTTTTTTGGTTGGTAGGTCTTTTTATTAATGGTTCAATTTTGGAACTTGATATTGGTATGTTCAGTGTTTCAATATCTTCCTGATTGAATCATGGGAAATTGTGTGTTTCCAGGGATTTACTCATTTCCTTTAGATTTTCTAATTTGTAAGTATAACTGTTCATAATGGTCTCTGCAGATCTTTTGTATTTCTGTGGGATCAATTTTAACATAACCTCTATGTTCTGACTGTATGTATATCTATGTTCACCTCTATGTATCTGACTGTGCTTATTTGCATCTTTTCTCTTTTTTTCTTTGTTAATCTAGCAACCAGTCTATCAATCTAGTTGATTCTTCCAAATAAGCAACATTTGGTTTCATTGGTTCTTTGTATGTATTTTGGGGTCTCAATTTTGTTCAGTTCCACTCGATTTTAGTTATTTCTTTTCTTCTGCTAGCTTTGGGGTTAGTTTGTTCTTTTTTTCCTAGTTCCTCTGGCTACCATGTTAGATAGTTAATTTGAGATCTTTCTGTTTTCTTGATTAAAGTGTTTAGTGCTACAAACTTCCCTCTTAACACTGCTTTATGTATATCTCAAAGAGTTTGGTAAGTTTGTCTCTATTTTTATTAACTTCAAATAAATTTTTGATTTCTGCCTTAATTGTATTGTTCATCCAAGAGCTAGTCTGGAGCAAGATGTTTAATTTCTATGTTCTTGTGTAATTTTGAAAGGTCTTCTTGGTATTGATGTTTATTTTTATTGCACTGTGGTCTAACTGTGTGCTTGATATGATTTCAACTGTTTTGAATTTATTGAGATTCCATTTATGCCTCAGAATATAGTTGATTTTAGAATGTGTTTCATGCACCAATGAGAAGAATGTATTCTGTGGTTGCTGGGTGGACTATTCTGTAGATGTCTATTAGGTCCAGTTGTTCAAGTGTCAAGTTTAAGTCCAGAATTTCTTTGTTAGTTTTCTGCCTTGATGATCTATCTAATGCTCTCAGTGTGCTCTCAGTGGTGTATTGAAGTCCTCCAGTATTATTGTGTGGCATTTTAGGTCTAGAAGTACTTGCCTTATGAACAAGTACTTGTCTTATAACAAAGTACTTAACTTTGTCTTCTCCAATGTTGGGTGCATTATGTTTATAATAGTTATATCGTTTTGTTGAATTGAACCATTTATCGTTTTGTAAATCCTTCTTAGTCCTTTTTTACTGTAGTTGGTATAAAGTCTGTTTTACTGACATAAGAATAGTGACCCATCTCTTTTTTGCTTTCAATTTGCATGGTAAATCCTTCTCCAATTCTTTACTTTGAGCCTATGGGTGTTGTCACATATGAGATAGGTCTCTTGAAGACAGCACACAGATGGGTCTTGTTTTCTTATCCAGCTTATTCCTCTATGCCTTTTAAGTTGAACATTTAGACCATTTACACTGAAGGTTAATATTGAAATGAGTTTTTGATCCTATTGTGTAGTTGTTAGCTGAATGCTTTGTAGTTTCTGTTATGTGGTTGCTTTATATATAAGGTTTATAGGATCTGTTGGACTATATACTTAAGTGTGTTGTTGTGATAGCAGGTATCATTCTTTCATTTACATGTTTAGAATGTCCTTAAAAACCTCTTGTAAGGCTGGTCTAGTAGTAATAAATTCCCTTAACGCTTGCCTATCTGAAAAATATTTTATTTCTCCTTTGCTTATGAAGCTTCATTTGATGGTACATGAAAATCTTGGCTGGAATTTCTTTCCCTTAAGAATGCTGAAAATAGGCCTCTACTCTCTCCTGGCTTGTAAGGTTTCTGCTGAGAAATCCACGTTAGCCTGATGGAGTTCCCTTTGTGCATGATCTGCCATTTCTTTCTAGCTGTCTTTAAGATTATTTCTTTAGTTTTGGCTTTGGGCAGTCTGATGATGTTTATTTTGTATAGTATCTTGCAGGTGTTCTCTAGATTTCTTGTATCTGTCTACTTTCCTAGCATATACTAACATATGCTACTGTATATGTCTACTTTTCTAGCAAGATCAGAAAAGTTTTCTTAAATTATTCCCTCAAATATATATTCCAGGTTGTTTACTTTTCCCCTCCTTTCTCAGGAATGCCAAGGTTTGGTCACTTTACATAATCCCCTAGTTCTTGAAGACTTTGTTGATTTTTTAAATTTTTTTTCTTTATTTTTTGACTGGGTTAGTTCAAAATACCTGTCTTCAATCCCTAAAATTCTTTCTTTTGCTTGGACCAGTTTATCAATGAAGCTTTCAGTTGTGTTTTGAAATTCCTTAGGTGAGATTTTCAATTCCAGAAGCTCTGATTGATTTGTCTTTAAGATGTTTATCTCTTTCTTCATTTTCTGGATTAGCTTAGAAGATTATTTGTGTTGATTTTCAACTTTGTCTTTGATCTTATTGTGCTTCCTTGAAATCCATGCTTTGAACTATTTATCTGTCATTTTTGAGATTCTGTTTTGGTTAGGGACCATTGCTGGAAATCTAGTGCAATCCTTTAGTGATGTCACTACATTCAGATTTTTTTATGGTGCCAGAATTCTTGTCCTGGTTTCTTCTTATCTGGAGACACTGGCACTTTTACTTTTTGTAATTATTTTCATGCAGGTAGAATTTTTTTTCATTTTCTTTATTTCCCTGTAATATTATTATTTTTTCTTTCTCTTTTCCTTCCCCTGCCCCAGGTGTGGTGACTGTAGCAAATGCTCGGTAGGGTCTTTTTGGCTTTGCTTTTATAGCCCTATGCACTTCTTTCCACAGGTTTCATATTGAGCTGTGAAGTTTTAACTGCCAGCCCATAGATGGCACTTATATATCAGAGCCAGTTGTGGCCAACCTGACTGGGTATATACTTGATTCTTGTTTAATGTCAGAAGCTCTCTGTTGCATCAGGAAGTGGGCTGATTCCTAGAATGCTCTCTGTTCAGCCCATGAGGGTCAGGGCCCAAAAAAGATGGAGCTGAACTGGGCAGGTCTGCCTAAAATTCCCTTGATGGCAGGCACCAGCACAGAGGGAGAATCTGGTGGGCAGCCACCAAATGTCCAGAGGTGTGCCTAGGCATAACGCTGGGAAACATCCTTGGCTCCAAGTTCTCTGCACAGGGATGGGGATGGCCTATACTTCTATTTTATTTTATTTTTTATTTTTATTTATTTATTTATTTATTTATTTATTTATTTATTTATTTATTTTTGAGATGGAGCCTTGCTCTGTTGCCAGACCAAAGTCTAGTGGTGCAATCTCAACAAGTTTGATCTAACTGATATTTATAGAATAATTTCCTCAATAACAGCAGAATACTCATTTTTCTGAAGTGCATGTGAAACATTTACTGAAATGTATCATATCTTGTACATAAAACAAGCACCAATATATACCATAAATTTTAAGACTGAATGTATTCAATCATACAAATTATAATCTCTTAACATGATGGAATTAAATCAGAAATCAATAACACAAAGATATATGGAAATAATCCAAATATTGGAGAAAAAAACAACACATTTTTAAATAAGTTGCTGGTCATTGCAACCTCCCCACTCCAGATTCAGGGGATGGCCTACACTTCTAATCTAGGGAAATAGGTACTCCAGGTGTCTGGAGATATGCCTGAGCCTGGGGCAGAGAGGGTCTCCTTGCATTAAGATCTCTGCATAGGAGGGGTGGGTTGGCTCAGGCTGCTGATCCAGGTTAGCTGATGCTCCAGATGCCTGGAGATCTGTCTGGGTGTGGACCAGAGAGGTCCTCTCTGCCACGTGATCTATGTCCAGGAATGGTGGTGTGTCTCAGGTTGCTGATCCAGGTGAACAAGTACTCCAGATGCTGACAGATCTGCCTGGGCATTGAGCAGAGAAAGCCCCACTGCACCAAGATCTATGTCCAAAAAGGGGGCATGGCTAGGGCTGCTGAACCAGGTGAACAGGTGCTCTGAATGCCTGGTGATCTGCCTGAGCCTGGAGTGGAGAGGTCCTCCATTGCATCAGAGTTTCTGCACAGGAAGGGTGGGATGGCTCAGGCTGCTGATCCTGGTAAGTGGTGCTTCTAGTGCCTGGAGATTTTCGTGGGGATGAAGCAGAGTCTCCCAGCACTAAGATCTCTACGCAGGAGGGGTGGGGTGATTCAGGCTGCTTGACCAAGCAAGCAGGTACTCTGAATGCCTAGAGATCTTTCTGGAACAGAGAGAGCTCCAGTTAGCAAATGTTTTCATAGAAATAATGCAAATGAGAAGGCAGTGGAGTAGCATCTTCTATTTCCAGGAAAACTATCTTTCAAAAATGAAGACAAAATGACGACTTTTTCAGACATATAAAATCTGAATGAACTAATTTCCAACATACCTACACCAGAATAAATGTTAAAGGAAGTCTGTTATGAAAAAGAAAAATGATACCAGATGGAAATCAGGTTCCATGCAAAGAAACAAGAACACTGGGAATGGTAACTCCATAAGAAAATGTACAACATTTTTCTTATTAATGTTTAAAGGTGATGGATTCCTTAAACAGATATCATAACAATGTATTGTGGGAAGTATAACATGTCAAAAGTACAATATATTACAAAAGTGACATGAAACTAAGGGAAGGAGAAATGGAAGATACTGTCATCAAGTTCTTTTGTCATACAAAGTAGTATAATAGCACTTGGAGGTAGACTGTGGTAATTTAAATATGTATGCTTTTAAGAATGATACAGTGGACTTTTGGGGGAAAGGGTGAGAGGTGGGTGAGGGATAAAAGTCTACATATTGGATACAATGTACACTACTTAGGTGATGGGTGCACCAAAATCTCAGAAATCACCACTAAAGAACTTATTCAGGTAACCAAATACCACCTGTTCCCCCAAAACCTATTGAAATATTTTTTTTAAAATGCATCCTTTAAGTTATAAAGCATGCACTAAAATAACAACAAAAAAGTTATACTTGTTCAATGAAGAAATAAAATCGAGTGATAAAAATATTCAGTTAATCCAAAAGAAGGGAGAAAAAGAATGAGTGGAGCAAATAGAAAACAAACAGCAAGGTAATAGACCTAAACACAAAATATTAATAGCACATTAATTGTAAGTGATCCATATACTCCAATTAAAATTCAGAATATAATAGAGTGAATAAAATAGAACAATCATTTAAATTCTACTTACAAGAAACATATTTTAAATATAAAGACACAAATAGGTTAAAATTTAAAACATAGTAAAAGATAAATCATGGTAACACTAGTTTTTAAAAAAGCTGGAGTTGCTATATTAATAATAGAAAAAGTAGATTTTAGAACAAAGAACATTACCAGAGGTAAAGAAAGTCATTTTTTGTTAATAAAGTGATCAGTTCATCAACAAGATATAAAAATCCAAAAATACACAATTAATAAAAGATCTTCAAAATATAAGAAGCAAGCACTGATAGAACAGCAAAAAAAGAAAAATTCACAATTACAGTCACAGACTTCAATACTCTCCTCTCAATCATTTATTTTAAAAAGTAGAAGATAAGAACTTGAGCAACATTATCAACAAGTTTGATCTAATTGATATTTATAGAATAATTTCCTTAATAACAGCAGAATACTCATTTTCCTGAAGTGCATGTGAAACATTTACTGAAATGTACCTTATCTTGTGCATAAAACAAGCACCAATATATACCATAAATTTTAAGACTGAATGCATTCAATCATACAAATTATAATCTCTTAACATAATGGAATTAAATCAGAAATCAATAACACAAAGATATATGGAAATAATCCAAATATTAGAGAAAAAAACACATTTTTAAATAAGTTGCTGGTCAAAGATGAAATCAAAAGGGAACTTAGAAAGTATTTTATATGAATGAAATGAAATATAAAATGATAGTCTTGACCTTCAGTCTCTACATACCACCAATGCTTGCATATTTTATTTTATATCCTTAACAAAAGTAATACATTTAACTAAAATTTTGTTAAGTACTTCACACAAAATTAAGTTTAAAAGCTTAACTAACTAAATTATCAACAAATATTAAATTCTTACTATTCTGTTTATATGGTGAATTACATAAACATATGCTGCCATTTTACAAATTGCATTTCTGTGACAGGTGGCCTATAAGAAACAAATTAGAGAACATGACTCCATATCTAGAAAACCCCACAGTCTCACCTTAAAAGCTCTTCCAGCTGAAAAACAACTTCAGCAAAGTTGCAAGATGCAAAATCAATGTACAAAAATCACTAGCATTCCTATACAGCAACAGCCAAACCAAAAGCCAAATCAGAAAGGCAATCTCATTTACAGTTGGCACAAAAAGAAAAAAATACCTAGGAATACATCTAACCAGGGAGGTGAAAGATCTCTACAATGAGAATTACAAAACACTGCTCAAAGAAATCAGAGAATACATGAACAAATGGAAAAACATCCCATGCTCATGGATAGAAAGAATCAATATTATTAAAATGGCTATACTGCCCAAAGCAATTCACAGATTCAATGCTGTTTCTATCAAACTAGCAGTTATATTCTTCACAGGACTAGAAAAAAATATTTTAAAATTTAAATGGAACCAAAAAAAGAGCCCAAATAGTCAAGGCAATCCTAAGCAAAAGAAACAAAGCTGGAGGCATCATGTTACCTGACTTCAAACTGTAACACAAGGCTACAGTAACCAAAACAGCATGGTACTGGTACAAAAGCAAGCACACAGACCAATGAAACAGAATAGGGAGCTTAGAAATTAGGGTGCACATCTATGACCATCTGATTTTTGACAAGGTTGACAAAAACAAGCAATGGGGAATACACTGTCTATTCAATAAATGGGGCTGGGATAACTGGCTAGCCATATGCAGAAGATTGAAGCTGGACCCCTTACTTACATCATACACAAAAGTCAACTCAAGATGGATCAAAGACTTCAATGTAAAACCCAAAACTATAAAAACACTGGAAGACAACCTAGGCAATACCATCCTGGACATAGGAACAGGCAAAAATTTCTTGACAAAGACACCAAAAGCAATTGCAACAGAAGCAAAAATTGACATGTGGGATCTAATTAAACTTAAGAGCTTCTGCACAGCAAAAGAAAATATCAACAGAGGAAATAGCCTACAGAATGGGAGAAAATATTTGCAAACTATGCATCTGACAAAAGTCTAATATCCAGCATCTATAAGGAATTTAAATTTACAAGAGAAAAACAACCCCATTAAAAAGTAGGCAAAGGACATAAACAGACACTTCTCAAAAGATGACATGCATGAGGCCAACAAGTATATCAAAAAAAGCTCAGTATCACTTATAATTAGGGAAATGCAAATCAAAATCACAATGAGATACCATCTCACATGAGAATGGCTATGATTAAAAAGTTTAAAAGTAACAGATGCTAGTGAAGTTGTGGAGAAAAGGGAACACTATACACTGTCGGTGGGAGTATAAATTAGTTCAACCTTTGTGGAAAGCAGTATGGCAATTCCTCAAAGATCTAAAAGCAGAACTACCATTAGACTCAGCAATCCCATTACTGAGTATATACCCAGAGGAATATAAATTCTAACATAAAGATACATAACAGTCTCTAACACGACTGTTCATTGCAGCACTATCCACAATAATAAAGACATGGAATCAACCTAAATGCCCGTCAATGACAGGTCTGATAAAAAATTATGGTACATATATACCATGGAACACTATGCAGCCATAAAAAAGAACAAGATCATGTCTTCTGTGGGAACATGGATGGCGCTGGAGGCTGTTATCCTTAGCAAACTGACACAAGAACAGAAAATCAAATAATGTTCTCACTTATAAGTGGAAGCTAAATGATAAGAACTTAAAATGTAAAGAAGGAAACAACAGATACTGGTGTTTACTTGAGGCAGGAGAATGGTTGGAGGGAGAGTAGCAGAAAAGACAACAATTTGGTACTGGGTTTAATACCTGGGTTATAAAATAATATGTACAATAAACCCTCATGATATGTGTTTACCTATGTAACAAACCTTCACATGTACCCCCAAACCTAAAATAAAAGTTAAAAAAAGAAACAAATTAAATATTCTATAACAATCACAAATTCAATAAATTATCAAGTGACAGTTTCTCTCCTCTTGTTGTCTCCCTCTTTCTCTTTCTTTCTTTCTCCCTCTAATCTCAGACTTAGTTTTTGTTTAAAGAGTCAAAGGGTTTTTAGAGGTTTATTATAAAAATAACATTTTCTTCCCAGCCTTCCTTCACTCTCACCTTTCATTTTATATTCCAAAGATGCAACTACTTTCATCTGTTTTGATTGTTTCTTTTGAAATTTTTTAATATTGAGAATTTATCTATTTCTAACCACCACTCCAAAACTCCACATAGTACGCTTTCTGTCGCCCAACTCAATCCTCCTATAATAGCTATATCATAATTTGCTTCAATTAATACTTAATATTTACTTTATTTTGACTACAAACATGAGATTGCTTTTCCTTTCCTGCACAATGTTTTTCCTTTGATATTAATAATGGCCTTATTTTAAAATTGTCTTAGCTTTTAAAATATTATTTTCAATAAATTCACCACAAACAATATTGTCTGGTGTTGCTTTTAAAATTCTTTTTCTTTTATTTTTTATTTTTATTTTATTTATTTATTTTTTGAGATAGGGTATCATTCTGTTACTCAGGCTGGAGTGCAGTGGCACAATTGCAGCTCACTGCAGCCTCAGCCTACTGGGCTCAAGCAATTCTCCCACCTCTCAGCCTCTAGAATACCTGGAACCACAGGTGTGTGCCATCACATACAGCTAACTTTTGTATTTTTTGTAGAGACAGGGTTTTTCCATGTTGCCTAGGCTGGTCTCAAACTCCAGGACTCAAGCGATCCACCTGCTTCAGCCTCCCAAAGTCCTGGGATTACAGGTCCAGGCTTTCCTTTATATTTTATCTTTAGTTTTTTCTCTCCTTTCGGAAACTTTTAGAATATTAATTTAGTTTCTGGTGTTATTATTTGCATGATAATGTATGTTGATGTGGTCTATTTTCTTCCACTGTACTAGGCACTATGTGAGCTTTTGTAACCTGAAAACTAAAGACCTCCAGTCCTGATAATTTTATTTAATTATTTTAATGAATATTCCCTTCCTTACATCTACTCTGTTCTTTCTTTCTGACACTCTTGATTAATATATTAAGCCTCTTTGACAGTTCCTCTATTTATTTCCTTTCTCCCAATTTTCCATGTCTATGTCTTTTTTCTACTTTTCTGGAGATTTCATCAACTTTACCTTCCAACCTTCCTGTAGCATTTTAATCATTTTCTAACTTTCTAAGGATATTTCTTATTCCTGGGTTCTCCCTTTTTTATATTATCTCCTGTTAAATATAGTGAACTCCAAGTTTCTCTTCAAAGAATCAGTATGCCAGTATGTTCAGCTCTCTTATTCTTTGTTCTCCATTTTAAAGTTTAACTTCCTTGTTCTCTTCACCCCCTTGTCTCTAGTTTCGGTAAACAACTTTCATGCCAGTTCTAATCAGTAGTTCACATCTGTTCCCCTGGTCACCTGCTTTGACTTGAGTCACCCCTGGTCACCTGCTCCATCCTGAGTCACCCCTGGTCACCTGCTCCATCCTGAGTCACCCCTGGTCACCTTCTCTAACCTGAATCATCCTGAGTCACCTGTTCTGTAACCCCCCTTCCTACCAAAGTACTCACCCCACCACTCTGGCTAGTCGTACCCCTGCTCTCTTTAAAATAGCCTATCGGAATTAGCTTAGACTGTGCGGTCCAACCCTAGCCAATAAGTTAATGACACGCAGGAGCTACCTGCGTGAGGAATAAAAACCCCTTCCCCTCCCTTGTTCAGGTGTGCTCTTGCCATTGCTCCATCTACGAGTCACACCCTTCTAAAGAAGTAAAAATTGCCTTGCTGAGAAAATTAAATTTATGTTCAAGTGCTCTTTCTTTTATGCCACTGAAAAATTTATTTATAACATCTTCTGAACTTATTTTGCGTATACAATATGTTATTTTAGCTCTCTGGGGATATTGACAATTTTTATTTTCTTTTATTTTTGGTAGAGTTTATCTCCCTGCATAGTTTCTGTTTTCAACAGGCTTTTTTTTCTTTTTCTTTTTTTCTGTTTGCTTTTATCTCTAACTTTCATGTCAGAGACTTTTCTAAATTGCCTAAAGATTCTGTGTTTCCTATTTAGACTTAAGAGTGGGGCACTAAAAACAATGGGAAGCTCTTCTTATGTGGATAGAGCTTATCAACCATGTGTTTCATTGTAGAGTCATCTGCCTAGACTGCTTAGTTGGGAAACCAGTAGTTTCTCAACTACTTCCTTATCTTTCTTCTCCCAACCCCACCCTCACCCCAAGAGAAGACTCTTTCAGTGTTCTGCTTGGGGTTTGAGTCTTACTTCCAACGTTTTGAAAGAGTCAAGTGAGAAGCAGAGGTAGAGGTAAAAGAATCACCTTGAAATCTCTCACTTAATTCCCATGTTGTCTGTATGAAAGCCCTGATACACGGATAATTACACTTTCCTTAAATTTCCCAACAGTTCAGAGATCCGTTGCATTTTTACTTTCCATAGAATAAATCTCCATTATTTTGCTAATGTTGTCTGTGAAACCCAAAAATCTGAGACAGGTCTCAGTTAATGTAGAAAGCTTATTTTGCCAAGGTTGAGGACGTGCGCCCATGACACAGCCTCAGGGGGTCCTGATGACAAGGTCCTCAAGGTGGTCAGGGCACAGCTTGGTTTTATACATTTTAGGGAGACATGAGATATCAATAAATATATGTAAGATATACATTGGTTCTGTCTGGAAAGATGGGACAACTCGAAGCAGGGAGGGGGCTTCCAGGTCACAGGGAGGTGACAGATAAATTGTTGCATCCTTTTGAGTTTCTGATTAGCCTCTCCAAAGGAGGCAATCAGATATGCATTTATCTCAGTGAGCAGAGGGATGACTTCGAATAGAATAAGAGGTAGGTTTGCCCTAAGCAGTTCCCAGATTGACTTTTCCCTTTAACTTAGTGATTTTGGGGACCAAAGATTTATTTTCCTTTCACGTGTCACACAACTTCACAGAATAACCTAGTGAACTGTTAGGCTTAGAAGCTTTTTAGGTAGACCTCTTGATTTCAGTTGTAGTCAAGAGTTTACAGATTTACCTAATACTTCTATTTAGGTTGGTGCAAAAGTAATTGTGGTTTTTGTCATTTCTTTTAATGGCAAAAAACACAATTACTTTTGCCCCAACCTAATATACGTATTTTTTCTAAGCCTGTTGGGAGTTCTACAGGGCCAATATTGTCATTTCTCAGATTTCCCAAAAGCTAGTAAATTATCCAAATTCTCAAGTTAAGAACCTTTCCAGATTCCAAAGTTTTGCTGTTATCATCTTCCCTCTTTAGGAGGATGCAGAGTTAAATCCCCTCAAACTATGATTTTAACAGATACCTCTCCTATTCTTTAGCCTGTGCAGCTCCATAAAGTCAACACAGTACAGACAGAATTAATCTGGCTCATTATTTGTTTGACTGATGGATTTTTAAAATTATTATTAGGATCAAAATGATTAACCCTGTCTTTCTGAGCAAGTCTAGTCTAATCCGGGACTCCTCACAAGGAGCAACTAAATTCTAACCTGACCTTGGAAACCAACTTGTTAATACTTCTCCCTTACACACTGAAATGGGAAGAAAAGTACCTGTCTGGGGACTAATTCTTCAGCAAACCTGAAGTTACTGTGTGTGATGAAAGGTAAAAGGCCAGAGTTAAGTGGAGCAATTTTCAAGATATAAATAGATATCTATTATAACCAGGAGTTGAGGATTTGTCTAGACTGGTGTTTCTTACATTCTTAATGTTTGCACATTCACATTCAGAAACCCCTAATGTGTCTAGGGGTTGCTAGAAGCTGACTCCCTAGAGCTAGTACCTGGAAACTTATATTTTCAACATGCTTTCCATGGAATTGTTATGCAGACTAAAGTTTAAGAATCCTGCTTTAGGACAAAGATAGAGGCACGTTTGGAGAAGTAAGTAGGGCCAAACAATGGAGGTCTTTGTGTGTGGATAAAGGAATTTAGATTACATTCCATACACAACTAAGAGTCAATGAAAGATGTTCGTTTGTTTGTTTCTCTGTTCTTTCATTCAAGAAATATATGCCGAGTGATTATTACATGTTGGAAACTGGGGATTATAGACGGAAATCATGTACTCATGAGATTCAGTGTAATACATACATATATATGTATTAGTGTTCCAATAATGGAACACATTTTTATATATCTATTTTAAAAAACAGATTGTTATGGACTAAATTGTGTCTCTCCCAAAATTTATATTAATATATTGAAGGCCTAACCCTCAATGTGACTGTATTTGGAGACAGGGCCTTCAGGAGATAATTAAGGTTAATTATATCCTAATAGTGGGGTTCCAATAAGAACATATTGGTGTCCTTATAAGATGAGGAAGGAGATCAGAAATCTTTCTTTTTCTCTCTGTCTCTCTCTCTTTCTCTTTTTCTCTTTCTCCATTTATGCATGCACAAAGAAAAGGCCATGTGAGGACACAGCAAGAAGGCATCCATCTATAAGCCAGGAAGAGAGGCCTTACCAGAAAGCAACCTGATCTTGGACTTCCAGCCTCCAGAACTGTGAGAAAATGCATTTCTATTAATTAAGCCACTCAGTTTGTGATATCTTCTTATGAAAATTCTAGTAGACTAGTATTAAGCCATTTACTAGGATGTATCCAGTGGCTGTATACTTCAGGTGAAATGTCATGGAAACATGCATAGGATGTTATGGGAACCTAGATAGTTGAGGAAGGCTTCCAAGAAAGATAAGAATTGAATTGAGTCTTGAATGGTGAGACTCAAGAGTCAATGAGAAAACCATGTATAATAGAGAATTAAAATATTATAGAAAAAGGGAATCTTGATCCAGGGGTATAGAGGCAAGACAGTGTAAGAAGCCATCAGTGTGGGTGAAGGGCAGGGTCACCAAGGAAGAGAAACCAGGGATTAGGCTTGAGGAACAACAGGGCAAGAGTATGAGGAGCCCAATCTTCTTCACTAAAAGAGCCTGTTTAAGAGGGAGAATTTTACAACTAGAAAGGACATGTTCTTTGAAATCAAACAAACACTTGAATTCTGACATTTACCACTAACCCATTTATGCCTGAGGTTGCAATTTTTTGAATTTTTGCAATCAGACCTTGGTGATAACCTTGAGCAGTAGGATATAAATAACTCCCACATGCTTAGCATTCCAATAATGGAACACTAGGCATAATTAATATCTGGTCATCTTGGACAAATTGCTTAGCCATTCTTAATATCAGTTTATTTATATGTGAAGTGAGGATAATAACAGTAGCTATTTCTCAGGGTTGTTTCAAGAATTAAATTAGACAATATAAATGGAGCGCTTAGCAGAGCTCCTGGCTTCTGGTATGCATTCACCAAGAGACCTGCTATAATTTTCTTGAGTATAAAGGAGAACCAAGGAAGAGGAGTAAGTAAAGAGCAATGTGGTCAGATTGACACTTTAGGAACAGATCTTTGGTTATAATGTGGAGAACTGATTGAAGGGAAAGGAACTTTAGTCAAAATAAATGTATACAAATAACAAGAAATTATTTTTAAAATTTACAAATATGGGCACTTACTTTGCTCCAAGCATTGTTAATTCCCTAGGTTGATTGTATGCATGATCTTATTTAATCCAACCACTAACTGAGATCAGGGAAGGCAAATAACTTGCCTATATTAGTTCATTCTTGCATTGCTATAAAGAAATACCTGAGACTGGGTAATTTGTCAAGAAAAGAGGTTTAATCGGCTCATGCTTTTCCAAGCTGTATAGAAACACAGCGGCTTCTGCTTCTGAGGAGGCCTCAGGAAGCTTCCAATTCTGGCAGAGGCAAAGTAGGAGTGAAACATCCTACATGGCAGAAGTAGGAGCAAGAGAGAGGCGGGGGAAGGTGCTACACACTTTAAACAGCCAGATCTCACAAGAACTTGCTCACTATTGCAATGCCAGTACTTAAGGGAAATCCAGGCCCATGATCCAATCACCTCCCACCAGGCCCCACTTCCAACATTGGGGATTACAATTCAGCATGAGATTTAAGCAGGGACACAGATTCAAACCATATAATTGCCCAAGCCCACATAGTTAATAAGTAGATGAGTCAGAATTCAAACTCAAGTTTGTGTTCCCAAAATCTGCACTTGGTCTCTAAGTCATGTTGCTTCCTTTCCTCATGTTGGCTAATTCATCCTTGAGATTACAAATCAAAGGTCCTATGCTTGTCCTAGAAGCAGCACTTTGAGAGCAAATCCCTTGACTTGACATTTGACAGCATGTAAAAATAATATTAATACTATAATAGTAACAGACATTTGCTTAATATTTAGTATCTGTCAGGTATATATATGCTGTTCACACATTTAATGCTTCCACAAGCAAGAAAGGAGTCCATTTATTTTTCCCTCTGTGGAGGCTAACTATCAGAGTCAATATATTGAAATTAACAGTTCACTGCCCTTGTATCAACCAGGCTTCCTGACTTTAATGCAGAAAAGACATTAGTTGCACACCAAAGATTAATATGGTAAGAAAAGGCAGCACTAAAAAGAGAATAACAGCATGGCTAATAAAATAGCCTCTATTTAACTCCTTGAAGATCTTTATCTAATGAACAAAATGCAGAGATCCAGAGTGGTTCATCAAGTCTTGCCTTCACCAGGAAAATGTTTGCTTTGATTTTCTTTTCCCAAGAATTGTGGAATTTAAATCCCGTGCTGAGACTTGTTTTCATGTTCTCTCATAAGATGATCTTATTGAGCCCAGTGTTTAGCAAAAGGAGGGGCTAGAAACCCAGAAATCTGGAAGAGGGGCTTTCCAGGAAGGTTTCAAGGCAAAATGAACCCTGAGTTGACTCCTAGAAAGATGAGCAGGGGTTAGCAGCTGATATGGTTTGGGTTTGTGTCCTCACCCAAATCTTATGTTGAATTGTAATCCCCAATGTTAGAGGAAGGGCCTTGTGGGAGGTGACTGGATCACCGGGGCTGGATTTTCCCCTGCTGTTCTTGTGATGGTGAGTGAATTCTCACAAGATTTCATGTGAGAACCTCCCCCTTCACTCTCTTCCCCCAGTCCAGCCACGTAGGACATTCCTGCTTCCTCATTCGCCTTCCACCATGATGATAGGTTTCTCAAGGCCTCCCAGGCATGCTTCCTGTACAGCCTGCAGAACCATGAGCCAATTAAATCTCTTTTTCTAAAAAACAATAAATTACCAAGTCTCATGTAGTTCTTTATAGCAATGCAATAATGGACTAACACAGCAGGCAAGGAGTGGGTATAAGGTAGGAGTGTAAATGGAAGTTAGAGGCAGGAAGGTGAACCAGTCAAGAAAATAGGATGTCTAACAGGAAGAGTCAGCAAGATCCAGTTGTGGGGTGTGGGGTGCCTGTGTACCTGTGCACGTGTATCTGAAGATGTAAATGGGTACAAGAAGCCGAGGGTTTTTGAGGCCCTATGAGATGATCTCAATGTCATTGCAAGGGCTGTGGGATAAACTGTAGCCAGGTGTGACATCAGCACATTGCATTTTGGAAAGATTACCAGCCACAGGGTGAAAAACGAATGACTGGCCAGGTTGAGATAGGGAGCCCAGTCAGGAGGTTATTACTCTAATACTGATACCAGATGAGGTGGGCCTGGGTTAGGATAGCAGGAGAGGTTTTTAATCCCTACATCGTGGTCATTTTTGCACAGTTTTCCAAAGTTGTTCTGATGATAAAATTCCCCAAATTGAAAAAAACAAAAGTTCAATTGTGACTTCACCATTGCAGAATAGATATGAGTTATCACCTTTCTTGTTCTAGACACTGCAGAAAATAGTCATGTGTATTTTTTTTTGGTAGCAGTACCATATTGTTATTAATATGACAATTGCAATAGACTAAAACACATTAATCCTTTTTTGTGCCATCAAGGTACATATATTATTTCTCTGATAATGGGGCAAATTTTCAGTCCATATGCAAAATGTCACATTTATGCTTGGTAAATATACACTTTTTTTTAGATTTCACACATTACAGGAGGCTGGCTGAGTATATTTTAGATTTTAACTCTAATATTCACATGGTGTTTCAGACTAAAATGACTATGGTCTTTAAGTCATGCAGGACTTGGTTAAAATCCTTGCTTGGCCACTTACTTGTTCTTTGGGATCGGGAGCTTAACTTTTCTAACCTTAGTTGCTGTTGGTAGTGGTGGTGTAATCAAAGGTTGATTATACTCTTACATTATATATTACATGATATATGTAATACCATTATGAGGATTTATAGAAATAATACATGTAAATGCTTGCCACATAGTTACCAAATGCTAATCATTAAGCTGTTGCTTCTTGACTCCAAGTACACTGTTTATTCTCAGCTTCACGACACTGTTGCTGGGATTCTGCAAATCATTTTACCCTTTGCCTGTTGGCCTCCTGGTTGGTTCTGTTCACAGAGGGCACTGGAAGAAGCCCAGAAGACTAGAGGAGAAAGAAGGGACTGAAGGGACTTGCTCCTTCCTGCTTGCTGTTGTCACTCCAGCAAGGTTTCTTCATCCAAGGAGTGGCAGTTGGGTTTAGGAGCAGCAGATGAGACCAATTTCTAGTTTTCCCAATGCTCTCAAGACTATCCTCATCATCCATCTGCCAGAAACACAGTACAAGATGGACAGTGCCCCTTCCTGTGAGGTCTAAGTCCCAGCTTGAGGTACTTTTTTCAAGCTCCAGAGATACCAGCACCACATGGGCACTACCCTGTCTTAGGTTCCTAACTCCACAGGCTCCTCTAAGCTTCTAAGTTCCAATGACCCCAACACTTCTCCTTTGTTTCCTTAGCTGGGAGTGTGGCTGTTACCTGCCATTACTGTCTTTGTACCATCTCAGTGTTTCCTTTTCTTGCTTTTCCAGCTCGCCCTGATTTGCCAATTCCCTATGTTATATTCTCTCTGTTAAAACTAGTGTGGTTCTAGTTTCCTTAACATACCTTCTTTTTATCTCTAATACTGTATCACTAGAAATTTTGATAGTCTTTGGGCTAAATAAAAGTCTTCCGGCCAGGCTGTTGGCATTTTCACCACCAAAATCTATCTATTAATAGTAAAACAGTACAGATACAGGATGCAGCAGAGGGATTTGTGTTTTCCACTGGGTACATTTCCCCTGTCTTCACAAACAAGAGTTTATTAGCACTCATGCTCTCTGGCTTTGGGTTTTGTTAATGAGGCTTTGAACTGAGTGATCAAGCACAGAATTAATAGTTCTATTCAGAAGTTCACTCACCTTATAGCAAATACTATCTCAAGGAATATTTACTATTTACCAAGAATTCTTTAAATGCTTTATGTATAACTCATTTAACCCTCAATAAACTTCTGGGAGAGTTTACTGTTTTTATCATCATCCTTATTGTACTGTGGACAAAAGAGGTTAACAAAATTGCTTACATTTGTTGTAGTGGGTTAAATGGTGGTACCCCAAAATAAATGTCCACCTAGAATCTGTGAATGTGATCTTGGTTGGGAAAACTGTCTTTGCAGATGTCATTACGAATCTCAAGATAAGATGACCCTGGATTAGGGTGGACGTGAACCCTAAATAACACAAGGGCTCTTACGAAGGAACAAAAGGGAAGAGAAACACAGAGAAGAAGTGAAGTGATGTGAGGATGGAGGCAGAGATTAGAGTGACATACATACAAGCCAAAGAATGCCAAGAATTGCTGGCGGCCAGCAAAACTCAGAGGGAGGCATAGAACATTCTCCTTCTGTGCCTCCAGAAGGAACTGACCCTGATAACATTTTGGACTTCTGGCCTCCCAAACTGGGAGATAATAGATGTCTGTTGTTTTAAGTCACCAAGTCTGTAGTAATTTATTGCCACAGCTCTAGGAAGCTGATGCATTTGTAAGAGCCGGTCAGTAGTCAAGGTGGAACTTGAACCCAAGTAGTCTGTTTCTGGTGCCCAGGTGCTCAACTGTTTTCATAGACTTCCTTCCTATCCTGCAGACAGCCTCAGCAATTGAAAAGATGCATGCTGAATTCTCCCAGGAAGAGGAATGAAACCTGTAGGAGATGAGAAAACGTATAGTTTCTCCCCTGGAACTAGGGATAGAATTGGAGTTTGGGGCCTCAAGAGTCAGTCATAGCTGTGTTCTCGCCTTCACATATGGTCACAATCCCCCCCCTCTCCAATGGGTGACAATACCTCTGATGGGGTAGGTTGGTGACACCGATATGATAGAACACTTGGAGTAAGAGCTTCTAGAACCACAGTGAAAAAGATTACCTACCCCAGCTTGGCAATGCAGCCAGAAAGTTCACTGTCTTAATGGCACAGGTACCTGTGGCACATCAGCTGTAAGTAGTGTAAACTTTCTTGATGATCTGCCTGTTGTAAGACCTTAAAATCTTTACATAATCCTGTGGGAATAGATGAGATAGGCTTCTTGATAAAGATTGAGGTTGAATTTTCTACAAGCCCAGTGTGTAGGAGCTAGAAGTAGATAAAACATGATTTGGAGAAACTGATAAATGAGTGAATGTGGCATGTATTGCAGTTTCGTGTTGTAGGGAGTAAAACTGATAGCAGATACCCACACGTATTTGTTAGTTCCTAGAAAAATTTTATTAATGGGCATCCATGGATGAATGAGAGATTATGGATGTCCTCCAGGGAATACTTGAACTATTGGAGTTATATGTAAAGTGTGTGAGTCTACAACTTTGAGAGTATATTTCAAACAATCCACATTCCTCAACATAGCAGGAATCACCAGCCTACATGAATTGCAAAGGACTTTCTATCCTTGACATTTTCTAACTCAGTTACTTTGCAATGGAATAGCATAGGAATCTGTATAATTCCTACCAGCAGAGTATCAGTAAGGTGAATAGAAGCTAAAAAGGCACCGTTTACTCAACCGTTTTGTTGAGTAAAGAATATAAAGACATATTCTGCTGTTGTATTATCCTTGTTCTGCTCCAGCAGAAATCCCCCTGAAACTACATTTCATTGAATTGATCTTAGTTCTGACTTCAGGACTCATGGATTTTCAAGGTTATTAGTTTGTTTAATCCTAGATTATAGCTAATGATGTTTAAATTTAGAAATAAGAGAGTTCCAGGTATGAAGATTATTTTTTCAATTAAATAAATAACAGCTTAGAGCATAAATTCAAGAGTATTTTATCAGGTGCTCATAAAAACATGCTTATTTTCATCCCCCAGGATATTATAAGCATCACCGCCATGCTGAGGCCTGTGAGTCATAGTGAAGCTAGCTGGGGCTCAGAGGTCAGCAGTTCAGTAGAATAGCAGTGGTGGCAGTGGAAGGTGGGGAATGCTGACAAACAGAAGTCTCAAGTTAAAACTGCAAGTAGATGGGTAAGTGGGTGGGGTGATATGTTTGCTTACACATAGTGAGCATTAAAAAGTATCAGGGTTCAAGAACAAAATTTTCACCCTAGTAAGGATGGGGGAAGGAAAGACAGGGTAGGCAGAAGTCCAATACCAGTCCATTCAGTTCAACATACAATTTGTGAAACCTTGTACATTCCATCCTTAATGCTTGGCATTGGGGATACAAAGGTAAATGAGACCCTCCCTGCCATTGTGAAGCTCATTCTCTGGTGAGAGAGAGCAAGAGTGCCATGAACAAAAAACTCTAATCCAGTTTGATCTGGGCTGCCAAGGAGGTATGAAAAGGTGAAATAGGGGAAAATACAATAAACTACTGATTATACAGGAGTTAAAGCCTTTCAGAAGGGGCCTATTGGTTAGTAATATGCACTGTTGTAAGTAGAGCCCAAGTATATAGTGGCTTACAACCAGTTTATTTTGATTCACAAAGTCATCCTGGATGGGCAAATGAACTGGTAGGTTGACTCTCCACCTTGGGAGTATTCCAGGGACCCAGGCTGACACAGGCTCTTCCATCTTAAACACATCACTTTCAAAATCCTCATGTGTTTCTCCTTGCCAGCAGGCAGAAGGAGAAAAAAGCACAGATAATCCAACTCAAGAGGTTTTTATAAGACATGCCCAGAAATGGTACTCTCATTTCTGTTTCCATTTCAAGGCTAGAACCAAGGCATATGGCTAGACCTACCCACACAGAAGATTGAGATGTGTAAAATCACTGTGTGCCCATAAAGAAGAGAAGAATGTATTTGTCCCAGGCAGTAATATTTGAGTTGAATTTTGTAGGATAAGAAAGATTTTACTAATTAGAAGGACTGGGGGTATGTCCTGATTATATGCGGAAACATTTTTAACTCCTGAGAAAAATTTAACATACTGAACACCCCTTCTTCACTACTACCTACTAACAAACCCTACCACCTTTGCAAAGTTTATTTTCATCAATGTTCTCAAAACACATTGTAGAGAAAGGAGAAAACTAAAGACTTATTCATGTGCATAAATGTTCCACTCATTTATATCATGATAAATAATTGTGCAGCTGTAGTTTTTCAAATCTATAGTATATATTAAAGGCAGTGAATCTTTTCCAAGGCCACAGTCAGAAAATTTTTGGAAATAATTATTTATTCTTCCATCAAGAGACAAAATAATTTAACTTGTTGATTCAATAAGGGTCCATCCAGGAAAAACAAAACCCATGCCAGGTAAATTAAAATGGAGAGGAATTAATACAGGGAGGCATTAATACAGGGAGTTACTTACTTAATTTAACTTGTTGATTCAATAAGGGTCCATCCAGGAAAACAAAACCCATGCCAGATAAATTAAAATGGAGAGGCATTAATACAGGGAGTTACTTACAAAGATGGTGGAAGACATAAAAGAGAAAAGGGGAAAGTGAAAAGATATGAAATGAGAAACTCTAGGAAGCTACTCTTATCCCTACAGATGGTGGAAAAATCAGTGGGGGTTAGACTACCAGAGCAAGAGCCAGGAGGAAACACTGGATGCTGAAATAACAGTGATCCTGACAGATGGGAGCTGGGGTCATGGGGAAGGAATTGGAAGGTGGGAGGGAAGGTGCTGATGCCACAGAGAATACACAGCCCCTGCCAGAGACAGTGCAGCAGCAAGGCAGAGAGAGAGAGAGAGAGAAATACCTTTGCTCCTCTTTCCTTCCTCCCTTCCATCAGCCCCCAGAGATTCCTACTGGATCTTCTAGTATCTCTGCATTTTTCAGGGCTGTGCCCTCCTACAATACAGAGCAGAGCAAAGAAAGTGCAGGAAATGGATCTGACAGCAAACAAACCAACGGTGGTCACGTGCCTTAATTGTTTAAACAGCTAATTCTTCCATTTGAGATGAAGATGAAGGGTAATTCGTATTTCCTGCTTGGTGGGTTATAATGGTATTGTATTTTTTTTTCTGAGGTGTGAACACTACAAGCTGGATTAATAGCAAAACAGAACATGGATTCTCTCCTTTATAGGCTTTGCTGTTAGGTTGGGAAAGGATAGACACTTAAACTTTGGAAGCAAAGTAGCCATTTACTTTCCTCATCTCATATTTGAAGACTCTAGCTCACAGAAATATAAAAGTAAAAATAATAAGATTGTTTTATATTTCTGTAGCCTCTACGACAATGGATTGAATAGTCCCAGACTCCTCAAAACATTTTCACGATCATTTGGCTATCAGATATCACCATCTCTCTGAAAATTAGTAAACCCAGGGAAATGAGTCCCTTTTTATCGGAGAGGGAAAAGGCCTGGAGAGAGTAAGTGCCTCACAGGAGGTCTTGTTTTTAGACAGTGATGTATGGAGGATGAGATCCCCGCTCTTTGTTTTTGAATCCGTACTGTTTGCACCAAAAAGGTGACTAAAGTCCTCTGAAAAGTTCCGTCATTCTCCTCACTCCTATCTTATCTGCCTTTGGTGAGCACATTCTGCCTTTGATATGCCAGGGAAACCATTACTAAAGCTTTCAAGTCCTGAGCCAACTTCACTCCAGGGACCATTGAGTTGAGAATGGAACTACAGACCCTCTCTAAACAGACCCTATTTCATTTCCTAGGGCTACTAAAACCCACAAACAGGGTGACTTGAAACAACAGAAATTTATTCTTTCACTGTTTGGAAGGCCAGAAGTCTGAAATCCAGATGTTGGCAGGGCCCCACTCTCTTTAAAGCCTGTAGGTGAGAAAACCTCCTTGCCTCTTATCTCCTTGTGATTTCTGGCAATCCTAAGCATTCCTTAGCCTGTAGCTGCCTAACTCCAACCTCTGCCTCTGTCTTCACTTGGCCTTCTCCTCATGTGTATGTGTCTGTGTGTCCAAATTTCCCTCTTTTATAAGGATACCAGTCTTATTAGATTTAGAACCCAATGCCTTCCAGTATGACCTTAAATTTACTATATCTGCAAAAGCCCTGTTCTTCAATAAGATTAAATTCACAGATTCTGGGTAGAGAAAAATTTGGAGGAGACACTATTCAGTAGATCCTAAGTCATAGCAGGTTATATTCAGAAAGTCTGCAAGACCAAAGTAAGCTTTAGCCAGTTTCTTTTATCTGCATTAGTCCATTTCATACTGCTATAAAGAACTGCCCAAGACTGGGTAATTTAGAAAGGAAAGAGGCTTCATTGACTCACATGGCTGGGGAGGCCTCAGGAAACTTACAATCATGGTGGAAGGAGAAGGTGAAGCAAGGACCTCTTAACAAGGCAGTAGGAGAGAAAGAAAGCAAAAAAAGAACTGCCAAACACATAAAGTCATCAGATCTTGTTAGAACTCACTCACTTTCACAAGAACAGCATGGGGGAAACTGCCTCCATGATCCAATCACCTCCCACCAGGTCCCTCCCTTGACATGTGGGGATTACAATTCAAGTTGAGATTTTGGTGGGGACATAAAGTCAAACCATATCAATATCAGTGTCCTATTCTGTAGGCCCTATTCCTAAATCTCCCAAATACTGTAAGTATCTCAACTTTTAGTATGTGTTTTAATTTTTCCTTGATAGCTGGACATGATATACTAGGGAAAAGAACTCCTATGAATACAACTGTGATAAAGTGGTGGTAATATGTCCTGCTATTAGGTCTCATCTTTTAGGGAGCCTGGGTTATGGACTGTGAATTTGACTCTGGCTTCTCAATGCTCATCTCACTCCACTTTGGTGGGACAGGATGGCTGGAGTAGGCTAGAGTTAAGAATTTCTCTTCTTCCACATGAAAGACTACAGCTGGCTGGAACTGAATTTTTCCCTTTGCCCAGTGAGGCTGTTTCAAAACCCCTGAAGATTAGGATCTTGTTAAATAGTTTCTTCTGAGGGCAGACCTTGTTGAGAACAGAATGTTCTCGCATGGTCCCCTGTCCCCTCCCATGGATGGAAAGACTAGAGAAATTTTCTCCAATTCACTGATAGGCCACATAGAGTGCCTGATAGTAAAACTCACAAAAGTATCCCGCCCCACACCTGCCCCAACACACCTACCCGTGGCTAGGTCCCCTAGAGTTTTTCTCTCTCAGACATGTCCACATTGAGTCTCCAGCAATTTTCAATTAAAGTTCAGGTTTCCCTACCCAGCACCGTTTCCTGGAGAGGTGCTGCTTGTGGGTTTCTACTTGGTAAGTTGTCATTCTCTGTATTTGCCTGTCTGTTTCTCCAGTTCTGGGAATAGGGTTTTGCCCTATGATCTCACTTCTCTTAAGGATATGAGAAGAGTTGTCAATTTTTCAGTTTGTCAGCTTTTTACTTGTTAGGATAGAGTGCAACTTCCGAGTTTGTTACATGCCAGACCAGAAAATGGAAGTACATCTCAAGTATCTTAGAATAAAATATACTAAGCACTAGAGGTAGAGTTGCCGAGACTAATACTAGCTTTGGAGTTAGAAAAACTTGAGTTTGATTCTTAGCTCTACCACAACTTCGTTGGAGCCTAACTTCTTTACAGTTTTTCGATAGAAAAACAGGAATGCTATTAATTACATTGTCTACATCACAGGTATGTTTGCATTATAAAAAGAGTTAAGTGGCCGGGAGCGGTGGCTCACGCCTGTAATCTCAGCACTTTGGGAGGCTGAGGCGGGTGGATCACGAGGTCAGGAGATCGAGACCACCCTGGCTAACACGGTGAAACCCCATCTCTACTAAAAATACAAAAAATTAGCCGGGCGTGGTGGCCAGCGCCTGTCGTCCCAGTTACTCGGGAGGCTGAGGCAGGAGAATCATGTGAACCCAGGAGGCAGAGCTTGCAGTGAGGTGAGATCACACCACTGCACTCCAGCCTGGGCAACAGAGTGAGACTCCATCTCAAAAAAAAAAAAAAAGTTAAGTGCATTGTAAATTCTAGATGGTACAGAATTATAGATTCTCCTGGCATTACATAAAGTCAATCATCACATATTGCTTTCAAAGATAATATAATAGGGGTTAAAAGCTAGTAAGAGAAATGATTCTGTCCAGGTCCAGGGAAGTCTTAAAATAATTTTTTAAAAAAAGATTTTATTGTAAATTTTGACATGTCTACCAAAACCATGTGGGGAGACACACTAAATACAATAGATGAAAATGGAGCTACTCTAGTTGCAGTGGTGGTGCTAGGACAGAGCTACCATGACATGTCTCCACCCCTTATCTTTCCAGATAACTTTAATAAAGGCAACTCCTTAGAAAGCTCTGAGACTCAAGTTATCACCTCCTGAATGTCATTAGATAAGAAAACATTATAGGTAGAGTTTGATCTATCACTAAAATTCTGATTAAAGACTTTGACATTTCAGTCTTGGGAACACAGGAATTCTCAGATTCACATGTTCAACTGGCATCAGCTCTCAGTAGTAAAGAAGCTATTTCTGGGCTTTCTATTCTGTTTCACTGATAAACATGTCTACCTTTATTCCAATATTACACTGTCTTGGTTTCTATAGCTCTGTAGTAAGTCTTGAAGTCTTGAAATTAGATCGTGGAATGTCTTCAACTTTGTTCTTCCCCAACTTGTTTTGACTGATCTAGAGCCTTGACACTTCCATGTGAATTGTAGAATCAGCTGGTCAAATTCTATAAAAAGTTTTCTTGGATTTTTATTGGGATTGCTTTAAAACTATAGATCCATTTTGGAATAATTGGCATTCTTAACAGTAAGGACCCTTTCAATCAATAAACACTGCATATTTATCCATTTACTTAGGTCTTCTTTAATTTATCTCAGAAATATTTTGTCATTTTTCAGTGTACATATTGCAAATCCTCTGCCAAATTTATTCCTAGGTATTTTCTATTTTTGATGTGATTCCGTATGGCCTTTTAAATTTTTATTTCAATTTCTGATTGTTGCTATTATATAGAAATATAATTGATTTTTATGTACTGACTTTATATCCCTGAAGCCTTCAGAGAGTCATTTATTAGTTTAGAAGATTTTGTTGATCGAATCTTTAGAAATTTTTACAGATCTGATTATGTGATCTACAAATAAAGTTAGTTTAACTTCTTCTTTTAAATAGCTTACAATTTTATTTTATTTTTTATTATACTTTAAGTTTTGGGATACATGTGCAGAACGTGCAGGTTTGTTACATAGGTATACACGTGCCATGGTGGTTTGCTGCGCCCATCAACCTGTCATCTATATTAAGTATTTCTCCTAATGCTATCCCTCCCCTAGCCCCCCACCCGCTGACAGGCCCTGGTGTGTGATGTTCCCCTCTCTGTGTCCAGTGTTCTGATTGTTCAACTCCCACTTATGAGTGAGAACATGTGGTGTTTGGTTTTCTGTTCCTGTGTTAGTTTGCTGACAATTATGGTTTCCAGCTTCATCCATGTCCCTGTAAAGGACATGAACTCATCCTTTTTTATGGCTGCATGGTATTCCATGGTGTATATGTGCCACATTTTCTTTGTCCAGTCTATCATTGATGGGCATTTGGGTTGGTTCCAAGTCTTTGCTATTATGAATAGTGCTGCAATAAACATATGTGTGCATGTGTCTTTATAGTAGAATGATTTATAATCCTTTGGGTATATACCCGGTAATGGAATTGCTGGGCCAAATGGTATTTCTGGATCTAGATCCTTGAGGAATCATGGTTAGGATCTCTAGTACACTGTAAAATAGAGATAGTGAGAGTGGATATTTTGCCTTATTCTTAATCTGACAGGAAAAGCATTAAGTTTTTCACTATTAGGTATGATGTTCACATCAGATTTTTGATAGATATTCTTTATTACATTGAAAATGTTTCTTTCTAGTTCTTATTTTCTAAAGGATTTTGATACATATTGGTTTTGGATTTTGTCAAATACATTTTTTGCATCTATGAGAAGATTTTTTTATTCTGTTAATTTGAGGGATTACATGGATTTTCAAATGTAAAGTAAACCTATAATCATTTTTCTTTTTTAACACTGTTTTGGCTATTGGGGTCTCTTGTAATTCCACATGAATTTTAGGATAAGCTTTTCCATTTCTCCAAAAAGATTTTTTTTAAAAAAACAAACCTTTATGGTTTTGACATGGCTTAAATTTAATCTATAGATCACTTTGGGTATTAGTGTCATCTTAACAATATTAAGCCTTCCAAACATGCACAAAAGATGTATTTATGTTTATTTAGTTCTTCTTTAATTTCTTTCAGCAATGTATTGTAGTATTGTAGTTTTTAGTGTATAAGTCTTTCACTCCCTTGGTTACATGTATTCCTAAGTATCTTCTTTTTGATGTAAGTGGACTTTATTTTCTTTTGGATTGTTCACTGCTAGTGTATAGAAATCCAATTGATTTTTGTGTGTTCATCTTATATCCTGCAACTTTGCTGAATTTAATTATCAGCTTTACTAGGTTATTTTTTGTGGATTCTTTAGCATTTTCTATATATAAAACTATTTCTATATATAAAACTATTTCAAATTTCTTTCCAGTTTGGATGCTTTTGTGTGAGGGTGGAAGGGGGTTGCCTAATTTTGAGGGCTAGAACCTCCATACAACATTTACTAGAAATCACAAATGCAGACATTCTTATCCTGTTTCTGATTTGTGGGGGAATGCTTTCTGTCTTCCACCATTGATTAGAGTGTTATTTGTGGGATTTTCATAAATGTTCTTTATCATGTTGAGTAAGTGGTATTTTATTTTTAATTTATTCAGTGTTTTTAGCATGAAAGGATGTTTGGATTTTGTCAGATGATTTTTCTCCATGAATTGAGATGCTTCTGTGTTTTATTTTCTTCATTCTATTAATGTGGTATTTTTTTTTATGTTCAACAACTCTTGCATTCCTGGAAAAAAATCTCACTTAGTTATGATGTATAATCTTTTTTATCTGTTGCTGGATTCACTTTGCTAGCATTTTTTGAGGATTTTAGAGTTTTTTCTTTTTTCCTTCCAGCTTTATCGAAGTATAATTATCAAATAAAAATTGGATATATTTTAGGTGTACAGTGTGATGTTTTGATATACACATACATTGTGAAATTATTGCCACTATCAAGCTAATTAACATACCCATAACATCACATATTTATTATTTTTTATGTGTGTGGTTATAACATTTTATATCTACTCATAGCAAATTTAGAGTATATATCACAGTATTATTAATTCTATCATCATTCTGTACCTTAGATTTCCAACACTTATTCATTCTGCATAACTGAAACTTTATAACCTTTAATGAACATCTCCCCATTTCCTCCAGAGAGGTCTTCTCTTTTTAGGTGAAGAAAAAATAGTTATGATTATATTGTGATGCAACTAATACATGATTATTGACTTTTTGTCAGCCAGAGAATCCTAATCACAATTTCTCATTTAGAAAAATTCCAGTTTCTATCTGAACTTTAAAGTAACACCTCTATATTGATTTGAAACATTTGATAATTTAGGTTATTTACTCATCCTGATTGCAATTTCCTCAAAATTAGTCTGAGGTCTACAGCCTTCTTTGCTGTATGTGGAATGCTATCTGTTCTCTAGATACAGATGGTTTCACAGAAAATGTACTATTTACCTTAGATATTAAAAGTAAAGCTTTGCCCATTTTAATATCCTAGAGATTTTCAATTAAGAGCTTTGAGACTGTATGAAGGTCATCTTCTTGAATTATAGTATTATAAGCTTAGGTTATGAAATCTGACAGGCCTAGATTTGAATCATGATTCAAATGCTTATGATTTCTTAGACATGTTATTTAATAGCTCTATGTACCTGTTTTTTTATTGTCACCCACATTATAACAATGGTATCCACTTAATAGTATTCTCAGAAGCGTTAAATGAGAAAATACAGGCAAGTCACTTAACATCATGACTGGCACACACTAAATCCCAATTAATGATGGCTTTTATTATAATTATCCTATCGGATTTCAGACAATCAACATCTCCATTCCCACTTAGGTTTAAATCTATTTAGAAAGAATTGATTACTTACTGAATTGCATATGTTTATAAATTATCTGCACATATCTCTGAGCAAGTATTAAATGATAGAAGAAAAGGGAAAGGAGGGCAGTAATATAGAAAATAATATTTTAACTTTCTGCAGACATATGTAATGTGGCACAAAGCTGCGAAGTCAAAGTAGCTCAAAGGTTTCTTGTCTAGAATCAAGAAAGATAATATTGGGGAGGAATAGAGACATAGCCAAATAATTAAATACTTAAAATTTCCCATGAAAAACTCATTTCATATTAAGTTAATCCTGTCCATTTGCAAATTGTTCCCCTTTTCTAAAACTCATCATTTAAAGAGGTATTTAGTGTTTGTGATATATTTTATTCTCTTAAAAATAATTATAACCCCTTTCCTTTGTGCTTTCTTGGAGGATTTTTCTTTATATTTCATTGACATTAAGATTTTCTACCTGTCTGGCTTTAGTCAATAAAATGTAAGTCAATAAGACATGTGTTATAAGATTTGCACTCTCCCAGATCGTGACTGTTCCTTCAACCTAGGTTTGAAAATGAAAACAATATGGACTACAGCTGTAGTCAATCTGTGATGGATGAGTAGCCTAAGAATAAATGTCTTTATTGTTAGCCACACAGATTTGGGGGTTGACTATGGCTTTAGTATAATTTTGCCTAAGGAAAGACAATGTCCCTCTGAAACAGCTAAAAAGCCATCCACAGCAAAAGGACATTATTGTCACACAAATATGTAATTTCTAAAATTAAAACAAACCAGTATACATATCTTTAAATATGTTATAAGACATAATCTTGACTTTTTAAATTACAATAAGCTGATCTTAAAATTCATATGTAAATGAGGACAGAGAATACACAAAACAACTTTGAGGAAAAACAACAAAGTCTCAGGACTTAGCCTCTCAAATTGTAATGCTTGTCATAAAGCTAAAGTCATAAAGACCCTGGTGTTGACTTAAGATAGACAAATAAATCAATAAATCAGTGGGAAAAAGTCAACCATCCAGAATCGGACTCACAAATATTTAGTCATCTGATTTTTTGAAAAAAAAAAAAAAAAAAGTGTGCAGTGGAAAAAAGATAGTCTTATAAACACTTTGTGCTGAAACACACAAAGTGTTGATAAGGCATGTTATTTAATACCTCTGTGTTCCTATTTTTTTCATTGTTATCCACATTATAACAATGGTATTCACTTAATAGCATTCTCAGAAGCATTAAATGAGAAAATGCAGGTAAGTGTTTAAAGTCATGACTGGCACACACTGAATACTCAATTAACGATGGCTTTTATTATAATTACCCTATTGAATTTCAGACAACCAATATCTCTGTTCCCACTTAGGTTTAAATCTAAGTAGGAATAGACATGTTGATTGGCTACTGGGTGTTCAAATGTAAAGATAGGAACCTCAATCCATGCCTTGAACAATATACAAAAATAAGTCAATATGGATCATAGAACAAAAATCTAACACCATAAGTTTTCAGGAAAAAAAAATAGAGAAAATCTCTGTGATTTGGGGTTAAGTGAAGATTTCTTACACCTGACTTCAAAAGTACAGTTTATAAAATAAAAAATTGATAAATTTGAATTTCACCAAAAGTTAAGAGTTTCTCTTCAAAAGATCCTGTCAAGATAATGAAAAGACAAGCCCCTTTCAGCTTTAGTTTAAGAACAGTCCTGCCCATCCAAGGACCAGGAGGGAAACATGCCCCTCCACTTCTCCAGAAGCAGGCCTGAGACCTTGGGCTCAGCTGCCAACCCTGAAGCAGTCCTATGATTCAATTACAATCCCTCTCAGCACAGCTGAGAGGGTCACCAAATCAGTGACCCAGCAAGAGCTCTCCCAGGGACTTGGAGGGAGTCACAACCATCCATGCACATGATAACAAGCTCTCCGTTGGCAGATTTTGAAGTGGACACTTACCCCAGTGCCATCCCGTCCCAAAGGCAGTCCAGACTGCATAGAGGCCAGACAGGATTCATGTCTACTTAAACTCCTAGTAACAGGCCCACCAACAACAGACTCCACCACAGACCTAGAAGCAGCCACATAACCCAGCTCCAATCCCACTTCAGTGCAGTCCTGGAAGCAATCTCATCAGCCTGAGGACTCATCAGGAGAAGGTCTTTACCTGCCAAAGTCCATTCATAAACTGAGGGAGAGATTTACTCTTTTAAATTCATAGACACCAATGCAAAGCTACAACAAAAAATCAGGCAAACAGAACACCACCAAACAAATAAAACCAAAACCAAAAACAACAGAAGAAACTAATAAAGTTATATAATCAATGCCAAAGAGATGGAAATCTGTGAATTGCTTCACAAATAATTAAAAATAATCATCCTAAAGAAGCTCAAAGACACGCAGAACACAGACAGCTAAACAACATTAGAATGACAAGGCATGGACAAAATAAGAAATTTAATGAAGAAATAAAATTCATAAAAAAAGAACGAAACAGAAATCCTGATGCTAAAGAATACAAGGACAGAACTGAACAATTCAACAGAGAGCTTCAATAGTAGACTCAAGCATGCAGAGGAAAGAACTAGTAAACTCAAAGACAGATCCTTTATAGTCAGCCAATTGGGTAACAAAAGAAAACAAGAATTAAAACAAGTTAAAAAAGCATAGGGAACCTACAGACTGTCATTAAGAATATAGGACTGGTGCAGCAGCTCATGCCTGTAATCCCAGAACGTTAGGAGGCTGAGGCAGAAGTATCACATAAGCCTGGGCAACATAGAGAGACCCTGAGCAACATAGAGAGACCCCGTTTCTACAAAAATATTAAAATAAAAAAGTATCCAGGCAGGGTGGTATGTGCCTGTAGTCCCAGCTACTCAGGGGGCTGAGGCAGGACGATTGCTTGAGCCCAGGATTTCGAGGTTGCAGTGAACGGGATTGTGCCACTGCACTCCAGCCTGGGCAACCGAGTGAGACCCTGTCTCAAAAAGAAATATATATGGTATGGTTTGGCAATGTCCCCATCCAAATCTCACCTTGAATTGTAGTTCACATAATCCCCACGTGTTAGGGGAGGGACCCAGTGAGAGGTAATTGGTAATTGAATCATGGGGGTGCTTACCCCCATGTTGTTCTTGTGATAGTGAGTTCTCACAAGATCTGATGGTTTTACAAGCATTTGGCATTTCCCCGGCTTTGCACTCATTCTCTCTTTTGCTGTCCTGTGAAGAGGTGCCTTCTGTCACGATTATAAGTTTCCAGAGGCCTCTCCAGCCATGTGGAACTGTGAGTCATATACCTCAACATAATTAAAGTCATATACAACAAGCTCACAGCTAACATCATATTTTATGGTAGAAAGCTGAAAGCTCTTTCCTCTAAGATCAGGAATAAAACTAGGGTTTTTACACTTCTATTCAACATATTGCTGGAAGGGCTAGCCAGAACAATCAGACAAGAGAAAGAATTAATAAAATACATCCAAATTGGATAGGAAGAAGATAAATTGTCTCTGTTTACAGATGACCTAATTTTATATATAGAAAATCCTGAAGACTCTACCACGAATCTCTTAGAACTAATAGATTCAGTAAATTTTTAGAATACAAAATCAACATACAAGTAGACCTCCCCCTACTTATCTGTGTGTTTTTTTGTTTTATTTTGTTTTGTTTTTTCTGTGCTTTCAACTACCCAAGGTCAACCATGGTTCAAAAATAGTAAATGAAAAATTTTAGAAATAAACAATTCAAAACTTTTAAGTTGTGTGCCACTCTGAGTAGTATGATGAAATCTCACACTGTCCACTCCATCCTACCAGGCATGAATCATCCCTTTGTTCAGCTTATCCACACTGTATATACTACCTACTCATTAGTTACTTAGTAGTCATCTTTGTTATCAGTTCTACTGTTGTGGTAGTGCAGTGCTTGTGTTCAAGTAACCCTTATTTTACTTAATAACAGCCCCCAAACACAAGAATAGTAATGCTGGAAATTCAAATATTGAAAAGAGAATCTGTAAAATGCTTCCTTTTACTAAAAAAGTAAAAGTTCTTAATAAGAAAAGAAAAAAATGTACGTTGATATTGGTAAGATCCACAGTACAATAAAATATTTTGAGAGAGAGAGAGACCACATCCACATAAATTTTATTACAGAATATTATTATAATGTTATATTTTATTATCAATTATTATTAATCTTTTGCTGTGGCTAATTTGTAAATTAAACTTTATGATAGGTATGTATGTATAGAATAAAACATAGTATGTATTTGGTAAGGTACTGTTCATGGTTTCAGGCATCCCTGAGGGGTCTTGGAAAATATCCCGTGTATAAAAGAGACAGTTCTAAGAAAATCGGTTGTGTTTTTACACAATAAAAACAAACTATCTGAAAAAGTTATGAAAACAACCCCATTTACAATGGCATCAAAATAATAAAATACTTATGATTAAATTTTACCAAGTATATGAAAGATCTCTACACTGAAAACTAGAAGACATTGATGAAAAAAATTGAAGAAGACACAAAAACAGGAAAGATACCCATGTCCATAGATTGGAAATAACAATTAAGATTATTAAAATGTCCATAGGACACAAAGTTATCTACAGATTCAATGCAATCTCTGTCAAAATTCCAATGGCATTTTTCACAGAATAGAAAAAAAATTTAAAATTTGTATGGAACCACAAAAGACCCAAAATAGCTAAAGTGATCTTGAGAAAAAAATAACACAGATGGAGACATCACACATAGTGATTTCAACCTGTATTACGAAACTTTCATAGTCAAAACATAATTGTACTGGCATACAAAAATATATATGGACCAATGGAACAGAATAGAAAACCCAGAAATATAGCCACACATATATGGTCAACCAATCTTTGACAAGGGTGCCAAGAATACACAGTGGAAAAAGGATTATCTCTTCAATAAAATGGTGTTGGGAAAACTGGATACTCTATGCAAAAGAATAAAATTGGACGCTTATCTTACACCATATACAAAAATTGACTTAAAATAGAATAAAGATTTCAGTGTAAAACCTGAAACCATAAAATGACTAGAAGAAAACATGGGAAAAACTCCTTGACATTAGGCTTGGGAATAATTTTTTGGCTATGACATCAAAAGCACAGGCAATAAAAATAAACCAGTGAAATTATGTCAAATTAAAAGCTTTTGTAAAACCAAGGGAACAATAAAAATAAAATAAAATGAAATATAAAGGCACACTACAGAATGGGAGAAAGCATTTGCAAACCATCTATCTGATAAGGAGTTAATATGCAGAATATCTAAGGAACTCATATAACTCAATAGCAACACGAAACAAAACAAAAATATGTGACCCAATTAAAAAATGGGCAAGGGACCTGAATAGACATCTTTCTGAAGAACACATTCAAATCACCAAAAGGTATATGAAAAGGTGCTCGATGTTACTAATCATAAGGGAAATTCTAATCAAAACCACAATATCACCTTACACCTACTGAGATGGCTATTACAAAATAGACAAGAGATTAGAAACATTAGTGAAGGTATAGAAACAGGGGAACCCATGAAACTGTTGATGGGAATGTAAATTGGTGCAGCCTTTATGGAAAACAACATGCAGATACACAGATTCCTCCAAAAATTAAAAATAGAACATACAGGCCAAATGTGGTGGCTCACACACATAGTCTTAGTACTTTGGGAGGCTGAGACAGGAGGATCGCTTGAGCCCAGGAGTTCAAGAGCAGCTCAAGATAGCCTAGGCAACATGGTGAGACCCTGTCTCGAGGAGGAGGAGGAGGAAGAGGAGGAGGACGAGGAGGAGAAGGAGAAGGAGGAGGAGGAGGAGGAAGAAGAAGAACAAGTAAGAACAAGAAGAAGAACAAGAAGAAGAAAGAAAGAAAGAAGAAAAGTGAGGCTCTGTTTCTACAAAAAACAAAGAAAAAGAAGAAGAAAAAAAGACCAGCCTAGGCAACACAGTGAGACCCTGTCTCTACAAAAAAAAAAAAGATCATACCGTATGATCCAGCAATCCCACTTATGAGTATATATGCAAAATGAATAAAATCAGTATCTCAAAGAGATATATGCACCCATATGTTTATTGCCACATTGTTCACAGTAGCCAAGATATGAAAACAACCTAAGTGTCTGTCAATATATGAATGGATAATGAAAATGTGTTGTATATTCGTGTGTGAGTGTGTGTGTGTGTGTGTGTGTGTGTGTGTGTGTGTGTATTACTTTGGGATCTTTGTGGTTCCAAATAAATATTAGAATTGTTTTTCTATGCCTGTGAAAAATGCCATTGGGATTTTGATAATGCATATATACACACAATGAAATATTATTGAGCCATAAAGAAAGGAAATCTCCAACTCTGGGAGACAAGACCTTCCTTTGGTCAACAATACACCTGTGAACTGAAGGCTAAATCAAATAACTTCTCCCAGTGATTTCTCCAACTGATGTTTACTATGCTTTCAAATCATAAATCTGTAATGCTAGTTATCACTTATGACAACAAGTCAACAAAAGGTTGAGATTAAGGTATCAGATATACTTTGGGGTCATTGAGTGGTGAGAAAAATATTTAGTTATTACTTCGAACCACTTTATATGAGGTTATTGTTTATCAAGATAAAAAATACAATAAACCCTTTCTCATAGATTGGGCTTATGGTTGACCCAAATATAAAATTGTGTGCTATATCAGCCAAGAAACACTGGAAGAGAAAGAGACAGAGAGAGACGGAGACAGACATTAAAGACAGGAGTAAAAATTATGCATCTATTAGAAAAAGTAGAAAAGTTAGGAAAATTCCTAGAGAGACAAGTCATTATGCCCTCTTGATATCAAAAGCACAGACGTGGCACTCAACTCTGGAAATAAAGGTCAAGGAATGCACAATCTGTACCAGTCAAGTAGCTGTAGAAAAAATAGGATTATAATTTGCACAACTGTTCCAGCTGAAGGAGTGATTTTCTCCCCAAAACTGCCTTCACTCCATTTTGTTGAAGCCACACTGGCCTTTGTCTCTGCAGGTTCAAGAGAGGGACTTTCCCTCTGTATTTATTTGCTGTCTCCTCCTCTACAGTCCACATGGCATTTTTCTTTACTTACCAGAGTCCTAAAGACCTGAAAGAGCAGCAAGCTGATTAAAAATTAATAGGAGTCTCAGAGGGAAAGTACCAAGAGGCAGTTGGCTCTGTGATCGGCAGTTTTTTGAGGTTCTTTAAATACCCAATTATTTTCAGGACACCCATGGAACGAAGACCACAGGACATGGGAAATAGGTTTTCAGGCCAGAGGGAATATATTTTTAAGTACAAGTCTTTTAACTTGGAGAAAAGAATTATGTTTACTGTACTACTGTTCATCACATCCCACCCCCTCACCTTACCATCTCCATGTACTCCACTTATTTTTTTCTCTTTTATAGTTTCAGGTGACTCACCCAGCAGGAGTGAGAAGAATTTAGCTTCAGTATAAATTTCATTATTCTACAGTGGCTCTTCATTTGCCCAGGAGATAACAATTCTATGTAGAAAAAAAAGTCAGTGAATTAAAATCAGTCCTGGGAATACTTGATGATATATTACATCCCAACTCAACCAGGAAGAAAATAGAAACCTGATATGTCAAGGAATTAGAAAGCACATGTTTATACTATAAAGTTTCTTTGGGTGAAAAACACTTTCTTAAAGAGACTAATGAATGCACCAAGCCGTAAAATGGCCTCTAACTACAGTAAAAATGAAATCTATAGGAAATTCTTCTTCTACTACTTTTATTCTGCCATTTCCTAAAACCTACATTGTGGTTAGTGAAATATTTATGTGTTGCACTCCAGAAACCTATTATTTATGATGCCCAAACAGGAAGGATTGCATCTGATGACCACATTTTCATTTAGCTGTGGGAAGGAACAAATTGCAGTTGAATTACTAACATGGAAACAAATCAGACAGGGCGCAAATGATTTGTTTAGCCAGAGACTAGCTTGTCAGGAAGCTGTGCTGTAATATGGTGCACAGAAAAATCTGTGTATCGTTACCTTCCAACAGGTTGTCAAAAATCAGCAGGCTGAGGGAGTTTTCAACAAAGGTAGGAAAGATAAAACAAAGGAAGGATTTTTTGTAACATAGTGTTAATGAAATGCTGCTTTGTTAGCATTGCATAAAAATAAATGTAAATTTTGGTACCTAGCAGAGTCAATTGGACTATGACTTTTTATAATGTGTGTATTATTTTTCAATCAAATCTAATGTTCCTTTTCACCACTGTTAACTTTAAAAAGCAGAAAGCTTCAGAGATCTGAATTATATTTTCAGAATTGTTTAGTAGGTCTTACTGTAAATCATTTGGCTGTCTGAAACTAGATCTTTGCAATCTATTCCCCTGCTGTAAGAAAAAAAATGGCTATGTGTATGTTCCTACATGCTACAATTATAAATTGGTTGGTGAAATTACTTCCAAAAGCAAACTAAGAGAAATTACAAAACAATATCCCACTTAGCATTTATTGACCATTTATCAAGGGCTCTTGTGAAAAAATACATTTGAATCTCTGGTTGGCTATGATTTATATAATGTATACTTTTTGTTTCACTTTTTTTTTAACCGAAAGCGCACTCTATTCATTTATTTGTTTGGTTTCTTTTGTTTATTTTATTTCGTATACATTTATTTTCTCTCTCTTTCTAAAACAGATTTGAGAAGGTTAACCACAATATATCTCTGCTCATGGGATAACACAAACCAAATTTATTAGTTCAAAAGAGATTACCAAAAGGTGATAATATATCAGTCTATTGCTCAAAAATGGCAGTAGCTCCCTGTTGTCTACCGAATAAAGTCTAAATGCTTTCATCATAGCACATAAGGCTCTCCATAGTCTGTCCCCAGGCAGAACAATAGGACACACGGTGATTCTTGGAAATCAGGCTGCTGATTCCACCACTACGGTCCATGAGTTAGGTTTGGCAAAGTACTTAGTTACCCTTTCTGCATTTAGGAACTACAGCATAAAGAGTTTCTGCAAGGAGTATTCTGCAGTTGACACAGGTTTACTCTCAGAGATTTTACCACCTCTTGTTCCTTAAGCATGCATATCCCGTGGATGTCTTCTCTGACAGATTACACTACTGTCTTATCAAATAATTCTTCCAAACACATGCAGTATTTTTACTCCAACTTACTACATTTTCAATGTAGTTTCAGTGTGATAGATGGGTACCCAAGGCAGTTGTCCAGCTCTCTTTCTTCTTTCTCTGTTTCTGATTGTGACGTCAGCTCTAAAGCATCAGCTTCTGTCGCTCTTATGACTGATCCTTATTGGCCGTATTTGTGTCTTTCCAGGTTAGCAAAGAGTACTGAGTTTTATTTTCTTTGGAGTTCCAAGCTTCTAGCATACTTTCTGGCATGCAATAAAAGTTTTTGGAATCTATGGTTAATTCTGCCTCACTCTTGGATTCTCAAACTGCCTTCTTCAAGTTCTCAGACACTGCTTTCTCCTCTTTCAGCATCTGCCCTTTTTCGATAAGCTAGAGTCAGACTAGGAACTCCAACAAGGAATAGAGGCAACTGTGCCGGGGACAGATTAGACTCAGCATAGCACTGCTCCTGAATTGAAATCTGGCTTTCACATTGAGAACTTTGATAGTGACATTTTGAGCAGAACATATCTAAGGGAAGTCATTGGCTGCTTAGAGGTTTGAGCATCTATATTCATTCTATTGCACCAAAAAAAGTATGTTACAACAAACTTGCTCAAATAAAAGTGCCCTGATTTAGGCTGGTACTTAGTATCATGATGTAAAAGAGTTTTTCTAAGCCCAGCCTGGAATAGGAGGAATAAAGAAATGCATACACGTTAGTCCCCCCTTATCTACAGGGTATATGGTCCAAGACCCGCAGTGGATGCCTGAGGCTGTGGGTGGTACTGAGCCCCATATATACTGTGTTATTTCCTATACATACATGGGAAGTTTAATTTATACAGAAGGCACAGTAACATTAACTAATAATAAAATACCACAATTATAACAATATACTGTAACAAAAGCTATATAAATGTGCTCATTCGCTCTGCTGTCTCTCTCTCTCAAAATATGTTATTCTACTGTATTCAACTATTTTCAGATCCCAGTTGACCACAGGTAACCGAAACCATGAAAAGCAAAACTGTGAATCATGGGGGACTACTGTGTATATATGCCGACATGTACATGTGTGTGTGCATGTGTGTGTATATGTTGGGGAAGTTGTAGGCAATGGGTAATTTTCTGAGTAATCCTCCAGGGTATGTGTGTGTGCATTCTGTGAATTCAGAATTTGGCCCTCACTAATTCCTCACATCAGATGCCCCCAGTTTCAAACTTAGGTGTGAAAACACATTAGAGACAAATAAAAAATGCTTTGAGGATTATCTGTTATTTATCTTTATTACACACCTGTGACTGCCCATTTGTGTGGCATAAGTTATGTCATGCTAGTTTTACTCAAGAGCAGACTGGGAAATAAAATAAAATAAAAGTTGGTTCATCATTTTCAGGAAAACTTTTAATCATAATCTAAACTAGCTCAGATAGTTTTGAGTCAAGTTATTCATGGGAAATGGTGACCATTTTGGGTCTGAGTTGAGATCACTGTTGTTATGAAACTCTGGTTCACCTGTGACTTAGAATATTAGATTTAAAGGAGAACTCTTAAATTTGGTTGGCTCTTAATTGTTTCAGACATTCATTTTCTCTGTAAAGTTTCCACCAAGCTCACAAAGAAATACAGAAAAGGATCATTTCTGAGACCCTTTTACTCAGGTCATTTACTCAAATGGACAGGAGTAAAACTGGAGTCTAAGAAATGTCACTTTGGCCTAATACAAAGAAAGTACAGGGAGAAAACCCAAGTTGAGGCAAGTGATCCATGGCCCTAATGTAGGACTCTTCAAAAGAGGAGGATGTCTGAGACTCAGGAATGATTAGGAATAGAGACTAGGAATGTGGGCATGAAGGTAGCCTAGTGGGAGTGATGAATCAACTTTGCATCTCTCTATCTTGATACCCATCAATTGGTACCTGGCATAGAAAGACCACAATAAAAGAAGTAGTTGCCTAGAAAGTACTAATAGTTCTCAGCTCAACAGGGAGACTATATTCTAGAGGGTGACTGATGCAAAAGGATAATTGCTTGCCAGTAAACTCAAGAACAAAACTGGCACAAGTGATGAACCAAGAATGTGGTCTTTTATCCTGAATGTGAAAAAAATAATTGAGCACAGAATGTGAAAGCTGAAGGGGATCTCAGGTAATGTGCCTGAGGTCACAAAAGGGAAAATGGCCTACCCAAGATCACAGATCACACAGCTGTAATACAATTCTGGTTAGACCTCTGATTTACTGACTGCAGCTCCCCTGTTCTCACCAGGGTTATAGCTACTCTTACAGAAGACATAAGAAGATATATACGCAGAGAAGACATCATAAGACCTGAAGATGAAAAACTTCTGATCACAGAAGAAAGATATACAACAGGTTGTTGTTGTTGCTGTTATTGTCATTTTGTCTGCTATTCTATTTGGTAGTGGTGCCTTTAATAATTTCTTTTCTTAAAGCATTGCAAATTCATTTTGCTCTTGTAAATTGTGTGTGTGTGTGTGTGTGTTTCTGTGTGGGTGTTTCTGTGTGTAGGTATATGTATGTGTGTTAGGATTAAAGACTTATAACTCCTATTAGTGATATGACACCAAAAAAGCACAGGCAACAAAAGTAAAAATAAGTAAATTGGACTACATCAAAATTTAAACCTTCTGTGCATCAAAGAGTGCAATCAACAGGCTGAAAAGACAACTTACAAACTGAGAAAAATATTTGTAAATATATATCCGATAAGGGGTTAATAGAGTACGTAAAGAACTCCTACAACTCACCACCACAATTATTCTGCCAACAACAGAATAATTTGATTTGAAAATGGGCAAATAACTTTAATAGACATTTCTCCAAAAAATATACAAACAACCAATGAGCAAATTAAATGATGTTCAACATCACTAATCATTAGGGAAATTAAAATCAAAACCAAATGAGATATCATCTCACACCCACCAGGATGTCTACTGTAAAATTTTTAAAAAGAAAATAAAGTGTTGTTGAGTATGTGGAGAAATCAGAGCCTTTTTGTCCTGTTGTTGGGAAAGTAAAATGGTACAGCTACAAAAATAGTATGGCATTTCCTCAAACAATTAAAAATAGAATTACCATCTAATCCAGCAATTCCACTTCTGTATACATATCCGAAAGAATTGAAAGTAGAATCTCAGAGATGTGTATACCCATGTTCACAGCAGCATTATTCACAATAGCCAAAAAGTGGAAGTAACCCAAGCATCTAGTGATGAATGAATGCAGAGACAAAAGGTGGTATATACATACAGTGGAATAATATTCAGCTCTTGAAAGGAAGGAAATTCTGATACATGCTGCAACATGGATAAACCCGGAGGCTACTATGCTAAGTGAGAAAAGCCAGTCACCAAAGGACAAATATTGCACGATTTTACTGAGACAAAGTAACGAATGCAGTCAAACTCACAGAAACAGAAAGAATAGTGGTTGTCATGGGCAAGAGGGAGGAGGAAGGGGATTTATTTCTGAATGGGTAGAGTCAGACTGGGAACTGAGTGGGAGGAGAGAAGCAGCTGGGAGGGAAGTAGATATTGAGTGCACCTCATGTGTGCTTCTGTGCCAGGTACATCCACTTTCTTTTTTTCTCCAATTAAATGTTTAATTTTTCTTTAAATTTTGGATTTTGACTCTTCTGTTCTGTTGTTTTTCTTAATAATTTGCCTTCTTTGAGGACATGAAGCAGATTGGTCAGGTATATCCAGTATACAATCTTTTTAGATATTCACAACAGTCCAGTGCACTTGCTGTATTATTACCATTTCCCAAACTCAAAAACTGAGGCTCAAATATATTAAGACATTTCCAAAAAGCATCACATTAAAAATAGCAGGACAAGGTTTTAAACCCAGGCCAAGTTGACTTTTTCGTCCATATAGTTTCCAAAAAATCATGTTCCCTGTTACTTCGCAAATACAGCAATCATGTCTTAAACACATAAGGAAAACCAAGGAAGTGGGTGTGGGTTGGGATTTCAAATAGGGTGATCATGCTAGACCTACTTGAGAAAGTAACTGGTAGGCAGAAGAATGGCCCACCAAAGAGGTCCACAACGTGTAAATATGTTATATTACATGGCAAAGGGAAATCAAGGTTGCAGATGTAATTAAGGATGCTAATCATTTGACCTTGAACAGGGAGAGTGTCAAGGATTATCCAGGTGAGCACAATGTAATCATAAGAGCACTGAAAAATGGAAACAAAGCGAGCAAGAGAAGAAAAGTCAATTTCAGAGTGAGTATGTGAGAAAGACTGGACTGGTATAGAGAGATTTAAAAAAACAAACAAAAAGTGTTTTTTTTCTCTACTTTCGGCTCTCACTCAATCCAACACTTCAAACACCAGATACTTGAGGGGTTTTCCACACCTACCAAGTAATTCTCCAGCAGGTTCACCAGAGGACACAAGCTGGTGTCTAATTCTGATTCAATTCTCTAATTCAATTCACTTGTGGCACTATCCACCTGCAGACAGTGTCAGATCCCACAGGGTGAGGGCTCGGTCCCACAAGACTGCCCTGGACTTCAAAAGCCAGTTGCATGTAGTAGCTGGTCACCTATACTTCTGACTAACTGGCTATAAACTAGGGCTCCCAGAACCTCCTTTTTAGATTTGATTAATTTGCTAGAACAACTCATGGAACACAGGGAAACACTTATTTAATGTTTATGGGTTTATTATTATTAATAACAGGTATAATAAAAGATATAGAGGAACAGCCAGATGAAGAGAGACACATAGGGCGAAGTGTGGAAGGGTCTTGAGTACAGGAGCTGTCGGCATGGAGTTGGGGTGTATCATCCTCCTGCAGGTGGATATGTTCATCCATTCAGAAGCTCCTCAAACCCCATAGTTTAGGGATTTTTACTGGCACTTTATCATGGAGGAACGATTGATTATTGACTCAATTTCCAGCCCCTCTGCCCTTCCCAGAGAAGGGGGTGGGTGGGGCTGAAAGTTCCAAGCTTCTAATCATGGCTTGGTCTTTCTGGTGACCAGGGGTCATCTAGAAGCCCACCAAGAATCACCTCATTAGAACAAAAGATGCTCCAGTCACCCAGGAAATTATGAAGGTCTCAGGAGCCCTGTGTCAAGAACTGGGGCAAAAACCAAACATTAGAACAAAATATTCTCCTAGCACCCATTATCACTCAGGAAATTACAAAGATTATAGATCTGTGCTGGAGACTAAAGGAAGAGACCCACTATATAAATATTTTATTAATTCACAACTAGTCATTGTTGACCTTGAAGATAGAAGGGGGCCACAAGCCAAGGAATGTAGGTAGTCTTTAGAAGCTGGACAAGATAGGGAGTGAATTCTATGCTAGAATATCCAGAAAGAAATGCAGCCCTGTGCACACCTTGATTTTAGCCTAGTGAGGCCTGCATGAGACTTCTGACTGTCAGAACTTTATGAAAATAAATATGTTGTTTTAAGTCACTAAATTTGTGATAATTTGTTATAGCAGCAACAGAAAATTAATACAGTAATATTTTAATTACCTTTGCTTAATTTGCCTTCTCCTTTACATTCAGATTTTCAATTTTGAAAAAAAATATCAAGTGTACTTCAAAGCTGGCAAGCTTTGGGTTGTTGTTTTGTTTATTTCTTTCCTAATTGGTCTTCTGCCAAGAGAAATGTATATTAGGATTAAAAGACCCACCTGGGCCTGGAGAAAACTTTGAGCATCATTTGCATAAAGGTGAGAACTGTGTCTCACAAAAGCCGGAATTGTGCCTCAGAGCTTCACTCATAATTACTGCTCCTGGCTGCAAACATTTGGAAAAGATCACTAAGATCCTGGGAAAAGAAACAGACAAAGACATCATCCTATATCTTGATTGACGGGGAACATACCCTTTGCCTACAGGCCTTCAGAGGGATCAGGAATATTTCTTCGCTCTATATGCCACACAGTCTTTTGAATGCTGGGTGTGTATTTCCTCCTTTGGTTCTCACAATTAATTGGCATTGTTATTCTCTGTGTAACACATCAGGAAAATTAAAGCTGTTAATGACTCAATAAAGCTCATTTTTTTGCTGGGTGACACAGCCAGGATTTAAACCATGAGGACTTAGGTCTCAAAGACTATGCTATTTCCCCCTATATTATTCTTTAACCTCTTTTTCTGCAGCCTTGAAGCATTCTGAGAACCCAGTGAAGGCAATAATGTCTCTTCCCAGAGAAATTCACAGGTAAGTACAAGCACATATGCACACACATTTGTGTAAAAGTCTCAGGGGGTTCATTGGCCCTAGGAAGCTTGCATACTCATTAAAAATGTCCATAGATTTCATTTTATGCCAATCAGATGCAGTGTGTCATAGCAGTGAGAGAGGTGACTATAAGCAGATGACCACATGGCAGTCCCTTGCTCTACTGTTTACTTTATGTGAGACCTTGGGAAATTGCTTAACTTCTCTGTGCTTTATTTTCCTTATTTATAAAGCAGGAATAGTAGCAGAACTAATCTCCTGGGGCTGTGGTGAGGATTGAAAATGTTGTTACACAAAAAACTTTTAGAATGGTTAAGTGCTCTATAGTACGTAATATTTTTTTAAAATTATTATTGATGTTGAGTTATGAGCTCTTGATTTGGGCAATCGTTTTTTTCTTTCTTTTAAGTTCTGGGATACATGTGCTGAACATGCAGGTTTGTTACATAGGTATACATATGCCATGGTAGTTTGCTGCACCTATCAACCTGTTATCTAGGTTTTAACCCCCGCATGCATTAGGTATTTATACTAATGCTCTCCCTCCCCTTGCCCCCCAACCCCTGACAGGTCCTGGTGTGTGTTGTTCCCCTCCCTGTGTCCATATTTTCTCATTGTTCAACTCCCACTTGTGAGTGAGAACATGCAGTGTTTGGTTTTCTGTTCCCATGTTAGTTTGCTGAGAATGATGACTTCCAGCTTCATCCATGTCCCTGCAAAGGACTTGAACTCATTCTTCTTTATGGCTGCATGATATTCCATGGTGTATATGTGCCATATTTTCTTTATCCAGTCTATCATTGATGGCATTTGGGTTGGTTCCAAGTCTTTGCTATTGTGAATAGTGCTGCAATAAACATACGTGTGTGTAATCCTTTGAGTATATACCCAGTAATGGGATTGCTGGGTCAAATGATATTTCTGGTCCTAGATCCTTGAGGAATCGCCACACTGTCTTCCACAATGGTTGAACTAACACTCCCACCAACAGTGTAAAAGTGTTTCTATTTCTCCACAGCCTTGCCAGCATCTGTTGTTTCCTGACTTTCTAATGATCATCATTCTAACTGGAGCGAGATGGTATCTCATTGTGGTTTTGATTTGCATTTCTCTAATGACCAGTGATGATGAGCTTTTTTTCCTGTTTCTTGGCACATAAACGTCTTCTTTTGAGAAGTGTCTGTTCATATCCTTCGTGCACTTTTTGATGGGGTTATTTTTTTCTTGTAAATTTGTTTAAGTTCCTTATAGATTCTGGATATTAAACCTTCATCACATAGGTAGCTTGCAAAAATTTTCTCCTATTCTGTAGGTTGCCTGTTCACTCTGATGATAGTTTCTTCTGCTGTGCAGAAGCTCTTTAGTTTGATTAGATTCCATTTGTCAATTTTGGCTTTCATTGCAATTGCTTTTGGTGTTTTAGTTATGAAGTCTTTGTCCATGCCAATGTCCTGAATGGTATTTGAGCAATAGTTTTTAAAGAGTAACCTTGCTATGAGAGATGCAGCAGAAAAAACTCCAAAGTATCAATCATCACAATACTTGCAGGAGAAAAAATCCATGTTTTGGATAACGCAGCTGCCGTTCTTAGAGATATTGACTCTTTGAATAGACCAAGGAATGAATGCATTTTTGCCTATCCAAAAGTATTTCCATGACACTTGTCTTCAGAGAACCAGGATGCTGAGAGAGAGACAGAGAGAGAGAGAGAGAGAGAAGATAAAACATCAGAAACTTGCGACTTATGACTTCAGGGGAGAAAACATTTCAGAACATCCAGCAATTAATGATAAAAGAACATTATTGCGGAGCTCCTTTGGGATGGAACAGAATGTCTTCAGAAAACACTTGATGGCTGGGCACAGTGGCTCATGCCTGTAATTCCAGCACTTTGGGAGGCCAAGGTGGGCGGATCACCTGAGGTCAGGAGTTCAAGACCAGCCTGGCCAGCATGGTGAAACTCTGTCTCTACTAAAAATACAAAAAAAAAAAAAAAAAAAAAGCTGGGCGTGATGTCATGCGACTGTAATCCCAGCTACCCAGGAGGCGGAGGCAGGAGAATCGCTTGAACCCAGGAGGCAGAGGTTGCAGTTAGCCAAGATCGCACCACTGCACTCTAGCCTGAGCGACAGAGTGAGACTCCATCTCAAACACAAGAGAAACACTTGATGTGTTTCCTTTATTAAAAGAAAAAAAAAATAGGAAAGAAAAATTGGTGTCACTTTGATCAATTGGGAAAAAAATTGGTGAGCAGTCACCATACTGTGTAAACACATGTAGCCTCTTCCATGTGAGCACATTACTAAGTGTCCATCCATGCTAATAAATTTAAGTAAGAGTAACCATGATGATAAAAGAAGACGTGTATGAGGACACCTGTATTTTACCAGTTTCCTATATGTAAACAGTTCATCTAAAACATCCAGCAATATTTCCAATATGTTAAAAATATTTTTGGACTTCTTGTATATATCGATTGGTTACTTCAATGAAGGAGTCAATACTGGAATAGATTTTCTTTCCCCGAAGAATTTGCTTAAATTCCCATATTATTTTATTTCTCTCTTCTTTCCCATATCTTTTTCTCTCTCTGCCTCTCTTTCATTTATTTATACAAACTCAGAGAACATTTATCCTTATTTAAGGCAGCATCAAGGGTGAGGGGTAGGATGCATGGTTATTCAGTTGATATACCCAACTAAGAAAGAACAATATTGCCTGAAGTTATAGGTAATTGATTTTTTAAAAGTTGACTCATGATACCAGAAGGATGCTTTAATCCAGTACTTTATGAAAACAACTAAAGAATTTATTGAAAATGTCTGAAGCCATACCCACTTATTCACCCATATTGAGTGTTTACTATGTGCCCCAGGTGGCCAATCGCTAAAACCATGACAATATAAAAAGATGATAATATGTCTTTCCTGCCTTCATGAGGTTCACAGTTGGTTTGTGCAGTTAGTAAAGTAAAGCTGGAACATGAACTTAGGATTTCTGAGGATGCATTCAAGGCTATTCAGAACCAAAATAATTTCAACGAAGTATTTGTTTTAGAGAACTTTTGAGGAAACCACCAGAGCATCATTTGAAGATCACTGTTTAACTATCTAAATACCAGGGCCTCATAAGCATCTAGAATAATTCTTCTTGACCAGAATACACAGGTGGCATGTTTGGTAAATAAAATATCTCATATAGCTCATGTAACCCAATTGCTTTGCAACTAGTGCTATGCAAATTCCCATACAAACAGTTCAGTAGCTAAAACCATTTGAAATATTTAGTGTAGTATATTTCAAAAAAAAAAAAAGCAATGGAAGCAGAAGTTTCAAAGGGGGTGGCTGTAGCAGCCAGAAAACTTCCCTTAAAAAAATCTCCTTTCCAGTGCTTTTACACTGTTGGTGGGAGTGTAAATTAGTTCAACCATTGTGGAAGACAGTGTGGTGATTCCTTAAGGATCTAGAATGAGAAATACCATTTGACCCAGCAATACCATTACTGGGTATATACCCAAAGGATTATAAATCATTCTACTATGAAGACACATGCACACATATGTTTATTGCAGCACTGTTCATAATAGCAAAGACTTGGAACCAACCGAAATACCCATCAATGATAGACTGGATAAAGAAAATGTGGCAAATATACACCATGGAATACTATGCGGCCATAAAAAAGGATGAGTTCATGTCCTTTGCAGGGACATGGATGACACTGGAAACCATCATTCTCAGCAAACTAACTCAACAACAGAAAACCAAACACTACATGTTCTTGCTCATAAGTGGGAGTTGAACAATGAGAACACATGGACACAGGGAGGGGAACAAACATCACACACTGGGGCCTGTAGGGGGTTGGGAGGCTAGGGGAGGGATAGCATTAGGAGAAATACCTAATGTAGATGACTGGTTGATGGGTGCAGCAAACCACCATGGCATGTGTATACCTATGTAACAAACAAGCATGTTCTGCACATGTACCCCAGGACTTAAGGTATAATAAAAAAAAAACAACAACAAAAACAAAACAACCACAACAAAAGACTCCTTTCTCTGCATAACTCACCTTCCATTTCTCTTGGACTCTCCACTGTCCGAGAGAAACAAAACAAATCTCTTCTGTTTCCCCCATTATCTGCACCCTTCAAAAACCTTCTTTCTTCCCAGCCTATAACAACCCTCATCTGGCTCAGGTCTTTTGTTTTGTCTTGTCCTTTGCCTTTTGTCCTAATTTTTGTATAACTAAAAAAGAACCCAGTACTGACCTAGCAAGCAATCTACTTCCCTCCATTGGGAGAAGTGGGAGAGAGAAAATGGTGAATGCTTATAACCTATGGTTTCTTTTATCCCCTTCACACCTGGATGTTTTGAAAAATGTATTTAATGTTGCATGCAATATCTTCAGAAAGGTGCTAAAAGGCCCAGTCTGCTTTTTTATCCATATGAGAAACTGCTGTTCTGAGTCATCAAGGCAGTCGTTGTTAGGCCTGGATGTACAGTAGATTCATCAGGAGTTTACTTTCTTGGTAGCAGCTGAAATGTCTACAGAAAATAGGAATTTATGGATCTCACAGTATGTTTCCCTAATGTGCTAGGAGGGCAACTAGGGTGGATGGAGGGTAGGAGTTGGAGATTAAAGTTTTACAGTGGTCTGGACTGAAAGTAGATTGTTTTACTAATCGTATTACATAAGATGGCTGCTAACCAGTGGAAAAGGAAGATTCAACAAAGCATGGTTAATAGTAACTGTGGGAATAACACATCTCTTGCATTCATACCTCACTAAGTTAAAGCTGTCACATCATCAGGTAAAGCATTTAAAGCACTTTTTCAGTACCACACCATTTTTATTTCTGTTTATGTGTGTGTGTGTGTGTATCTGCATAGATGTATACACACATATATATGGTAGGACAAAACCTTTCCTATTTCTCCTCATAAAAAGAAAAGTACTATTTTTTTCCATTTGTATGTTAAGTGAAAAATACTGTAAATATATAGATTATCAGGGAATTTGGCATCTTTACAAGGTTAACTCTTTCCAACCAGAAATAAAGTACTACTCTTCTTGTATGCAAGTCTTCTTTATATCTCAATTAAACTTCATGTTTTTCCAACTACCTTCTGCACGTTTGAAGATTTAACCATTTATCAAATATTTACTGCACATTTACCATGGTTACCATTACCGCACTGTTTTAAATAGTGGGGATACAGCAGTGAAGAAAACAAACATGTTTCTTGACCTGACAAAACTTAAATTCTACTAAAAGAAGAAAGAGAATGAAAGAAAAACAAAGGGAATATTTTTTTATGGTCATGGCTAGGAATTTTTTATATCTTTATATTTGAAAAATCTGTACTACATTTTGAATTATTTTCTTAAGAGGGTTTTAGAGGTGAAATGCCTATATCTAAACATATGAACATGAATGAAATTCAATTGTTTTCCAAAAAACTTTAGATGTATTTATATCCCTTAGGGAGGTAAACAATTCTGACTAGATGTCATTGTTTCATCTGGGTCTTAAAGAAACAGCAGGATTATCAGCACAGAAGATGGGCAAAGACTTACGAGAATGGAAGAGTGAGCCACAAAGCAGGTTGTTGGTATTACTGAAGGTGAGGGGATTTGGTTAGCGATAGAGCTTCGATGGTGGTATATCATCTAGTTTCCAAAACCCTGAAATGTTTGTACTCTGTCCTTCACATGCCACACCCCTTAAAAGTGCAATAATGTGCCCTGTGTTTCTCACACCTAGAAGAGTTTCAGGAATATTTTCTCATTGCCTTGGTCACTGGAGGGCAAGCCTGTGACCACAGTGACTTAACTCCTGGCAATCCTGAAGGGACTTTTATAGACATTTTTAAAGTGGAAGAAAGAGCTTCTTAAAACACCAAGCAGAGGCATAGCATTTCACCATGTGTTAGTGATTATTAAGACGTTTTCATGCTGTCATCAGCATTCAAGACCCTGGAGATAAAGTAATGTACATGGATGTTCTTATTCAGATCTGAATTCTGCCCAGACCACTGACTTATCCTCCAACAGCAGCTAAATTGCTCCTTCGAAAATCAGTAAAATATTTCCATTCTTACACTTATGAAAGTACTCCTAATATTTATTGTATCCTGATATATTTACTGGTACTACAGTAAATATTTGACAAACAGTCATAACTCTCTCAGAAATATTGAGATTAACTAGAGTTGGCTGCCACAACAGAGATTCACGACTTACTCCATATTACAGTTCAGGTCTCCTGGGAAATCGACTCTGAGGCATTGATTTCTGTGCAGGAAATTTACTGGGTGGTGATGTTAGGGCGAACACTTGTAGAGAAGTGAAAGCAGGAGAATTGGGCCGAGGGGCAAGTTGAAAAAGATGCAGTCAGAACAAAGGCCTCAGGTGACTTCACAGCACTCTGGAGCTGGATGGCCTTATAGAGAGGCCTCATGTGACACAAGGAGAATTGACCTATCATTGGATGTGGGCTGTGTCTAGAAAGGGGATTGATCTTGGACAAGTTGCTTCTCTTCAGCTGGTAGAAGAGCTCAGAGGGAGGCTCCAATGAGAGCTGTCTGTGGTCAACACTCCTAGCGGTTGGGGCAACAGGTACTTTAGTTGTTTAATGAGAGATCTGGGTGACACACAACAGCAGCTACTGCATCTCTTAAAAAAGAGAAGGTCATAGGTTTTCACCGTTTTACGCTTCCTTCTGTTTTGCTCCTATCTTTGTGGTTCAGATTGCTTGCTTTTCCTTCTGCAACACCTGCTCCCATAACTAAACCTGAACCAATGGAATATAAGCTGCAACTACATATTTAATTACAACAAAGCCCTGTGAATGTCCACTGCAAATTGAGTATGGCCCAGTGCTTTTTCAGTCTCACTTTCTGGCACCCCGTCTTATTATTGTGGGTGATCTGATGCCAACTTTTTTCTCCAGATTTTATAAATGCTCTCTGCAGTCCAAAATAATGTAGTGCAGTAAAAAGGTACAAGAACCAGGTCGGGGTTTAAATCCCATCTCTGTTACTTATTAGCTCTGTAATATTGGCAATTCATTCAACCACTCTGAACCTTGGTTTTCTCACCTATAAAGTTTAATTATAATTGTAATAGTTGGCATAAGGATTTTATGGGATAACATGTCTATGACCCAGATGGAATCTATCTGACCCTTGAAAAATAACAGACTCAGGCATCGTAGCTATTTTCTTACTAACACACTAGATCTTCCACCAAATACAATTGCCAAGGTTTACCAGACTAAAGGCTAATGTTGTTAGCTATTCTGAGCCAAAATGACTATACTAATTATAAGCGATAATAACAGTGATTATGAATGATTTTGGTGAAAAAACCAAGTTTAAGATTGAGTACTTAAAGAGCTCAATCAGGGGAGTAACATTAGATGGAAGCTGAGGAGGCGAGCAGCTCTGAGAAGGTCTGCAAAAGTGTGAGGCTGATATGAATGACCAATAAACCCTCAATAATGAAATGACAGAAAATACTGTAACCCTGTCAATTCCACTTCACACAGGCTCCTTTGTCAAGGTGGAAGCAGTAAAATAACACAGAAGGCTATTTCCTGAGGCAAAATAGGTTGATTCAGATGCAGAAAGCAAAGCAGATCATCATGAGATATTGGGTAAGCAGAGGAAAGCAGAGAAATAGATGCAAGTTTCCTTTATTTTGTATGAAAGAGACATAAAAAGGGAATTTCTAGAGGAGCATTTCCTGGAAACCACTGCTGGCATCTGTATGGCCACTGCAAGAGATGTGTGCCATCTATGAACTTCAGGGGTAGAAGTGTGTGTGTGTGTGTGTGTGTGTGTGTGTGTGAGAGAGAGAGAGAGAGAGAAAGAGATTGAGAGAGAGTTTATATTGGTATGTAGTTTGGTGGTATCAGTGATGAAAAAATGTGTAAGTACCTGTTAAACTTATTCTCACACACACACACAGACACACATAAACACACCTCATGAGTCACATATGAAAGGATGCAGAGACAGGAGACCAACATCTATGAGAATTGCCCTAGAAAACTCCACTCGATTTCTAAGCTTTGACCCACTTATTTCTTCTCTGTGTCTAAATCCAAGCCTTATAGTTTGTCTGCTTTGACCTTGGTTATTTGTGCCTCTTCCTGCCTCACTTAAATGACTCATCTCCCCAACAATCATCTCAGCAAATTTGATCTAACCTATGGCACCTGACCTCTGACCGACTTCAGGACCCTCATGAATGTTCCTTATCCTTAGCCCAAGTTAATGCACCATCCATCTTCCATGGTGCTCATTCAAGACAGCCAGGCCCACTCACTACACAGTGAAGGCAAATCTGGGACATTCCAATACTATTTGTGGCAATTACCCATACCTTCAATCTCTATTTTTACCATTTATCCAAGAACTGATTCTTTAAAACATGTATTGCTTACCTGCCTACCTGTGCACAACTGGTGCCTACTAGGAAAGAGGCAATTTATAGAAAGTTTAATAAAGTTGTGGCCAGGGTTGATGAAAAGCAACAAAAGATAGTACAGAAACCTGGAGCTAGAAATAGGAGCCCTTATCACTCATAGGTGTGAACAGCCAAAGAGAGGGACCTGCACAGGGAACCCTGAAAAGGTATCTATTATGAGAAAAACTTGGGACTATAATGCCCCTTACTTCCAAACTGGAGAAGTGCTCAGGGACCAAGGAATGACAGACAAGTCCAGCTTCATGAGCAGATGCGTCTATTTAGACTTACGGACAGGGCGTTCCCGGATGATGGCAGGACAGCTCTAGAGATCCACACCACCTTCCATCTCTAAACTGTTTTTAAGCTAATTTTCTGGCTCTCTGCCCACTATGTTTGAGCAAAAGACTATTTTTCTTGGTAGGTTCTCAAATACTCTCCAGGATGTTTGGGTTCTCAGGGACACTCACTCCTTGGCTTGGTACTATGGCCTTAGCTCACCACCCAGCCTTCAGGGTTCAGGCAGCGGACATTCACTCTTAAGTAATCTGGTGGGGGACCCATCACACTACAATCCATGTCATTCCCCAGCTCTTACTCTTTTTTTTTTTTTGTGAATCTTTTTCAATGATCCCTGAGCAAAATAAGAGGTGAAGAACTATATGGGCCTATAATGTATAGCAATGGCTTGTGTATACAGGCCACATCTACATTGTACATAACAGCATAAAAAGCAGAAGCTAACTACAATTATACTGTCTATTAGTGAGACATAACTCCAATAAGTAGGTAAGGTGTGTAACCAATTTGAGAATGAGTCAAAAAACCTAACTGGGCTATATCATGGATCTGAGTTGACAAAGGATTTAAAGCATCTGTGACATTATTCCCTTTATCGGGCATAGAGACCCAACAGGTAGCATCTGCAAGGACATATGTTATTGGGTCTCTATTGAGTTGTCAATTGAGCCTCCAGGTGGATGCAATCCCCATTGAGCCTGGACTGCGCTATCAGTGCTGCTGAACCAGTCACTCCAGTTCTGTCAGGAGAAAGGCAGAATATTCCAAGGCATACAATTATGATTTGATAGGGGGACGTATTCATATAGTCAACAATCGCACTGGTTGCTGACTGCTGCTGTAGTTGCAGCCCAGTCCAGAAAGACATTACCAGCTGCCATGGGTAGCAGGAAAAACAGCCTATGGGCATAAACACAGGTGTTTAGTAAGGACTCTCATGAGTGTATCTAGTTTTTGTAACGTTGCTATCATTGTATTTTTTTTTTCCATGGGCTGTATTAGGGAGGCCATAGCAGGCTTCAGGCCTGGCACTACAGTACCAGACGTGGCTTTCCTTCCTAGGAAGAGACACAATAACCAAATGCTAAGTGTTTGGCCTTGTCCAAGCTGTCTGCATTATGATCACTCCAGCAGGTATTGGTGCTGCCATGTTTTGATATTTTAAGGCTTTTGGACCTCTAGCAGGAGCACAGCTAGGACCACCTCCCCTCCAGCAGTCTCCTTGGAGCCCTCTGGTGCCATAAAACTGATCCAGTGTAGAGTCACTTTCCAGCTTAACTGTGGGTCCATGCAGTCATCACCACCTGGCAGATCCATTGGTGCTCTCAGGAGTACAGTCTGACCATCTGCTCCAGAGGCACGGTTCAGTGTCTCAGAGGTAACCCAGAGAGTTTGCAGGGCCTGTTTTGCAGGCCTTGCCAACCATTCATAGAGAGTGATTCAATGTGTAATAATGGGTGACTTATTTAAAGTGTGTATGGCTTCAGGGAGAGTCTTAGTCCAGGACCTTAAAGAGCTATCCTAGGACATATTAAAAACCCACATAAGTGGGTGTTTAACAGGCCATTCTTTTTTTTTTTTTATGAGGCCTGCCCTGTTGTGTTATATGGTAAGTGAACCTCCAGTCTATATTTTGTTCTGATGTCCAGTGTTCGATACCTTTGCTAGGCCCATCAGTGTACCAGGTTCTAGTGGGTATCAGCAGGATCCCCTCATACATGGTGGTTGGCCTCACAGATGGGTCCACTGCCATATTGGCTCCCTCCATGTGTTCAAAGTAGACAGGTCTGAGATCCTCCTATAGCTCCTGACTTAAAGGACTAGTGGACAGGACAGCCCTTAGTTTTAGAAATGAATGCTATTTCTGCAGGGTGTGTGATCGTGCCACACCAGAGGTGAGCTTAGCTAGGAGGCCTTCTGTTCACCCTTTTATGGGGTAAGCAGCTTTTACTGTGGTGGCCTCCACTTGATGCAATGCCCTATACATGGCCAGTAACTGTTGCCCTAGGACTATATTGTAGGATTCTGTCCTCTTTCATAATTAACACCAAAACCCTTCAGGTATCATTTTGTTGGTTGCTTTTGCCATAAACCCCAATTTATCTTTGTGACATCTCTAGTGACTTTTAATATAAAAGGGTGCTGTGACAATGGGGTCTCTAGTGCTTGAGCTTGTTTTATCAATATTTTTGTTTTGTCGAATGCCTCTTGCTCTCCATGTTCAGTCCCATTTTTATTGTTTTTTATTAGCGTGCATAACAAATGTAGGATTTGTGCCAAATGAGGAATGAATATCCTCCAGTAGCCCAGTAAACCTATGAAAACCTGGAGTTAGTTTACTGTTTAGGGAACAGACTGTTGTGCTATCTTGTTAATGAGAGCTCTTGGTATTTTTCACATCTTATCCAATCAGGTAACTCCTGAAAATTGGATGATTATGCTGGGCTCTTGTTTCTTTTTGAGGTTGACTTTCTAGCTTCTGTCCTTTAGGCCATCCAAGATGGTTTATAGAGCCGTCTCCAGATCTCTAAGAGACTCTGAGGTCAACGTGTTATCATTAAAACAGTGAAACAGGGAAATCGAGGGAAGCAAAGAGAGTCTAGACAGGTCCTGTGCAATCACACTGTGACAAATGGTGCAGCTGTGCGGGTACCCTTGTGGTAGCATCTGGAGAGTCCACTGTTGGCCCTCCTAAGTGAAGGCAAACTGGTTTTGTGAATCTTCTGCTAAAAGAATACTAGGAAAGGCATTAGCCAAGTCAATCACAGCATGGACATTGCCCAGCTTAGGGACCACTTACTCCAACAGTTGAGCAATATTAGGCACAGCTGCATGTTCAGGGGGCCCCATATTGTTTAGCTCATAGTAATCTACCATCATTCTCCAAGTGCCATCTGGCTTCTTCACAGGCCCCTAAAGGGCTATTGGAGGGGCTTAGGGGCAGCCTATTTGTACCTTATGTAACTTTTGGATTGTTTGGGTGATTTCAGAGTCTCCCCTTGGAAGGTGGTATCACTTCAAGCTTATTGCTGGTGTGGGCTAGGGCAAGTGTACAGGCACCCATATGGCCCATCCCATTTTTGTTTTTTGATTACTTTTGGACTCAGTCTGTATTTTATCAGGCTCACTGAGGTCCATCAATGCTTTCCCCATATCATATATTTTATTTTCTATTGATGAGCCCAGAAGTGTGACCAATATTTTATATTATAACTCTTTCTAAATTGGAAATGACCCAGACATTCAATGAGTACCTCAAATAATTTTAAGATTTTAAATCACGCAAAATGTTTATTTATAAACATTTATTTACATTAATTTAATTTATTTATTTTTATCAGTTTATCTAGATTACTCTTGAGAATCAAGATAAATTATTATTTGAAGTATTTTTATTAATTATTTTTATAGACTGTAAATATTAGATATTCATCTAAGCAAGAACCTTAAAGCTAAACACGTGGACATGTGTTTTGCCAATAACTCAGACAATGTAGCTATTTTTATTAAACCAACAATATCAAATTAGTCTTGCTTATTAAAAAATCACACAAAGATCATTCAGGCTAGGGCTGGGTTTAGGGTCTTACCAACTTTATGTCAAACCCTGACACCTTAAAATATCTAGCAGAAGCAAATAGAAAACTTATCTAATGAGTAAACCCAGGCAAAAATGTGTCTGACACTTTTGAAGACATTTTTCTTTTTATCTTACCAATAATTTCAAAGCTAGCTTATTTATTAACAATTATTAAATTCATGTGGACCTAAAAAGCATTCAGACTTATTTCATTTATAAGTACTCATTTCCTTATGAGCCAATTTGGTAGCATGCTGGACACAATATATAACACTACATGTACATGTACATGTATATAAACACATTTAAACATGTATAAGCACACACAAAGATCCAATAGCTTTACTTCAGAACTTTATCCATGAGACAGCATCAAATCTCATTATTTTACAACAGACAGCTGGATCCAAATTATATTTGACAAAACTGGGACCTATTCACATGGCTAAACTTTTCCCTAATAGGCAATCCAAGGAAGGTTGTGGACCAAAACTTTGGGTAAACAGTTTCTATAACAGTTTTATTTTTAAAAAACCTCTTTTACCCCCTTTTCAGTTTCAAATGAGCTTTTACTGTTTACATTTTAGCTACAACTGGTTGAACAATATAAGAAAAACAAAATCTCCAAGTATCTTTCAATTAGTGAGTTTTATCTCAACATTGGTAGCTTAGTAACAGCAGATTCAAAGCAGGTAGAAGAGGAAAGAGAAATAGAGACATTTAAAAGACTCTCCTTAATGCTGTAGCTGCAGATTAACCATTTGAGCTCTGAAATTCTTTGTCATAATTTTCCATCAGTTTTTGTTTGTTTGTTTATTTGTTTGTTTTTGAAATGGAGTCTTGCTCTGTCACCAGGCTGGAGTGCAGTGGCGCAATCTCAGCTCACTGCAACCTCCACCTACCGAGTTCAAGCATTTCTCATGCCTCAGCCTCCCCCCTAGTAGCTGGGACTATAGGCGTGTGCCACCACACCCAGCTAATTTTTGTATTCTTAGTAGAGATGGGGTTTCACCATGTTGGTGAGGCTGTTCTCAACTCCTGACCTCAAGTGATCCGCCTGCCTCGGCCTCCCAAAGTGCTGGGATTACAGGAGTGAGCCACCTTGCCTGGCCCCATCAGTTTTTAAATTTGCACAAGAATAGGCCATAATATATAACCAGCTGGAGTTCTAGAAAACCTGGCATGCCTTTGAACTTTCGCAGGAGTTTCTACCCTTTCTCCCTTTCCTGCTGTAACAATTTTTGAGAGCCAGTTTTATTGCAACAACAGCATATTTGCTGTCCTTACCATACTTTAATATCTTAGCTTCTTACAGTATGTGCTCAGTCCCTGCCAAAGTTTTCTGAGCATCTTTGTACTCACGTGGTGGCCCACAGAGGTTGAGCAGTCAGGCAACTCCACCCTTGGTGCATGTTGCAAACCACCCCGGATTTCCCATGCACACACTCCTTCCTGACTCATCGTTTGGTTCCTTGGATCCTATTCATGACACCAATTGTTACAAGAAAGACTTGGGACTGTAATGTCCCCCACCCCCAAACTGGGAAGGTGCTGAGAGACCTAAGAATGACTCAGACAAGTCCAGCTTGACAAGTAGATGAGTTTATTAAAACTTACATACAGGGTACTCCTGGACTACAGCAGGACAGCTCTAGAGATCTGCACTACTTCTGTCTCTAAACTGTTTTTAAGCTACTTTTCTCGCTCTTTGTCTACTGTGTTTGAGCAATGAGACTAGTTTTCTTGGTAGATTCTTAGACACTCTCCAAATGTTTGGGTTCTCAGGGATACCTGCTCCTCCACTGGGCACCAGGGCCTTGGTTCAGCACCCAGCCTTTAGGGTTTAGGCAGCAGACATACACCCCTTAAGTAACCTGGTGGGCGATAGATACATCACATTATTAGCCTCAAGTAGAGAGTTTCTACCAACCCACGGTGGGTTGGTAGAAAAAGTCAACAGAAAAACATCTCAACCTCACTTTCTCTCCCTTTTATCTCCTGCTTCCCATTAGCCAAACCTGAGTGTGAACCACAGGGCAAGAGGTGATGCCATCAATAAACAAGATAGCATAGGTAAATAGGGAGAGTGAATTTGAGGGGAGAAAGGAGGTTAAAAGAAGATTTCCCATGCACCTACCATAGGCCAGGTCTGTGATAAGTACTAAAAACAGAAATATGATGTGGTGAATTCCTGTCTTCAAAGAGCTTATAGCCTAGTGGGAGACTATTGTATCACCAAGTGGCAAATGTATTGAGAGACGTAAGAAGTGGTTGCCACGGACATGCAGGGGAGCCCATTTGGTGAACTAAAGGTTGGCATTAATGGATGGGGAAATGCTGGAACTGAGTGGTACTGGAGCCTGGGTAGGAGCATAGTCTGAACAAAGGGAGCTTGTGCAGCAGGGAAGGCAGGGAAAGAGTTATGACTTTCCCAAATAAGAGAATGGTATGAGCAAAGCCCTTAAAATGGTGTTTTCAATGTTTTAGCAATAAAATCACAAACAATGGCTCTTAGTCCTAGAGTACTAAAAAGTGGAGAAAAAAGTAAAATTCATACCACTAAAGCTAATTTTAAAATAATGTTAGTCATCTGCTTATATTTCTTGAAGTTCATCAGGCAGGTTCCACGCTGGAAACCAATAGTGTCCAGAAATATTTCTCAATATTCTTTTTATCTCATCTGTGGTCTCACACACTGTAGTTACTTCCATACCTGTACTAAACAAGCAAACAAAAACAAATACACAAACAAATGTAAAGACAAAGAGAAACAATCCCATCTGTTCAATTAGGACTCTTTGCATTGCAAATAGCTAAACCAACTCTTCCTCTTGCAAATAAAAGGGGATTAATTAGCTCAGTAACACAAAGTTGAGCCCTGCTGGATCCAATGGGTTGAATTGTTTCCTCCTGATATTGGCTTTGTGTTGGTTCCACTCTCAGGAGGCTTCTCTCTTTGATTGGCAAGATGCAGAGGTGAGTGGTTCCAGGCTTCAGTGTCTTAGATTCAGATTCAGAAGAGAAAGATCGTCTTCCTCAGGCCCTTCAAAGACCCTGGAATCTCTCTGTTCCATCTGACTTATGCCACTTGTTTATTTCTGAATCACCGTGGACAAGCAGATATGTGCCACCTCCCAAGTCCAGATTTCAGCCCCACCCTAGAACCACATGAATGGGAACTGGGAGGTTACAACTGCAGACAGTAATTTGGACACATTTTTTCCTAAACAAATGAAACACATGTAACCAATTCCACTACCAAGGGCGGTCTGTACTCCCTGCTATTTTCCATTTTCTCTTCACTGTATTCTCCATTAACTATCCTTTAATCCAAGATTTGTCTTGGAAAATCAGAACACTCCTGCTTGTCAGGGGAAGGAGAGAAGAGAAGTGAACATATTCATAAAATTGTTTTGACCTTATCACATACATTGTTTCATTTCATTACTACAGCCAACTCTGAGGTAACAACATATCCCCACCCATGTAGATGATGGAACTAAGTTATAGAGAGTAAAGCAAGAGACCCAGTTGAAATTAGTTACAAAAGAAAGCTTTGTGATATCATAGTGATGATCAATAATAAGAGAGAAATTCTTCGAGACTTGGCAATAGTGTGGTTACCTGCAACAGACCTGCTAGGCACCCAGGTATAAAGAGAAAGTTGCTTATAAGGAGGAAAATCAGATTTTCCTAATATCTACTAGGTAACAGATGCTCATAGAAGGAGAACGCTCCTTTTACCATGCCACACTAACAGAAAGTTTTCTTTATTGCTTTTTCTATTTCTCCATCTCTACCATCTCTTACTTATAGCTTACTTATAGTAAGTTAAGATCTAATTTTTTTTTATTATTATACTTTAAGTTTTAGGGTACATGTGCACATTAAGATCTAATTTTTTTCTTCTGCTCTTTAAATATAATAATGATGAATTAACTATATATTTACATGTACATATTTTCAAAAATCAAGAAATAGCAACAAATAACAAGTTAATAAAATCATCTAAAACCACCTCTATAAATATTAATAATTAACATTACATAGTATTCAAGATATCTATCTTAATATAGCCATGAGAATAAAAATTATATAACTATCTTATAATCTGTATGCCTTAAAATATTTCTGTTATGGACTATATTTCATATTATTTAAAATACTTTTTCTAACTTATCAAAAGATAAAGGAATTGCACTGGCAGCAAAAGTATTTCTGAACTGCTTACACATATTTCTTTACTACTTTGCTAGTTCTCTTCACAATGCCTTTTTGGTTTACAGGATTTCATCAATTATTTTTGCTAAGAAGGGCTCTTGTTCAAGAATATCTCCCTGTGACTTTGTATTTGATATACTTTTACACTGTGTTTAATTTTCTTTTAGAATTATGCAAACTTGGCTCAATTGTCTTCTGGCATAATTGGTGCTACAGAGAACATTGAGGTAAATTTGATTTTCCTCCTTATAAGCAAATTTCCCTTTATGCCTGGGTGGCTGCAGTTCTGTTCGATGTAACCACACTATGTATTGTCAAGTCTCTAAGAACTTTTTATTTTTTAAGAGCCCTTTATTGACAATTCCTATGATACCACGAAGCTTTCTTTTGTAACTAATTTCAATTTCCTGATATGTCTCATCTGTTTCTTGTTGTTCCTAATTTACATATTAGTTCTACAATGGTATTATTTTGTCATCTATCTCCTTTTTCATATTATTCTCTTATTTAGTCATATTTTAACTCTTAATTATTGAATCCATATTTTATATGGAATATGTATGTGAATATATATACATATAATGGCACATATATGATAGTTTATGTGTATGAGATATAGATATATAGAGAGAGATGTCCTTTGTATATGTGTTGCATATAGAGATAGGAGAGAGGGCAGAAGAGTGCACAAAGGCATGTGCCTCTGCTGAGATCTTGAAATCCGCTCTTTGAAGCCCCACGTTATATCTAGTTTCTTGCTTATTTGATAAATTTGATATTCTTGGCTGACACTTTTTTGTTGCTGTTGTTGTTGTTGTTTATTGCATTAGAAAGGAAGATTTTGTGGCCCAGATTTATTCCTCTGTTTTACATATAAGTTTTCAGAGTTAATTTTTACACTCACTTGCAACAATTGTCTTAGTTCTCTTTCTTGGAAAAAGTATGTCCATGCTTTCATCTCTGTGATATATGTTGTCATTGTCATCGTCATCATCATTATCATCAAACTGCATACATGCTTTAACTCCAACTGCCCTCAAATAACTTTTGTATGTAGGAACATAGAACCAAAGAAGGTAAGAAGAAAAAAAGATATTTAGTTCCCTCTAGTTTGTAGTTGAAGAAAATGGACCCAGAGAACTCAGTCATATTCACACAGCTGATTATTTTCTATGTGAAGTCTAGATTATGAATAAAGTCAACCTGGTAAAACAAAAAAAGAACAACTTCAGAGCCAGATAGACTTAGGTTTAAATTCCAACTCTGCCACTTAAACAAGCTGTGTAAACTTGACTAAGTTATTTCATTTCTATTCATCTAATTTTTCTCATCTGTGAAACCCTCAGAGAGGTTTTGAATAAGATCTAAAGGGATAATGAATGTAAAGTGTTCTGCACTGTGTCTCATACATAAAGTCTTATTAAATGGTTGTAAGCATTATTTTTAAGCACATTTGCAGAGCTAATTAGTGTCTGTATCAATTTGTTATTACTGTGAAAGAAACAACCCCGGCATACCATGGTTAAAATGGCAATCATTTATCATTTTTTTGAGCGTATGAGTCAGCTAGGAATTGGCTTATCCAGGCTGGGCTCAGCTAGACTGTTCTGCTGACCTTGGTTGGGCTTATTGACTGTGTTTGGTTTCCTGAGGCTTCATTGATCTTGTTTGGGCTCAACTGGGCTGTACTGCTGTACTTGGATGAGCTCTCACATGAGTATAGCCTTTTGGGGGGTTGGAGAAGCATGGCTGGGTCTAGTTGAGGATGGCTCTGCATTGATGTGTCTCTCATTCTCTCCTAAACCAAAGAACTAGTCTAGGCAGACAAATAAGAGGGTGAGCATACTCATGTGAGGACCAGGCTCAGATCTAGAACTCCTACCTCATTCTATTGGCCAAAGCCAGTCTAAACAGCAGTCTTACAGCTTAACCCAGAGTAAAACGACAAAGAGTGTGAATACAGGGTGAGATAAATAATGCTATCACGAACACAACGTATTATAAAATCAAAAGAGACCTAGAATACGGCAGAAACAGGGAAGTAAATTTGGGCGTTAGAACCAAACTGACCAAGATTTAAACCCTAGTTTAACCTCAAATAACCTCTGTGACTTTGGTCAAGTTCTTAATTTTTATAAAAATAATTTTTAAAAATTATTAGAAAATTATTTTAAAAATTAGAAAAATTACAAAAATAATTTGGAAAAGTGAGATAATTATTTTCCATGCAATATTGTGAGGTTCATAAATAATTTATCATATTGTTGGCATATGATAGTTATCCAACATTTGGTAATTATTATTGGTATTTATCTTCTTTCAGTCCACAGTCCAGTCCTGATGATGACATCAGGGTTCATAAATTAACATGAGATTTCTGACTATTCCAGGTAGTGAGAGGAAAGAGAGGTTGTAGAACACCAACAGTAAAAAGCTGTCGAATTTTGGATTTATTAGGATTCTTTGCTTGAGATATACTAAAACTGTTTAAGCATTGCAAAGAGCACGTCTTGCCCTTATCTCCTTTGTACTTTCATTAAGGCTGGTACAATAACTATAGGATCTTGAGCACTAAAAAAACTGATGCCCTCTGATTATTTGAAGCAGCAAATTCAGCCTATGATGATCTATGTTCCAAGAGGAAAATTGGTAACTAAGCCAAGACAGAGAACTAGGGGGGCAATTGATAAATATAGTACCAGCTTTCACTGAGCTTATATTCCAGTGAGTGTGACAGATAATAACTAAACACACAAAAAGAGCAGATTGCAATAAATCCACTGAAGAAAACAAAAGGGGCGACAAAAAGAAACTGGGGGAGGACTCTTTAGAGTGTTGAGATAAAAGGATAAGAAAAATCAAGGTGGAAGATATTCTAAACAGAAGGAACAGTAACTATAAGAATTTTGAGGTGGTAAAATGTTTGGCATGTTAAAAAAAAGGAATAAAAGTCAGTTTGGCTGTACATAATGATGAAAGGGAAAGCTAGAATTAGATGAAATTGAAGAGATCGGCTGGACAAGCTTTTCAGGCCATCCGGATGAATTTGGGTTTTATTCTAAGAGAAATGGGAAGCCACTGAGTCATTTGAAGCCTGGTTGTGAAATACTCTGTTTTGGGATTTAAAGAAGATCATTTGGCTCCTGTGTAGTGGAAAGTGGGCTGAGATGTCTGTTATCAACCGGGTGGCACCACCATGTCCTGCTAAGGTTGCCAACTACATGTCTCAGAATCACCTTCCATTTAGATCTGGGCTACATTTTGCCAAGGAGAGGAACATCTGTGGAGTCTGGAAAGTGGAAGTAAATCGGAAGCTTTATTCTCTGGAGGTGGTGGCTGCCAGATGAACATGCACATGTGAGTATCAAAGCAGCTTCCTAGAAAATTGCTGAGAATTATTTGCCTCATGGCTGCAGACTAAGACTGTTGGGGAGCTTCTCAGACATTCTGAGAATTGCAGCAACTTCCAGGCACATTTTGGAGAGCCAATGCAGATTTTTAAAAAATGAAGCTTCACAGGATTAACAAATAGGCCTTCCAATGTCATTTAGTGGACACAGTTGTAAAGTACAGAGTTGGGGCTAGAAACCTGGTCTCTCTTATTCCCAATTCCATGTTCATTCCACCATGCCAGAGAGAATGTAGCTGCATTATTTTATTTTAAGTGCTCAAATGTCACCCATGCCCATGCTAAAATACTGGTCTGGAAAACAGACCAAATTCACAGGCCAAAGTCCTGTGATGTGGGTATATTATTCACTGATAGATTACCTGGGAAAACAAATAATTGAGTTGAAATTTATGATAAAAACTATGAGTTACATCCCTAGCCACTGAGCCCTTGTCAAACAACATTTTATCCACTAGGCAGCTTGATGTCTGCTAGCTAATGTTAATGGCATGGACGACTTCATGAGAAAGAAGGAGAAATGAGTGAGTGGTATAAATAACGTGCATGAATTACTGGGTGCTCAATAGATCATGAAGAACAAGCCTTTGTGATATGTGGTGCCCCTCATCTGGAACCACAAGGCAGTTGTAAATGCCATAAATTGACAAATGACTGTAAAATATCCAAGCCAGGGCTTCAAGAAGCCAAACTCCTGAGCTTCAGCAGGTGGGGGTCAAATTGCAGAGTGACAGAGGGCAGCTCACTGTCCGCCACATGAACTCATCACTGCTTCCTTCATTATACTTCCTACTCCAGCATCCCCAAAGTGACTGCTGTTTCATAGACAGTATTCATGTTCATTTCATCTTCTGTTTATGCTGTCCCCCTGCCTAAAATACTTTCTCCTGTCACTGCAGCCAGAGACTTCTCATGCTTTAAGATTCAGTTTAAGCATCACATTTTCCAATAAGCTTTCACTTCCCACCCAGGTTAGTATCTTAATCCGCACTTTCCTATTTTTTTGTGTATACTATCTCACTGCACTTATAATACACTAATAAAATATTATTATAATTGTCTTTATATTTTAGTCTTCTCTACTAGACTCTGAACTCCCCAAAATCAAAGAACCGATTTTTTTTTTGTCTTTCTAAATTCTTAGTACCTAGCATACCAACTAAATACCAATGGCTCTCAAGCTTTAGCATCCATTTGAATCACTCAGAGGGCTTCCCAGGCTGCATTCCTAAGTTTCTGATAGATCTGTGGCAGGGCCCAACAATTTGTATTTCTAACAAGTCCCCAGGCAATGCTGATGCTGCTGGTCTGGGGACTAACTCTGAGAACCACCGCAATATACCATAGTTAGTTTTTACTTTATACACATATTGCATAAGTGGTTACAAGCTTAGGCTATGAAACCACCCAGAACCTAGGTTTAAATAATATAATTCTTTAAGCTAGAGGACATTGGACAAGTGACTTCAGCTCTCTGAGCCTCAGTTTCCTTTTCTAAATAATGTGTGCAATAAAAAAAATGCTAAAGTACTTCCCATGATACTCCATATAACATAAAGCTCCTGCAATTCTGAGCTGGAGGAAGAAATGCTAGAAGAAGGAAAAAATGAGAAAAAAGGCAAAATGCAACAGTCCGATAATCCCCAAATGAGGACTAGCCACACACACACAGAGCTCAGCAATGAGTTTAATTAAATACCACACACATTTACTTACTGAAGGATGCTATTTCCTTAACATAAACAGATAAGAGATCAGTGATGTATGACAGTCCCCAGGCTGCTGAGAAGAATCTGTTTTGAATTTTTTACATCAAACAAGCGATTCATATACACCACCTCTTCAGCAAATGGCTGGCAGGATTGAGTCTGGTGGGTTTTCCACAGGGCTCCCCACCAAAGCCCTCTCATTAATGGATAATCAGCTTCTACTGATCTGCTCCTAGTCTCCCTTCCAGAGCAGCTGTTTCCCCCTGTGCTGTGATTAAAGCTCTGTTAAGATTAATGAAAACAGATTTGTGTTGCTCCTTTTCTCATTAACCTTATTATAATGTTTTGTCCCCAAGATACACAATTCTTAAAAAAATATATTTGTAAAAGGTAAAAAACTTGTTTTAACCTAGGCTGGCTTGATAATTATCAACATCTGAATGCAAAGTAGGTGACTTAGTCAATCTTCAAATTATGGATTTGATAGGAGGTGATTGTCCGTTGTCCAACCAACATTTTTTCCTGAATGAAGAGATGGAAATTTCAGAAAATAATAGCATCAAACAATTAAACTCTTACTGTATAAAGTCAGGCACCATGACTTGTGTCCAATATTCTTTTTTGTTCATTTGAACTTCACAACTCTAGTAGGTAGTGTATATGAATATGCCTGTTTCACAGAAACAGTGAGTCTCAAAAACTTCGCATGTCTTGCTTAAGTTTGTATAGCTGATAAGTGAAAGACTTGAACTTTGATTCCAGGGATACAAAGCCTGTGCTCTAAAACCATGCCTCTTAAAGCTTAATGTGCACAGGACATGTTTTAAAATGCAGCTTTTGATTCAGAGGGTCTGGGATGGGGTTGAGAGTTTGCATTTCTCACAACTCCCAGGTGAAGCCTATGGTCGTCTCCAGAGAGTAGCCTTGGATACCACGCCTTACACTTTACAGAAAAGTGGCTTTTCTCTTCCATTGGGTCAATAAACTCCATCTTCTTTCCTGATGATCAAAGCTTCCAAATTCTCTTTTGACTCCCAACTTTGATTTGATAAATATTATTGAATTATCTAATCCATGCAAAGCTTCCTTCTAGATCCTGGATGGGAGACACAAAAATCTTAAATTAAAATATAATAATTGGCTGTTACTCTGGAGTATTTAGAGTCTAGAAGAGACACACTCATACTTTCACTGATAGACTGAAAATCATCTCTTGATTCTACATTAGATTTGAGTTACACTGAGATGAGGGAGGCTTTACTCTTTTTTTTTTTTTCCTGAGATAGGGTCTGGCTTTGTTGCCCAGGCTGGAGTGCAGTGCTGTGAGCTCGGATCACTACAATCCCCACCTTCCGAGTTCAAGCAATTCTCATGCCTCAGCCTCCTGAGTAGCTGGGATTACAGGCATCCACCACCACACTGGCTAATTTTTGTATTTGTAGTAGAAACAGAGTTTTGCCATGTTGGCCAAGCTGGTCTTGAACTCCTGACCTCAAGTGATCCATCTGCCTTGGCCTCCGAAAGTGCTGGGATTATAGGCATGAGCCACCACACCTGGCCAATGGAGGATCCACTCTTAAAATAGCAAATAAGGGCTATGCAGTTGGACCAATGTAGATCACAGGTCATCTGGAAAAGTCACCAAAGGGAGTGTAGTGCTCACCTGAAGTCCTCCATAATTCTTCACTGAGCCCGTAGATCACAAATATTTTCTTCTCCTGGATGCTCAGGGTGCTAGGCTTCTGCTCAGTAAGGGTCTTGCCAATGTTCCACAAGAGGTTCCTTCAGACTAGGACAGTGGTTCTCAACCTAGGGCAAATTTTATCCCCCATGGAATAGTTGACAATGTCTGGAGACATTTTTGGCTGTCATAACTTGGAGGGTCCTATTAGTATCTGGTGGGTAGAGGCCAGGGTGCTGTGACACTCTTTTACAATGCATATTACAAGCTCTGCCTCTCCCACCTCCCGATCCCCTTACCCCTGCCAAAGCATTAATAGTGCTATAAAAAATCTTGCACTGCAGACTTACCTCTGGGTTGATAAGTCAGAAGGATCTGGAGCCGCAACAGGGATATCAGCAGTTTAGGCATTCATGCTCATTTGAAACTCTTTCTACTGGAAGGTTCACTGTGGCCTTCCAGTAACTTATCAGGCACCTTGACTTTCTGGGGCTACTTGGAGCTTCCCTAGCCAAAACTGAGCAATAATCCATCTGCATTCTACTTTGAGGAGACGTTAAAACCCACTGTAGGAAGTCAGGAAAGAGTTGAGAGTAGGATGAGAGTGGGGCTGTGGGACATCTGAGCTGAATCCTAAAGAACAAGGAAAGTTAGTATGAGTGGAAGGGGCACCCCATATACAAAGGCCCAGGTCAACCTGACATGATTGAGAAACTGCAGGTGATTTAATGTGACTGGAATAAAAGAATGGTGAGAAATAAGAGTGAAGATTGCTGAGGATGGCTCAGAAAGCTCTTCATGTCCACGTAAAGATCTTAGGTTTTATCCTCAGACCAGTAGAAAGCCAATGAACACTTCAGTTATGCAAACTTCTGTTCTTTCTCTGCAAACCTACTGAGAAATCTAATACCTATACTCTGGAAGTGTATCCCTGCCTGCTATCTCCAGTTTCTTCTTCAAGAATTAAAGACCTTCCCTAGAACCTCTGCACAGTGTGAATCCCCCTACTCCACCCGATTGTGGGTTGCCTGCTTAGACTTAGAAGTATTATTTGTTCTGGATCTCAGTTTTTCTTAATATCTCTCTGACTGCCTGTTTCCGTGCCTCCCTGGGCATTGTGCCTTTCCATACAGGCTGATCTCCATCTCTACACCATCTTCTGAGGCATCCGTCATTCTCTTCAAACTTTGACCTTCTTCACCTGTCTTATTGAACTTCAGCCAGCCAAATCTCCAACCCTCCCCAGGGTGAACAGATGTCCTAGTTTGCTTGAAACCAGTGGCATGCCAGGAAATGGGACTTTTGGTTTTAAAATTAGAACAATCCAGGGCTAACCAGGATGAGTTGGTCACTCTATTCCACATCCTACAACTTGCAACTAGCCAAGTTCACCTAGTCCTAGGGCCAGGAGTATTTCCAGTTCATCCTTGCTTTTCCTGCAGTGTTTAGTTCAGGAAATTCTGAGTTTGCAAATAGCTTTTAATCATCATCACATCCCACCCCATCTCTTATTTTCAAACTGGCGGTGCTACCAGGCAACGGTATAATTAATTAACCACAAAAGCAAGGTGAGGCTAATCATAAACAGCTTTAAACCCAGCCTGGGGAAATCAGGTGTTGGTGGTTCAGAAAGATATGCAGCAGTGTGCAGATTGTGATAACATTTCCCTAAATGCATTTCTAAAATGCTGGGTTTTTTTCTGTCTTGCCCTTTATTTTTTACTTAGAAATAATGTATAAGTCTCAGCATCACTTTCAGCCTTGTTATATTGTTCCAACGCCTACAGCTATTTGTACTCCAGCTGCTCCATTGCAGCTAAACTTTGTTTACGTATTTCAATTTTCAGATGAGTCAGCCTCAGGCAGATTTGTTCTCTTACCTGAATTCCCAGCCCTGTCTTCTGCCATTTCTGGGACTGCATGGAGCCTGACCCAGCAGTGGGCACAGAAACATGCAGGTGCAGAAATACTGAGGATGAAAAGCTTACTGTAGCTTTGCAACAGCTTGAAGATATTGAACTGAAATCTGAAATGCGTTAAGGTAACAAATTTGAAAATGCTCATTTCATTCCTATGCCCTTCACCTCCCAGGTATCTTCTCATTGGCCTTGGGCTGTTGGAAGCAAGCTGATTCCAGGCATACTTGCAAAAAAAGATCCCCATAATAAAGTATGTGTGAAAATGGTTGTAGCTTTGGCCAGCACATGGGAAGCAGATGTTTTCCAAGAGAATTGATGGCATCGCAAGCCCATCACAATCTGGCCACAATCTGTCTTTCCAGACGCATCAGCCCCCACCCCATACATGTTATACTCAGCCACACAAAATGATTCTCCAAATCCCATTATGCCTTTTCATGCCTCCATTCTTCTTCGCATTTGATTTTTTCATAGTTCAGAATCCTCTATGATCTCCTTTTTTCTCATGCCCACTGATTTTTTAGGATCTCGTTCAAATGTCTTCTCTAAAGGCTTTCTGAAATCCAGCAAGCAATTATTTATTCAGGCCTCTTTGCTTCCTTATCATGTTGAACATGCTTCCGTCTATCAGGCCCCAACAGAGCCTTAAGCCCCGGAATCTGTGCCATCTGGGTATGTCTGGGAACTCCTAGAGTTAGGATACAGCAATAATGGAAGTATTACATGGTGGTGAGCCTGTGGTCCCACCTATTCAGGAGGCTGAGGTGGTAGGATGGCTTAAGCCCAGGAGTTCAAAGCTGCAGTAAGCTATGACCACATCACTGCACTTCAGCGTGGGCAAAAGTGTGAGAACCTATCTCTAAATAATAGTAATAGTAAAAATAATAATAATAAGGAAGTATTAGCATAAGGAACCTGAAGCTCTATGTGAAAGGGTAAGTATTGCTACTTTGGGACTGAAAGCTGACTCAATATCTAAGATTCCCTGGAAGCTGGAAATGTTTCCCCCTTTAACCTTAAAGTCAGTTGAGGTAGCTTATATTTTTGCTTCCCCAGCACTCTTTCCCATGGCTCTTCTTCCAGTGTCAGATAGACATTGTCCCTGCCACAGTAGTGGTCATGGCCACAGAGGCTTGGCCAAGCACAGAACTCCTTCTCTTGGCAAACAGTGATTGGCCCAGGGGATGGCCCATGACCCAAATAGTCCATCAGAATTTTTCTCTGGGAGTGATATGTAAACAGTAGGAGGAGACACTGAAGAGGCTGGTTCAGAGTGTGAAAAAAGAAGTTAAAGGCTCAAACCAACTAATGCTGCAGAAGTTAAAAGCTGCTGCCATGGTAGTAGTGACAGGAACAGCAAGAAGACAAGGAACAAGTTCCTTTTCCCAAAAATTCTGTCTTTCTATCTCCTTCTAGTGCCCCTGCTGGCAGAACCTAACAGGAAGCCAGATGGCAAAGAGGGCATTTAGTTTGCAGAGTTCTAGCTCTGGGCACCTTTTATTTGCCATATTGTGAACTACAAGTCAGGCATAGATATTGACTGCTACCCTCAAGATTCTCATAATCTAATAGAGGAGATAAACGATAAAGATAGAATATAAGTACAGTCTGTATAAGGGCCGAGTGTAGTGGTAACACAGTCCTGGGGCCCCTAGCCCAGGCTGAGCCAGGGGGCTCAGATAGGGAATTTCTAAAGTAATCTACATTAGAGATTAGAGGAAGTTTCACCAAAGTGGGTGGTATGAATAAAGATAAGAAGAAAGAACTGAGACTTCTTGGATCTCAAATTTGACTGCATTTGAGAATCACCTGGAAGCTTATAAAAACCTCAATGCCCAGGCCTCTTCTAGACCAATGACATAAGACTCTCTTGAGGTCAGATCCAGTATTTAAAAAAATATATTCCAAATGATTCCAATGTGCATCAAATATTTGAAAAATATAAAGTCAACAGAGCTTGAGGACTAAATTGCATGTATGGTGAAGAAGAGGAAAGAGAGTTCAAGATCTCTCTCTAGTTTCTGGCCTAAGCAACCCTGTAGAGGGCAGATGGTGAGATAAATGTTTCTAGTATAATCATATATTGTTTTGTCATTTCCGAGGTGCCCTGTAAATGTGTTATGTAAACAGAAACTACTTAATAAATTTTATTGGATAAATTACTTTCCATGATCAGAGGGGAAGGCATAATAAGCAGGGTTTTAGACAGATACGGCGAGTGCTACTGGCAAGTGCTTAGTAAAGGTTTGAAAGAAAATCAGTAGTGATGGCTGTGATTAATCTAATGTATGTGGGTAGTGGACACAAGTAAGAAGCACACCTACATTATACATGCACAAACATCCTTTCAGCAGGGCAATTTTCAACCAGAACTAAGGCTTTTCAATCAGAACTAATACCAATGCTTAAATATGATACTTAAAATAATTATTTATAAAAATAATTAAACACAAGTTATGCTAGGCTCCTGTGCGTTAATTATTACTGCCATTCACCAGATATTTCCAGATCTGCCTCTTACCAGGCACATGGTAGAAGTATGATTCCTGGCCCCTTTATGTTTTCAAGGGTCACATGACCAGTTCTGTCAAATAACTTGATCTCAAATTCCTAGCCTCAAAAGATCTTCCTGCCTTGGCCTCTCAAAGTGCTGGGATTACAGGCATGAGCCGCCATGCCTGGTATGTCCAATAACTTGAAAGTGGAAGTGACTCTAGGCCACAGCATTCAATTGCCAAGCATTTACTAAATTAATTAATTATAAGATTCTCCAGGGCTCTTATATCTCTCTGGCGGAGTAACCAACAAAATCAAAGATGGTGGCTTCTGCATCAACCTGGTTTCTTAAGCAACTATGATATGTCCAACCTCTGATGGCCATGAGCTAAAAGTACGTCTTTTAACAACCAGGTTGATCTGAAATTAACCAGCAACCAGGTTGTTTGTTATGGCAGCATAAGGCAGTCAATCCTGATTGATACACACTTTAACTGAGGAAGATTTCTCCTTCTAACTCCCTGGTCCTTATTTTCTATGTTCACTCAATTAGAGATGCCATGTCTGTCCTTATGATGCCTCTTTTACATTGTACAGCTTCGTGGATCTTCAGATGCATTTTACTGCTGTCTCCAATTAGAATACAAACTCCTTCAGGGCAAGAACTGATCCCAAATAAATTATGTAACGTCTGTAAGCCACAGTTCCTTAACCTGTTAAATGGAAATATTAAAAAAATTCCTCATAGCTTTTCAGGAGTGTTAAGATAAGCACACATAGAATATCAACCACAGAGCCTAATAGAAAATAAACAATCAAAAATTACAGTCTAATTTACTTTCCTTCCATTCATCTTTGTAGCCCCCACAAAATTTAGCACGTTGCTAGCTCGAAATTATAGTTATGCACTGAATATCTACTATGTGCCAAACCCTAACTAGATGCTATTTTCACCCTTAATTAAATATGTATTATTATATGTAACTGCGTTTCCATTTTTATGGGCAAGAATATTGAGCCTCAAAGAGATTAAATATAATAAATAACTTGCTCAAATGGAAAGAGCTAGTTTTCAAATATGTTGTAACTTCAAAGCCTCTGCTTGTTCTCCCACAAAGCACACTGCTTCCTTTAGTTGTTATATAGGAATCAATGTGGTTTGAGACTACAAAAGTGATACACTTTATCTATCTACTTATGTATTGTCATAATATTCCTCATTTCTAAGAAGCTATTGAATGTAAGATCCATTATTAATTTATTTTTGAAAAGGAAACACTAACATCAAATGTAGATATGGATTTTTAAGTTTATCTTAATTTCAAAAATTCAAGATGAAAGGAAAAAACAGGGTAGTTAGAAATGATTAAATATCTTGATATAAATAGAGATAAGGTGAGGCACTGTATCAAAAAGACACTTTACTTATATGTTAATGCCTGAAATACTCAAAACAATGCTGAGAAAAGGTGTCACTGTTCCCAGTTACAGTTGGAAAAAATAGAGACATAAGAGGACCTGAGGAGAGGCAGCCCCAGCAGGCATGTCAACACTGTCTTTATAAGTTAGGCAGAGTTGGTGCCTATTTGTGAGGAGTGATTTGGGATTTCAGAGTTACTGGTCAGTCTCTTTAAAACACTTTCTTATGTGCCTTTAGATGAAATCAACTATGAGACAGTTCCTGAGATTGTGTGATTTACTGTCCTGAGTACAGCAGGGTAGAAGGTCCCCAGGGAAACGTGCAAGCAGAACAAGGAAGGAGTGTGTCTCTTCCTCACCTTCCTCCCCAGACACCCACCACTGTGCCAGGCAAAGTGCTGTCACTGTGGTGTGTACAAAGCTCTGCAAGATAATACACAGTTCGGCTTGGTGAGTGCCAGGGATAGCAGTTTCCTCAGCCTCACAAGAGAAGAAACTCTGGTGGGCCACAGTGGTTCATACCTGTAATCCTAATACTTTGGGAGGCCAAGGCAGGGCAGGCAGATCACTTGAGGTGAGGAGTTTGAAACCAGCCTGGTCAACATGGTGAAACCCTGTCTCTACTAAGAAAACAACAAAAAAAAAATTAGCCAAGCATGGTGGTGGGCACCTGCAATCCCAGCTACTCAGGAGGCTGAGGCAGGAGAATTGCTTGAACCAGCGAGACGGAGGTTGCAGTGAGCCAAGATCATGCCACTGCACTCCAGCCTGGGTGACAAAGTGAGACTCTGTCTCAAAAAAAAAAAAAAAAAAAAAAAAAACAGAAAAGAAAGAAAGAAACTCTGGGCTATATAAAAGGAAATTGAAGCTACAGACAATTTGGCACCAGGGAACTAAAAAGTTCAAAGACCCTGGATGCCAAGAATTTGATGATATCAAGGGGCTGTGCTAATAAAATGCTTCAACACAGAGCAAGGACCTTTGCAAGTCAGGGGTATACTATTTGCCCCATTCCTTTCCAAGACCTCCTAATGATGTCCTCTGTGCTAGAAATGTCTATGAACTCCTAAACAGAGGGAAGCTCTCCAGCTGACACAAGAGTCTTGCCTGGCAATAAAGTTTTTAAGCAAGGGTGATCAATTTCACTATGCTCAACCTTTTTGACTTCCAAGAAATTAACTAATGAAGCTCATGTCAGCCCAGCCACAAGCTCAATTGTCTACAAGGCACATGGGTTTGTTTTTAACTGGCTGCATGGAATAAAACTTCCTTCCAAGTGGTGATTAGCTAATGTAATATGAAAATCATTGCTGCTTCTTATTTGTCCAAAGTCCTGCTGGATACAGCCAAGAATCTCCTAAAGTGTATGCTAGCCACACAATCTACCTGAATGGCTGAAATATGTCCCCAGTTTAGACTCAATCAACTTGGAAACCTGTACCTTAGTGCATCCAATCAATTCCTTAGGGGATTATTTTTCTTGCCTTGCCCTTTTACTGAACTGTCTTTGTGGGAGACCATCAAACTCTATTGGGGGTGGCTATAAGAAGACACAGCTCACTGTACTTGTTCCTGAGTCTACTGAGAGGGTGTTGTTGAGCACATCAATCATTACATCACACACTGTACTCTTCTGAGGATCCTGGGGAGAAATTTCTGTCTGCTCCCAGCAATAAGAATAGAACAAATCTATTTATATCTTATAAACACTGTGAACTATGTAACAGGCAGAGTTTTTAAAATTTCCTTTTAGTTGCCAACTCTTATAAAATAATTTTTGGAACATGGTAAGTATTTATAATATGCACATTTAGTCTCATCCTTGCTATTCTTAGGTCCCGCCTTGTTTCTCTTTATTTTTTTACCCCTAATTTTAATCTATTATATCTTGCTCTGTATTATGCAAGTTACCTTAAATCTCTTTTGCAACAAAATTGGGGTTCTTAAATAGATTTATCATGTTGGGCTGATGCTGGTATTCTAATTAGATCCATTCCTTCCTCTTTAAAGTGTTTTTTTTTAAATATTATTTTATTTAAATGAAAATAATTCTGGACAGGACTGTGTGAGATAACATATTAAACTGTCATCAGACACTTATACCTCATTTTCTATTATTTGAATAAAGAAAGAGATATCTGGTTGGGACTCTACTTATGTAAAATTGAATGAGGGGGAGAAAATAGAAAAAAATGGATTTTTAACAAAACAGAGTAACAACTTTCAAGGTCTATAAGATCAGAATAATAGGATAACACCAACAAATTAGAAGTTAATTGAGTCATATGCCATGCCCTGCATTTTAGTCCAAATAACCAATTGTCCAAACTGAGAATGAGAGAGTGTCATTTAACCAGAGTTCAGATGGAAAAAAGATCCAAGAAGTTTGGACGATTACTAGTTAACTATCTGAGTCAAATTTGTCACCACTAATTATAAAGCTTTGAAATCTTAAGCAGGAGTCATAGAAGACCCATACCAAGTTCATGGTAAGGTAACAATCTTAGGGTAAATTTGGCATTAATTAATACACATCTGGAAAAGGGAACGGTTCAGGATAAGTTTTTTTTTTTTTTTTTGAGATGGAGCGTTGCTCTGTCACCAGGCTGGAGTGCACTGGTGTGATCTCGTCTCACTGCAACCTCCACCTCCCGGGTTTAAGCAATTCTCCTGCCTCAGCCTCCTGAGTAGCTGTAGCTACAGGTGCGTGCCACCCCATCCGGCTAATTTTTTTTTTGTATTTTTAGTAGCCGGGGTTTCACCATGTTGGCCAGGATAGTCTCGATCTCTTGACCTCATAATCCACCCACCTCGGCCTCCCAAAGTACTGGGATTACAGGTGTGAGCCACCGTGCCGGGCCCAGGATAACATTTTAAGAGGAACATGAACTATCTGGAATTTGGGACAATGGTAATACATATGTTAAAAATACTGGAAACCAGGCCATGTGGAGAATTATTTAAAGCATCATGTTGCAATACAGTGAGATACAACATGGTTTTGGAGTTAAACCCACCTGGGTTCAAGTATTTGTTACCACTTGCTAGCAACTTGAATTAAGTTTCTTCTATCTGACTCTGTATCTCTAGTGTGAATATATTTAACAAATTACTTTTCTTCTTGGGAGGAAGGAGCAAGACACAGAAGACATGGAGATCCATGTAGAATCATAAGAAGGTAAAGAAGAAGGAAAAAATGTAAGAGACTACACATAGCCTAAAAGTAAAGAAACATCTAAAAATTATATTAGAAAGGTAGAAGGAAGTATAAACTGTGTGGAATTAAATTCAAAATATATATAAAAAGTGAGCTAACTGTGTTTTAGAAAACAGATTTTGGTGGTCAGTATATCATATATATATATGACATTTTTATCATCTTAAGGAAAAACTAGACTATCACATTTATAACAGCGTCAAAAGCAGAAATTTATTATCACAGCAACTTGCAGAATTAACTATTGTAGGCATAGTGAAAAGGAAAGGAGTTGAGTTCAAATTCACCCACTGTAACTGACTAGTTATGTGACCTTAGGCAAGATTAATTCCCTTTAACTTCACTTTTTTCAAATGTAAAATAGGAAGTATAGAAGTTGATCCTTGCCTAGCTCACAGGATTGACACAGGACTTCATGTAAAATTCTATTTGTATTTTGCAAAGTATAATATCCTACAAAACTTTTATTTTCATCATGACTGGTGTGATTAAATATGAAATTACATAGTAATCAAAGGGATTGTGAGTGTGGATGGGCCTCAGCATGAGTTCTCACTCTCCCAGAGAAAAGCCCTTGTCTTCAAGAGGCATGTATTAATAATAGTAATCACAGAAAGAGAGAGAGCTATAAGTGCCAGGAAGATTCCATTTTCAACCCTTAGCAGTTAATATAGGAATTACTCTTAGAATGCTGCATTTATTTGGAGATAGGTAGAGATAGATAGATAGATAGATAGATAGATAGATAGATAGATAGATAGATAGATAGATAATAGATGATAGAAAAGTAGAGGATAAATAGATTAGATGGATACAAGATAGATAGATGATAGATAGGTTATAGATAGGTGCATTAATCCATTTTCACATAGATATGAAGACATACCCGAGACTGGGTAATTTGTAAAGAAAAGAGATTTAATTAAGTCACAGTTCCACATGGCTGGGGAGGCCTCAGCAAACTTGCAATCATGGTGAATGGGAAGCAGGGGAAGCAGGCACGTCTACATTGCCTGCAGGTGAAAGACAGCATGTGAGAGCACAGGAAAAATTACTACCCATAAAACCATTAGATCTCATGAGAATTCACTCACTGTCATGAAACCAGCATGGGGGAAACTGCCCCCATAATCCTATTGCTTCCTTCCCTCGACACATAGGGATTACATGTCTCTCTCTCCCCATGTGGGGATTACAATTTGAGATGGAGATTTGGGTGGGGACACAGAGCCAAACCATATCAGTAGATAGATAAACAGATAGATGAGAAAGTAGATAGATAGAAGACAAATGATAGGTAGATAGATGATAGATTATAGATAGGTAGGTAAATAGATTAGACAGACATATAAATAGATGATAGATGTTAGGTCAATAGATAAATAGATTAGAATAGATAGATGATAGAAGGTAGATGATATTAGTGTGATAGGTGTATTAGTCCATTTTCACATTGCTACAAAGACATACCCGAGACTGGGTAATTTATCAAGAAAAGAGGTTTAAGTAAGTCACAGTTCCACATGGAATTTCCACATAGGTAGATAAATGGTAGATAGTTAGACACATGATAGCTAGTTAGATAGCTAAGACTTTGGGGGTGAGATAACTGACAGGTGCATTCCTATTAACTGGAAAGCTTTTGTTTTTATGGATAGAAGAATGAAGTGAGGCTTTCGTTTTGAAAGTACATGTTATAATAATGCAATATTTTATATAAAGGAAGTGAGCAATTAGGATGTACATGCTTTAAACAGGGTGGGGAAAGAATCTAAAGCAGTGGCTGGATCAGAAAGTAACTTTCAACAGCTGAATATCTGATATAGTTTCATAGTTTGTGGTAAGAAGAAAGAAAAGACAAGAAATGACTCTTTCCCAAAGATGTCCACTTAATCCCCGGAAACTGTGAATATGGTATATATATGGCAAAAAGGGACTTAGGGTTGCTGGGAGAATTAAGTTTGCTAATCAACTGATCTGAACATAAGAACTAGCTTTGAAGATGAAGAGAGGAGGCTGTGAGTCTTCCTTGACTACCTGTATTTCCTTATACAGGTAGCCCCTAGAAGCTTGGAACTGCCCTCAGACTACAGCCAGGAAGCAGACAGGGACTTCAGTTCCACAGCCACAAGGAGCTGAATTCTGCCAACCAGAATGAGCAAGAACATGGATTCTCCCCTCAAGCCTCCAGAAAAGAATGCAGCCTACAGTCAGCACTTTAAGTCCCATGCAACCTATAATAGATTTCTGACCTACAGAGCTTTAATGTCATAAATTGGTGTTGTTTTAAGTCATGAAGTTTGTGGTAGCTTCTTATGACAGTAATTGAAAACTAATACCTGGTCTTTTTAGCAGAATAACGAGCACCCTGTAATGTGTCATTCATGCATATCTTTTTTTTTTTTTTTTTTTTGGTGGGGGCAGGAAGACAAAACTCTAGAGTTTAATCTTCCAGCTGACTGACTTGGAAGTGTTCCTGTCAATATAAAAGATCTTGTTGGGGGGCGGTGGAGAAGCCAAAGCAGGCTCGGCGGCTGTACTTCCAGCTCATGGCCCGGTCGTAGTCCTGCTGCAGGTTCTGCTGCAGGCTGTGGGCTGCCTTCTTGCTGAGGGCCATGTTGGGCCTTGCAATCGTGCTGGGGGTTGGGGGGGGTGGGCAGCTGAACGAAGGGGACAGATTTGTTTGTATGTTTGTTTGTTTGTTTGTTTTGAGATGGAGTTTCGCTCTTTCACCCAGGATGGAGTGCAGTGGCTCAATCTCGGCTCACTGCAACCTCTGCCTTCCTGGTTCAAGCGATTCTCCCACCTCAGCCTCCCAAGTAGCTGGAATTACAGGCACATGCCACCACGCCCAGCTAATTTTTGTATGTTTAGTGGAGTCGGGATTTCACCACGTTGGCCAGGCTGGTCTGGAACTCCTAACCTTGTGATCCACCCGCCACTGCCGGGACAGATTTTTGAAGCCACCCATAAGTTTGAGAAATTTCAGTTTCTGTTCCTCGTTCTCAAAACCAGCAGTATCCCACTGGCCAAACTGGGTTCCCGTCCACTTCCAGGTTTCAGAAGCTTCCGTTTTGCTTGACTCCTGATGGACCTCTTCTTGCAAGGACTTTCGCCTCACCTGGTCTATGTGCGCCTCGTCCATATTGCCTTTCCTTTCCAACACCACCTCTAAGTCCATGTTTGTTTCCTCCTTCCAAGGGTCTCCTGCTACCCCACTCTCTTTCCTCTTATTTTTTTCTTCCTTTTCAGAGCCGGCTCCTCGGTGACCTTCTTCTTGGACTTCATCTTTTTCTTCGCGGGGGCCTTAGGGCCATCTCCTATGGGGATATATTCCGGAGCCTCAACTTTGACTGGTTTAGTTTTACTTCCTTTATGGGGGCTGCTCTCCAAGGACCTGGAGGGCTTGGAGTGGCCTGGGAGGAGGTCTCCCTCCTGGTGGAATTTTTTTTTTCTTCTTCACCTTCCCACTGTGTTCCCTGGGGCTCTTCTGCTTCTGTTTCTGCCCCAAGGTTGCCTGTTCCTCACCCTCCTTCCCCACTGAGCAAGTGTCTGCAGCATCCCGGCCTTGCAGAACCAAGGGTCCTGGACTGAGAAGGCTGTGGGGTCCTGGGCCCCCTATTTTTTGCCTTCTTGTGTTTTTTAAGTTTCTTTCCGACTCTGGTTTCCTCCTCACTATGTCTGAGGTCTGAGGAGGTTTTCACCCTGGAGGCATGGGACATAGCCTGAGGTGACTTCTTTTTCTTCTCCCCACTGAGGAACTTCAAGTGGCCAAGTACCTGCTTCCTGGGGCTGGGTGACTTCTCTGTCTGTCTGGCACACAGCGTGGTCTCAGGTTCCACATGCTCCTCGCAAAGGGCGCTGACACCCTTCTTTTTCTCCTTTTTCTTCGCTAGAGGCATCTCAGGTGCCTGCCTATGGACTACACTCTTAGAAGGGGATGTGGCTCTTATAGGAGAAACATTGGCAAAGTAATCATCATTGTTTAAAATTGAATATTGAGTCTCTGGTTCTTTGACCACTTTCTTCTTCTTTTTCTTCTCTGGGAGCCCAGGGCCCAGGTCTACTTTGTATGTCTTGGTGATCATTCTGGTGGGCCAAACTTCCCTATCCCCCCTCATGCACATCTTAAAGACTATTTGAAAATAAAATGTTTATTGTGTTACTGAATTTTTATGGGAATGAGTGCTCATTCAGCTTCCAGACACTCCTAAGGCAAAAGTACTACCTGTTAAGTGTGGTTAAGGGGGCAACTGAAACCTGGGATGCATATATTTCGGAATAGCACAAGGACAACCAAAAGAGGGATAGATCTTAGGAGAAGCAATGGAAGAAAGTATCTCAAGAAGATGCTTCATTTGCCACAAAGAACTGGATGTAAGAACACTGGCAAAAGTAGAGGAAAACAGGATATTTTTGGCAGTGTCACTCATGTGGGCAAAGAAATCAAGCGTAGGGAGGGTATAAGGCTAACCAATTATCTCTAGACATGAGATATTTGTAGAATATTAGACGTAAGACAGAAAGAAAATTATTGAAAAGCACGAAGGCAAATTTACGAAGTTTCTATTTAAAAATACAATTGGAAAGCAATTGTTAATTGTGGGCATTTATTGTAAAGCAGTGGTGGTATTGATAGGAATAATAAAACATTAAGGGAAAATGATGACATATAACATTGAGTGCTTACTGTTTGTCATCAGTATAAATGCTGTATTTATTACCCCTGTAATCCTTTCAACAACTATTGAATGGTTAAGTTCTATTATCACTCTTTTTCCCACTGAGCAAAACTGAGACAAAGGTAAAGTAACTGCCCCAAATCAAAAGGTAAATAAACGGTAGAACAGGAATTTGAACCCAGATATTCTATTTCAAGAATGCATAATCTTACCCACTACATCATAATACTGCATTGAATATCAACTCCACTAGATACTAGTCTGGGCACGTGACACATATTAAATAATGTCTCACTAATCCTTTTTTTCTAAATTAGAAAACTGAGGCTAAGAGTGGTTAAGCTGTCTAAGATTTTTCAGATGAAAAAGATGGAATTCCAAATCTCTAATCATGGCAAAGCACCTATTATTGTACTTGCCCAAGTTGATCTCCTGGCCTCACATGATCTTCCCACCTTGGCCTCCCAAAGTACTGGGATTACAGGCATGAGTCACCACACCTGGCCCATAAAAAAATACTTAATATGAAAGAACTGCAGGAAATGAAAAAGGGAACAAAATCAGATGTGACACAAAGAAGAAAAATAGCAAAGGATAGATTTAAAAACCAAAAGGCAAGCCAAAACTGCAAGTATATATTTGTGTAACATATATCTGGCATTCAGCTTATATTAAGAATATAAAAAGAGCCCCTACATTTAAAAATGAAGAAAGCAACCAAATAAAAATACTTGAGTGGGCACTTTAATAAAAATATACGAATGGACAATAAGCATATGAAAAATTATTCAACATAACTGGTTATTTGGGAAATGCAAATTAAATGTAGTGAATACTACTTCACACCTTCTTGAATAGCCAAAATTTAAATTATTTACAAAACCAAATAATGAGGATGCAGAGCAACTGAAACCCTCATCTGTTGTTCATGAGAATATAAAATGGTTTGACAGTTTTTAATATAGTTAAATATATATCTAGCCTATGACCCAGAAATTTCACCCCTAATTATTTGCCCATGTGAGCTAAATATATTTATTCATACACTTGTAAAAGAATATTCATAGAAGCTTTACTTAAATTAGCCAACAAGGGGAAACAGGCCAAATATTCATCAGTAGGATAATATAATGTACTATTGATATACCCAACAGCATAGATAATCTCAAAAACAATGATAAGAGAAAGAAGTTGCCATGGTTTAAATGTGTCCCCCAAAGTTCATGTGTTGGAAACTTAATCCTCAATGCAGCAGCGTTGAGAGGAGAGACCTATAAGAGATGATTAGGTCATGAGAGCCATGCCCTCATGAGTGGATTAATGCCGTTATTTGAAGAGTGGTTAGTTTTCTTGGGAGTAGGTTTCTGATAAAAGGATGAGTTTGGCCCCCTTCCCCTCTTCCACATTCTCGGTTTGCTTGCCCTTCTGTCTTCCTTCAAAGGATGATGCCACAATGAGGCACTTGCAAGCCTCATGACCTTGGACTTCCTAGCCTCTAGAATACCAAGAAATAAATCTCTATTCTTTATAGATTACTTAGTTTAATGTATTCTGTTATAGCAACACACAATGAACTAAGACAAAAGCCATACATGAAAGAGTGCATACTATATGGTTTGATTTATATGAATTTCAAGAAAAGACAAAACTAATGGAAATTAGAAGAGATGTTGACTAAAGTGGAGATTGACTGATAAGGGCCATGAAGGACCACTTTTGTGTGATTGAAATGTTCTTGACAGTATCTTGACTAGGGTGTTGGATACAAGGCAAATACATTTGAAAATTCAGATTGAATGTCACACTTATCATCTGTGACAATCATTGTGTGTAAATTTTTCCTCAATCAAAAAATCCTGCTCACTCTAGCCCTGGGCTAATGCTAAGTTTACAACACTAAAATGGTTACCTATTTGTAAAGCAACTAATATGCATCAGTCACTGTGTAGGGTGTAGGAGTAGAAGGGTGATCAACAACTCAAAAACATACAAAGCACACAAAAACACACATGACCTTCTGAGGGGCTTTGCCCTTAGTTACTAAATTCATGGAACTCACATTCTAGTGCAGGAAACAATATTAATCAGAAACCAAATAATTTAAAATTACCACTCTGATAAATTACAGGGAGTGTTATTTTGTATTATAAAAACATATAATACTGGGAATTTAATCAGGGTAATAGCAAAGATTTCCTCAAAAAAGTGACAATTCAGTGGGCATAACCCTTTAGGAAAGAAACTTTTTTTGCTTTTGCAGGGATGTTATCATTGTTTATCATGATTGTTATTTTGCTGGAAATATCTAAAATCAGGAAAACTACCAAATTGGAAGAGTGATACAAACAAGATAGATACTTACTTCTCTGAGATAGGTAGATATCTGTCCAGCCAGAGAGAACTTGCCTGCTCAAGATCCCTTTAAATGCTATGATTCAGATATTTTTATTATACAATGTAGCGAAATGAATTTTTAAAACCCTACATTCATATTCCAAATCTGTTACCAAATTCTAAAAAAAAAAAAAGAGATTCAGACAGTAAACCTTCCCAGTATCACATAGTTTGCAATTGCCTGGGTTGGATAGCCTGGGTCAACTCAAGTTTTTATTTACAGTTGAGTGTGTTGTTTTTTCCATGGTCCAGTAAGTGTGTTGTCTCTGAGAGGCAGGGAGATAGATTTATTGAACATAGTCAGCTCTGCCCAGATTCCCTCTGAAGCTACTTACCTGTTCTGTGCACATAGGCATCAGTTTTGGTGTGCTTTGCTTCTACTGAGTTGCATCTGCAGCTTCCTTCAGAATGCTGCCTGCAGACCACTCCAGCCTCCTGGGTTGTAAGCACAGAAAGCTCAAAGCGTCCGGGAGTTTCCTCCTCACCCACCTACCACACACACAGTCCACTGCCAAGGGCTGACTTTGTGGGAGTATAAAGCTCAGCTCTGTTGCCTCCGGGCTGGATAAACTTTGATGTGTAATTTGTGCCACAGAGCACCCTGCAGGATTAGGCTGGGCTGGTACTTTGCCAGAAATTGCACCCTTCCCAGTCTTTCCTCCCCCATCCCTTACCAGTTTCTCTTGGGAGCTCTTTCTTAATAAATCACTGGTACATGAATCTCCATGTCAAGGACTGTTTCTAGTGAACCCACTCTAAGACAGCAGGTCAGAGCTCCCCTCCTAGACGAAAACTGCCTTTGACTCATTTAGCTCTGAGACAGAAGAAGCTAAGCATGTACAAGCCTCTCAGTTCTGGCAGAGCAGGAATCAGGGTATGTGCTATTCAGCAGATGAACAACTATGTTCATTGATGTTAGAATTCCCAGATGATCTTTAAGGGAAATTATCTGGTGGACTACTCACACAGAACAGTACCATCAACCTAGAAGAAACTGTCAACATCCTCAGTGAGCAGGAGTTACGAATAACCCAAAAACTGAAAGCATCGAAAGTATTCATCCAGTCTACCCTCCTGACTCAGAACACATTGTGCTAGAACTGTTTAAAGACAAAAGATTCTGCATCCTGTTTAATTAAAAACATTTCACAAAGAAAGTTTTCCCATGATACCACTGCAATCCCCTCATGAACCTAAATTTAGATGTAAGGTAGAGAAAAAGGTGAGATAAAGTTTGCTGAGTTTCTTCTATGTACCAGACATTTTCTTTGCAATGCCATTTAATCTTCCCAATAATCCTCTTAGCTACCACTAGCCCCACTTTCAACATGACAAAATGAGATGCAGAGATATTGGGTAGTTTATCTAAAGGTACATAGCTTATAAGCAGCAGACCTGGGGCTTGAAATCAACTGTGTTTGGATACAAAGCTGGTACTCATTCCCATGGGTTAATCAGCCTGCTCCCTTCAACCTGCAACTGATTGGGATGCAATCAACTATTTTAACAAGTGAGACCTTGTGTAGTATTTCACTGGGAAGGCAACTTCAAATACTGCAAACAGTGAACAATCCAACTAACTGTGACTTCGTTAATACCGACGAGTGTTATATCATTAGGAGACCCAAGATCAGCAGATTCAGAGCTGCTTCCACAACCCCACAATCTCATGAGATATGCAAAATCTCTCTGGCTTTCTGCTGTACCATGTTGAGCATGTTAGTGAAGTGTCTCTTCGTGACTGTAAGGTGGTGTTACAATTTCCAAGGTCAAGAGAAGAGACAACAGGGAAAACATGAAAGGGCAGGGTGGTGGTTAGCTCTATGGGGATGTCACTCATTTATTTCATTATGGAAAATTATTCTTGTAAATAATGTCATAAGTCATTGATTTATGAAATAATTTCAGTGCAAAAGCATCTAGAAAAGTAAATATTTCACAAAAAGAAATGGGACAATTATAATTTGTTTTTACCAATAATGATTTGTTTTACAAGGGTGGGAACATGGCTTCCTGAATAAAATCAGGATTTTATAAAATGAGAAAGAGATGTATAATGATTGATAGGAATATGCTATGTTTGTTATATGGCAAGAAATAGATAGGAAAACCTTACTTTCTGTTCCCTATCTCCCAGTTCAGGTGTTCCTCAAGTCCCTGAAGACAGAGAGAATTGCTCCCTCTCACTAATATGTGGGCTGAGAGTATTTTAAATGGCTGGAGTTTGGAGGAGGCACTGAAACAGTAACGTCTGACTCCTATTTCACTCAATTTTTGACAAGACTTGGGATGAGAATGAAGAAGAGTGATAACAATTGAAGAGAATTTTATTCGCTTTCATTCTTTCACAGACACCTGCCCCAATAGCACACACCCCAAATGGACAAAGTTCAGCTCTGCTGAAGCCGGCACATTAAATGAGTGAAATATTTTTAGTAAGAGCAGTGGCCAAGTACAATGACAATTCGATTTTTTTTTCAAATGACAACTCCCGCCTCTGGCAGCTCATCTCTCTTTGCTGCCATCTGGTGTCACCTCACATGAACCTGACCTGGGTACAGATGAAGGGACTAGAATCCTTCAATTCTAGGGTTCTCCAGAAAGGGACTGAGAGTTAAGCAAACCCAGTTCTGGAAAATGAACAAATATGGAGAATTGAAGCCCCAAATTTGACACATTGAGATTTTGAGCAATAATAAATGCCCGGGGTGTGGGCAGGGTTTGACCGTCAGTAGGCTGGCCTTGCCATGCCGCCTGAAATTAGAACTTTCTACATGATAACATTTGGATTAATCAGAAGACAGAGGACTCACTATCTTGAGCACCAAATGGAGCACTTTTCATTTTAAGGCCCTTAAGTTTTATATAGATTTATGTAGATATACATAGATTATAGTAAGAATAGAAAACACATGTTAAGCAATATCTGTATGCTAGGCTTTGTTGTAAGCCTTTCATCTATATTAACTCGTTTAATACAAATACAACCATGTAGGAATGACACTATTATTATCCCCGTAACATGTATGAAGAAACTGAGGCACAGAGATGTTAAGTAATTCCCCAAAGTTACAGACCTAGTAACTTGTTGAACCAGTAAGCAGGGTGTGAACCCAAGCAGAACCTGTATTGTATCCTACCAGACTACAAATGTCTAAAGATGAGTTTTCCCTCGTATATTTATCCAGCTAGATTTTAACAGGCATCCCACCCTGCCACCGACACGAACGTGCATTCACACACACACAGCATGGCTTATGGCTTGCTTGGTTGGTTAAGCCCTTCCCAAACTTACTTACTCAGTAGTCTTTTATTTTCCCAGAAAACATTCAGAGATTGATATTCCACATACTCTACTTTGGGAAAAGTACAGTTTAAAGACAACCTGCAGCACAGTTTAAAGACAACCTGCAGCACACCCAGATAGGGATAAATCTACTCAGGACTTCAGTCATAAAAGGCTGATTACTTCATCACTCCATTCTGGTCTTGATAATATTTCTAAAAGATAACAATAAATAAATTAATAGTAAGTGATAATGTTAATATCTGTTTCAAGTGTTTTCTGTATGCCACATATTATTTTAAATTTTTTTCTGTATATTTTATTTATGTCTCATAAACTCAAGGATGTAGGAACATTATTATTCCCATTTTTAAAATAATAACTTTTAAATACAAAGATGTTAAATAACCAAAGTCTCCAATAATAACAAGTGGTGCCAATATTTTAATCCAGTCAGATTAACTTAGTTTAAATTAAAAGTCAGATTTTTGAAACTCACATAATTTCCTGGAGAGTTTTAATTCAAGTCTTCAGACAATGAAAGGACTAACTCAGAATGACTAAACCTGCATAGTGAGATTACAATGCTCTGCTTTTTATGAATGAACTATTAATACAAACACATAGAGAATGAACTTTTAATACTATGAGTATTGTTCTGGCGTTAGCTTTTAATCTCACTATGTTAATTAAGAGATGAATTCTCTAGCCAGGTATAGCTATGGGGAAACATTACTGTCCTTGTCTTTTCTGAGTGATGTTTTTTGTTTTGTGCTCTTTACTGTTGTTTGTATTTTGTACATTTGGGCCAAGTACACATAATTGAGGTCATTGTACTCTTAAGTTCATGGCATGTTATCACTTCGTCATCAAAATTCATGCCAAGGATGTTTTATTTTATTTTGCTTTGTTTTCACTTGTCCACCACCTTAAATTCCACTCTTCTTCCCTCATAAAGATTCACTCTGGTGTATAAGGTATTTTGTTTGCTCATTTGTTTTTGGAAAAATGTGTGTCTTTGGCTGGTGTTGCTTTTTGCCTGGAAAATGGCCCACCTCTGTTTTGTGAGCACATGGCTCCCAGCTCTGTTTCATCCTCCCTCTATAGCATCACCATATCTGACTTCCGAGAACTTTCTAATCTGAGCCACTCTGGCTTTTGTTGAAAAGATGTTTTATTTCTATTTGTTTATTTCATCTTATTTGTGTTGTGGATTGGCTGAGTTAGGTCTGAAAATGTCCCTCTCATTTTACTGGGCAACGGACTCCATGGCATGTGCACATAACACAATTTTAAATGTTCCTTTTGTCTATATGTGCTCAAGGTTTACATTTTTAACAATTTTATGCCCTTTTTTGTAGGTTGCATACTTCTTGTCTTTTTTTAAAGAAACTTCACCTACATTTTTTTGAATATACTACATTCTCTTCAGCCTTAAGCATCCACATTGCTGTCCCAAATATCTGGAACACATTTCTCCGCATTTATATGTATTGACTCTGCCTATAATTTTTTTCTAATTTGGAGAATGCATAAGTTTGTAGAATAAATGAATGAATGAATGACAAGGAGAATTGTCAAAGGAGAGCATGTGCTATTCAATCAGATGATCCCTTCTAAATATCACCGGCAAACAGCCTTGCCTGCCCTATATTCTGGTGCCAACTTAACTCAGTGAGACTGACAGAACGCCCATGAGCTCTTTACCAAACATCTGTCTTCACGGGTGTGTGCAACATCTTCTGTGTGCTAAGAACCAGTTTCAAGTTCAGGATTGATTTTTCCAGCTTAGTGCAGAAGATAAATAATGAACGAGAGTACAGTCAGGGTAATCACACATTTTAGAATTAGAAAGATGCTGCAACTACTTGAGATTTGGTATCTGATATCTGGAAATAATATGCTGTTCATAACAAGAGCATCTAATTGGATAACAATTTGATATTTAATGGTGCAGCTCATCCTGCTGTTAATCCTCTCCTCTACAGTTCCTGTTCTAATGAGGTTAGCACTAAATCAGTATGCTGGCTCCCCTAATCTCTTGAGAATCAACGAGTGGTCTTCATCATTAAGACTTCCACAAGGTAATGAGAAAATTTTCCTGAATATTTGATTAAAATACAAATAAAACAAATGGAACAAATCAATATTTGCTGGTAACAGTACTGTAGAGGATTTGAACAGTTCATGGGCCTCACTCTCTCCTATACGTTGTGATTGCCTTGCTGAGAATGGGGCTCTCTGCCCATGTACAAGACTGGAGGAGCTCAAACCTGGACTAAGGATCTCACACAAACTTTCTACCCTATAAGAAATTTGCTGGGAGTAATGATGAATAGCACTCACAACACTCATAACTCTGACACTCTACCTGCAACGATTTAAACATTTTTCATATTTTGACCCATCTAATTATGATAACAGTATTGGGAAGGTGCTGTCATTATCCCCAATGCATTCATTAAAGTAGGCCAGCTGACGTTAACAAATAAACCCAAATATGGAATGACTGGACCCCGTAGAAATTTTACCCTTGTGATAGGTTGATGATGGTTCAGCCACCTTTACCCTGTTGCTTCTAAAGTCATCCTGGGTGTTGCCATTTCAGTCAGTCAAGAGGAGGAAAGAGCATGGAGGAATAGGTATTGGAGTTCTATATGGGCCATGCAGTCATCAGTTTTGCTGACATACCCTTGGCTAAAACTCAGTCATATGGTCACACTGACTGCAAGAGAGGCTAAGAAATATAATCTAGCTATGTACCCAAATAGAGAGAAAGTATTTTTATTAACAGCAACAGCTTGTTTAATGCTACACTCATTGTACAAATAAAAAACCCAAGGCAGCCAGATGTGATGGCTCATGCTTGTAATCCTAGCACCTTGGGAGGCTGACGTGGGTGGATCATTTGTGCCCAGGAGTTCGAGACTAGCCTGAGCAACAGAGTGAGACCCTGTCTTTACAAAAAATACCAAAAAAATTGCCAGGCATGGTGACATAAGCCTGTAGTCCAAGCTGCTTGGGAGGCTGAGGTGGGAGGATCTCTTGAGCTCAGGGAGGTTGACAGTGCAGTGAGCCCTGATTATACTCCAGATTGGGCAACGAAATTAAATCTTATCTCAAACAAACAACTTCATCAACAACAACAACAAAGCAAACGAAAGACAAACAAATCCCAAGGCATAGGGAGCTTATGTGTTTTGCCCATATTCACACAAATAACAAGTGTGAAAGCTGAAATTTGAATTCAAACAGTTCACATGCAGCCATTTAGGCACTGGTTAAGATTTGCATGAAGTCTGAGATTAGTCATTGCAACCATGCCTCCTCCTTCCACATCAGACCCTAACCTATGAACAGGTTGTGTTAAGTTTCTGTCTTCACTTACATATGCATTCCCTCACTACTCTGTGCTTCCTCCCCCTTGCTCCTCTTAGTCTCCGCCCACCCCATCAATCATTTCTAATTTTTCCCCTGGAACATTTGCCCCAGGGTAAGAAATTTTATACCCTCCAAATTTTCAAAGAACAATCTCTCCCTGTCTTTCCTCCTGGAGTCTGGCTCTTTCCTATAGGCAGTTTACCCTGCAGCTCTTCCCCAGTGCAAGCTACTTATTCACTCACTCCCCACCCATCAAGGGGCCAAAAGAGTGGGTGTTCAGTCTTCTGCTTCTTACTGTTGCTTCCAGATAAGCTTTATTTTTTACTGACAAATCACTAAAGTTCTCCCTTCCTTGTTTCTACTCTTATTTTTTAATCCTCTGGCCATTTGGTTGCTCCTTTCTGCAGGGCTTTTGCGCCTGCCTACAGTCCTCCTCATCCCAACCTCTACCTCATTCTAACACATTTCGTCAGGTAACATTTATGGCTCCTGAGCCTCATGTTGCAAATCGATTCCATTCAGGTGCCATGGAGAGGACAGGTTCTCCCTCCCTTTACTCACCCAATCCTTGCTTATAGCTTGCGTCCAGGTGTGGCAGGCTGACAATGCTAGGATCCTGATATCTCCCAGCTCCTGTGTGTTTATAGGACAGAGACGGCACACTGGAAGGGGCAAGCCATGAAGACCAAGGGCTGTCACTCCCCTCTTGCTCAGCAGGAAAAGTGGGTCCTCACCCTTAGCTGTTATGAAGTAGTACAGGGGCATGTCTTAAGGGCAAAGGACATAGTGATTCTGCCTGAGGGCATTACTTTATTTGAAACAGGATTTGGGGAACCCTATGCTTAAAAGTATTGGCAGAAACAATGGAGATGTTGGTGGAGAGCAGTTAAGAAGAAGCTGGTAGTTCTATGCTATGAGCAAATGGCAAAGCAGCCTGAAGTTTAATAGAGAAAGCCAGAAAAAGAGACAGCCAATAAGAGCTCTCCTGGGATCACAATCAAATCTTGGGTTCCAAGAGGCTGCGCACATGCACTAGGCTGCAGCGACTCAGCCAATCAGAGCAGAACATGGGGCAGATGAGCAGACCTCAAAGCCTTTCATAAGCCACAAAGAGCCATCAACAGAGGGGAGAAATCTCACTGGCACTGGGAGCTTAAAGACAACTTCTGACCAAACACTGACCCAGGAGAGACTCCCAGAAAGTGGTGCTTAAAGATAAAATCACATTCATCCTTGGTAGTCTCGAAGATTTTGTGTGTACCCAAGGCTATCGCCTCTCAAAAGCAATCAGGCAGGGAACCTCCAAGTTCCTAGTTCATGGCTGAATGTGGACCGAATACATAAAACCCCTGAACTGTGATAGCAGCCTCAGGCCACACATGAATCCAAAGGTAAAAAACAAAAATATAACTGGCTAATGGAACTCAAGCACATTCTTTGACCAAGAAGTGGCTTGTGCTGACCCGATGTGAATGCCAAGTGGCCAGGCTAGAAGATAAAATCAAGGGAAAAAAATATCTGAGCATAAAGACCAGAGGCAGAAAACTGCAGGGGAAATAAACTCTGAAAGATTAGTTCAGCCAAGTCACTAAGCAAATAAACAAAATGACAACTCAAAAATTGGGGCATTCATATCCAGAGTTGCTATAATGTATCATCTGAAATGTAGAGTTTTCAACCAAGTATTCTAAGTAGTATAAAAAATAGGAAAATGCAATCCATGTATGTGAAAAAACACAAACTGCTTTTGAAGGGGCCACATGAGATACCACTTCACACCCACTTGAATGACTATAATTAGCAAAATGGAAAATAACAAGTGTTTTTAAGGATGTAGAGAAATTGTACGTTGCTGGTGGGAATGTAAAACAGTGCAGATCCTGTGAAAAACAGTTTGGTGGTCTCCCAACAAGTTAAACAGAGGATTACCACATAACTCAGCAATTCCACTTCTAGATCTACACTCCCCAAAAGGAACACAGGTATTCAAGCAGATATTTGTACATGAGTTTTCATAATAGCACTATTCACAATAGCCAAAAGGCAGAAACAACCTGAATATCTATCTGGATAACTGGATAAACAAAATGTGATATACACAAACCATGAACTATTTATTACTCAGTCACAAAACAGGAGTGAAGTATTTATACATGCAGCAATGTGGATGAACCTTGAAAAAAATCATACTAAGTAAAAGAAGCCAGACAAAAATGGTCACCTATTGGATGACTCCATTTGCATAAAATATACAGAATAGTTAAATTCTTAGATGCTAAAAGCAGATTAGCAATTGCCAGCAGAGAGTAGGATGGGGAGTGATTGCTTAATAGGTACAGGGACTCCTTTGGGGGTGATGACAATGTTTTGGAACTAAATAGAGGTGGTGGTTTTACAACATTGTAACTATATAAAATACCTCTGAATTTTACATTTTAAGATGGTTAATTTTCTATTATGTGAATTTCACCTCAACAACAAAAACATGAATTAACTACTGATATGTTTTACACCATGGATAAATCTTGAAACTATTATGCTAAGGGAAAGAATCCTGTCACCAATAAAACACATATTATATGATTCCATTTATATGAAATGTCCAGAATAGGCAAATCTCTGGAAGTAAAAAGATTAACAGGTACCTAGGGTCGTAGGCATGGGAGGAGTGTGTCGGTGGGAACTGAGAGTGATTGCTGGTGTGTATAAGGTTTTTTTTGGCAGGGTGGGGAGTGGACCAAACTATTCTAAAATTGGATTGTAACGATAGTTTGACAAGGCTGTGAATATACTGAAAGCCCAGAATTGTATAACTTTAAATAAGTGAGTTGTATGGTATGTAAATGATAGCTCAATAAAGCTGCTTTAAAAAAGAATCGATATATTTGGGCTGTACTTGTCAAAAGCCATGAATTTAACATAAACTGAGAGAGGAGTTATATGAAGCTGAATGGAAACGAGAGGTGGGAAATATATGAAAAAGAGCTTTTCTCTCTTCTCATTTACACTGAATATTTTTTGTTATAGCACTTATCACCACCTGATGCTTTGTATATTCATTGTCTATTTTCAATCTCTCCCAACCGGAATCTAAGTCCCATGTCCTGCTGCATCTCCAACACTATGAACTGTGCCTGCTTTATCAGTAAGAGCTGCCATAAGGGTTTTATGATAGGGATGCCATAACAAAAATACCCACAGACTGGAGGGCTTAAACAACAGAGATTTTTTTCTCTCATAGTTCTAGAGGCTGGGAAGTCCATGATCAAGGCACACAGGGTTGGGTTACTCTGTGGTCTCTCTTCTTGGCCTGCAGAAGTTCATCCTCTCTGTATGTCTTCATGAGATCTTCCCCTTGTGCCTATCTGTGTTCAAACTCCCTCTTCTTATAAGAACACAGGTCAGTTTGGATTAAGGCCAATGTCAGGCTTGTCCAACTCGCGGCCTGTGGGCCACATGTAGCCCAGGACAGCTTTGAATGCACCCTGACACAAATTCATAAACTTTCTTAAAACATTATTCATGGACCTTTATTTTTTTAAGCTCATCAGCTATCATTAGTGTTAGTTTTATGTGTGGCCCAAGACAATTCTTCCAAGGTTGCCCAGGGAAGCCAAAAGATTGGACACCTCTGGCCTATGCATTGGCCTAATTTTAACTAAATCACCTCTTTAAAGGCCCTATCTCCAAATATAGTCCCATTTTGAGGTACTGGGGGTTGGGGTTTAAACAAATGAATTTGAGGGGAATGCAATTCAGCACACAGAGTAAGCTTGTGAATATTTGCTAGATGAATAAATAGCTACCATGCCAACACACAGACTGGAATATTATATTGTAACAAAATTATGTGAATAAAAATGATCACAGATATTTATAAATAGAATAGAGTGTAAGTAAAACACCTCAAAATGCTAACAACTGTGGTGAGATTATGGATGATTATGGAAAGTAATCTTCTTTTACTTTTTTCTGTTTTTGAACATTTATACAATGTATTAAGTTTTATTTTGTTTTCCACAAAAAACATCTGCTCATTGAAGACAATTTGGGAGACAGGAAAGAATTAAAAGTGTAACTTAATAATTCTACCTCCTTTATTCACTTTACCACACTTCAAAAATTTAAAACTTTCATACTGTTCCATTTTTCTATACACCTATATGTATCTACATTCTGTACAGTTTTATACAGTTGGAGGTAAATATTCTTTGCTGTTTTATAATACGGTACATTTTTAGCCCAATAGTTATACTTTTTCTCCATGATTTTTCTAAACATTATTTAACTGATGAATAATATCAACATACACCCTCATGTTTATGTTACCCCCTATTGTTGAATAACTATTTTTTTCAGTTCAAGATTGTAACAGATAATGTTTCAGTATATGTTCTTATAAATAAATATTTATACCAATCTCTAATTATTCTGTTGGATATATTTGTAAAGATGAAATGTCTAATCCAAAATGTATGTTGATTTTTAAGGCTTCCATTACACATTGCCTAACAATAAAGACCTGATACTTAAATTTACACTTCTTGGTGTTAGTCTTATGAAGAAGAAGCAATAAGCCTCACTACCCAAAGCAAACAGATCGAGAAAGAAAACAAACAAACAAACAAAACAAAAATTAGTGTTTTAAAGTGTCCATCAATCTCATATTATTAGGAAATAATACACTGGAGCAGAAAATAGCAAAATATACACATAAGTTCCAGGGCTAAGTTTGTGATAGAAAACATGTTCCCTTCCAGGTACCATAATAGATAAGCCCAAGAGCCTGTAGCAGTGAACACAAAGTTGGAGTTTTAAACGCTAAGTCATCTGCAGACCACCTCTGCTTCTTGTTTGTTATTTTCATCTCTGGAACTCCGTGGAAGTGCTTGACAACTAGCCCTAATTATATATTCTCATAATTATAGGGTAGATGTCTCTCTCCATCTAAAATTTCCATTCTTCCCTTTTAAAGGTCACTGTAACTGAATAAAGACAACGGATTCTAATTAGGACTTCATCCACTAATCCATCTACCTCATTTAAAAGATGATCAAAATGAGAATCAAAGAAAGGAAAGGGCTCATCCATTTGTACTTTAGCTAGTCAGAGACCTCAAGGATTCTAATATGTAGTCCAGTGTTCCTGGACCATATTCACCTCATATAGTCATGGTGACATTTAGCTGGACTAATATATATAAACCTGTAGTGCAACACTGATGTAAAGGTAAATCCTAATTATACCTATTTTGTGGGAGAGGCTGTATGGTATAGTGATTGCGAATGTGAGTTCCGGAGTCAGGCAACTAGAATTTGAATCCTATCTCCATCACTAGCTCTGTCATCTTGGGCAAGTTATTCTCCTTCTGTAGCCCTGGCTTTTCCACAGGATACTTGAGAGCATTGAGTGATACCGCACATGTCATGCAATTTAGAAAATCACCTACTATATTATTTATCAACAGTAATTCACAAAAATTCAGTAAAGCATGTTAGGATAAATGCTATTATACACATATTATGATAAGGATTGAGTGAAGTTTTATTATGTGCTCATGACCCCACGGAAAATTTTTTCCCCACAGAAAGCTACAATATGGGTCTACCATGATTCACTTCATCAAAAATAAGTCAAAAGTTTGAGATACTTGTCTAGTGGAGAAATAGATAAAAGAGACAATGGGATTATTTGTTTTTCTATTAATCAGATACCATGTACCTTCCGTATAATGTGAAAGTGATGATCTGCACAGAGTTGGTGTTCTGAATATCAGGAGAGACGATTTAGGATAAATGTAATCCATGTGGATGGAGCCTAGGACTCCAGCAAAGGTTACCTGCAGGAGCTGATTGATTTAAATATCACCTGTTACATTTTTTACTCTAATTTATAAGAATTCTGTAACTAAGCAGTTATGGTAATAGTGTTGGTTTTAGCAAAGAATACATTTTAGAGAGTGGGGGAGGGATATCACTGATCTCTCATAGGGAGTGTTTTTTTATTTTTTCGGAAAACAGAGAGGGCTCAGCTTAAAAAATTGAAAGATGCTGTAGTCCCAGCTACTCAGCAGGCTAAGGCAAGAGAATGGCGTGAACCTGGGAGGTCGCGATCGCACCACTGCACTCCAGCCTGGGCAACAGAGCGAGACTCCCTCTCAAAAAAAAAAAAAAAAAAAAAAAAAGAAAGGTACTTCAGTCCTTGGATTTGTCCAGAATCATAAGCCCTTCAGATTGTTCTCTGATTATCTATGGCTACTATCAGAGAGATGAAGACTTTGTTGAGTGTATGGGGCAGAGGGAGAGGGGACAAGTGCCTAATGTGAAATTTCAGCAATGGTCCTGCATTTTCTGTCTTAAATTGCACCTTAAACATTAAAATTACAAAGGGAATGAAAACTCTGTCAAGTTTTGATATGATTTGGACGTCTTGTCCCCTCCAATTCTCATGAGGACCTGTGACTTCCAATGTTGGAGGTGGGCCTGGGGGAGATGTTTGGGTCGTGGGTGTGGATCCCTCATGAATGGGTTGGTGCTGCTGGTGAGGTAATGAGTGAGTTCTCAGTTTGTGAGTTTAAGTGTGATTTGTTTGTTTAAAGGAGTCTGGCACCTTCTCCCTCTCTCTCGTTCCCTCTGTCGCTATGTGACATGTTTGCTTCCCCTCTGCCTTCTGCCATGATTGTAAGCTTCCTGAAGTCTCACCAGAAGCCAAGCAGATGCTGGTGCCATGTTTCTTGTATAGTCTGCAGGACTGTGAGCCAAATAAACCTCTTCTCTTTGCAAATTACCTAGCCTCAGGTATTCCTTTATAACAATTCAAAACAGACTAATACAGGTTTCATGACAGTTAGTATTGCATTCTCGTTAAGTTCAATCCCAGCCAAGTTCAAATCCCAGGTCTGTCTTTAACTGACTACATGATCTGGGGGATTTTGTTTAACCTCTCTATGCCTTAAGTTGCTATTTTATAAAATTGTAAATAAAAAGAGATATGGATAGCAGTTACTTTGCTTCGTTGTTAGAAATAATTAAATGAGGCTGGCCGTGGTGGCTCATGCCTGTAATTCCAGCACTTTGGGAGGCTCAGACAGGCAGATCACTTAAGTCCAGGAGTTCGAGATCAGCCTAGCCAACATGGTGAAATCCCGTCTCTACTAAAAATACAAAAATTGGCTGCGCGTGGTGGCACACGCTTGTAATTCCAGCTACTAGGGAGGCTGAGGCACGAGAATTGCTTGAACCCAGGAGATAAAGGTGGTAGTGATTGAGTGTACACACACATGCACATACCCCTCATCCCCCCAACATATGCACTTAGGGAAATGTCTGACACATAAAAACCACACAAGTATTTCATAATATAATTTTCCTGGAAAAACTGAATGACTAATGAACATTGTTGGTTGATGTAACTTGATAGATCAGACATCTCTTTAATATGACTATTTTAGGTTTCTGGAAGAAACCTCAATATCTGATAGATTTATTATATTTCTTCTAAGAAACAATATTAAAAATTGATTCTAAAACTACTTGAAAGTCTTAGGATATTAGATCAAGAAGTCAACTTAGGTGTTATTCAGTTTAATCTTCCAGTTTTCAAAGGAGAAAACTGAATCACAGAAACAATTTTCCCAAAGTGACAGGACTCTTGGTAAAGAAATACCAGTAAACCTCAGAGCTATGTGATCTCCATCTAGGGATTTTTCTCTTGGACCAGGTAACTTACTTTAATTATTTCCTACCTTAGGAGTTTCCATCATTTTAGATTTCATGAACTAATAAATGTTCACAAGTGTTTTGATACTCTGTAATTTTGTCATCTAAGAATAAATACAAAATAAAACAAAGATTCACAAAACAATTTAAGGAAATACTAGAAAAGTAAGAAGGACATAAAGCCAGAATAAACAGTGTTTTGTCTAAACTTGGTGTTTCTTTAAACAGAACAGAAAGAAGGACAAAGTATGAAAGAAAACATTGATAAATTTACCCTCAAAGTAAGAATCTTTGCCTTTTGAAACACAATTTAGAAAATAAGACGCAAGTGAAATAAGCCAGGCACAGAAGGAAAGCAAATCACAGACTGAGAGAAAACATACATGATAAAGAACATATACCCAAATATTTTAAAAGCTCTTGTAACTCAGTAGTGAAATCACAAATAACCTAATAGAAAAATGGGGAAATAATTTAAACAGACACTTAACCATCGAAGACATACAGATGGCAAAGAAGCACATGAAGAGGTGTTCAATATTATTAGTCATCAGAAAAAAAGTAAACTACAATCACAATGTGCACTGCTAGAATGGCTAAAACTAAAAGCAAGCAAACAAACAAACTAGCACTACCCAGTGCTGGCAAAACTGGAACTCTGAGACACTTCTTGTGGGAATGCAAAATGATACAGCCACTTTGAAAACTATTTCAAACTGTCTTGCATATTTACTATATGAACAAGCAATTCCATTCCTTATATTTATGTAAAAGAAATAAAAATATGTATTAACACAGAGACTTGTATTTCAATGTGTATAGTAGCTTTATTTATAATAGCCCAAGACTGTAAAGAATTCACCTATCAACTATTGAATAGGTTTAAAAAAAAAAAGTAGTATACTAGTTGAATATTACTCAGCAATAAAAAGCAAAAAACTTCTCATGTACCCAACAAAAAGAGTTATGGTAAGTGAAAAACAACCAGACATAAATGACTACCCACTACATACCGCTCAAGAAATTTAATTTTAATGTGCTTCATATGGTTTTCTATGTGTTTCTTGTTCTTTGGTTGCTTTGAGCATCTTTAATCTGTTTGTTTATGGTTTTTATCAAATTCAGATTTTTTAAAGAAAATTTTATTTAATAGGCTTTTTACAAAGCAGTTTTAGATTAATAGAAAAATTGGGCAGAAAGTACATGAGTTTCCACATACTCCCTCAACCACTCCCCAGATTCCTCTCTGATTAACATTTTTCATTAGTGTGGTACATTTGTTACAATTGATGAGCCAATATTGATCCATTGTTATTAACTAATAATAGAATAAACTGTAGCGTTCATTCTTTGTGTTGTACATTCTATGGGTTTCGACAAATGTGTAATGAATGTATCCACTGCTACAGTGTTATAGAGAAGAGTTTCCCTCGGACTCTACCTATTCATCCATCCCTCACTTCACTCAGTCTACTCCCCTCCCCTGCAGCCCCTGGCAACCACCAATTATTTGAATGTCTCCATAGTCTTCTCTTTGTTAATTTGTAAATTGAGTTGTTTGTTTTCTTACTGTTGAGTTTTAAATTCAGATAAGTTTCAGCCATTATTACTTCAAATATTTTTTCTGTGCCCCACTTCTACTTCAGGGACTCAACTTACCCATGTACTAGGCAACTTAAAACTATCCCAGAGCTCACGGATGCTTTGTTTGTTTGTTGTTTGTTTGTTTGTTTGTTTCTGGGTTTCATTTTAAATGAAGACATGGCTTTATCTGTTTGAATTCACTAACCTTTTCTTCTGTAGTGTCTAATTTTCTATTAATTGCATCCAGTGCATATTTTTATCACAGACATTGTATTTTTTACCTTTAGATTTTTAATTTGGTCTTTGATTATATCTTCCATGTCTCTAAGTAACCTGATCAATTTTTCTCTATTTTCTTTAACACGTATTCCTTGTCTACTAATTTTATCATTTGTGCCATTTCTGGATTGGTTTCTGTCAACCGATTTTTCTTCTCACATGTCATATTTTCCTTCTTATTTACATGCCCAGTAATTTTTTATTGGTTGTCAAAAGTTGTGAATATAACATTGTCAGGGACTGGATAATTTCATATTCTATAAATGTTTTTAAACTTTGTTTTAAAAAATGGGTAATTTGTTCTTGGGTTTGTCCTAAATGCATTTCAAAGCTGGTTTCAGACTATGGTAACATATTTAATGGTCTATGATGAAATCATAAAAATAATGTGATATCTTTGTGTTTGATTATATATACAATTATTGGTGTACATATGTGTATAACACATACATATAAAATTAAATTACTCTGTATTGTTTTATATTCTGGCTTTTATATTTACCATATTATTAATAATTTTATATAATTTTTCTAAAATAATGTTTAAACTTTTTATAGTATGTTTTCCCTTAAATAATCACTAACTAAACTGACTTTATATTGTTGGATATTTAGATTTTAAGTGTCTCAAGCTAAAACTCTGTCTTTGTTTTTGATGTTATGTAGTGCAGTGACCTTCTTTTCCCTGAACCCCTTTGAATAGGATTTGTCTCTCTGATAAACAAGAAAATTCCAATTAATTTTCCACAAAATTTACATAGAGGACTAAAGTGAATGCAATATATAAAAGACCATGTACAGTGCCTGCTACCTAAGTGTTGCTCAATACATAATACTTATTTTTAAAGATGGAGAAACCATTACAAAAACAGTTTCAAATAAAGATACAAATTTTTATCCAAATCAAGAATAAATAATCGACGCCTTGCTTAGAAAATGATATCAGATGGAGAGTAAGTCTTGGATGATGAGTGAAGAAGGTTCAAAAAGACTTTTTGTCTTAAAGGATCTCACTCTAGGACTTTATGCTCATTAGAAATAAGTCAGCTTTGTACACTATCAACTTGCAAAGACTGAGTGATTGGAAAGTGATAGTAGCATTGTGTTCTAGGACCTGCTGATTTATGGCATGCCTTTGATGAAAACAGACTCCTAATCCCTCAGTGTTTTGCCACGTGGAATACACTCTGTCTCATCACCAATGATGAACATGTGACTCAAGGTGGTAATGCTGTCCTGGGTTCCCAGTAATTTCTTTAAATTGGGCACATGACCCATTTGGAGGCAATCAGTTCAAATAAAACTTTAGTTGTAATTTTTGAGAGGGACAGAATGAGACTCAGGCAAGCGTGTGTTTTTCCTATGAAATTGAATCTTGGCTAATATATGGCTTGTGTTTGTTACAGCCCTCCTCTTCCTACACAGAAGGTAAGAATAAAGTCAGATCAGATAAGGGTCAGTTGCAGACAATATAAACTACTATAACTAGTTTAAGCAGAAGGAGAGTTCCATCGAAGCCTACCAAATGTGAGGTAGGTGAAGAGCTAGATATAGGCTGGACTTCCCAGAAAACTTCCTAGCATTCAGAATCACATTATCTCTGCTGTAATTGTGAGAACTTCCATTACCAATGTGGGAAAAGTACTAAATTAAGAATCTACTGACCACAGACCTGGGCTGCATCTACCGTGATCAGGAAAGCTTCCACCCCCACCACAGAAAATCACTGACTCAGGAATTGTCTACTGATGGACCACATTGCCTCAGCCATAATAGAAGCCATAAAAATGGATGCCTAACATATCAACCTTATCCACCCCTCATCCAGTTTCAAATCTGTGTCCCATGAAAATGCCATGGTTTGGCACAACTCAAATCGTATCTACTCACAGCCAGAAGGAAGACTAGAAATGCAGTTTGGAGTTTTACATAGTTTGAAATACGGAAGACATCCTAGAAAAACATGCATGAATATTGAGCAGGTAAATCTGTAGTATCTTCCACAATTTCACAATGTGGCTAAGAGATAGAAGCCAGATTCTAAAACTTTGATCAGGCAATGTAGTACTAGACAGGACCTCCAGACTGTTTTCTTTTTTAACACTTGAGTCAACTAATACAGTACCTTATTGGTAAGGTATGTTTTCTGAAATGTTTTCTGCCACTTATCAGAAACCTAATTGATACAAACTTCAAGGTTCCTTCCAACTCTAATGCTCTATAATTTATTTTACTTTGCTCAATAAATTTACCAGCAATGATTTTGGTGGAAGGGAAATGCAGTATTAAACAGGAATTACCAAGATCAAAATTACATATATCATAGAGCTTTTCTCTCTTTTTCCTTGTACTCTACCATTATTCCTCATCCTCATCATGGTTCACCATTCCTAGTGAGGACCAAGCGTCCTCAATCAGCTATAGGATATTTAGTTTGGCAAATTTAGAAAAGGTTTAAGCATGCGTAGTGCCCTGATAAGAGAACTCTAGGCCTATCTAACAGGTGGAAGTTCAAAGGAATGAGTCAGAAAGAGGCAACACAGGGGTGGCTGAGGAACTCCTCTTCCTTGGGTGAGGGGATGGAGATAAGACAGTTTGGGTAGCGGTCAGTGCCCAGCTGGAGGGTTGTATTACATAGAAATGGAAATGTCCTTAATTTCTGTGTATTATAAATAAATAAGATGGACAATCATTAGTCACTTTCCCATTCCACTCTTTGGATATATCCAAAGATGATATAACCAGCACCTTTCTTAAGTTCTGGGAATGCAAAGATAAGTAATACAGAGTCATTGTCAAAGGACTACAAGAAACTAGTTCCCTCAACTAGGAAGAGAACCACATGGTTTTGGAAAGCATTTTGAGGAAAAACTCTTCAACCTTCACATTTCCCCTGGGGATGAATCTTACTTCAGGAAATAGAAACCTATGCTTTTCATTAGATTTCCTCATTAAATACTCTCCGAACACATAATATTTTCCCTTGATAGCAATTGATACAGTTGTGCACAATTATTTGTGCAATTACTTTGTTAACATCCATGTCCCATGATTTACAGCAAGTTGTACAGGGCCGAAGATGGTATCCAGCTTGTTAATTTCTGTGTCCTCAGGACTAAGACAGAATCTGGCAAATAGGAATCACATTATAAGTATTTTTTAATATAAGTGAATAAAGCTATTGTCCTGAATTCAAAATCAGAGCAAAAGTTGAAAGCAATTACCTCTAAAACTTCCTCTATCTTCCCCACCTCTATCTTCTAAGCAAAATCCTCCCCAAATCCCAAATTTAAAGTTAAACAAAATGGTCTATTTCCCTCCTGAATAATTGAAGCTAAAAGATAGAAAAGAATCTGGAAAGTACTATGCTTGTTGTCATGCCCGTGTTCCATAACTATCATTTATATGCATTTGTTAGTATCTGTTACCAGGATATTGGCTTTAAATACATGATTCAATTTAACCATTATTACTATATTCTAAGATAGGTATCACTATTTTATCTATGAGAAAAGTAAGTTCCAGAGAGTTTAAATAACCTAATGGAAATTGACAGAGCTAAGATATGAGCCCAGGTCTTTTTAATTCCAAAGCTGGAGTCATTCCCAGGTTGGCTGGGCATGTTATTTCCCCGAATGAATTAGGCTCAAGATTCTTCTCCCACTGATTTAACTACAGAAAAGATGGATAAGTTCTATTTCATCTCCGGCCCTAACAGTTTTTCAAATGTGATTTCTAGCAGCACAATAATTGTCCCCAAATTCTATTACAATCAAACAGTTTGGACATATCAAGAAGTTTATTCCAATGGGATTTTATGTGACCTTGCCTGCCTAGCAACTCTCCCCGGAAGACAAGATAGATAGCGCACACACTGGTTATGGGTCCCATACCTCCAGTTCTGGAAGAGTTGTTTTATTTTAACTCTAAATCTTTTAAAGCTCCTTTATAAAGTCATAGCAAACACTCTTGGGCTTGTTTTGTTTTCAGAGTGGAATTGTGGCCTGTACTTTTAAAGTTATGGGCTCTCTGAGTATCCTCATTCCTGCATTCCGCAGCACAGTAAGAACTGAACATTTTTATTTTTAATTTTCCAATGGCAATGACAGTCTAGACAACTCAGATGAAATATGCCTTTGAATTACTAGATAGTTCCACAGGAGGTGGAGGCATACTATGTTTTCATGCAGACATGCTCTTTAAAAGCAAGATGCAGCAATCCTGTTTTTTAAATGCCTGGTGAGTAGGCCGAATAAAATTGTAACTTTTAGGGTATTATAATTAAAAAATCAAGGCCATAGTCAAAGGACTTTATTTTTCTAGCATAAGCTTTGCTCTGCTTTCTAACTTCTGAGGCTCATGGGGTTGAATTCCCAGAGCTCTGTCAATAACGTGGTTCACTAGCAAATTTGATGTATTTTCTCAGCTGTAACAGAGCATGTTAGCATAACATTTGCTCACAGCTCCTAAGAGATCAGAAGGCATCTAGAGGTTTATATTAGCGTTTTGAAGATTGTTATTACTTAAAGTTTTGTAAGAAGGTAGAGAACACTTAGTGAGAACCATTTGAAGCCTGAGTAAGATTCCATACAGTTATTTCACCCAGTGTACAGTTGTAAAAGGCATTCCTTTACAGAGAAGCCACAGAGATTTGCATGGAAGAACAGTTATAGTTTCATCCGATCTGGTCTCAAGTTTATAGTCTTAAGTGAACTGATATATACATGGAGAAAGACCATCTATGACATTAATTAACAATGCATCTATTTAGAAATTTACTATTGTGGTTAAGGTATCTTGACTTATAAAAGTTGTACTGTATCAAAGACGGTGGTACTTATTAGTAAATGACATATGAGACAGCTACAAGTGCAACTTACCTTATCCATTCTACAACAACAGCCATCCAGCTCCCTAGACCAAGGATATCTAAGGATGCCACAATCTGAGAGTTATCAAAGTCTATGTGAAAATCCCATTGACAAAAGAGCTCTAAGCTCTTTTGGATTCAAATAAACCAAAACCCCAACACCAACTGATGTAAGCAACAAAAGCATGTATTGGCGCAGGTAAGTGAAAGGTGCAGAGATAATATGTTAGAAAAGTGTTTTCATTTTTTCAGGGTAGTAGATTGGATGTTTCTAAGTGCAGCAGCCACTTGGAAATAGCAAGAGTGAATAAAGATCAACTCTGTTAGCTTTACTTCAAGAAAGAAAATGGGAATCCACAGAAACATGAAGGACTCTCCAGATCCTGGCAAGGAGAATGCCAGCAAACAACCCTCATGATGGCATCAGGATGATAAAAGTGAGTGAATCTCCTATACGTGAGAGAAGCAGAGAGCCTCCCTCTGTGACTCACATTTCCACTGGGGATCAAAGAAAGCCAGGCCAAGGGAGAGCACTTTTTTTTTCTCCTGAGCCCCAGAGCTAACCTGGGGAGAGGCTTGGAGATACTGTGAAGGAAAGACAATGGGAAAAGCTGAAGACATTGCTTTTCTCAGATCTGGCAATTTTCCCAGATCTGGAAATACAGCAGGGCATCATTTTTAACCCAAATGGGCAAAGTCAGCCATTCTTGACCACCTAGCGGTGTGGCCATGCAGGCATTTTAGTCTTGGGCCAGAGATTGGAGCACCTGCTCTGGAGTAGGGTGGGGGCCTGGGCAGCCAGAACTGTGGAAAACGACTTAGCAGTCGATGCTAGAATTGTGCTCTCCCTGCTGCAAGTCTGGAATGATAAGAGAGCCGCTACAGCTGCAGTTTCTTCTGGACAGAGAGACTTACAGCCAGAGCCAGTTTGGTGATTTGAAACCTGTCTGTGTGTGCCATGGCTGGGTGCCCCACTCTTCTCCCCTGAGATCAGGGTGCAGCAGGGCCCTCTCTGATCCACCCTTTCACTCCCAGGTGAAAATCCAGGCATTTAGAGCACCCACTTACCTCAACTAGCAGCCTGAGCGGCCCCACCCTTCCTAGACATAGATTGTGGTGCAGTGAGGCCCTTTCCATTCCATGGCCAAGCAAATCTTCAGGCATTTGGAGCATGAGCTTGCTTGGATCAGCAGCCTGAGCTGCCCTACCATTCCTGTGCAGAGATCCTGGTGCAGGGGTAAGGGGGCCTTTCTGCTACAGGCTTATGCAGATCACTAGGCATTCAGAGTACCTGCTTAATTGGTTCAGCAGCCTGAGTCACCACACCTCTTCTGTGAAGAGATCTTGATGCAGGGTGATGCAGGGTGGGGCGGGTCAGGGTGGGGCTCCATGTTCAAGCTGACTTCCAGATATTTGGAGTACCTGCTCACCTAGATCAGCATCCTGACCCACCCAACCCTTCCTGTGTATTGATCCTAATGCAAGGAGGCCCTTTTTCCTTCATACTCAGGGAGATTTCCAAGAATTCAGAGTACTCCCTCATCTGGTTCAGTAGCCTGAGCCATTCTGCCCTTTCTGGACATAGATTATGGTGCAGCGAGCCCTTCTCTTCTCCATGCCCAGGCAGATCTCCAGGCATTCAGAGTACCAGCTTGCCCGGATCAGCAGCCTGAGCCACTCCACCCTTCCTGTGCAAAGATTCTGGGGTGGGGGGCACAGGGGCCTCTCTGCTATATTCCCAGGTAGATCTCCAGGCATTCAGAATACCTGCTTGACTGGCTCAGCAGCCTGAATTGCCCAATCCTCTTGTGAAGAGATCTTGGTGCAGGGGTGGGGGTGCCTCCCTACTCCATGCTCAGGCAGATATCCAGAAATCTAAGTCACCCACTGTCCTGGATTGGTTTAGGTGAACCCCTTACCCAAATAGAAAACTTGGGGCTGAGAAAGTTTTCCAGCTCCATGCCTAGAGACACTTCTGGGTGATTGGTGGCCACACAATGAATTCTCCCTTGGCACTTGTGCCAGCCACTGGGGGACTTGTAGGCAGACCTGCTTTGTCTGGCCCTATCCATTGTGGCCCCTGCTACCCTGGGGCGGAGCAGGAACTCAGACCACTGTGTATTCCATGAATCAGCTTATTGCAAGAGGCAGCAGAGAGTTTCTGCCAGTAAACAAGGATCAAGTACATACCCAGCTGTTCTGGCCAGCTCTTCCCTATAAATTTCCTCTATCAACTTGTAGATTGAACTGTATAGCACAATGTAAAATCTACTGAAAGAAGTGCATAGGGCTATAGAAGCTAAGCCAAAAGACCCTACCAAGCACTCTATACAGTCACATTCCTAGGGAGGGAAGAAAGGAAAGAAAAAAAAGCAATACTATCATAGGAAAAGAAAGAAAAAAGAATCCTACCTGCACGAAAGTAATTCTAGAAATTAGAAATGCCAGCATTTCCAGATGAGAAGGAATAGGGGCAAGAATTCTGGCACCATGATAAATCTGAATGTAGTGACACCACCAAAGAATTACACCAGCTCTCCAGCAATGGTTCCTAATGAAAATGGAAACTCAGTCAAAACAAATAGGAAATAAAAGCACAAATTGAAAGAAAGCTCAATGAGATCCAACATGAGGTTGAAAAGTTTTAACACAGAGAAACTTCTAAAGCAATCCAAAAATTAAGGAAGAGATAAACACCTTAAAAAGAAATCAATCAGCTTCTGGAATGAAAAGCTCACTTGAGGAATTTCAAAATAGAATAGAAACATTTATCTATAGATTGGACCAAACAGAGGAAAGAATTTCTCACTTGAAGACGGTTTGTTTGAGCTAACCCACTCAATCAAAAACAAAGAAGAGAGAATTGTATAAAATAAACAAGTCTTTGAGAAATATGGGATGATTAAAGTGACCAAACCTACAAATTATTGGCATTCCTAAGAGAGCAGGAAAATAAGTAAATAATCAGGAAAACATATTTGAGGAAATAATTCAAGGAAATTTGCTAGAGAAGTAGATATCCATATACAAGAAATCCAGAGAACATCTATGAGATACTACACAAAATTAATATCACCAAGGCTATGCTCACCAGACTATCTGAGATCAACAATAAAGAAAAAATCTTAAAGGCACTAGAAAAGCATGTGATATCACATATAAACAGAACCTCACAAGGCTAACAGTGAACTCAGCAGAAACCTTATAAGCCTGGAGATATTGGGGGCCTATTTTCAGCATTCTTAAAGAAAAAATTCCAACCAAGAATATCATGTCCTGCCAAACTAAGCTTCAGAAGCAAAAGAGAAATAAAATCTTTTCCAGACAAGCTAGTACTAAGGGAATTTGTTACCACTAGAGCAGCCTTGCAAGAGATCCTTAAGGGAGTTTTAAACATGGAAATGAAAGAACAGTAACTGTTGCCACAAAAATGCACGTAGGTACATAGCCCACAGACTCTATAAAGCAACCACACAATGAAAGGTACAAAGCAACCAGCTAACAACTTTATGATAGGATCAAAGACTGACATATCAATATTTACCTGGAATGTAAATGGTCTAAATGTCCAACTTAAAAGTCACAGAGTGGCAAGTCAGATAAAAAAAAAAATACAGATACACCTGTGTACCGTCTTCAAGAGACTCATCTCACATGTAATGATACCCATAGGCTCAAAGTAAAGGGTTGGAATAAAAACTGTACCACAGAAATGGAAAACAAAAAAGAGCAGAGGTTACTATTCTTATATCAGATAAAACAGACTATAAACCAACTACAGTAAAAAGGGACAAACAATGACATTATGTAATGATAAAGTATTAAATTCAACCAGAAGGCTTAACTATCCTAAATATATATGCACTCAATATTGGAATACCCAGATTTATAAAACAAGTACCTCTACATCTATGAAAAGATGTAGACAACCACACAATAACAGTGGTATATCTCAGAATCTCACTGAGCATTAGACAGATCACTGAGTCATAAAACAAAGATATTCTGGACTTAAACCCGACACTTGACCAATTGTTCCCAATAAACATCTACAGACTACTACACCCATGAACTACAGACTATGCATTCTTCGAATGTGTACACATAATATAGTCCAAGATTGACCACATATGCAGCCATAAAGCAAGTCTCAATAAATTTAAAAAAAACTGAATCATACCAGCCATACTCTCAGAATACAGCAGAGTAAAAAATAGAAATTAATACCAAGAACAGCTCTCAAAACCACATAATTATATGGAAAAAAACAACTTTCTCCCACAAGACTTTTAAGTAAACAATAAAATTAAGGCAAAAATCAAATAATTCTTTGAAATAAAATTAAAACAGAGATATAACATTTCAAAACCTCTGGGATAAATAAAAAATCATCAAGTTTATAGCACTGAACAAAAGAAGTGCTAAAGCAAAAGAACAAGTTTGTAGCACAAAAGCAAGAGTCAAGTTTGTAGTACTAAATGCCTATCTCAAAAAGTTGGAAAGATCTCAAATTAATGACCTAACATCACACTTAGAGGAACTAGAAAAACAAGAGCAAACGAACCCCAAAGGTAGCAGAATAAAATAAATAATTAAAATCAGAGGAGAACTAAATGAAATTAGACCAAAAATCCATACAAAGAACCAATAAAACCAAAAGTTTGATTTTTGAAAGAATATACAAGATCAATGAATTCTAGCTAGATTAGCAAAAAAAAGAGATGATTCGATATGCACAGTAAAAAACAACAAAGGTGACATTATAACCAATCCCATAGAAATAACAAAAGTTCCTCTGAGATTATCATGAACATCTCTATGCACACAAACTAGAAAATCTAGAGGAAATGGATACGTTATTGGAGACACATGATCTCCCAAGATTGAATCAGGAAGAAATTGAAATTGTGAACAGATCAATATCAAGTTCTGAAATTGAATCAGTAATAAAAAACCTACCAACCAAAAAAGTTCTAAACCAGATGGTTTCACAGCCGTATTCTACCGGATGTACAAAAAAGAACCAGCACCAGTTATACTGAAACTATTTCAAAAAATCAAGGGGATGGGACTCATTCCTAGCTCATTCTGTGTAGCCAGCATCACCCTAGTACCAAAACCTAGAAAGACACAACAAAAAAAGAAAATTAAAAGTCAATATCCCTTACGAACAAAGACATAAAAATCTCCAACAAAATACTAGCAAACTGAATCCAGTAGTACATCAAAAAGTTAATTCACCACGATCAAGTTGGCTTCATCCTTGATTATAAGTTTGGTTCAACAAAACACATATCAATAAATGTGACTCACTACATAAACAGAATTAAAACCAAAAATCATATGATCATCCCAATGGACACAAAGAAAGCTTTCAATAAAACCCAACATCATTTCATGATGAAAACCCACAGGAAACTAAATATCAAAGGAATATATCTTAAGATAATAAGAGCCATCTATGACAAACCCACAACCACATCATACTGAATGGGAAAAACTGGAAGCATTTCTCTTGATAACTAGAACAAGACAAGGTTGCTCACTCTTATGACTCCTTTTCAGCATAGCCCTCGGAGATCTATGAGCAATCAGGCAAGAGAAAAAAAAAATACCAGAGCAATGAGGCAAGAGAAAGAAATAAAAGACATGCAAATAGGAAGAGAATAAGCCTCTTAAGTCTCTATTTTCAATTTTAATCTCTCTCTGGACATTCTCATTTATGCTATTTCCTCCTCAATATCTTTACTTAGCTGCTTTACAGGTACTATAGATTCAAAGTAACCTGCCTGACCTGCTCTACCAACTTAAGATATAGATGAAACCACATTTTTTATGATTTCCACTAATTGGTTGAATTCTCACATGCCTCTCTTTACAAATATACATTATCCAAAGAAGTCAAGGGTTCACTCAACCCAAATAAGTGTAGCCCTTCTTCTCAAACTCCAGATGGAAAAGAAAGCATTATAAAGCCCTCCTACCCCATCAGCACTATTATTTTATTGTGGCCACATGAATCTCTTTTGAACACTTGTCTTACCCATTCTGCTGGACACTTGTTCACCACTACTGTATGTCTCTACTTGTTTAAATACCTGCCAATTCCCAAACTTCAAGTTTGAATCTGTCTATTCATAGTCATATGCTCAGAAATCATTTTCTAGGTTGGCTTGGTATGCCAGAACCAGCCCTTTCCCACAAACTAAGGACATTTTGAGAACCCTGGAAGGAGAATCAGTTACCAGACCAATTTTCTTACCCCCCTACTGAGCTCCCTTCAAGGCCCTGGTGTTTTTCTCCCAGTGATGTTTTTGCTCAGTGTCATATCAGTCCAGACAATGGGTTTCCCAAAAGTGGAATCTCAGAGAGCAGAGATTGAGGGGTGTCTGGAATTCTTGGGTATTATCCCATCAACCATCCAACATCTAGTGCCCAAGTTTATTTAGGGGTACTTACTCAAGAAGAATTGACAAATGAGAACCCATACCACTTCTTCTTAATAGCTGGGCCCATATACAGTTATTAAAAATCAGAGCTCTTGTAAAGCTGCTTTAGAACATTTCACTTAGGTTCACACAATAAATAGGATCATTGATTACTCCACCCTCCAAGGAAAATGCAAATACTAGGACCTTATTACATTTTGACTGGACACCTATAACAGAGGCCTGTTCAACATATTAAGACAAAAGGAAGAAAGAGAGAGCTAGGTAAGGATATGTTACATCTTAGCCCACAATGATCTTGCACTCCAACAAATGTAACCTGGTCAATTTCCTGCAACCTGGCCTATTGAAACTTCTATTTAAGAAAAGAGGCCAGGCGTGGTGGCTTATGCCTGTAATCTCAGTATTTCGGTATGCCGAGGTGTATTAGTCTGTTTCATGCGGCTGATAAAGACATACCCAAGACTGAGCAATTTACAAAAGAAAGAGGTTTAATGGACTTACAGTTCCAAGTGGCTGGGGAAGCCTCACCATCATGGTGGAAGGCAAGGAGGAACAAGTCATGTCTTACATGAATGGCAGCAGGCAGAGAGAGCTTGAGCAGGGAAACTCTGTTTTTAAAACCATCAGATCTCGTGAGACTCACCTACCATCACAAGAACAGCATGGGAAAAACTCACTCCCATGATTCAGTCACCTCCCATCAGGTTCCTCCCACGACACATGGGAATTGTGATAGTTACAATTCAAGGTGAGATTTGGGCAGGGACACAGCCAAACCATATCATTCTGCCACTGGATCCTCCCAAATCTCTTATCCTCACATTTCAAAACCAATCATGCCTTCCCAACAGTCCCGCAAAGTCTTAACTCATTTCAGCATTAACTCAGAAGTCCATAGTCCAAGGTCTCATTTGAGACAAGGCAAGTCCCTTCCATCAATGAGCCTGTAAAATCAAAAGCAAGTTAATTACTTCCCAGATATGATGGGGGTACAGGTATTAGGTGAATACGGCCATTCCAAATGGGAGAAATTGGATAAAACAAAGGGGCTACAGGCCCATGCAAGTCCAAAATCCAGCAGGACAGTCAAACCTTAAAGTGCCAAAATGTTCTCCTTTGACTCCATGTCTCACATCCAGGTCATGCTGATTCAAGAGGGGGGTTCCCATGGTCTTTGGCAGCTCTGCCTCTGTGGCATTGCAAAGTAGAGCCTCCCTCCCGGCTGCTTTCACAGGCTGGCATTGAGTGTCTGTGGCTTTCCCAGGTGCATGGTGCAAGCTGTTGGTGGATCTACCATTCTAGGGTCTGGAGGATGGTGGCTCTCTTCTCACAGCTCCACTAGGCAGTGTCCCAGTAGGAACTCTGTGTGGGGGATCTGGCCCCACATTTCCTTTCCACACTGCCCTAGCAGAGGTTCCGCATGAGGGCCCTGCCCCTGCAGCAAACTTCTATCTGGACATCCAGGCATTTCCATACATCCTCTGAAATCTAGGCAGATGTTTCCAAACCCCAATTATTGATTTCTATGCAGTGGCAGGCTGAACATCATGTGGAAGCTGCCAAGGCTTGAGGCTTGCACCCTTTGAAGCCACGGTCTAAGCTCTACATTAGTCCCTGTCAGCCATGGCTGGAGTCGGTGTGACACAGGGCACAAAGTCTCTAGGCTGCATACAGCATGGGGACCCTGGGTGTCTTGGAGATTAACATTCAGCTCCTCGTTACTTATACAAATTTCTGCAGCTGGCTTGAATTTCTCTTCAGAAAATGGGATTTACTTGTCTATCGCATTGTCAGGCTGCAAATTTTCTGAACTTGTATGCTCTGTTATCCTTTTAAAACTGAATGCCTTTAACAACACCCAAGTCACCCCTTGAATGCTTTGCTGCTTAGAAATTTCTTCCATCAGATACCTCACATCATCTCTCTCAAGTTCAAATTTCCACAAATCTCTAGGGCAGGGGCAAAATGCCACCAGTCTCTTTGCTAAAACATAACAAGGGTCACCTTTGCTCCAGTTCCTAACAAGTTCCTCATTTCCATCTGAGAACACCTCAGCTTGGACTTTATTGTTCACATCACTCACTATCAGCTTTTTGGGCAAAGCTATTCAATAAGTCTCTAGAAAGTTCCAAACTTTCCCACATTTTCCTGTCTTCTTCTGAACCCTCCAAACTGTTCCAACCTCTGCCTGTTACCCTGTTCCAAAGCTGCTTTCACATTTTCAGGTATCTTTTCAGCAGTGCCCTGCTCCTGGTACCAATTTACTCTATTAGTCCATTTTCACACTGCTGATAAAGACATACCTGAGACTGGGCAATTTACACAAGAAAGAGGTTAAATGGACTTACAGTTCCACTTGGCTGAGGAAGCCTCACAATTATGGCAGAAAGCAAGGAGGAGTAAGTCACATCTTACAAGGAGGGCAGCAGGCAAAGGGAGAGCTTGTGCAGGGAAACTCCCCTTTTTGAAACCATCAGATCTCGTGGCACTCACCCACCAACACGAGAACAGCACAGGAAAGACCCGCCCCCACGATTCAATCACCTCCCACCAGGTTCCTCCCATGACACATGGGAATTGTGGGAGTTACAATTCAAGATGAAATTTGGGTGAGGACACAGAAAAACCATGTCATGAGGTGAGCAAATCGCTGAGCCCAGGAGTTCAAGACAAGCCTGGGCAACAGAGTGAGACCCCCATCTCTACAAAAATCTACAAAAATTTGCCAGGCATGGTAGCATGCATCTGTAGTCCCAGCTACTCAAGATGCTGAGGCAGGAGGATCACTTGAGCCCAGGAGGTCGAGGCTGTAGTAAGCCATGATCATGCCACTGCACTCCAGCCTGAGTGACAGAGTGAGACCCTGTCTCAAAAAAAAAAAAAAGAAAAAAAAAAGAGATGAAGAGGCCAGGAACAGTGGCTCACACCTGTGATCCCAGCACTTTGGGAGGTCGAGGTGTGTGGATCACGAGGTCAAGACATCAAGACCACACTGGCCAACATGGTGAATCACCATCTCTACTAAAAATACAAAAATTAGCTGGGTGTGGTGGCACATGCCTGTAGTCCAAGCTAGTCAGGAGGCTGAGGCAGGAGAATTGCTTGAACCCAGGAGGCAGAGTTTGTGGTGAGCCAAGACGGTGCCATTGCACTCCAGCCTGGGCAACAAGAGCAAAACTCCATCTCAAAAAAAAAAAAAAAGATATGAAGGGCATCAGGGAAGAGGCATACTGTGTAGAGTAAACATCCCTGTAGCCCTGCAGTGAGCAATAAAAATTAGTACAGGAGGACTACTCTAATTCCTTTCAAATCACATTCCAATGAAAAGATTGGGGGAAATGCAAAAAGGATAAGGACACCTTGAGAGTGCTTCTGACCCACACAGTGCCACTTAAACCTCCTCTTTCCCTCCTCTGAGCCACATCCCATTTTACTCTGAAGGTACAAAGAAAATATAGTATAAGGACAGAGAATAGAAATTGATTCTTCATTTCTGAGTTGTTGAAAACAAGAGGAAGAAATGAGATAGTACAAAAAGTATGGGTTCAGAGTCTTACTGACACAGGTTCAAATCTTCTCATTCCTAGATCTGACAACAAGCCTTGGCAGACCTTTATATTCTATTAACTTCAGTTTCTAAATATATGAAACCAGAGATGATAATTTCCATGTTTTAAGGCTGAGAATTTAGTGAAATTATGCATGACACTTCATAGTCAATCAATAAATGTTAGTTCACCCATTAATCTCTCCATTTCTCCAGTTTCTTGTAATCCTAATATTCAACCAAAGCCACTATTCCTAAGCATCATCTCACTTCTACAGAAGGCCTTCTTTTTGCAAAAGAAAAGTTTGGTCTTTGAGAGAGAATACTAGCAAAAATATCATTTTACTTAATCCCTAATTTCTATTTCATAACATAACTAGCTGATATCTTGATAGAGTATGTATAATTGAAACTTCTTAGAGCATCAGGTATTTTGGTTGTGTCTTCTTGAGTGCCCCTACATTATTGGGACACCTCAAACATTTGGTAAATTCTCCCTTTTCTCCTGAGTAGATGTCGATGTCACATCTTAATAACAAATAAGCAAGATAGCTTCTTCAAAGTTATCTTAGAGCTGCTTTAAGAATAAATATTCATTTCTTATTGGCAGAGGTACATTAAATTTTGTTTACCATATCTGAGAGCCCATTGTGGTCTTTAAAGGGTAAGTACAAGTTTGGCAGATATAAGTAATGGACTTCACTGTGAAAGAGGAATAAGATGAGCAAAGTTATTTGGAAAATTCAAAGTTATTTGGAAATTTGAAAACTATTGGGCAATATTTGGGAAAGAACAAAAGTCCAATTATGTGAAAATCAGTAGCAGAGCCACTATATTGAGTGTTTATTTTATACTAGGCATTGTGCTATCCCTCCTGTGTATTAGGTAATTTAATCCTAACAAACCCCAACAAAGGTGCTATCATTTCTATTTCTCAGATCTGGAGTCTTGGAGCGATTAAATAACTTGCCCAAGGTCACTCTAGCTTTTCAGATTTCAAGTTGGCTTTAAGCAAAGCTAATAAGAGTGGTTTAAGACAAATGCAAGATCCTTGGATATCATCATTGAAAGTTCCTATTCAAATCTAGATAATGAGTTTCTTGAGGAGAAGTTCTCAGTCTTAGGGTCTTAGTTAATCAGGAATACTTTAAAGCCGGCACATAGTAGGGATCTCATAGTTACGTAAAGTTACTTTAGGTAGGCCATGGAACATTTGGGATAGGGATATGCTGTGCTTGTCCCTCTGCTAAGATTCTTTATTTCCTTTCTAGGACAGAAACCATGTTGTGTTCAATTTCATATTTTCCCTCTACCTTCTGTCACAGCCTTCCACTCCCATAGTATTCTCTTTAAACTCCTATTCCAGAACCTTAATTAATCTGTTATATGTTCAAATCATGGTTGCTTCTAAAACACAATGCATTGTTCATTTGTATGTATCCATAACCCAATACACAATACGGTAGGTGCTAACAGAATATGTTATACAAATTAATGAATAGTCCTAAGAATGAATCTGTCTTGTAAATATATTTATAACTAAGCAGAGCTAAACAGAATCAAGTTAAACTTAGTTAAATGGTCTTGTCGGTGATGGTGAACTTACATATCTATCCACCAGTACCTGGCATAGTGTACATAGATATTTGCATTTTAAGATGTGCTCCAAATGCATGAAACCCTCCCACAGGACTGAAAAACAATGAGGTAGCAGAAGTAAAGTTTCTATAGCATATGGTGGATTTTTAATATCAAATATTTCAACCACTCATCCAGTGTCACCCACATTACTTCCCTCCACACAGGTAGCCATACTCACCCTACCTGCCAGCTTTTGCACATAGGATTAACTCATATCAGTTCCCTAAAAATATTATCTCCAGGGTAAATAACTGCCTAGGCAATGATAAATATCATTACCATCTTATATAAGTGTAAGTAGGTTCCCAGCTTCTTATGAACTTGATCCCTTTAATGCTTATTGCACTTGAAAGATACCTTTTGTAAAAGGTCAAGCAAGAAAACTCCAGGCCTTCACCAAACCCATCCTCAAAAGTGATTACAGCTTCTTTTAAATTCACTTTATGTTAGTATGATGATTAATTTTATGTGTCAACTTGACTGAGTTAAGGGATGCCCACATAAGTGGTAAACATTATGTCTGGTTGTGTCTATGAGGTTGTTTCCAGAAGGCATTAACATTTGAATGAGCCAACTGAGTAAACAATATTACCCTCACCAATGTGGGAAGGTGTTATGCAATCAGTCAAGGGAGGGCCCAGAAAGAACCATAAAATGGAGAGTGGATGAATTTGCTCTCTCTGTTTGATCTGGGACATCCATCTTCTCTGACCCTCAAATGTCAGCACCCCTGGTTCTCAGGCCTTCAGGCTCAGTCTGAATTACATCATCGGTTTTCCTGGTTCTTCATCTTATAGATGGCAGATCATGGAATGGCTCAGCTTCAATAATTATATGAGCCAATTTCCCTAATAAGTTCCCTATTATACTACTATCTATCTATCTATCTATCTTCATCATCATCATCATCATCTATATTTATCTATAATTATCATCTACATCTATCTATCTATCTATCCATCTATCTATCTCTCCTATTTGTTTCATTCCTCTGGAGAACTCTGACTAATACAGATGATGGTACCAAGAGTAGTTTTAGAGGTTCTAGAGTAACAAAATTTTAAGGATGAGAATTTTCAGAATTGGTTCTGAAATTTCTGCAATTGTCTTTCTAAACTCTTTAAAGACACAAATGGCTATTTCCATTAGTTAAAAGAGCACTGATAGTTCATGGAGTAAACTGTTTATAGAAATGCAAAATTCTCTGCACTGAATACCCCTAATTAATCACTTATAAGAAGTGAGAAGGCAAGTGACTCTGTATATGATACTTTTGAACATTTTTGGAAAACAAAAATGTAATGACATTGGTTGCTTGCTTCTAATATTGCTGGACAAAGTGGTGAAAGAAAAAAGTGAGCTCGGGCATTCAAATTTTCAGCTCGAGCACTGCACAAATGACCTTAGAATTTCTAAATGTGTCCTGAGGAAAAGCCTTATCTACTGTAGCTGCAGGGCTGAAATTGCAGAAAATGAAACACAGAACCTCATCCTGCAATTGGCTGAATTGAAATTTAAAGTTGAGCTTTCAGTCTCACAAGGTGTCTGCTATTAAAGTAAGGGCATTAATTGAGAAAGAATGGGATAATATAAGTTAGGAGGAGGACATGTGTGAAGACACTGATGAAGCTGGGAACATTATCTCCTACATTCTGATGAGTCTTCTCTGACACAGCAGTGGCATTCCCCACCCCTGGTGGATAGTGCCCTCCCCACCCACAGTGGTATTGGCCTTTTCACCTCCATGTTAGGGAACTAAACCTGCATTGCCTAAGGAAATATTTATAGTTATAGCCATACCTGAAGCAGTTACCATGCAAGACATGCTGATTTCCCCCCCCCCCGACCCACTCCCAGCACCTGTCTTTGCTTCTAGACTTATAACTAGACTCAAATCCCAGCAGACCCCCAAAGGTGAGGTACAAAGTCCAAAAGAACTACTTGAGTTATTTAATTTACATAAGTAGAAAATCAAGGAACATGTATGGGAATGGATATTAAGGTTGTGGGATAATTATGGAAAGAATAGAAAGTTCGATCAGTTTGAAAATATTGATGTGGGCTCACTAAGCAGAAAGTCTGCATTTAATGTTGTATCTCACAAAGTTAGAAAGGGCTCTAACAGTTTGGTTGGTTGGTTGGCTAAAACATGAATCAAAAGGTGTCCCACCATAAGCAAATTGGAAACGCCTGACCTTCTTTGGCTTAATTTTAAGGAAGGGATTCAAAGGCTTAAAGAGACTGGAATGTTAGAGTAGATTTGTCATTTAATAAATACCTACACCAGGAGAGGCCATAAGACATACCAAATGGCTATTTCCATTAGTTAAAAGAACACTGATAGTTCATGGAGTAAACTGTTTATAGAAATGCAAAATTCTCTGCACTGAATACCCCTAATTAATACTTTGCAAAATAAATTTGTATAGAGAGCCTCAGTATCCTTTAAGAACACAGCAATCATTCTTCTTTGAAGGCCAGGTCTTTCCATGGGAATCCCAGCCATTTGATTGGAAAAGCCAAATGCAATGGGAGCAATCTGATCCTGGGGTGGTAGCAGCTAAGTGATAGCACCGAATTGCCAAAGACAAGGTGGGTGTCGTTTCTCTAATGGACAACAGAGTCAAAGCAGCAATCAGAGTCTGACTCATATAGACCTGTGGCATCAGCCGGTTAATCATGGTATTCTGAGAAGTGAAATAGATAGTAAGTCTATTAGGTTACTACCTGACACGTATAGGCAGAAAAGTTTTAGTACAAGTGAACAAGAATCTAATTTGAGTAGTAAAAAACAGTCACGCCCGCTGAATTAATTTCCAGACTTGAGGTACTTTACAGTCCCAGAACCCTTTGAATGAAAGGGAGCCTGCATCCCCTCGAAAAAGAAACCCAGTACACTACCAAAAAATGTATACTGTTTATGTTTCTCCCAGCCTTCTTCCAGGGTAATTGTGCATTGGGAAAAACCATCAGACCTTTCAGGGACTACTGGACAGTGGCTCTGTACTGACACTTGTTCCAGAAAACCCAAAACATCACTGTGGCCCTCCAATCAGAGTAATATTGAGAGTACGTAGGTCAGATGATCAGTGAAGTTTAAGCTCAGATCTGACTCACAGTGGACGCACAGAGTCCCCAAACTCATCTTGTGGTTGTTTCACCAGTTCCAGATGTGCATCAACTCATATAATTGCCACATTGGTTCCCTGAACTGTGGAGTGAGGGCTATTATGGTGGAATAGGCCAAGTACAAGCCATTAGAACTGCCTCCCCCTAGGAAATTAGTAACTCAAAAGAAATATGGCATTCCTAGAGAAATTGCAGACATTAGTCCCGCCATCAAAGACTTGGAAGATGCAGGGATGGTGATTCCCACCACATCTCCTTTCAACTCCCTTTTGTGACTTGTAGAGAAGACAGATGCATCTTGAAGAAAGACAGTGGATTATTGTAAGCTTAACCAAGTAGTGACTCAAATTGGAGCTGCCGTACTAGGTATGACAAATAAACAAGATAGTATTCATTTAAACACATTACATGGATTATGTCAATTTATTCTGACCATAGTCTCAGGAGATAAATGGTATTAACATCCTCACATTGTAAATGTGGGCACTGAGGTTTGACAAGGTTAAGCAATGAGTTACAAATTGTATAAGCAGAGAAGCCAAGATTGAATCTGGCTTTTAAAGTGATTTTAATACCTGCTCTACACTGCCTCTTTTCTGTCCCTAAATATAGTTGAATATTTTTAAATATTTAAATTTATCTGACCTATCTTCTGTTACAAAATGGGTGCAATCATACAGTATACAGCATTATTATCCAAAAATCAAATATTGTGGGTTTCTAAACATTAAGAGCCATATCTTGTTTTTTTTTTCTGTGTACTCCACAATGCAGAAAAGTGCAGTATGTAGTACTGTTCACCAAACATTATTAATGAACATGCAATGCATAGATTACAAACATCAAAGTGCAGAACTTGATACAACAAATGCTATACCTCAAATTATCGCTGTCCTCACTTAAAAGGTAAAAGACATGTGTTGTCAAATGAAATGAGGTTTTGCCTACACCCAGACTGTGAAAATTTTGAAAGCCCATCCTTATTTTTTCTACATTGAAGTAACTACAGATGTGATTCTTTCCTAAAAGCAGGAAATAGCTTTTTTGTGCTTTTATAACAATTCTCTTAAATAATTACCCAAATTAAAAATTCCTTCAGATTTAAATGGGTGAAGAACTTTCATACCCTTTCCTACAAATATAGATTCTAAAGAGCCAATTCAGATTACTTTTTCCTAGGCCCTAGCAAGCATTTGCTCAAGAGGGTCTGAATTTCTCAAGGGATCAGGAAGACAGAAAGAAAGGAGGTAAAAAGAAAAATTATTTCTGCTATTGGGCAGAAATTCAAACAGAAACCCCCTCTTCTCTCACATTGATCTCTTTTTCTGGATCCTTCTTGATTTTGTCAAATGGACTTTAAGGGTCCCTTCTGGTTTTGATATACTTTTTTCATTCACTAGGAAATGAGGAAAAATGAATAAACAAGGCCTGAGACAAACTTTGAGCTATGTATAAGGAAGAACTAAAATAAAGACTGCAAATAATAATAATAGGCCCCCTCAGCTTCTTTATTTGCCACCATTTTCCTTCTCCGGCATCTACACCCTTCTGCCTGCAATCCACAAGACTCCACTCCCTTACTCATTTCTTTGTCCTCCAGCCGACAGTGCCTTTCTCCTCTTTATCCACTCAGCCTTCTTGGTCCAAATCAAATTTCACGTTCCCTGCTAAGCTGTTTCTATGCCTACCTCTCCCTCAAGGCAGAATCAATCACTCCTAGCTCTGTGATTCTATGGTGAGCTTGTTCATGCTGTTATAACACTTCCACATGTTTTCTAATTGGTTACTTACATTTCTGTTTCTTTGGTGTTCCAAATTCTTGTTTTTCCTCTGTCAAAATATTTGTCAGCCCACACTGAGCTGGATACCTTTATAAGGCTTTGGCATTTTGGCCCCAACTCTCCTTGGGGAAGGAGCACTATCTAGAGCAGTGGTTATCAACCGGAGTCATTTTGCTCCCCCAGGGGAAATTTGATAACATCTGGAGACATTTTTGTTTCTTTGTTTATTTTTATTTTTAATTGACAAATAATAATTATATATATTTATGGGATACAATGTGGTGTTTCAATATATGCACACATTGTGGAGTGACCAAATCAGACATTTTGATTATCATGACAGGTGGTCCTATTGACATCTACTAAGCAGAGACCAGGGATATTGTTAAATGTCCTACAAAGCACATGTCAGCCTCCACAATGAAGAATTATCTAGTCCTAAGTATCAGCAGTACCAAGATTGAGAAATCTCAGTCTGGAGTGAAGACTTGTTCAGGGCTTGTTCAAAGAAATATAACTCAAGCTAAGGCCCAAGAGCATGTAACTGCTCCAGTAGTATTCCAGAGCAGATGATACCATACATGGCCAATTAAGAGTTTTACACAACACTGGTCAAGATTGCTGTATAAGGTTAAAGCTTATTTGATTAGTCAACAGGCTTCCTCAGGTTGCCCCTAGGAGAGCTGGGATGGGATCTGTAGAAACTAACTTAAACCTCAGAAACTTCATTCCCAGGTTCTTTTCACTGATTCATGGAAGTGGTCAGTTCTTGGCATTCATTTCTTTATTTCTTCGTGATAATTTCATTCATTAACATTTTACTTCTCCATGACTTTTGGTGAGTTCCATTGTCGGCTTCCCTAAATTTGGATCTCTCAGAGAATGGTTTAGGGACTTAGTCCTTCTCCTTGATGTGGAATCCTTGGGAAAATTGACTCGCTCCCTTTCAGAACTCTGAATTCCAAAAAAAAAAAAAAAAAAGTGTTCTTTTGCTGAAGAAGAAAATTCTCAAATTTTGGTATACCTTGCCATGGGGCATAAGCAAGGAGATCATTAAATATTAAATAATTAAATATTAGGTCCTCAGGTGTACTAGCCACATTTCAAATGCATATTAGTCACATGTGGCTAGCAGCTAGTATAGTCGACAGCACAGATATAAACAGTTCCATCACTGAAGAAAGTTCTATTCAACTTACCCCCACTACAGCCCCACATACCTCACCACAGGCAACCACCAATCTACTTTCTGTATCTACAGATTTGCCTATTCTTGCCCTTACATAAAATAAAATCATACAATTTGAGGTATTTCATGACTTAATTCTTTTATTTAGCATAAAATTTTCAAGGATCATCCATCTTATGGCATGTATCAGAGCATCATTCCTTCCTATTGTCAAATAATATTCCATTGTAAGACTATACCACATTTTATTCATTCATTCCTCAGTTGATGGACATTTGAGTTGTACTTTTTGGCTATTGTGAATAATGCTCCTATGAACATTCATGTACATGATTTGTGTGCACATATATTTTCATTTTGTGTGGTTATGTATTTAGGTGTAGCATTGCTGGAACATACAGCATTTCTAGGTTTAACATTTTGATAAACTGACAAACAATTTTCAAATCGGATGAACCACTTTTTATATATACATGGGTTCTAATTTCTCTGCATCCTTGCCAATGCAGAGATGCTTGTTATTGCTTGTTATTTTGATTCTAGTCACCTTAGTGGGGGTGAAGACTTCCTTGTGAAGACTGTTGATATGAGCCATCTTTTCATATGCTGTTGGTCATTTGTGTATCTTCATTAGAGAAATATCTATTCAAAATTGTTGCCCATATTTTATTTAGGTTGTCTTTTTGTTGTTGAGTTATAAGATCCTTGTAGATAAAGATACAAGTTGTAAGATACTTGTATCTTTATGTATTCCAGATACAATCCTGTTATCACATATGTGATTTGCAATTTTTTCCCATTCTATGGATTGCTGTAATATTCTCTTAATGTATTCTTTTACACTCAAAAGTTTTTAATTTTAATTCAGTCCAACTTATCTATTTTCTTATTGCTTATATTTTAGGTTTTAAATGTAAGGAGCCATTATCTAGCTCCAAGATCATGAAGATTTACTTCTATGTTTTCTTCTTAGAGTTTTATAAGCCCTTACATTAAGTTCTATAATCCATTTTGAATTTATTTTTTTACATTGTGTAAAGTAGGGATCCAATTCATTCTTTTGGATACATCTATCCAGTTGCTTCAATACTATTTGTTGAGCAGACTATTCATTTCACGTTAGATTGTCTTGGCATTCCTGTCAAAAATCGCTTGACATTAAATTAAATGTTTATCAGTGCATTCTCAAATCTATTCCATGGATCTTTATGTCTAGCCTTATGCCAGTATCACATTATCTTGATAACTATAGATTTGTAGTTAAGTTTTTGAAATGGAAATTTTGAGTCTTCCTACTTTCTTTTTTCAAGATTGTTTTGGTTATTCTGGGTCCCTTGACTTTTCATATAAATTTTGTCAATTGCTACACACACACACACACACACACACACACACACACAATCAGCTGTGATGATTAATAGTACTTGCATTGAATGTGTAAATCAAGTTAAAGAGTATTGCCATTTTTACAATACTAAATGTTCTGGCCCAAGGATATGGAATGTTTCTCCAGTTATTAGATCTTTTCTTTTTTTAGTGATGTTTGGTAGTTTTCTGTGTACAAGTCTTGCATTTCTTTTGTTAATTTAATTCTAAGTACTTTATTCTCTTTTGTTAATGTTCATCATAAATATTTTACTCCTTTTGATGTTATGGAATTGTTTTCAAATTTCATTTTTGGATTATGAATTGCTAGTGTTTAGAAATGGAATACATTTTTATATGTTAATCTTGTTATAATCTTGATAAAGTACCTGTTAAACTATAATAGATTAGATGTAATTTTTAGAATTTTTCTCTATACAAGATCATTTCATGTGCAAATAAAGGTTGTTTTACTTTTTACTTTCTAACATAGATTACTTTTATTTCTTTTTCATACCTAATTGCACTGGCTAGAACTTTTAGTACAATGTTGAATACAAGTGATGAAAGTAGACATGTCTGTCTTGTTCTGAATCTTAGGGAAAAAGCATCCAGTCTTTCACTATTAAGTGTAATGTTAGCTATAGGTTTTTAATAAATGCCCTTTATGAGACTCAGGAAGTTCCTTTTATTACTATTTTGTTAACTGCATTTATCATGAAAAGATGTTGAATTTTGTGAAAAGATTTTTTATTGTTTCAGTTGAGACAATCGTGTATTTTTTGTGTGTGTCCTTAATTCTGTTGATGTGATATACTACATTGATTTTCAGATGTTAAACTAAGCTTGCATTCTGGGATAAGTCCTATTTGGTCATAATGTATGACCATTTTTGTATGTTGCTGGATTTGATTTGCTAGTTTTGTTGAGAATTTTAGCATTTATATTAATAATTAACATGGACGTGTAGTTTTCTTTTCTTGTAATGTCTTGTCTGATTTTGATACCTGGATAATATTTCTCATAGAATGAATTAGGAAGTGTTCTCTCTTCTATTTTTGAAGCATTAGTGAAGGATTGGTAGTAATTTTTCTTTACATGTTTGGTGAAATTCACCAGTGAGGCTCTTTGACCTTGGGCTTTTCTGCATAAAAAGTTTTATCGTTACTAATTTAATGTCTTTACTTGTTATAAGTGTAATCAGATTGTCTTATTTTTTATGAGTCCATTTTTGTAATTTGTGTCTTTCTATGAATGTATACATTTCATATAACTTATCTAATTAGTTTGTATACAATGGTTTATAATATTTTCTTATATGCAAAGAAATTTCTGTGAGGTCAGTAGTAATATCCCTTTTTTATTTATGATTTTAGTAGTTTGAGTCTTCTTTGTTTATGATGATCAATCTAGCTGAAGTCTTTCAATTCTGTTCATCTTTTGAAAGAATGAATTTCTGGTTTCATTGTTTCTCTATTGCTATTCTCTTCTCTATTAATTAATTCCCACTCTGTTCATTATTTTTTTCCATCTTCTGTTCATAGATTTATTTTACTTTTCTTTTACTAGTTTCTTAAGGTGGAAGATTAGGTTATTAATTTGAGCTCTCTCTCCTTTTTCTGTCTAGCTGTTTACAGCTATAAATTTCCCTTGAAACACTACTTTTTCGGCATGCTCTAAGTTTTGGCATGCCACATCTACCTCAAAATACTTTCTAGTTTCTTTTGTAAATTCCTCTTGGACCCATTGCTTATTTAGTAGTGTGTTATTTCCAGATACTTGTCAGTGTCCCAGATTTCCTTCTGTTGATTTTTAATTTCATTTATTGTGGTCTGAGAGAACATTTTATTTTATTTCAACTCTTGTAAATTTATTGAGGCTTGTTTTATAATCTAGAATATAGTCTATCTTAGAAAATGCTTTGTGTGTGCTTGGAGAAAATGTATATTCTACTGCTATTGAATGAAGTGATCTAGAAACCTCTGTTAAGTCTAGTTGGTTCACAGTGTTGTTCAAGTCTTCCATATCCTTGTTAATCTGTTTGTTCTATCCATTATTGAAGTCAGGTATTGAAATCTGTAACTACTATTGTTTAATTGTATATTTATTTTTTTAATTTCTATTAATTTTTTGCTTTGAGTTTTAGGGACTTTGTTGTTAGTACATGTATTTTTACACTGATCATATCTTTCTGATTAATTTATTATTTTAGTCTTATAAAATATTCCTCTTAACAAATTTTTTTCTTTTACTTTTTTTAGATTTGAAAACAATTTTTGTCTGATATTAATGTAGTCCTTTCAGGCTTTCTCTGGTTGCTATTTGTGTACTATAGCATCTTAATGTTTTTTGTTTTCAGTCTTTTGTATGTTTGAATAAAGCATATTTCCTTTGGACAAGATTTAATTGCCTCTTGCTACAAAGAGAATAAAATACCTAAGACTACAACTTACAAGAAATGTGAAGGACCTCTTCAAGGAGAACTACAAACCACTGCTCAATGAAATAAGAGAAAACATAAACAAATGGCAAAACATTCCATGCTCATGGATAGGAAGAATCACTGTCATGAAAATGGCCATACCGCCCAAAGAAATTCATAGATTCAATGCTATCCCCATCAAGCTACCAGCGACTTTCTTCACAGAATTAGAAAAAACTACTTTAATTTCATATGGAACTAAAAAAGAGCCCGTATAGCCAAGACAATCCTAAGCAAAAAGAAAAAAGCTGGAGGCATCATGCTACCTGACTTCAAACTATTCTACAAGGCTACAGTAACCAAAACAGCATGGTACTGGTTTATTTATGCAGCCATGAATAAACCAGTTAAATAAATAAATCAGACATTTATGTGGCCAAAACAGATATGTAGACCAATGGAACAGAACAGAGGCCTCAGACTTAACACCACACATCTACAGCCATCTGATCTTTAATAAACCTGACAAAAACAAGCAATGGGGAAAAGATTCCCTATTAAGTAAATGGTGTTGGGAAAACTCACTAACCATATGCAAAAAACTGAAACTGGACCCCTTCCTGACACCTTACATAAAAATTAACTCAAGATGGATTAGAGACTTAAACGTAAGACCTAAAACCATAAAAACCCTACAAGAAAACATAGGCAATACCATTCAGGACATAGTCATGGGCAAAGACCTCATGACTGAAACACCAAAAGCAATGGCAACAAAAGCCAAAATTGACAAATGGGATCTAATTAAACTAAAGAGCTTCTGCACAGCAAAAGAAACCATTATCATAGTGAAAAGGCAACCTAAAGAATGGGAGAAAATTTTTGCAATCTATCCATCTGACAAAGGACTAATATTCAGAATCTACAAAGAACTTAAACAAATTTACAAGAAAAAAAACACCCCATTGAAAAGTGGGCAAAGGATATGAACAGACACTTCTCAAAAGAAGACATTTATGGGTCCAACAAACATATGAAAAAAAGCTCATCATCACTGGTCATTAGGGAAATGCAAATCAAAACCACAATGAGATACCATCTCACTCCAGTTAGAATGTCGATTATTAAAAAGTCAGGGAACAACAGATGCTGGAGAGGATGTGGAGAAATAGGAATGCTTTAACACTGTTGATGGGAGTGTAAATTAGTTCAACCATTGTGGAAGACAGTGTGGCAATTCCTCAAGGATCTAGAACCAGAAATACCATTTGACCCAGCAATCCCATTACTGGGTATATACCCAAAGGATTATAAGTCATTCTACTATAAAGACACATGTAAACTTATGTTTATTGCAGCACTGTTTACAATAGCAAAGACTTGGAACCAACCCAAATGCCTGTCAATTATATACTGGATAAAGAAAATGTGGAACATAAACATCATGGAATACTTTGCAGCCATAAAAAAGGATGAGTTCATGTCCTTTGCAGGGACATGGATGAAGCTGGAAATCATCATTCTCAGCAAACTAACACAGGAACAGAAAACCAAAAACTGCATGTTCTCACTCATAAGTGGGAGCTGAGCAATGAGAACACATGGACGCAGGGAGGGGACCATCATACACCAGGGCCTGTCCGGGGGTAGGAGGTTAAGGGAGGAATAGCATTAGGAGAAATACCTAATGTAGATGACAGGTTGATAAGTGCAGCAAACCACCAAGGCACATGTATACCTATGTAACAAACCTGCACGTTCTGCACTTGTATCCCAGAACTTAAAGTATAATTAAAAAAAACCTCTTATTTTCAATCTTACATATTTGCCTTTTGAATAAATTGTTTAGTCCATTCATATTTAATGTTAATATTTTTAAAGATAGATTCACATTTGCCTTTTTTATATCAAATTTATATAATTTTTAATTAAATTCAATTTAAAGCCTTCTTTTATCATTATTCCCTTTTGCATAACATAAAAACCACAATACATTTCTGGCCAAAACTTCTGGATTTGGGTCACAGTTGCAAATTTTTATTCCTTTAGGAAGCCTTTAAAATTCTTTTGACATCATTTTTCTCATCAGTCAAATGGGAGCTACTATTTTTGCTTTGCCTAAGTCCCAGCAATTTTTGGTGAAAGTGAAATCTGAGCATAAACCTGAATGGGTTTCCTGAGTGAAAGATAGCTATGACTAAATAGGTGAGACATTTTGGGAAAAGTAGGAAGTTGCCACCTTTGCCATAACTATACCCTGATCTCTGGCACTCCTTACATGGCCACTACAGCCCTGTCTCAGGGGGGCCCATATCCACAGATCAAAGTTTCCTACCTTGGTTTTAACTTGAAACTGAAATTCCCTCAAGAACTTGACAATGAGCAAATGCATAGTAATTGTCTCCAACTAGACTACATTTTTTTATTCCATAAAATCACTGTTTCACAGGATTATTGCTTTACTTGAAACCAGGGGCTTCAGCATCACGAGTGAGGGTGATCCAGTAACAAAGGAGAAGAACATATTTGCACTCATTGCTTGAATAGGTTTTTCACTCAAAATCTCTCTTCTACAGCAGGAACAAACTTTAACTCCCCATTCCTGACACTAGAAACAATTTTATCTTCTTCTGGTGAAAAACAACTTCCCTCCTGCCTGGGATTTGGGCTTCCTTTGACCTAGGCCACTTATTTGAGTTCCAGTGTTCTTAACTACACAGGTTGGGGGAGGGTGACAGAATTGACTTCACAGTGTCATTGTGAGACCTATTTTACATGAATATATAGAAAACTACTTATGTATATTACATACTCAGTATGGATTCTCTCCCTTACCTATCTTACCTCTCACAAGAAAACCTGACTGTGAGGCCTCTGTACTGTGCCTTGTCAATCACTCATGCCTCAGAATAAGTAAATGCAACATTCATGTCAATTAGACTGTCCTGCAATATCAAGGGTAATACTGCAGTCAAGGATGTGGAGAAATTTCCCACCAAGCATTGGTTGAAGTCTCATGGATTAATGGAAATTAATAAGGCAAAAAGGAGGAAGAACAATCTACATTTTATAGAGAAAGAGGTAGACACTTGGAACTAAAGAGAAAAAAATGTGGAAAAAAAAATTAAGACATGCCTAGGACCTGAGTGAATGAACAGAAAATGGAAATGAGAAAAATTAAGATAGATTCCTCTTATCATGGATTTTATTTATGACCTCTTAACCCCAGGACATGCTTTCTCCAAATATATTCAACTCTCTAAGTGGCTGTCCATGACCTAGGTCAATCAAAAAGGGAAAAAGCATACGATTTTTTTTTTTTTTGAGACAGAGTGTCACTCTTTTTGCCCAGGCTGGAGCACAGTGGCGCAATCTCGGCTCACTGCAACCTCTGCCTCCCAGGTTAAAGCGATTATCCTGCCTCAGCCTCGTGAGTAGCTGGGATTACAAGTGCCCACCACTACGCCTGGCTAATTTTTTGTACTTTTAGTAGAGGCGCGGTTTCATCATGTTGGCCAGGCTGGTCTTGAACTCCTGACCTCAGGTGATCCATCCGCCTTGGCCTCCCAAAGTGCAGAGATTACAGGCATGAGCCACCATGCCCTGCCAACATATGATTTTAAGACAGAAATCCATCTTATTAAATTTTTTAAAGCAAGCTCTATTCTGAGAAGCATGATTAAATATTTGTTGGGAATTCTTTCGGGGCCTTTATGAGGCAGCCAAGTTGTCAAAATTCTGAAGATACTGCATCATTCTTAGACTGTGACCTTCAAGAAAATTAATTGTCACTCCTGTTTATCCTTCCTTGAAGACATTCCAAGCCTGCAGGTTTTGTGAAGTTTTTGGCTGCATGTACCTAAATTTTTAGACTGCTAAATTGTACTTGAAGAATTTCAATGTGAAATGAGATTTACACCAGTCTGTCTAACAGGCCTGACACCCAACTCAAATATTATTCCAATCTGGGTGCTCTCCCATCCTCCAAGCTGAAAATTAAGTACTAGTGATTCAAACTGAGTATTTTCAAGGCAAAATTTTCCTCAACTCCCATTCTCCTTCTCTATGTCTTCCATGATTAAATAATAAGCATCATGCTGAGAGAGAACATTTAAAATTCTAGGTAATGGTGTGCATAATGCAAAAACAAAGGAAGAATCATCAGATGGGTCGTAGCAGTCATTTTTATATGTCTACAATGCTCTTTTCTATACTGCTGTTCTCTTCAAAGCTGAAGTGACAATCCCTTAAAAAATAAATTCATGAGGAACATGCTAATGTGCCAGGTACTTTGTTCAGTTTTGATAGTAACCCAGGATAAAAGCAGATACGATTCCTACTCTCAAAGTGGTGTAAATAACAATTTAAGGTAACAATGGAAGACATTTGTTGGGGCAATATAGGAGTTATTATCAAAAGAAAGTAACAACAATAAATTCTCTAAATAGCCTGGTCATGAAGGAGGGCCCTTTGAAAAGAAGGTGAACTTTTTCTCAGGCAGCAAAAGGCAAGTCTCTATTTATTTCTGTGTGGCTATTATACTTATTATTTAATAGGCTTCAATTGATAAGAATGGTATTATTGAGTTTCTTTGTTAGGCATTTTAGCCTTTTTGCTACCAGAAAGTCTTGACCCATTGTTAAGCTAGCTATATAACCTCAGATAAGTCATTGAAACTCAGCTTATTTGTGTATATAATGGCAACAATAACACAATCTTTTAAGGTAATTGTGTGATCTAACTTAAATAAGGTAACATCCGAAAAACTCTGCACAATGCCTGGCATATGGTAAATGCTCAGCTATCTCCAGGTTAACTATGTGGCTTTGATTTTGCACTTACGGTCTTCATCGCTGCATTTTTCTTAAGAGGGCAAAAAATGAGAACAACAATTTTAATCAATTATTCCCTTTAAAAGATATCTCCATTCTGTTAGGAAAAGATAGCTACGATAGACTTTACTATTGTTCCCCTCAGGGTCTGAGCATGACTCTGTTTGGCCAATGAAATGTAAGCAAAAGTGGTAAGTGGCATTTCCATATGGAAACATCTGGTTGCTGATACTTAAACCTCTAGCTCGTCCCACTCAGTTGAAGTGATTGTGAAAGTGTGGCTTGATATGGGGTTGAAATGCTGAGCCACAGCATGAAAAACAGCCACCCTGGAGAGGGGCCCAAACCTGAAGCAGACATTGCACAAGTAAGAATTAAGACACTGACATTACCATAATAAACTCCCAAATATATTACAGTTAGCTTCGTTTGGTATTCGGTTTTCAGAAGCAGTTAACAAGATTTATCTAATATTATTAATAAAGGGCTTCATGATCAAGTTAAATTAAGGGAAAACATCTGGGTGATGTCTGGAAACACTAATACATTATTCTCCCAAGCATGAGAATAAATGCATAAGAAACTCACACAGTGAACACTGGTCATCTGAATTCTGTAATGAAATGCAAACTCCCTCTCTGATTGCAAAATTTAGATTGTAGTACCCCATTCTTGCCAAGGATGCCATCTGGCTTGGTGAATTAATTCTTGGGTGAGAAACTCATGGAATTTCCAAGATAAACTTCTTGGAAACGTTTGGCAATCAGGAAGTATCCTTGGCCAAAACTCAGGGCTCTGAGAAACTGCTCTAACAAGCAATGTAACTTTCAATGTCAGTGCAATGGATTAGCTCTGTGGCTTGGTCAAACCACTTTTCACTTCTCTGGGCTTTAATGTCCCAGATGAAAGTGTTGGATTAATGATATTCAAGGTCTCTCCTAACATCTTATTAATTTATAATATGTAGTTTCAAATGAGAAAATAAAATGCAATCCCCATAAACTAGAACTTATTACTCTGAAGAAGTTAAAACTCATGATGAAATTTCAAAATCTCAAAATATTTCTCATAATACTAACCAACAGCAAAGAAGTACTATGAATTAGCATTATTCTATAAGAAGTAAAAGTGTAAAAATACCCTCTTACATGTGACCATCTTGAAAACAAGTTCTGCTCCTTTCTCATCTTTGTAGGTCCATGAAACATGGTATCTGGCCTACGTAGAGGGTACCCAGAAATTACTTGTTGAATTGATAGATGTACAGATAAATTCATGGATGATTAAATGGAATGGATGAATAATGAAAATATTTTCTTGGCATTCTTTTCCTTATGTATGTATAACTGACTGTGTAAAATTGCTCTTTGTAAGAAATAACCTTTATGAGTATAAATTTAAAATGCTTAAATAAGTAGTATACAAAGTGGACAGAAGTAGAAGTCAAAAGACCAAAGTTGCAGAGCTGATGCATAATTCATTAGTGGTATGACTTTGGAGGAACCACTTCACCATGAACCTCAACGTTCTCATCAATAAAACGTCTATGAAAAATGTATTATATCTCTTAAGTAAGAGTTGCTATGAAAATAAGATGGTATGAGACATAAAGAGGCTTTGAAAAATGAAGATATATATATGATAGTTGGAAACCGGGCAATGAAGAGCAGTTTATATTTATGATAGTAAAAGTTCTCAGAATGAACTATCCCAAGAATATTTCATTGGGCTGGAAATCTTTTTATTCTCACAGTACCTTGAAACTTGCTTTTTACTGAGTCCTAAGTTTCCTGTCCTTTCTTAGAAAAAATGCTTTTAAAAATACCTCTATCCTCAAAGTTGACACTGGTTTTGTCTTTTATACCAATAATTTTTTTCTACCCTGAAATTCTTTGATCAGACTTGTCTTCCCTTTCCAAACTCTAGATGTCCAGGTCCAATACATAGGCTTTTTCTCTATATAAACCCTCTCTCTAAATGAAGTCTTCCAGACCTGTTATTTCAATAAGCTTATTACTCCTAACTTTAGGTCCATCTTCTACCTTCCCTTGAAATCTAGACTCTAATTTCTGTCTGTTTGCTCAACATTTCCAGTTGTATCTTTAAGAGGTATCTCAAACTCAGCAAACTCTCAAATCCATCTGCCACTCTATGCCTTTTCTCATCTCTGCGAAAGACTCCAGGCACCTAATATCTATAGCCCAGAACATTGGAAAAATCATTGATCCTTCTTCTCTCACACTGCACATCCAATCCAACCAAAAGATTTTGTCTACTTGCTCAGCTCCTCTTTTCTCTCTCCCTGACTGTTGCAAGAGCCACCTAACTGGCTTTCCTGCTTGCACTTTCACTCCACCATGATACCATTTTGGACAGAATTAATGGCATAATATTTTAAATATATGAGTCAGATCAGAGAATGGACCCGTTGAACATCCTCCAATCACTCGCCATCAGACTTAGAACCACATCTAGAGTCCCCTTGCTCAGTGCACTCCAGCTCAATGGCTTTCCAGTCAATGTTCTAATATGCCAAGGCTGATGTCTGTCGTTGAGAGTTTTGCATGCCATTCTTCCACTCTCACAGTTTACTTCCTCACTTCTTTCCAGAGATTCTCAAAAGTCATCACTTTGGAGAGGCCTTCTATGACCATCATCTTTGGAATTCCTCTCCTTGTTATCTGTATCTTCTCACCCTACTTTATTCTTCTTCATTGCACTATCACTATCAGATTTTACTTTTATTTCATTTTTTAGTTAGTTTGCTTTTCTTAAATATATTTAGTTAACCTAATAATATACAGACATTGTTTTTATATAAAGAAGAAATGATAAACTTTAAGAAATCAGAACAATTGAGATGTGGGTTATTCACTCTGAGGCTCATTCATAAAGCACTGAAGCTTAGGAAGTGAACAAGAAGAATAAGATAGACAGGCCCATAATTCCCTCTTATTGAATTAGAAAAACTAACACAATGGGTTGAAGACCTGAGAATTTCAGAACTGGAAGAAGCCCTACTTATTTTTTTTTTTCAATTTAAATTTCTTAGTTGACAAATACAGATTTTATATATTTATCACATATAACATGTTGTTTTGAAATATGTATATATTGTGCAATGGCTAAATAGAGCAAATTAACATATGTAATACCTCACATACTTACTATTTTTTTGTGTGGTGAGAACACTTAAAATCTACTCTCTTAGCATCTTTTAAAAACTAGTTAATTTGTTTGTATGAAAGGAGAGAGAGAGAATCTTCACATTTTACAGAGGGAAATCCTTAGGGGTGAAAAATGAAAGCAGGTATCTTACTCCAGTGACATTCAGTCAGTGAGATACAGTGTGTGGAGAGTGGGAAGGGTGTCTCCTGATGCTCCATAACGTTTCTTTAAACTACACAGCTGAGTATCCATTACAATCAGTGTTTTCAATAATAATTAAAAATCACTGCAGTTCTGGAAGGAAGAGAAAAAAGAGATGTCAATATAAGCCTACTTTTCAGTTCGGGTTAAATTAGGATTTATGGATAATTCTGAATAACAATGTTTTAAAATATTCTAAAATACCATCTAAATGCTGAGACTGCTGGTATTTTACAGTTTTGTTAATCTCTATAGAATGAATGATGTAGTCTAAAAATGGTAGGAGTTAAAACAAATCTAGACTTGATTTTATTTATGGTTTCCTTTCTGTCTGAAATCCTTATTCAGTGAAATTTGCAATGGCATTAATAAAGAAAAGGCATTGGTTGTGTCAGATTTTTTAAGCAACATATTGAGTTTAAATTTTAAGAAAAATCTAATCTTCTGATAGATGGCCATTGTATCCACTAAATGCTATATAAAGCAATGTTATTAAAAATTAACAGGCCTTTTATGCATAACATGGGCCTGCTCTGCTATCATTTACATTTCTAATTTCTCATTGAGTTACTTCATATATTTCAATTGCTTATCATTGCAACTGTGATAATTTATAAAATACTAGTCAATCATATGTTCTTTAGTCAGCAGACTTTTGTTCCTTTTATTAGAACTTGCAGTAGACAGTCTGACTCCATTTTGTTGTTTGACTGCTGACAGCTTGCCTTCTGCCCCACATCTGGGTAAGCTGTCAAGAAATCCAATTCTCCCTCCTTTAGCACCAGTCTGAAAATCACATAAACCCCAGCCTGTGGTGCACAGGAACCCCCTCTCCTACCACATTTAACTATTATAAACACCCTAAGCCAGCCTCTTTTCCAGCTTTCTCAAGCTATTTTTGGACGAGGTTTGGGAGCCTGCCTTGCTATCCTCAGAAAGCCTCAATATGTAAGGAATAAACCTTTCATGGTGTATTAGCCTGTTCTTACACTGCTGATAAAGACATACCTGAGACTGGGTAATTTATAAGGGAAATAGGTTAATTGACTCCCAGTTCCACACAGCCAGGAAGCCCTCACAATCATGGCAGAAGGTGAAGGAGGAACAAAATCACTTCTTACGTGGTGGCAGGCAAAAAGAGTGTATGTAGGGCAACTTCCCTTTTTCTAAAACCATCAGATCTCATGAGACTTATTCACTATCATGAGAACAGCATGGGAAGGATCCACCCCTGTTATTCAATTACCTCCTACTAGGTCCCTCGCCCAACATGTGAGAATTACAGGAGCTACAATTCAAGATGAGATTTGGGTGAGAACACAGCCAAACCATATTACACACCCGCTAGGTGTGTATGTGGTATACCCATTCTCAACATCTGAACCAAATTTTGGGGTCCATCCTTATGCAGAATGAATAAAAGAACTCTTCATTTTTGTATTTTACACATTATGTAACAATTATATAGAGAATATAACTACTTAGAAGAAAAGATCTCAGTTGGTCTAAATCACTTTAAATTCTAATATAACTATCCACCCCAACATACACATTCTGTAGAATAAGAAATGGTACTTATTTAAGGAGGTTATATTTCTAGTAGACCAAACTTACCTTTGTATTTAACATTGAGTGAATGTACTCAAGAACTTTGCCTTTGTTAGCTTAGGGTATTAGCTTAGGGTAGAATATGACTATCTCAGGAAGCTGCTTATTCCTTCTCAGAAAATAGAGACAAATAAGATGTTTTCTGTACTTTCTAAAGTTCTTGACATAATAGAGTTATTTCCTCCCACATTTTTATAGGTTATCATGTCAAACTATGATTTATATTTCTAAAATAATGTACCTAAATTATCTATTTTGATTATTTATTCACTGATTAATTTATTTCCATCCCCATGTCAGAATTGAGTTGGCAGTAGTTCTCAGACATGGCTGGCACAGAATCATTGTTGGTCTGTGCCTGGGCTTTCTCTTTCTTTCTTTCCTTCTTTCTTTCTTTTTTCCTATTTCCTTCTTTCTTTTTCTCTTTTTCCTTCTTTCTTTTTCCCTTTTTTCTTCTTTCTTTTTCCCTTTTTCCTTCTTTCTTTCTTTTTCCTTCTTCCTTTCTTCTTTCTTTTATACGTTATTGTTTATCTACACATTAGAGTTTCCAGATAAAATATGGGATGGCCACTTAAATTTGAATTTTAGATTAATAACATTTTGTAAATATGACCACATATTTAGTATAGGTATATGCCATGCAATATTTTGGACTCAAGCAAACAAACAAACAAAACAACTACTGCTGCTTTTCCTTGTAAATCCTCTTGGGCTGGTCAAGATTGAAATGGTGACCCTCTCAAATGGTAGTCTTTTTAATCCAATATTATTTGGTTACAATTAACCATTATTTGGTGTTCATCTGAAATTCACATTTAACATCATGCCTTTCTCCTTATCCCCTGAACTTAATTCACACTTTCATAAGCTCCTAGTCTTGTATATTTAGTATGTAAATATTTTCATTTATGTTTATTTATATATATTAATAAAGTATTATGTATGCATGTACATATTTAAAATTTAAGTAATTATTTGGCTTCAAATTACATTCTGCTTTCTCTTTTAGCATCACTATTTTAATATTCTATCCAGTGGGCTAATACATAGTATTCTACCTAAGCATGGACTACAATTCACTTACACTTTCCCGTAAGGCTAATACCTATGATGTTTTGGTTTTTTGCAAAAAGCAGTGCTGAAATTATATTCTTGTACATGTACTCTTCTGTTCCTGTATTGAAATTTCTATGACATATACATGAGTGAAATCACCGACTTGGATATGTATTTGTTCTTCATTTAAAAATAAACTTCCAGATGGTTGTCTTAACAGTTACTTCAGTTTACACTCTCAACACAAGCACGTGAGATTTTCTTTCTCTTGGTCTTCTTCAGCAATTAATATTATTAAATTTTCCTTTTTTGTCAAAGTATAACATTTTAAACTATACTTCTAATTTTTACTTCTCTGATTACTAATGAGATTAAGCATTATAATATCGTACTTTTCTAGTACATCACATTTTTGTGCTTCTCTTTGTGTGTTGGGTAATTTTGGACTCTTTCCTTTACACTTTGAATGTTATGTTTGGGGCCTTTGCAATCAAAGACCCTTTTTTCCCCAAAGGAGTGTTATAGTCATGTGTTTGTTGCTTGGTTAAATACACTGTCCTACAAAATGCATTAGCTCAGATCTCTGTGCAACTGATTTAGATTTTTTACTTAGATAAGGTATTTACTTTCCATCCTATTTATGTGTAGTTCAGTAATCAGACAGAGACTGGATAAAGTTTACACATACAACCTAAGTGGGGTCCACTTTCTCTGTCCCTCTTTCTTCACAGATTGCTTTCTCATTGTTGGACATTTATGGTCATGACCCCAGCTTTTCTCTTCCTTGTGCAAGAAAGATGACATGTTTTCTACTGCCGCTTCAGCCACCTACAAAATGTCATGACTAGGGCCCACCCTCAAGCTAAATCTACAAAGGTAGGGAACTCACCCATTCCCATCTCTTCTTCCGAGTTTCAGCTTACCTCCAAAGTCTGAGTTTGGTAGTTGCCTTTTAACTTTTGTTCAGAGTTTATAGATGTTTTCTGTAGGTGGATTGATCTACCATGAAGTGACTCTGTCACATGGAAGCAGAACGCCTCACTCACTAAGTTTTATACTGCATTATTTATATATTTCACTTTTAAAATTTTCATTTAGTTTATTGCAATTTTTTCTGGTCACATGAAAAATATTCTCTTGTTCCTTGTATATTTTGTAATATAATCTGTTTCATTTACTTTGTATATGATCATTCAAATACCTGATGTCTTTGAGGGTATAACTCTTGTTTGCAATTTCTACTGCTTTCTCTCTTCTTGTTTCCATGTGTTTTTTTATAAATGTTTTTTTCATTGTAAGCTCATAATTGGCTCAATGTAGTCTATGAGAATCTGAAGGGTCATAAATTGAGCCTGCTTTTCTCAAGATAAGAGTTTTTATTTGCTTCTGCCACGTTTGGTCTTTCAAACATGCCACAAACATGGAACAACTTTCCTTTTTTTCTTTTGTTTTAACCTGGTGATAACCTAACAAGAGAACAGTCAGTGCAGACGTTATGGGTGCCGGACCTGTGTGGGCACACAGAACCTTGAACTCAGAAAGGCATCACGCTTGGTGTAATGCTCTGCTGTGGCCATTTACAAATTCTTAATAATAATTTGTAAACAAAGGCTCTCACAGTTTCATTTCACACTGGCCCCACCATAGCTGATCTTGAGGAGTGTATACCTGAGTTTACCACAGTAATAGTGCTATAGCCATAAATTCTATGGAAATACTATGTTCTTGTTATTGTTGAAAGTATTTCCATGGTATAGCGAATAAATGAACTCTCTGTTGCTTCCATTTATAGGCAGCTAGCTGTTCTTCTGCCCACACTTATACAGAAGTTGTATTTCTTTGAATGCCAAAGTTTTATTAAGATACTCCACTTCTGCTCCCCAACTGTAGCAGACAGTGCTAGTGATGACACAGATGCCCTCCAATCCATTTCAAGCTAGACATGTTCTTCAGAGGGCCTCCCTTAAGCTACTGGAGCCATTGTACTGGATCTGCACAGAAACTAGAAGTTCCTAGGAGTTTCTCCCTTCAACCTCCCCACATACACCCTTAGCCAATTACTATTAGGTGCAGGTGTATGAAAACCCAGGATTTTTTTAGGGCAGAATGCCGAGACCAGCTCGGTAAGGGAGACCCTAACCCAGCGGCGCTAGAGGAATTAAAGACACACACACAGAAATATAGAAGTGTGAAGCAGGGGTCTCACAGCCTTCACAGCTGAGAGCCCAAACAGAGATTTACCCACATATTTATTAACAACAAACCAATCATTAGCATTGTTTCTATAGATATTAAATTAACTAAAAGTGTCCCTTATGGAAAATGAAGGAATGGGCCGAATTAAAGGAATAGGTTGGGCTGGTTAATTGCAGCAGGAGCATGTCCTTAAGGCACAGATCATTCATGCTATTGTTAGTGGCTTAAGAATGCCTTTAAGCAGTTTTCCGCTCTAGGCGGGCTAGGTGTTCCTTGCCCTCATTCCCACAAACCCACAACCTTCCAGCTTGGGCGTTGGGGCCATTATGAACATGTTACAGTGCTGCAGAGATTTTGTTTGTGATCAGTTTTGGGGACAGTTTATGGCCAGATTTTGGGGGGACTGCTCCCAACACGTCCCCCTTCTCTGATTTGCAAATCTATAAAAGCAAAGGCAGCTATATCACGGTGAGCTACTTCTCTCAGGAGTCAGGATCCACATCTGCAAACTATACAAAGACAAACAACACAGATTAAAAGCACAATCATCATTGAAATCACAGAGCTTCCAAGTGTTTTTATCCATTTTCATGGGTTACTAGCTGCTAATTTGTCTGTAACTCCTTCAAGTACTCCAGTTCCTGGCATTAAGGTCAGGTGTGCCTGGGATGCTTTAAATATTTGTTCTTTTAATTTTAAATCCTTACGTTAAGCTCCTAGAGCGGGCCATATCATTTGAGGCTGAGGTGCCACTATAACGCCATGGTTCCAGATAATAGGAACTTTTGCCATACTTCTTATCATTTCTACCATCTGACCATTTTGTTCAGATCATCTGAACATAGTGTGGCCGTGGCACGCAGACTGAGAGGTGCAATTAAAGCTAAACATCCCCTTAGGGGACAAATTAATAATGATTCCATATGAATCATTGTGCAGCACCTCTGCCTGTTATGCAATGCAATCTTCCTAAACAAGTACGTTCATTTTTTCTAACTGGGTCCAATCCTGTTTACAAACAGGTTTTTGAGGGCAGTATGCCTCAATTATATTATGGTAAATACTGAGATCAGAAAGCATGTGTAACTGTGTCATAAAGTGATTGCATCCAGGCATTATTGCCAGCCAAGATTGATAAATATACCCAATAAGTATAATTGTTCTCTGTGTCAGCCCTTACTGAAAGAATACTCATGGCTGTGGTGATAACCGCTATCATAGCTACCATCAGATTTACTCATTGTGACCGATTGTCCTGCTTTCCTCAGGTTTTCTTCTGCCATCTGTGACAGCTTCTTGATCTGTCCCCAGATGGGTGGCTGTGCTCGTGACAGTTGGAGTCCTCCTCAGCATCAGTCTCAACATGGCTGCAACTGGGGGGTTCTCAGGATCCTCCCGGAGTCTATTCCTCAGCATCTGGCTCACGATAAGGTTTCAGGTGTCTTGATGGTATCCAAATAGGCTATTGATATTGGCCTGGAGAAACACAAGCATAACCTCTCCCCCAAGTTATTATTTTACCTATTTCCCAACTTCGTGTTATCGGATCTCTCCACCAAATCAGTTGTTCTGTTTTTGTCCTTGCAGCTGGTTTCTGTAGATGCTGTTCAGCTGCTGATAACATGTGGCCTTTGGGCAGGCTCAAAAAATTTACTGTTAATAATGCTAGGTTCAGTTGCATCTGTGGGGTTCCATATTCTCTGTCTCCCCCTTTCTGCTTTTGCAACTGCTATTTTAGGGAGAGATTCATTCTTTCCACTATGGCTTGTACTTGAGAATTGTATGGGATACCGGTGATGTGTTTAATATTCCACATATAGAAAAATGTAGCCAGAGCTTGGCTAGTATAGCCTGGGGCATTATCTGTTTTAATAGAAGCTGGAATGCCCATCACCACAAAACACTGCAAAAGATGATGTTTAACACAGGCAGAAGACTCTCCTGATTGGCATGTAGCCCAGACAAAGTGAGAAAAGGTGTCCACACATACATGTACATAAGCTAGTCTCCCAAATGAGGGAACATGTGTGACATCCATTTGCCAAAGAGAGTTAGTTTCCAATCCTCAAGGATTAACTCCTGTAAAAGATGAGGAATGTACCATTTGGCAAGTTGGGCATTGCTTGATAATAGCTTTAGCTTCTTTCCAGGTAACGCTGTATCTGCGTTTGAGACCAGACGCATTAACATGGGTTAAATTCTGAAAGTGTCTAGCATTAGATATTGCATTAGCAACTAGGCGATTGCCATTTGATTTCCTTCAGTCAAAGGTCCTGGAAGAGGTGTATGAGCCCTAATCTAAGTGATGTAAAAAGGGTGCATTCTACTCCTAACTGCTGTTTGCAATTGGGTAAATAAAGTCATCAGTTATTCATTGGTATGAAATTGTAACTGAGCATTTTCAATTAACTGTGTGGAATGAACCAGGTATGCAGAATCAGAAATCCCATTAGTAGGCATATCAAAAGCAGTCGATATCTCAATTACAGCTACAAGCTCCACTTTTTGAACTGAAGTATAGAGCAGCTGGAAAACTTTACCTTTTGATCCAAAATAAGAAGCTTTAGCATTACTAGACCCATCTGTAAAAACATTCTCAGTACCTTCAATTGATTTAAATTTAGTTATTTTAGGGAGAATCCAATTAGTTAATTTCAAATACCGAAACAGTTTCATTTTAGGAAAATGATTACTGAGAATACCCACAAAGTCAGCTAAATGGGTTTGCCAAGTAAGACTATTTATAAAGCTTGCTGTATTTGTACCTTCGTGAGAGGGACAATAATTTTTCCAGGATCATATCCAAGTGATTTAACAATCCGAGTTCTCCCAATTCCTATCATAGTAGCGATTTGATCTAAATAAGGAGTTAGAGTCTGTGAATTAGTATGTGGAAGAAAAAGCCACTCTACTAAATCCTGTTCTTGGACAATAACACCAGTAGGTGAATGCTGAGTTGAAAAAATTAGCAAATCTAGAGTCTTCTCTGGATCTATTCTATTTATTTGAGCTTTATGGACTTGCTTCTCAATCAGTTGTAACTCTGCCTCAGCCTCCTTTGTTAATTGCCGAGGGCTAGTAAGACTAGGATTTCCTCTAAAGATAGAAAACAGATTACTCATGGCATAGGTAGGAATGCCTAGAGCAGGTCGTATCCAAGTAATGTCCCCTAGTAATTTCTGAAAGTCATTTAATGTTTTTAGTTGATCCCTATGTATGGTTACTTTCTGTGACACAATGGTAGTGTCATACTCCCCAAGTAGGAGTAATAGTTGGGGAGTAAGTAGTGTCCTACTCCCCAAGTAGGAGTAAGGAGTAGTAGTCTGAATTTTGTCAGGAGCTATAATTAAACCAGCATGAGAAATCGAATTTTGCAAATGATCATAACATTGGAGTAATATTTCTCAAGAGGGGGCAGCACAAACTATATCATCCATGTAGTGAATAATGTAACATTGTGAAAATTTTTTACGAGTAGGTTCAATTGGTTGCCCCACATACGTCTGGGAAATTGTTGGACTGTTTAACATGCCCCATGGCAATACTTTCCAATGATAACGCTTAGCAGGCTGCAGGTTGTTTACTGCAGGAATTGTAAATGCAAACCGTTCACAGTCTTGCTCAGCTAAAGGGACAGTAAAGAAACAGTCTTTTAAATCTATGACTATTAAAGGCCAATTTTTTGGAATTATAGCAGGAGAAGGTAATCCTGGCTGTAATGCTCCCGTAGGTTGTATAACTGAATTGATAGCTCTTAAGTCAGTTAACATTCTCCATTTACCTGATTTTTTCTTAATTACGAAAACTGGAGAATTCCAAAGGGAAAATGTTGGAGCTATGTGCTCATTTTTTAATTGTTTAGTAACTAATTTCTCTAAAGCCTCCAGTTTCTCTTTACTTAGTGGCCATTGTTCTATCCAAATTGGCTTATCTGTTAACCATTTTAAAGGTGTACGTTCTGGAGGCTTAACAATGGCTGCCATCAAAAACTATTTCCTAATCGTTGGCAGGAACTTTGTTTTTCCGTTTGAAGTGGTTTTTTTCAAACCTTGCAAATTTTTTTCTAGTCCTATACCAGGGACATGCCCCATTTCATGCACCGTATGTTGATTTTGAGGGCTATATAATTGTTCTGGAATTAGAACTTGTGCTCCCCATTGTTGTAATAAATCTCTTCCCCATAAATTTATAGGTACAGAAGTTATAATTGGTTGAATAGTCCCAGGTTGTCCATCGGGCCCTTCACAATGCAAAATATAACTACTTTGGTATACTTCAGGGGCTTTACCAACGCCAAATATGTTAAATTGAGTGGGTTGAATTGGCCACATGGATGGCCAGTGCTGTAGAGAAATGATTGAAATGTCCACTCCTATATCTACCAAACCTTTAAATTTCTTTCCTTGAATAGTTATTTCACAGGTAGGATATTTATCAGTAATTTGATTTACCCAATAAGCTGTTTTGTCTTGTTTATTTGTGCTTCCAAATCCTCCTGTTCATTTAATTTCACTTTTTCTCATTTCCACACACGGCACAATCAGGAGCCGTGCTATGTGCTCTCCTGGCTCTGCTTTCCAGGGAACAGAAGTAGATATAACAATTTGAATTTCCCCATTGTAATCTGAATCAATGACTCCTATATGTATTTGTACCCCTTTTAAACTTAAACTAGACTTTCCTAAAAGTAATCCTATTGCCCCTGCTGGCAAGAGTCCACAGACTCCTGTTGAGACCTTTTGCAGGGGTTCCCCAGGCAGAAGGCTCACAGCTTTTGTGCAGCATAAATCTACTGTGGCACTACCGGCTGTGGCAGGGGACAGACATTGTATGGGGGTGAGGGAATGGCCTGAGCTGGAAATGCCCTGGTTTAGAACAGGGCCCAGGATGGGCCCCTCATGGCGTTTCCCAAAATCGGGTTCCCCTCTTTATCAAACTTAGAGTGACACTGATTAGCCCAATGTTTTCCTTTTTTACATTTTGGACATATTTCAGGCTCAACAATTTTCTTTTTTCCCCTCTCTGGCGGCCTGACTTGCTGACTTTTTTCTACATTCTTTTTTAGTATGAATAGCTTGTTTAAATTCTTTGAGTAATTTAAAAGGAAAAGGCTCAAATGTAGCTATAATACTTCCTTTTTGATCTGGGGGTGTATTCTAACAGGGAACTGCCAAGCCTCTAAATCACCCTCTTGTTTAGCTTGCTGAATTCCTGCCTGAGTAGAACTAAGAGCGGTCGCTCGAGGCACTGCTCGAACTGTCACTGGGGCCACTACTTTTCACCCAGTGTCCTCTGGAAAAGAAAGATCTGGAGGGTCATTTTCTTCCAAATAATAAGGAGGGGGTGCAGAAAGGTACGGATGAACCTCTCACTCCTTTGCCGCTTTAGCTTTAGCTGGCAAATAAACATGCTCTGTAACCTCTTCTGTTACTTCGCTATACTCTTGTTCCTCCTCAACATCAGCGTGAAAAAGTTCCAAGGTGAAATGAACCAGACCCCACACCTGTCCCATTGTTACCCTGACGCTTCCAAGCTCCCCTTCTTACTCACCACAGGGATTGCTTTAAGAGTACTCAGATGTCCTCCAGCTAGTTTTCTGTTCCAACCATCGCTCCTGTGACCCTTTGACCTGGATTCAGTCCCCACAATGGATGCCACTTGCCGAGACCAGCTAGGTCGGGGAGACCCTAACCCAGCAGCGCTAGAGGAATTAAAGACACACACACAGAAATATAGAAGCGTGAAGTGGGAAATCAGGGGTCTCACAGCCTTCAGAGCTGAGAGCACTGAACAGATATTTACCCACTTATTTATTAACAGCAAACCAGTCATTAGCATTGTTTCTATAGATATTAAATTAACTAAAAGTATCCCTTGTGGGAAATGAAGGGATGGGCCAAATTAAAGGAATAGGTTGGGCTAGTTAATTGCAGCAGGAGCATGTTCTTAAGGCACAGATCGCTCATGCTGTTGTTTGTGGCTTAAGAATGCCTTTAAGCAGTTTTCCACCCTGGGCGGGCTAGGTGTTCCTTGCCCTCATTCCCATAAACCCACAACCTTCCAGCTTGGGTGTTAGGGCCATTATAAACATGTTACAGTGCTGCAGAGATTTTGTTTATGGCCAGTTTGGGGGCCAGTTTATGGCCAGATTTTGGGGGGCCTGTTCCCAACAGCAGAATAACATTACTATATAATATTATAGTAATCTATCATTATAATAATTACATACCAATATTTTAGTAATAGAATATATAATTTATAACATATGTAATATTACCTCATAATGATAATAAACTAATAACTAAATAACAACATTAGATTCTGCCTGTGAGATCAGGTCATAATCACTTTAACAAGATTTTCTCTGAAGGTATACCTTTGGTTGGCTTCTGATATGGTTTGGCTGTGTCCCTACCCAAATCTCAACTTGACTTGTATCTCCCAGAACTCCCCCATGTTGTGGGAGGGATCCAGGGGGAGGTAATTGAATCAAGGCGGCCGATCTTTCCTGTGCTATTCTCGTGATGGTGAATAAGCCTCACAAGACCTCATGGGTTTATCAGGGTTACCCCTTTTGCTTCTTCCTCATTTTTCTCTTGCTGCCACCACGTAAGAAGTGTGTTTCACCTCCCACCATGATTCTGAGGCCTCCCCAGCCATGTGGAACTGTAAGTCCAATTAAAGTCCATTTTTCTTCCCAGTCTTGGATATGACTTTATCAGCAGCATAAAAACAGACTAACACAGCACCTTTCCTTTCTTTCCTACTTCCTCCTCTTTTTATTGGTTTTATGAGTTTCCTGTGATAGTACTTCCTTAAATGCCTGCACAAGAATTTTTATTTTTGGATCTACTTCTAAACAACCTATTGACTTGGCATGATCTTAAAACCTTATTCCTATTCTTTCACGTTGGACTAATACCTCAAATTCTGAGTTTCTGATAGTGGCTTAGGTCCTAGGGTATAATCTCTATAGTTTCAGACCTCTCTCTCTCTGCTGAGGATTTCCCATATATTTTGTTAATGCACTCAGCAATGTATTTAAAATAAATCTGTTGTAAATTATTCAGAATGTGGATGTTTAAGGCAGCTGAGCTATTTTTAGAACACCTGGATTGCCATATTCCTGGAAGTATAAAGTGTTTTGCTTTTTTCCTAGCTATTTGTGTTGAATGCTTAGCTCATGTTTCAGTCTATTTTTTTCTGATCAGTGGATTAAAAGCTATATATACTTCTCTAAGAATTGTTTAATTCACACATATTTTGTTATACATTGCTTTCATTGTCATTTAGTTCAAAGTATTTTGTCATTTACTGTATGTGTTTTTTAACACAGACATTTTCCATAAGTACATTTTTTGGCTTAAATCCATAAGTAATTTAACAACCTATTTTTTGGAGTTTCATTTCTAACTTTATATTTTTGTGTGTCCAAGAGAAACTGTATGGTACAATGTTGAATCTTTTTTTTAATGGTACTATGTTGATATTTGCTTAAAGCTACATTTGTAGCCTAGTACATGATACATTTTTGTGACTATTTTATTTGTTACAGAAAGTTCTCTATGTATCTCTGGATGATAGTCATTTATCACTACATACAACTCTATGTCTTGCTTATTTTTGTCTACTTGTTCTATCAATTTCTGAGAGTGATGTGTTAAAATCTCCAACTATAAGATTAATTGCTACATTAATCTCGTCATTTTCTGCTTTAATATATTTTGAACTTATATATAGTTACATGCGTATATTTGGCTGGTTGTTCTATCTTCTAGATCTATTACTGTTTTTCACAGTAAGTAGCATTTCTGTCACTGATTATGCTTTTGCCATAAAATCTATCTTGTGCTCTACTAAAATTGCTATTCTGTATTTCTTCTGGTGTACACTTGTCTTACATTTTTATATTAACTTTGTTTTTAACTCTTGTATATCCATTTAGAATGATTCTTACATCTGCTGGTTTTGTCATTGTTATGTAATACAATCTGAGTATTGCTCTATTTTGACCAATGAGTTGAAATAGTTTTTTAATTTAATTTAATTTAATTTTATCCTAAGTTCCAGGATACACGTGCAGGACATGCAGGTTTGTTACATAGGTAAATGAGTGCCATGGTGGTTTGCAACACCAATCAACCCATCACCTTGGTATTAAGCCCTGCATGCGTTAGCTATTTTTCCTAAATGCTCTCCCTCCCTCTGCCTCCGAGACATGCCCCAGTATGTGTTGTTCCTGTTACCCCGTGTCAATGTGTTCTCATTATTCAGCTCTCACTTATAAGTGAGAATGTGCGGTATTTGGTTTTCTGTTCCTGTGTTGTTTGCTGAAGATAATGACTTCCAATTCCATCCATGTCCCTGCAAACGACATGATCTCATTCTTTTATATGGCTGCATGGTATTCCATGGTATATATATATACCACATTTTCTTTATCCAGTCTATCACTGATGGGCATTTAGGTTGATTCCATGTCTTTGTTATTGTCAACAGTGCTTCAATGAGCATACACATGCATGTATCTTTATAATAGAAGGATTTGTATTCCTTTGGGTATATACCCAGTAATGGGATTGCTGAGTCAAATGGTATTTCTGGTTCTAGATCTTTGAGGAATTGCCACACCGTCTTCCACAATGGTTAAACTAATTTACACTCCCATCAACAGTATAAAAGCATTCCTATGAAATTGCTTTTATTTATTAAAAATGATTTTATATTAAATGCACAGTACATAATATATATGTATGTGAGTAAATACTATCCTTTATTTTTACCAATTAATTTTGTTTTATGATTACTAAGCTGTTTTTAATTTTTGGTTTTCCTTCTTCTTTCTACCTTCCATTACAGAGATTGAATCTTGATTTAGTAATATCCACAATTAAATTCAGTTTACTCTCTCAATACCTAAGTTTAGTAATATGTATATTTCCCCAAAGCGAGACAAGAATCTTAGCATTCTCATCTCCCACCATTGCTCTCAAATTTCTACATTATTAAAATATATGTTTATATATTATTCCTTACTTAGCATACAATATAGCTTACCAAAAAAAGTTTGCTTACTTATATTTCATGTACTTTATCATTAACTCTCAGATTTATCCTGCCAGGGTATATCCAGCAAGAACTTTTTAAAAGAGGCTTTAGTTTGGTAAAATGTCTGAGAAACTTTGCATGCACAGGAATATTATCATTGTATCTTCATTTTTAGATGATTAGTTAGTTGAATGTAAATTCTAAGTCCAAAATTATTTTTTCAACACTTTGAAGATACTAATCCACTAATGATTGCTAAAGCTTTGATGTTGAAAAATAGGTATCATTCAAAAAATTAATTTATCTGGGCTTTCAAATTCTGTGTTTGTCAAAGGAAAAGTCTTTAGTAGAGTGTGGTTTTGCATTAGTTAGAAATGAACCTGGCTATGAGAGGCAAATAAAAAGCTTTATTAAATTGGTTAATAAATACACAGGAATTTATTTGTCTCATGTGAAAAGAAGTCATGAGGCAGACAACTTGGAATTAGCTCAACAAAACCATCAGGAACCCAAAGTTCTCTAATTGCTAGCTTTAAAGGAAAGTTTCAATTTCCCCATCTTTAAAATAAAGAGATTTTACTAGATGACTACTAAGCTCTCTTCTAGCCACAACATTCTGTTATTCTGCAAACAATAATATCACACAATACAATCAGAGGTGCTCACAATAATGACCTTGAGTTTTTAAGAAATTCATATATCATGCAGCTTGATTGAGACTTTAATAAAACCGAAGGGCTTTTTTTGCCTGACAAAGGCTGACAGATCATCCAGGCTAGTATACATAGTAGATGAAGTCTTTTGAAGGTTTCTGTATTTCAAGATCTAATTTTTCAAGTTCATTTTAAATAAAACTGTTCATATACCTAAGGGTAATCTGGCTCTTAGATACTGGCTTCTGTCACTACATTCATTTGAGACTGACATATAAATACTAGAATAATAATGTATTCAACTGTAACACAAATAAATAATTAATGAAATACTTGCCAGAGCCTTCTGCTCATTGCATTCTCTTACTATAGATAATTTAACAAAGATAGTCATTTTTTAAAAAATGTGGCTTGATGAGCATGATAACAGAGTAAGGATATCAAGATATGCATCCATTTATGTGTGCATTCATTCAAATATACTGATTTAGAGCATACCATGTGGTAAAAACTTCCGAGAAATTTAAATACCATGGTAAGATTTTTTTAATTTTAAGAAAAAATTGCATACAGTATAATTAACAAACATTAATCATTTGGCTCAATGAATATTTAAAGTTTGTTCCTGTGTACCTTCCATATCAGTATACAGTATTTCCAACAACTCAGAAAGTTTTCTGGAGAGATATCAGAAATAGCAGACTTTCAAGACTGGGTTAGAGGCATGCTCATATCTTCCCACAACTACTTGACCTTATTGTGACTTCTATAATAGTAGTTATGTTGACCTGTTCTTGAACTTCATCTTCATGAAACTATATACTCTGTATTTTTTGTGTCTGTCTTCTTTTGACCAAGCACATGTTTTAAACACTCATTCAATACTGTTATGTATACCAGTAGTTTATTCCTTTTAATTTCTGAATAATATTCTATGGTATTGCATGAATATACCACACAAATTTGTTTATTCTTCTGTTCAGAGACATTTAATCTGTTTCCATTTTCTTATATAAGTAATAAAGCTGCCATAAGTCATCTTATAGACTTATTTTTATGGATATATATATTCATTTCTCTTTGATGTATACCTAAGAGTGTAATTTCTTCGTCACAGGGTAGGTATATCTTGAATTTTGTTAGCAATGTCTAAAAAGTTTTCCAAAGTGGTTTTGCTATCATAAATTCCCACAAGCAATGTATAAGAATTTCAGTTGCTCTATTTCATCTTCAACGCTGATATTTCTCCAGTGAAGGTCTAAGCCTACAGGTTTAGGGAATTCAAATTCTGTACGTTCCAAAGAACCAACTGGTTCTTGATCTGCTCCTGAGAGATAACCTTCAAATCCTTGAAATATCCTGCATGATAAGAGTGAGTTTGTAAATGTGGGGCCTTCGATCATGCCAAATAGTTTATGCTAACCATGTGATTTATGGTGGGGAACTTGACCATGCTGTCAGTTTGACATCCGGAGGGGCCGAGTGCTAAGTAACTAAGGTTGGCCACATGGGCAATCCATGCTTCTGTAACTGAAGCCTAATAGAATCTCTAGACAACGAACAGCTTGGGTGAGCTTCCCTGCTTGATAATATTCCACATTGTTTTCTGGAAGAATTGAACATTCTTTACACAGCTTCACTAGGAGCAGACAACTGGAAATTTGCCTGTGGTCTCTCTTTGGGAGACCTCTGTGTCTTTTACCTGATTTTAACCTGTATCTCTTCACTGTAACAAACCATAACCATAAGTATAGCAAAGTATAGCTTTTCTGAGTTCTGTGAGTCCTTCCAGAAAATCACTAAACCTGAGTGGTATTGGGGACACCCGGCACAACGCTGTCGGACTTTAAAAATTTAGTCATTCTTGTAGTGTTGGGGAGGTATCTTATGGTTGCTTTAATTTGTAGTTCTCTAAAAACTAATGATGTTGTGTATCTTTCTATGTGCTTATTGGCCACTCTGATATTTTCTTTTTTGAGGTTTCTGTTTAAATTATTCACCATTTATTTTTTAAAACTAGGTGCTTGTCTAATTCCTTTTGATTAATGAAGGTTCTTTATATATTCTGCAGATGAGTTATTTGTAAAATATATGTATTTCAAATATCTTTCCCAAGGCTGTGGCTTGTATTTTTACATACTTAATAGTGCATTTTGATGAGAAGATTTTAATTTTATTAAGTCCAACTTATCAAAGCAATAAATAAATATTTTATATTTTTTTCAAGAAACTTGATTAACATTCACATTTAGATATGTATCCCAATTTGAGTTAATTTTTACATATAGTGCAAGAAAGAGGTTAAATTTTACTTTTCAATATGACTAGCCAATTGCTTCAACACCACATGTTAGAAAGACCTCCCCTTCTCCCATTGAATTCCTTTGGCACTTTGTTGAAAATCAATTAAACATATATGTGATTATCTACTTTGGGGCTCTTCTTTTTTTCATGTGTATTTATTTTTATGCCAATATCAGGCAGTGTTAATTAGGGTAGCATAATAGTGAGTCCTAAAATCTGATAGTTTAGGTACCCCAACCTCTTTTTTACCCTTTGATATTGTCAGGTAGCCTAAGTTTTCCAACTATGTTCTTTTTCAAGATTATTTAGGTTATCAGCATGATCATGTCTGCTTTAAAAGCAGCTTGTCCATATCTTTTTAAGTTTCTTGTCATTTGACTTTAATATCACAATTCTTGTAGGATTGCATTCAATCCTACAATAAAGAATAGTCATCTGATAAAATTTGGATGTTTGTCCCTTCCAAATCTCATGTTGAAATGTGATTCTCGAAAGAAATGGAGCCTGGTGGGAGATGCTTTGGTCATGAGGGCTGAACCCTCATGAATGGCTTGGTGCTGTCCTGGCAGTAATGAGTCAGTTCTACTCTATGAGTCCGTGCAAGATCTGGTTATTTAAAAGAGCCTGACACCTCCTCCCTCTGGCTCTAGCTCCCCCTCTCACTCCCTCTCTCGCTATGTGACACACTGGCTCCTTTTGCCTTCTGCCACGACTGTAAGCTTCTTGAAGCCCTCACTAAAAGCAGAAGCTGGCATGATGCTTCAGCCTGCAGAACCATAAGCCAAATAAACCACTTTTCTTTATAAATTACCCAACCTCAGGTACTTCTTTATAGCAATGCAAAATTGACTAATACACCATCTTAAAAATATTTTGTCTTGGCCAGGCGCAGTGGCTCACGCCTGTAATCTCAACACTTTGGGAGGCCAAGGTAGGCGGATCACAAGGTCAGGAGATCGAGACCATCCTAGCTAACACGGTGAAACCCCGTCTCTACTAAAAATACAAAAAATTAGCCGGGCGTTGTGGCAGGCGCCTGTAGTCCCAGCTACTCGGGAGGCTGAGGCAGGAGAATGGCGTGAACCTGGGAGGTGGAGCTTGCGTGAGCAGAGATCGCGCCACTGCACTCCAGCCTGGGTGACAAAGCGAGACTCTGTCTCAAAAAAAAAAAAAAAAAAAACTTGTCCTTCTATCCATAAACATAATGTATTTCTAATTAGTTAAATATTATTTCAGCATTTGAGGGGTTACTTTTTAGTACAGACAAACATCTTTCATTTAATTTATTATTAAATATTTGATATGATGCTATTTTACATACTTTATTATGTTTTCCAAATGTCTGTTGCTAGTATATAGAAGTGTGGCTGATTTTTGTTTATATAGATTTTGTAACCAATTATTTTGACATAATTATTGATTAGTTCTAGTGGTTTGCAAATTCCATTGCATACTGTATGTATACAATCACATCATCTTTAAAAACAAATATACATATTTTTCCAATATTTATGCATTTTGTTTCTTTTCCTTGTCTCATTGTACTCGTTAGAACCTCCAAGTTAATACTGAATTGAAGCTGTGAGAGTGGACATCCTTGCCTTGTGTATTAGTCTTCTCAGGCTGCCACAACCAATACCTTAAACTGAGGGATTTACACATAAATTTATTTCTTATAGTTCTGGAGACTGGGAAGTCTCAAATCCAGGTGCCAGCAAATTCAGCTCCTCAGTGACAGCTCTATTCCTGGCTTACCGATGGCCACCTTCTCACTATGTCTTCACATGTCAGAGAGAGAGCTCTGGTGTCTCCTCCTCTTCTGACATAAGAGTCCCACCATGAGTGCTCTACCAGGTTGACCTTATCTAAACTTAATCGTCTTGTAAGATCTCATCTGAGTATCTCATCACATTGAGGATCAGCGCTTTCAGCATATGAATTTGGGTTGGGGAGGATGGAGGAACACAACTCAATCTATACCACCTTGCTTCAAATCTTAGAGGGAAGACATTTAGTCTTCCACCATTAAATATGATAATATCTGTAAAAATGTCTAAACTCTTAATCAGTCTGAAAAAGTTTCCTTTTATTTATAGATCGTTGAAATTTTTTGTTTTTTATCATGAAATAATGCATATATATGTATTTTTTCTCTCTCAAACTAAATTTTACAACTTACTTTTTTTTTTTTTTTTTTTTTTTTTTGCTTTTCAAGGGTTTTGGCCAAGACTATAAACACAAAGATATAAGATAAGAGCAGTAATGTATACTAATGTATATTAAGGACCTAGAAGAGTACCTAAAATACAGCAGACATCTAATACAAAATTTATTAAGTGAATGAATGAATTATGGCAAATGAAAGAGATGTTATACAACTGCAGTGTTTCCCAATAAAGATGAATTATAGAAAATAGTAGACACCCTAGGTACATGCCTGAGTAACTCCTCCTTTCTTTCTAAATTGAAAAAATATGAGCTAAAACAATAGGGCCTTCCTGGTTTAGTTACAGGCTTAAGTGCACAAAGCAGAGGCAGTTAACTGTATGGAATCAAGACCCAAAGAACATAGTCCTTGAGAGAGAGGGGGAGGGGAAAAAGAAATAAAGAAACACAAAGGCATAGAGACAGAGACAGAAACAGAGACAGAGACGGAAAAATTGAGTCAGAGAAATCTGTTTCTGAGACCCCACTTATAACATGGATAAGTCAAAATTACCATTCATTCTTTTTAGGAGAAGAGCAAGTAAAATGTTGAACAAGAAGACAGAAGTGTCTTCTTGCAGTTCCTGTAAGAAGGCAGAAGTATTTGCAGAGGGGAGAATGTGGAAGAAATAGAGAATAATTATCTCTTACCAAATGTAATGGCTTTTGTTGTGTTTTTTCTTTTCTAATAAAATAGTGTTAGCTGCCCTTTTCGTGTTTCTGTTTGTCTGTCAAATATTTTCCTGTCATTTACAAGTTATTTTTTATTTATAATTTTAAGTATTTTGTAAACAATTTGTGATTTGATTTTGTGTTTTAAACCTTATCCAAGCATTTGTCATTTACTAAAATAATTAACCCATTTACTTGTTTTATCATACGGAAGTCTACCTTTTAACTGACACTTTAAGTGATAGAATAGTGCTTATTATAACTTAGGGTACAAGTGATTTTTAACAATGTAGTAATGGCTAAATTACAAAGCAAAGACACTACTACCGAGCTCAGTGGAAAGACAAAATCACTCTACAATTGGTTCTTTCATATATTGAAAATATCATCAATTAAAAAAATAAACATCACATCAGACGGAACCAGAGACACTCAAGAAGAACAAACTGCAAGGAAAATTTGACCAACAAATTATAGCAAGAGCAAGAGTTTAACACTTGGGATCCTTTTTTTTTCTATTAAGAATATGTTGTGGCCTTTTTGGGCTTCCAAAAATGACGTTATAATAGGTTTAGCTAATAATAATGAGTTAACATTGAGTGGCTGTTTTGTGGGAGGCACTGTTCTAAGAGTTTTACATTTATCAACTTATGTAATCCTCACAAAGATACTAAAAGCTCCTATAAGTCTCCTTACTATTAGATAGTATGCACCCAGTATTGCCATAACCATCAGAGAAATACCAAAACCCTTCTGGGTTTTTCTGTAACATATTACTTAGTAACCACTTTGCTATGTACCCTGTGTATATGTTTAGAAAATAAAAGAAAATCTATTCTAATGTGTGTATTAAAATGGCAATACTGGTGCATATTATCTAACAGTAAAGAGCAACTCTTTAATTATTGAGACCACAAGTCACCAAATAATGTCACCTGGCAGTGGTCAGAGACAGGTGATGGGGTCTAAGGGTGGTGCTGGCTCATAGGAAGAAAGACCTTGGTGACTGTTGAGGAAACTAAGGCTACAGAGAGGCTGTGCGGTGGCAAGAGTGTCTGCGGTGCCTACTGGCTGCTCCTTGGAAGCCCAGCATTGGCAGGGGCATCTGTCCAGGTGGCAGGACAGGTGGTATTCACAGCAGCATTGTCAGCATGAACCAAGGTTCAAGCAATAGAGTATGTATTCCCATCTAAATGAATACTTGGCTCTGCCTTATAAGCAATGTGTCCAGCCACCTTCTGGCTGCAACAAAACACCAGGCATCAAGCCACCTTCTGGCTAAAATAAAGCACTAGACACCAAGGACCTAATGATAATGAGTTAAATGGGAATGTTGAAACATTTTGATGCAGTTCCTATGTCAAGCCATGACTCATCGGGGTAAAATCGCAATTACCACTTTTCAAAATTAACAGGAGATTTGCGAATAAAATGATTTGATAAGGAGTTTTCTCTGTAACCACATTATTTAGTAACCACTTTGCTATGTACCCTGTCTATATATTTAGAAAATAAAAAAAAATATATTTTAATATATGTATTTATTTAAGTAATAATTTATATTACTATACCAGTGGCTGAGTATGTTGAATATTATATCGGAGATCTATTTTTATTCCCTTTTTTACAGATGAAGAAACTAGACACAGAATAGTTAAGTAGCTTGTCCAAGGTTATAAATACCAGCTCTGAGTAAATATCAGAGCTGAGATTCAAAAACAGATTAGCTCTGGAGTTTATGAGCTTAAACACTATGTTTTACTGCCTGTCAAATTATTGCTCTGATAAATGATTTTCCACCACTTTTTATTTAACACAACATTTTAATATTATTGTCAGATGCTAAATTACCTTTTTTAGGAGAAGTAGTGCACATTTGAAGTTCTGTTTTGTTGTCAAAATTGATAAGAAACTTCATTTATGTTCTTTTATAACTAAAATTGTTTTGGATTTTTTGCCCTACATTCAATCTAAAAGAAAAGGAATAACAGACACCTAACACATTCTCAGATTAACTAGCAAGATTATATTTGGTAACATGAAACCTTAAATTTGTTTTTCTTTTTAGATTCTAAATTTATTCTATGCCATATCCACTACAACACATTTTGAGGTTAAGATATCCAAACTCTAGAAAAAATATTTTATCCAAAACAGGTCAGGTACTGGATATTTCAGTTAAATTAGTTTCTATATCAATTGCTATGATTGATATTTCTTCTATTACTCTCTTTCATGCTTTCTTGTTTTTCTGCCTTGTTGTTCTTTTATGTCATTTTCTATAAGTACAAAGTTTAATTTGCTTATATCTTCCCAGAGTTTTGGAAAGTTTATATGTCCTGTTTTTGTAATTATGCATAGAGAAATTGCCAAGTTTTTCAAAAGCACCTTTTAAGCTCTATTTCTCTAATTATCAGTGGCAAAAAAAGGCTACAATTAGTTTGTAAAATATAAGCTATTAAAGAGTCAGTACATTTTTTTTCACTTTCACCATTATGCCATCCCCTATTATTCATACTTCACAATGTTTGTAAAAGTAATCTGAAATTGTAAATTGGTATTATTAGTGTCACAGTCTTATGTATTATTATTTTAAGTATCTTGTGCTTACAAATAATATAAACAGTAAGATCTCCAATGTGCCCATCCCCCAAGCTTATGAAATAAAGCTTAATGAAGACAAGGTTTTTCTATAGCCACCAACATTAACTTCTATCCCGAATTTAGTATTTATCTTTCCCTGCATTTAAACAAAAGTTACTACATATTTAAATGTCTCTACATTTTAAAAATGTTACTACATATATACCTTCCTATATATGTATATTTATATAATATATAGTTTATAACTATGTATACAGTTTAGAAATATATATTACATTGTTTTGCCTGCTTAAGCTTTATGAATAGTACATGTTCCATGGGCTATCCCGCAACTGGCTTATTTCATTCAATAGTATATTATTGTGATTACTATATTGATATGTACAGTTTTATTTAAATAATTTAAATGTGGTATTAAATAGATTGTAACCAATCTGATTATTCTCCTGTAAGTGGACATTTCAGGTTCTTTCCAACTTCCTACTGCAGGCAAAATGTCTGTGAAGATTCTTATTCACATATTTTTGTGAAAGGTTCTCCAGGATCAAATCCTCAGAGTCAAATTACTAAGCAATAGATCTGACTTCACATAGACTTCGGCTTTACTAGATATTGCCAAGTCCTTCCCAAATCAACTGCGGCAATTTACACTCCCACAAGCAATTAGAGTTTCCAACTCCATTCACATCCTTGCTAATGTGATTTTGTCAGAATTTTTTATCTATACCAGTCTGTTGCATGTAAAGTGTATCTCATTATGGGTCCTATTTTTACTTCCTTGGTTACTAGGGAGGTGGAACATCTTTTCATTTGTTTACTGGCCATTAAGGTTTTCTTTTACATGTACCTATTCATTTTTTTTTCTTTTTGGTTGCCTTTTTCTTATGGATTAGTAGAAGTTATTCTCCTTTTTATTCTGGATAGAAAGTGCCTTATCAATTTTTTGTGTTACTAAAATCTTCTCCCAGTCTACTGCTTGTCATTTGTATAATGTCATTTTCTGCAAAGAGGCAGAAAATTTTAAAATAGCACATCTAATTTTTCTTTCATGATTTGGGCTTGGCGACATCTTATTTAAAATATTTGTTCCTTCTCTAGGTCATAATATTATCTTCGAACGTTTTTGAAGTTTTACTTTACACATTAAGACTTTAATCCACTTATATTTTTGTGTATCATATGAGGTGGATTTATTATATTACCTTTATATTTGGATAACAAATTATTCAAGCAGGATTATTGAACAGTCTACTCTTTTCCCATTGGCTTTAATGCTTCCTCTGTCATGCATCACATTTTCATGCTTTTGTATGGCTTTTTCTGGGTTCTTTATTATATTTCATTGCTATAGGCATATGTATAAATTCTTGTAACAATATTCCACTTGATTATTATATGTCATAATACATTTTGATATTGGATAATGAGGCTTATTATAAGACTTATATAAGTTATTACATAACTTTGTAATTCAATAAATTAGAGGTATTCTTTGGCCAGGATTTTTACCAGACACTTTTAATCTGAATACCAAGGGGAAAAGTTCATATCAGAAGAATTTTCTTAAATTAAGTTTTTGATTATTATGAGAAACAAACTCACCCATCCAAACCAAAGAATGAACTCAGAGCCCAGAGGATGGCAAAAGTGAGACTTTCAATGACGGTCTTGCAAGATCGGGGATCTAACGGGCAGGCACATGTAACACAGTTACAACAAGCAATTTATCCCCTAGTGCACTGGTCCCTCCCCTGGTTCCTCTTAGGCTGAGTCCTATGAGGTCACAGTCTTCCTGGATGTCACCTATAGATAGGTAGGGGCTGTAGGTGCTTTCTTTAGGGTTGTCTTGCTGCATTTTGTTGCAGCCCACAATGCACTGCAATCCTAGTCAGCTCAGGGGTTTTTCAAGTATTTGACTTATGACCTAAGTATCTGGGCAGGCTGATAAGAACAGACAAAGTGAGCTATTTTGCAGGCTAGTAAACTTTCATCTTGGATGGAACTTCTTTGGCTCAGGTGAGGGCAACTAAGAGGTGAAGGGGGTGGGGGGGGAGGTGGTGGGGGAGGCCTAAAAAGCAGGCATTGAATATCCAAGCAGGGGCCTAGTATATCCTATTTTTTATTATCTTGCTGACCTAAACCGATTCAAGGCACTTTGTCTTGGAAATGGACCACTGTATACATTATTTCCTTCAATTCCCTCCTCTTTTTCTTTTTACTCCTTCTGGTCCCATTTCCACATTTATTTTTGCATCCTTTGGTCCTCAAATCGTTTCAAGAACTGTTGACTTTCTTCATTATAAGACAGTAGATGTGATTTGGTTTCTAATAATTGTTGATACATTATGGGCATTTGTTGATGGCTGTTTCAATTAATTTTGGGGTTAACCCTGTAACACAGGGGATAATGTAACACCCTATAGCTGTCAGGATTTCAGCCACTATTATAAGGGAGGTTAAAATGGAGGCTACCATTCCTTTCCATTTCCCAAACCATCTCTCTAGTCAATCAGTAAATGGGTCATCAATTCTGACATTTTCCACCAATTCATTGGCTAAAGTTGTTAATCCTTATAATGTCTTTGTGATGTTTCCATCTGGGGCCATATTGTTAGGAATGAAAGTGCAACACTTTCCACCCAGCATGATGCATATGCCACATTTCTCTGCTAAGATTATGTTTAGTGCAAGTTTGTTCTCCCAGGCCATTTGGTTGGTGGCATTTAACTGGCTAGCCACCCCTTTGAGAGCGTTTTGAGTATAGTTGATGAATCTTTGTTGATTATAAAAGATGTAATTAATTTAATTCATATTTTTATTAATAGTCGACCACCAGAAGAGTGCTGATTTAAATCCAGCATCTATTTGGCTTCAGGCCTTAAATTTATTAGGTACTCCTTTAGGGACTTCTATTGAGTCAATATAAATGTTGGGATTAAAATAATTTGTTAGATCTCTCCGACTTCGGTGGCCATGTGGATTCTTGGGGATTTTATGGAATGCCAGGGTGAATGGAATGGCCAATTGAACTAAGGCACAAGTCCCAGCCCAATTGGACAGTAACAAGTTACGGAGGTTCCTCTTTCCACAATACCACCAGACATCAGCTCAGGGTATATGAAGAGCCAAGTAGTTGCCTTTTTTTGACTCACCAGTAATGTTTCAGATGTGGGTACAACTTGAGAGTCCTCCCATGGGCTTATTGAACTCTGCCCCCTGCCTAGAGAGACAAGAGGAGTGGTTTATATTCCCTATGGAGAACAAGGGGATTGCTCTAGGGTCTGATCTCTGCAAGACGGGAAAGAACAATAGACTTTTGCAAGCCTCATTTCCCCATGCATCCCTGTCCTGGTATAGGGCCAACATGCAACGCGTTCCATCAGGATTGGTATCCCATCCTAGGGGAAATGGAACCACCTGTGACCTGAGGCTGCCCAGTGGAGCATGCATAACAGTCGCTCTTATTCAGAGCTAGTACTGAAAATTTGACCCATTCAACCCAGGCATTTACGTCCCCCAGTCCAGTCTCAATTTCTAAAATCTGCCTCAAGTCAGTTACCTTAATTATTTTTACTCTCTTAGGGTCATTGTCTGGTGGGTTAAAGGAAGTAGTGGGACCAGGAGTTATAGTAACCCTGGGTGGGCTCAGGGTGGAGTTGGTGACTAGCCTAAAAGCCAACTCTCCCACGGGATCCCTTCCTGAGACATTTATTCCTAATCCATACCTCCAAGGTTCCTGGTCTAGAGTAGCTGGATTGTTTATGGTAATTGATATAGGATTGCATTCTAAATTTCTACAGTTAGGTGGCATGGGGCCCTTATACAAATGTATTTTATTCTTTAAGGGTTTGTTTTGGGAAGAATGGCTCACCCAGGCTCCAAATTGAGTGGTCCACAAGACCTCATTCCAGCTAGAATGGGGCTTTCCCCAGTAACAACCTGTTTCAGGATAGATATTTGTTTGTTTGTGACAGCTGTCTTTGGTTCCCTAAATTCCCGAAATGTAAGAATTGGCAGGCATTGAACTTTATGGTCTGGGGGATGGGGGTTCTAGTTACGTTGACTATTACGTTGATTGGATATTATTCTTCTACCGGGCTCCATCCAACAATTGTGAACCCTCTTACCCCTGGTAGTAGAATTAATCCCAACTACATCCACTCCCAATGACAGAGCCTGCTCATAGCTTCCTTCTAGGTTTTCCTTAGAGTTAGCTTTAAGGGTTCTTTAGGTGATCTATACACTTTCCATTCACCCATTTCTCTTCCTTCCAGGGGTTCTTTTATCAGTCACTTGATCTGAGTGTAATGCGTCCACCCCCATTCAGCTGTTCATACAGCTGTCTCAGAGTAGGGACCTTCCCAGCTTGGGCAGAGCTTGTCTTCTTTCCAAGTCTTAATTAGCACCTAGTCTCCAAGCTGAAAGTGGTAAACCATGGACTCAAGAGGCAGGGTTTGAGCGAGAGGTCCTTTCAACCTAAGGGATGACAGGGTGGAGGATATGGCCAGTATATAATTTCTTACAAAGTGGTCTTTCGTTTCCATAGTAGGAAAGTCAGTAGTCCTACCTAAATATAGGAGTCCATATAATAACTCACGAGACAATCCCACATCTTTCCTTGGGGCGGTCCTAATCCTAAGAAGTGCTATTGGGAGACATTAGGTCCAAGGCATTTTAGTTTCTAAGATTAGTTTAATAATATGTTTTTTGAGAATCTGATTCATTCTTTCTACTTTTCCAGAGGAGGAGGGATACCAAGGGGTGTGGTAATCCCATCTAATATGTTAACCTACCGTAATTCCCCTTAGCACCCTTGAGGTAAAGTGGCTCCCATTGTCTGAATCAATATTTTCTACCAGGCCAAATCTGGGTATAATTTGTTCTAAGATTATTTTTATCACATTCCGGGGGGTGGCATTTGGGAGGGAGAAGGCAGCCAGAGAGGTGGTTTACCATTGCCAGTAGATACTTTTGTCTCCCTATTTTGGGTGTTTCTGTAAAATCTATCTGAATGCTTTGAAATGGCCTTAACCTAGGAGGTTTTCCTCTGGTAGTCTGTTTTTTAACTACCTTTTTGTTTGTTTTCTGGCTGCTCACATAACCCCCACACACTTGTTTAGCAAGTGTATAAATCTCTATACACCCATAATTCTTAAGCTTTGTATTACACATCAGCTGAGGACCCCAATGACTTTCCTTATAGAGTATGGACATTAGTTTTCTCATTATGGGTTTGTTTATCATTTCTCTCCCATCAGGGAGCACCCACCTCCCATCCTCAGTTTGAGTGGCCCCTATCTTGCCCAGCTCTTCCTCCTCCTCCTTAGAAAATTGGGGTTTTAATACCACCTTAGGGATATCTAGGATTGGTCCAAACAGTTTAACTTTTTCCTCCAGGGAGACTTCCTTAGCAGCTTTATTTGCAAGCCTATTTTCTGCAGCTTCTATACTGTTTCCTTTCTGATGGCCATTTACATGAACTATGGCTACCTCTGCTGGAAGCAGGAGGTTTTCCAAAACTTGTTTGACTAGTTTCCCATGTACCAATTCTTTCCCCCTGCTATTTGTTAGGCCCTGCTCTGTCCAGATTTTTCCAAAGGTGTGTACTACTCCATAGGGATATTTGGAATCAGTATATATAATGCCTTTTTGGCCTTCTAGGAGCTTTAGGGCCTAGTTAAGAGCATGTAATTCACAGGTTTGGGCTGGCCAGTTATTGGGCAATCTACCTTTTTCACATAAGGATTGTTTGTTTCCATCAGTGACAGCAAAGCCATCGTGTCTTTTACCGTTTATCACTTGGGATGACCCCTCCACAAGCAGCCTTATCCCATAATATAGTGGAGTTCCTCTAAGGTCTGGTCTACCTTTGGTTTGACATTCTATGATATCTAAATAGTTATGGTCTGATGCCTCCTCATTCTCCTCTCCTGTCCATAAGAAACTGGCTGGATTCAAGCAAGTATCTGTTGTTAAAACCAAATTATCTTTTTCTAGTAATATGGCTTCATGTTTTAAACTCCGGGAATCAGTCAGCCATCTCCCAGCTCTTTGATTTAATATATTCCTGACCCATTGTGGGGTGCTTACTACCAGGGCCCTGCCGAAGGTCAGCTTCCGACTCTCCTCTACCAGCAGGGCCGTGGCAGCTACTGCTTACTTGCGCTTTTGTCTCTTTGTCTCCCGTCTTTTATGGTCTCTCTCTCTCTCCCTCGCTTCTTCTTGTACTTTACTTTTTCTTCCTCTTACGTTATCTTTCTTTTCAAACTCACCTTCTGTGTCTCTCTTTGATCTCCGTCTGCCCCAGTCCCTCTCTCGCTTATTTTCTTCTTCTATCTCTCTCTCTGTCATCTCATTTTCTTTCTCCCTCACACTCGTTTCTTCCTCTTTCTCTCTCTCTCTGGCCCTCTACCTTTGCTGTTTCCTCTTCTTTCTCTTTCTGATTTCCCTTCTTACTTTTTTCTTTTCCTCCCTTTCCCAGTTTCTCTTTTCTTTCTTTCTTTTTTTAACAAAAACCTTTTGAGCTTCCCTCAGTAATCCCTTAATCCGTTATTTCATCCATTAATCTTTTGCAGTGTCTTAGTAATATCAGGACAGCTTTTAGTCACAAAATTAACCTTTAAAAGGCTTTGCCGTACTGGGTTCTCTGGATCTAACCTTGAATATTTTCTCATTTGATCCCTGAGCCTCTGCAGAAACAGAAAGGGAGACTCCTTTTGTTGTTGTTGTTGTATCTCAAATGCTTTGGAGACATGATGTGTCCTAGGAGTGGACTTTTTTTTTTTTTTTTTTTTTGAGACGGAGTTTCGCTCTGTCGCCCAGGCTGGAGTGCAGTGGCGCGATCTCGACTCACTGCAAGCTCCGCCTCCCGGGTTCACGCCATTCTCCTGCCTCAGCCTCCCGTGTAGCTGGGACTACAGGCGCGCGCCACCATGCCCGGCTAATTTTTGTATTTTTAGTAGAGACGGGGTTTCACCGTGTTAGCCAGGATGGTCTCGATCTCCTGACCTCGTGATCCGCCCGTCTCGGCCTCCCAAAGTGCTGGGATTACAGGCGTGAGCCACCGCGCCCGGCCAGGAGTGGACTTTTTAATCCCTTAGTTCCCTTAGGTCCTGCATTTGGGTCTGATCTCTGGGATTATTGTTATCCCATCTGGGATTTGCATTTTGGAATTTCTACTCAGCTGACAGTACTCCTTGCCTGGGAGGATGCTGTCTCTCCCAAATGTTCATGGTTGCCCTTCTAATCATTCCCCTCTCTTCCTCAGTAAATAGAATATTTATGATTGACAGCATCTCAGCCCAAGTATAAAAACTGAGTCCTAAAAAATTGATCTAGCTGCTCTGCTAAAACTAGGGGATCTTCCAAGAGTGGCATCATTTCCTTTTTAAAAACTCCTAACCTCAGTAATTGTTAGAGGCGCACTCACAAATCCAACTCCTCCTGTCCCATAGGGACTTCTCTAAGAGGGTACATGTTAGACATCTGCTGTTTAGAGGGGATAGGGAAATTCTCAATGTCCTTCTTACATTGTTCTAATTCTTTCCTCAAGTTTGGATAGGAATCTAAGAGAGCATTGGGTTTACCTCCTTCGGCCGGGCGTGGTGGCTCACGCCTGTAATCCCAGCTCTCAGGGAGGCAAGAGGCTGGAGGATAGCTTGAGCCCAAGAGTTCGAGACCTGCCTGGGCAATATAGCGAGACCCCATTCTCCAGAAAAAGGAAAACAAACAAACAAACAAACAAAAAAGACAGAAAAAAAAATTAGTGTAACTCCCCTCCTTCATGACCCCCAGATTCCTCTTCCTCTCATCTTCCTGTTGTGCCCTGATCTCCATGTCTTCTACTTTGTGAGATGTATGGGGGTGGGGTCAAGCATTTTAGGGGATCCCAGGGCTTTTCATTGAGTGACAGCTCTTTACTATGCTCTTTTTTTTTCTTCCTCTTCTTTAAGGGGGAACATGGGAGTTAATTCACCAATCCAACAAAGACTGTAACCCATCTCCTCTTGTGAGGATGGGTTTTTATCATTCACAGAGAGAATTAAAGTTTGGCACACTCAATCCTCATCTGAGCCAAACTTAGGCCAAAAGACGGAAAACTGATGAATGAGCTCTTTGGGCCACCTAAAACAGCTATACTTTATCATCTTTTGTTTTTCCTTGTCGCTGGTTCAAGGGTTATCCCTCCAAACCTGTAGCATTCTCCCCAGTGGACTATTTGGGGGAATTTCAGAGGGAGTTTCTTTAGTTCCCTCTTTCCTTTGTTCCCTAGGCCTAGAATTCTTATTTCCCATTTTCAGTTAGTCTCTGTGTCTGAGTGTTTCCCTGTATATTCACTGCCATGCCACTGGAGGTCTCTTGCACACCCAAGAATCACTTCATCCATCTCGAGCCATTTCCCTCGCAGGAGTATGGAACCATGGATTGGGACTCCGCACTCGCTTCATATCTTAGATACATCTCAGTCACACACACTTGACCTCCGAAAATGCCCAACCACCAAGGCAGTGCTTACAGTCCAATTTTCCTACCTTGGCTCATGCACAAGGTTGCCTGGTTGCTGCAGTGCCTGCTTTTCTCCCTGTGTCAATTCTGTTGTCTCCTGAATAACAGTCTCAGGTTTGTCTCTGGCTTATGTGGGGAACCGGGACACAAGGAGAGAGTAGGCCACCTAAATCAAATGGGACGAGTCTCCCCTCTCAGCCAGAGTCCCACTGCATGAAGGCACAGAGTTCCCCGTACTGGCCACCAGGTTGTGAGAAACAAACTCACCCATCCAAACCCAAAGAATAGACTCAGAGGCCGGGCCTGGTGGCTGATGCCTGTAATCCCAGAACTTTGGGAGGCCAAGGCAGGCAGATCGCGAGGTCAGAGGTTCGAGACCAGCCTGACCAACATGGTGAAACCCCGTCTCTACTAAAAATACAAAAATTAGCTGGGCATGGTGGCACATGGCTGTAATCCCAGCTACTCAGGAGGCTGAGGCAGGAGAATTGCTTGAACTCGGGATGCAGAGGTTGCAGTGAGCCAAGATTGCACCACTGAACTCCAGCCTGGGTGACAGAACAAGACTCTATCTAAAAATAAATAAAAACAAACAAACTAACTAACAAAAAACCAATGGGCTCAGAGAACAGCTAAAGTGAGACTTTTAATGATGGTCTTGCAAGATTGGGTGTCTGATGGGCAGGCACATGCAACACGGTTACAACAAGCAATTTATCCCCTAGTGTGCAGGTCCCTCCCCAGATTCCTCATAGGCTGAGTACTGTGGGGTCACAGTCTTTGTAGACGTCACCTATCAGTTGCTGGGTAGGGGCTTTATGTGTTTATTTTAGGGTTGTCTTGCTACATTTTGTTGCAGCCCACAATGCATTGCAATCCTACTCAGCTCACAGGCTCTCCAAGTATTTGACTTATGACCTAAATAGCTGGGTAGGCTGATAAGCACAGACAAAGCAAGCTATTTTGCAGGCTAGTAAACTTTTATCTTAGACTAAATTTCTTTGGTTCGGGTAAGGGCAACTAAGCAGGAGGGGAGGAGAGCTGACAAGCAGGCGTCGGCTATCCAAGCAGGCGTCGGCTATCCAAGCAGGGACCTAGTATATCCTATTTTTTCTGTAGCTTGCTGACCTAAACCAACTCAAGGCACTTTGCCTTGGAAATGGACCAATGTATACATTATTTCCTTCAATTATTAATGATTCAGAACATCTATCAAGCTCAATCTCCAAAGTCTAATGTACTTTGTTTTCATCTATTTGTCTTTTTCCGCACATTTCTGGAAAGCAAATAATTTTATCCCTCACATTTCTGATCTGATATATTGTACTTTAAAATTGGCTTTCATTTTCTCCATGACAGATTTTAACCTCATCTCATTTGTATTTCCTGTACCCTTCTTTACCCCTTCTACCTCCACTTTGCAATATCTTCCCTTATAGTTCCCAGTCAGCCTATTGTCTCCTAAGGCATTCTGCACCTGTCTCATAGCACTTTCTCTCCACATTCTATACTGACAATTCCTAACAGATTCTAAAATTTCAATTCTGAGCCCTACAGTAGATAGTTTTCAAATAGATACTTCTCCTTACAGTTCAGGACCTTCTTCTCAACTTATTCTCTATTACTTTTCATGGGCACTGCCTGGGCATTCATCTCAAATGAGATGAGGTTTGGAGAGTCATCAAGAGTCAGTGTTTGCTGCCAGGTAGGACATATGAATTTCCAGGGCTCTGGCTGATATCATTCTCACATCCACACCCACTGAACAAGCTACTCATGTCAGCTTCTAGCACAGTTGCTGAAGATAACAGATAATTCATCTAGTGGAACTCACCTGCACTGTAGGCAGTAGAAGGGCATGTGGTTTCCTCCTGGCTCTATTGCTTGTTTCTTATTTTTCTTTTTGTACTTTAAATGAATTGAATTTATTAAAATTTGTCATCTCCAGCATACTCTTCTCACTAAACTTTTAGTTTCAGGTTAATAGCAGTCATGTCCAATGGACTTTGACATGTGCATATCACACCTCAAAAGAGTAGTCTATGCTCTCTCTCTCTTCAGTTTCCTTTAACATAAAGAGCATTTAGTTACTGTAGTCCCATTTCAGTAGCTCATAATTTACTGAAGATAGATGCCTATTAATTTTCCTTGGAAGCTGAATTCGTGGAAAAATGCTCAATATGTTTGGAAGGTTAATTATGATTTAGCAATCTTTTCATCTCCCCTAAGAAATGTATATAGTTAGACAGTGAAGCAATAAAAGCAAATGTCTGCACAGCAGATACTGAGAGACATGAAGACCACAGTGGTAATATGGAGCTAACATGCTTTTGCTTAAAGAATCAACTATAGCTGTCCTGTCTTTGAAGGCATGTAGTTTACCTGATCAGTTAGTCTCCCTTGTAGCTACCCTGAACATATCTTCAAGTTTAGTGACAAGGGGTGGTAAAGTTGTGTTTCAAGAATACTTCCGCATGGAAAGGTGGTATGTAGATCCCTTCTATTGGTTTTGAAACCTAGATTGTTCTTTCCCTAAAGTGGTTCTCCCACATTACCCAGTGAGCCCTTAAAAGCTAATACTGTATCTTATTCTTCTTTGTAAATTACATCCTTGGCACAGACTAGGTATTCCAGTGCATCCAAAATGTTTTTGAATATGGAAATTAATAAACAATGTTAAAAATCTGGGAGTTCATAGTATTTGTTAAATAAATAAATAAATTTGTCATTTATTACACAAAAAGTATTTTCATCCCCCCTCTTCCCCACCTACAGGCTACAGCCTGCCTCCATTTTCAGAATCCATCACTATATGAAATACATTTCATTAGCTTATTTGTTCTCTATCATACTCCTACACTATAACTTCCATTAGGGAAGGGAGTTATGCCTAATTTGTTCATTGCTAAGGACAGTCTGGCATATAATGAATGTACAATAAATATATGTCAAGCCAATAAACATAAGAATAAAGAAATAAATGCTGGAAGAACCTAAATCTCTCAGTAGTCAGGACTTAGCAACAAGTCACTCTTACTACTTTTTTGGTCCATAAATCTTGCCCTAGTACTTGAGTTTCCACCTCTTCCACTCTCTTCTATATTACAATTTTATTTTTGACTTGGTGAGGCAAAGAGACAAGTTTCTGGGGGCCCAAAGTTTATGTGTTGGGGGAGGTTCTGCTTGTTATAAAAGTTACAAATATAAAATTAGAAAATTAAAAATTGATTTATAATTAGAAAAGAAAAAATTACCAATTTATAAATTCTGGAAATAAATTGCAGGAGACAAGCATAGTTTTTAATTTCCTTTAGTTACCTCATGAAACAGACCAACTAGAGTAGCCAACACAAAAAAAAATTACAAAAATATTGAACAGAACAAGATTTCCTAAGAACAATTTGGAGAAGATAGGAACCAATTACCAATAGATTCAAGACCCAAATTGTAGGAAGAAACAGAGGGAGGGCAAGGTATTGTGTTGTCCCCAAGAGTTTAAGAACCCCCAAATCCCCAAGAGGTACTCATAGGACTGGAAAAAACTATCATCTATCTATCTATCTATCTATCTCTCTATCTATCTATCTATCTATCTATCTATCTATCCATCCACCTGTATTAGGCTGTTCCTGCATTGCTATAAATAAATACCTGAGCCTGGGTAATTTATAAAAAAAGGTTTAATTGGTTTACAGTTCTGCAGGATTTATAAGAAGCATGGTGCTGGCATCTGCTCAGTTTCTGGTGAAGTCTTATGGAACTTTCAATCATGGCAGAAGGCAAAGGGGGAATAGGCATGTCACACAGTGAAAGCAGGAGCAAACAAGAGAGAGAGAGTCCAAGGGGAGGTGCCACACATTTTAAAATGACCAGATCTTGTGTGAACTCACCACCATGAAGATAGCACGAAGTCAGGAGGGATCCTCCTCCATGATCCAAACACCTCCTACCAGACCCTACCTCCAGCACTGGGGATTAAAATTCAACCTGAGATTTGGGAGGGGACAAATATCCCAACTACGTCACTATCTATCTGTCTATCTCTCTATCTATCTATTGACATCTATCTATCTATGCAAGCATCATATACATAATTAAAAATAAAAAACTAAAGTAGAATTAAACATAATAATAGGCTGAGCACTTTTATAAAAAGAAAAAAACATGTTCACAATGCCTAATGGGATAAATCAAAACTATACTGAGCACAGTTCAGCAACACAACAAAATCAAATAGAACGAAAAAGTATTAAAGGTGTACAAGGACTAAACAACAAAATCAGTAAAGTAGAATTACATAATTATACATAAAGAGATACAGTTACATCTTGGAGAAATTGCAGGCTTGGTTTCAGACCACCAAATAAAGCAAATATCATAATAAGGTATGTAACTTTTTTTGGTTTTCCAGTGTTCATAAAAGTTATGTGTACACTATATTGTAGTTTATTAAGTGTGCAATAGCATTGTGGCTTTAAAAAGTAAATATCTGAATTAAAAATATTTTATTGCTAAAAAAAAAAAGAGAAACCTACCAATGATCATCTAAGCCTTTTATTCTCAGCCTTTAGTGAGTCAAAATCATTTTGCTGGTGGAGTGTCTTGCTTCTTGTCCATGGCTGCTGACTGATCAGGGTGGTGGTTACTGAGGGTTGGAGTGGCTGTGGCAATTTCTTTACATGAGACAATGATGAAGTTTGCCACATTGATTGACTCTTCCTTTCATGAAAGATTTTTTGTACTGTGTAATGCTGTTTGACAGGATTTCATCTACAGTGGAACTTATTTCAAAATTATAATCAGTCTTCTCAAACTCTGCAGTTGCTTGATCAACTAAGTAGATGTAATATTCTAAATCCTTTGTCATTTCAACAATGTTTCCAGCATCTTCACCGAAAGTAAATTCCATCCCCAAACAACTGCTGTCTTTGCTCATGCATAAGAAACAACTCCTCATCCACCCAAGTTTTATGAGATTGCAGCAACTGAATCACATCTTCCACCTCCACTTCTAATTCTAGTTTCCTTTCTGTTTTTACTGCATCTACAGTGACTTCCTCCACTGATATCCTGAACCCCTCAAAGGCATATATGAGTGTTGGAATCAACTTCTTCCAGACTCCTGATAATGCTGCTATTTTGACCTCCTCTCATGAATTACAAATGTTTTTATTGGCATCTAGAATGGTGAATTTTTTCCAGAAGGCTTTCAATATACTTTGCCCAGATCCATCAGATCAATGTCTATGGCAGCTGTAGCCTTTTGAAATGTATTTCTAAAATAATAAGATTTTAAAAGTTAAAATTACTCTTGGATCCATGGACTACAGAATGGAACAGATCTCCTTGTACTTCCCCATCAGAATTCTTGGATAACCAAGTTCATTGTCAAGGAGCAGAAATATTTTGAAAGAAATCTTTTGAGCAGCAGTTCTCAACAGTGGGCTTAAAATATTCAGTAAACCATGCTGTAAACAGATGTGTTCTCACCCAGACTTTGTTGTTCTATTTAGGGCACATACAGAGTAAATACAGCGTAATTCTTCAGGCCCTAGAAATTTTGAAATGGCAAATGACCATTGGCTTCAACTTAGTCACCAACTACAGTAGCCCTATCCTTTGAAGCAGGGCTTCAGAGAGCATCAGCCTGTTCTTTGAGAAAGGCAGCAAATCCTTTGAAACTTAGAAGCCAGGCATGGACTTTTCTCTAGCTATGAAACTTCTAGGAACCATCTTCTTCCAATATCAAGTGGTTTCATCTACATTGAAAATTTGTTGTTTAGAGTAGCCACCTTCATCAATTATCTTAACTAGATGTTCTGGACAACTTGCTGCAGCTTCTACCTAAGCACTTACTGCTTCACTTTGCACTTTCCTATTATGGAGATTGAGTCTTTCCTCAAACTTCATGAACTTATCTCTGCTAGCTTAAAACTTTTGCAGCTTCCTCACCTGTGTTAGCCTTCATAGAGTTTAAAAGAGTTAGGGCCTTGCCCTGGATTAGGCTTTGGCTTAAAAAAATGTTGTGGCTGATTTGCTCTTCTGTCCTGGCCACTAAAACTTTCTCGATATCAGCAATAAGGCTGTTTTGCTTCTTATCATCATGTGTTCTACTTGCCTATTGGAGTAGCAATTTTGATTTTCTTCAAGACTTTTGCCTTTGCATTCACAATTTGGTTAATTTTTTTATGCAGGAGGCCTAGTTTTCAAGTTTATCTTGGCTTTTGTCATGCCTTTCTCACTAAGCTTAATCATTTCTATCTTTAGATTTAAACTGAGAGACATGCAACTCTTCCATTCACTTGAACACTTAGAGATCATTGTAAGGTTATTAATTAGCCTAATTTCAATACTGCTGTCTCAGGGAATATAGAGGCTGGAGGAGGGAGAGAGAGATGAGGGAATGGCAGGTCAGTGGGACAGGCAGAACATACACATTTATCTGTTAAATTCCCTGTTTTATTTGGATGTAGTTCATGGCTACCAAAAGCAATTATAATAGTAACATTAAAGATCACTGATCACAGATTAACATAACAACTGTGATAATAACGAAAAGGTTTGAAATATTGTGAGAATTTCAAAATGTGACACAAAGACACAAATTGAGCACATGCTGTTGGAAAAATGGCACCAAACTTGGTCAATGCAGGGTTGCCACAAACCTTCAATTTGTTAAAACAAAACAAAACACTGTAGCACAATATCTACAATTGTATACTTTTATCTGAAGCACAATAAGGTCAAGTGCAATAAAAATGAGGTATGCCTATATCTATATCTATCTATCTATATAAAATCAACCCTGCTAATCAAGAATACCTATTTTTAAATGCATATGAATCAGTCATGAAAATTGGCATTCCTTGATCTACCAAAAAACCTCAATAAATTCCAGGCACTAGAAACAATACAAATACTATTCTCTGACATTATGCAATAAAATAAAAAATTAATTAAAATAAAAAAGGTCTTTTTATATGAAAAAATATTTAGAACTCAAATTAAAAAAAATAAATTAAAAACTTTTAAAAGGGGTGCCTGGGCCAGGCACAGTGGCTCACACCTGTAATCCTAGCACTTTGTGGGGCCAAGGCAGGCAGATCACTTGAGCCCAGGAATTTAAGACTAGCATGGGCAACATGGCAAAACACTATCTACACAAAATACAAAAATTAGCCAGGCGTAGTGGCCTGGGCCCACAAGGTCGAGGCTTCAATGAGCCACGATTGTGCCACTGCACTCCAGCCAGGGTAACTGGGTGAGACCCTGAAAAAAAAAAAGAGGGGGGTTGTCTATTAAATAACTCAGGACAAAGTTTATTTAAAAAAACAAAATTGGGCACTTTCTCAAAATTAATGATTGTGGAAACAAAGTATATCCAGGTGTGTGGAATATGGCTAAAAGATCTATAAAGTGAAAATGTCTATTAAATACCTTTATTAAAAATAGAAATAAATGTAAATTAATCAAACTTACCACAAAGAAAGATAAGCATGCAAAATAACAAATATCAATAGATATAAAGATTTTTTCTGTAAAGATAATAGCAAATTTAATAAACTAGAAAACAAAAAAAGTAGAATAAATAAATATATCCAAAAAGAATTCTTTTAAAAATCTACAAAATTAAAAAAAAATACTGCCTATTTCAAGAGAAAAGGAGCAAGCCAAATACACATTTCAGAAATGACAGGTAAAAATAGCCATAAAAAGCAGAAAATGAATACATCAAAAAACTACTTTGCCTAGTTTTATATAATTTTTTTAAAATTTCAGTAGCCTTAGAGGTACAAATGGTGTTTGGTCCCATGGATGAATTGTACAGTGGTAAAGTCTGAGATTTTAGTGCACCCATGACCTGGGTAGTGTACATGGTATCCAATAGGTAGTTTTTTGTCCTCATCCCCGCTACCCCCTCCCAAATTCTGAGTCTCCAGTGTCCATTACACCCCTCTGTATGTTTTTGTGTACCCAAAACTTAGCTCTCACTTATAAATGAGAATATGTGGTATTTGGTTTTCCATTCCTAAGTTACTTCATTTAGAATACTGGCCTCTGGTTCTAGCCAAGTTGCTGCAAAAGACATTATATCATTATTTTTTATGGCTAAGTAGTATTCCATGATGTATGTATACCACATTTTCTTTACCAACTCATTGGTTGATGGGCACTTAGGTTGATTCCATATCTTGGCAATTGTGAATTTTGCTGCAATAAATATATGCATGCAGGTGCCCTTTTTCTATAGTGACTTCTCTTCTTTTAGCTAGATACTCAGTAGTAGAATTGCTGGATTGAATGGTAGATCTACTTTTAGTTCTTTGAGAAATCCCCATGCTGTTTTCCATAGAGGCTGTACTAATTTACATTCCCACCAGCAGTGTATAAGCACTCCCTTTTCACCACATCCATGCCAATATTTTTTGTTTTTTTACTTTTTAGTAATGGCCATTCTGGCTGGGGTAAGGTACCAGCTCATTGTGGTTTTAACTGTCTTATGCAAATAAATTTAAAAGCTTAAGTCAAATGGATAATTTTTTTGAAAAATGTGACTTACTAAAAGTGACCCCAGTAGAGACAGAAAGACTAAGCTAATTACTGTACCTCAGGGGGAAAAAAAAAATCAGAAAGTACAGTAGCTAAGAACGCCTCCACAAAAATAAATGAATAAGAACCATGCCTAGAATTTTTAGAGACAGATCATTCCAAAGCTCTGTAAACTTTTTCAAAGTATAGAAAAAGAATTTGTTAAGACAAGTATAACTTTCATCCTAAAATCTAAAAATGTTAATGTTAAACAAAGAAAACTAAAGACCACTCCTACACATGAATGAGCATAGAAATTTCAAATAAAATACTATTGAGAATTGAATGAGAATTGAATCAAATTTTTTAGAACTTTTGATCATGTGAATGCAAGGGAGTTTCAACATTTAGAAATCAGTAAATATGGCTGGGTGCGGTGGCTCACACCTGTAATCGCAGCACTTTGGGAGGCTGAAGCGAGCGGATCCTGATGTCAGGAGTTCAAGATCAGCCTGGCTAACATGGCGAAACCCTGTTTCTACTAAAAATACAAAAATTAGCCAGGGATGGGGGCAAGTGCCTGTAATCCCAGCTACTCGGGAGGCTAAGGCAGGAGAATCGCTTGAAACTGGAAGGCAGAGGTTGAGGTTAGCCGAGATTGTGCCACTGAACTCCCACCTGTGCGAAAGAGTGAAACTCTGTCTCAAAAAAAAAAAAAAAAAAGAAAAAGAAATCGGTAAACGTAACCCATCATATTTGTAGAGCTATACAGAAAAATTATGTAACATATCCATTGATGTCATTAGGTTGGTGCAAAAGTAATGGCAAAACCTAACATATATATTTAGCACTAACCTAATATATGGAAAATGTACTTTACAAAATTCAACACCCATTTATAATAAAACATTAAATACAGTATAAACTGATGAGTAAATCTTTAACATAATAATATTGACCTTAGTCCCCAGACCAGCATCTTAATAGGAAACATTATAGGGTGCATAATTTTTCCTTTGAACTTAGGGAAAAGATAAGGATGCTTACTCTCTCCCCTATTTCTTAACATGACAGTGAAGGCATCAGTAGCCAAAGAAATGTGACAAAAGGAAGCAATTGGGGGAACAAGTTTTGGAAAGTAATATGTAAATCAATCACTGTTTACTAATGACATAGCTATAAATTAGGAAAATTCTCCTTGTCTCCTTTACAGTCTCTGCTGCTCCTGTCCATGCCATCAGCACACCCAAGCTCCGCCTTCTGCTTTAAAGCAGACCCCTCTGGATTTAGCTTGGCAGTGGCAAGATAAAAGGAGCAAGAGCCCCAACTTGGCTGTGAAGCCCTAATTGCCTGCCAGAGCTTAAATTTTTCTCCTAAATTATAGGATATCAGGCATTCCCTTGATTGTGTAATCTGGCAATTAACCCTTAGGAGTATAAACTTTCCAGTCAATGTAAAGGAAGGAATGGTGAGTGGTAGGATTTCTGGATCTTCACCCGGAAAACTTAGTACCAAGTACGTCACAATTAGCTCTCAGAGATAATTGTATAGCTGCTGTAACAAACTGCCACAAACTCAATGGCTTAAAACAACACACATTTATCATCTTACAGTTCTGGTGGACAGAATCCTGTAAAGAGAAGCCTCGGCTAAAATCAAATTGTAGGCAATGCCATATTCCTTCGGGAGGCTCTGGGAGAGAATCCCTTTCTTTGCCATTCACTGCCCAGATTCCATGACTTGTGGTTTCTTCCTCCATCTTCAAAGTCAGCAAAGATGGGCAGGTCATTCCCACAAGGCCATCTCTTTGGTTCCTTCTCTCTTCTGCCTTCCTTTTCTGCTTATAAGAACCCCTGTGCTTACACTGCGTCTACCTGGATAATCTAGTATAGTCTCCACATCTCACAGTCAGCTGCTTAGCAACTGTAATTCCATCTGCAACCTTAATTTGCCTTTCTATGTAACCTGACACTCACAAATTTCAGGGATTGAGATGTGGACATCTTTGGGTGACCAATTATTCTGCTTACAGCAGGCTTTTAGAGGAGAGAGCCATAATTTTACAAATCAGGAATCTGAGATCAATAAAAGTAAAATGATCTCCCTAAAATCACACAGTTAGCTCTAATCTTGGTTGAATGTAGATTAGAATCAAATACTCCTATCTTTTAAACCAGAATAATATTCCCATAAAAGACCCAATACACATTAGATACTATAGCCCTCCTGCAATACAAAATATACTACTCCATTTACAGTATATAGAACATTTTAAAAGTTTAATACACAAGCAGATATTTGACATACACTTAGTTTTCAAATTGAAAATGTAATGCCTCATTAATGTTTTTAGTATACTAGGTGACAGTGAAGATGACAGCAACACAAATTACGGGATTGGGATTGTAATGAATATTCCTGCTAGCAAAATGAAAATCTGAGCCCTGATGTAAGAAGGAAGTTGTTCTTTTATTAAACATACATTGAATTTGCACGTGTAAAAGGATTTTCTATCACAGCACTGAAATTCAATGTTTGATCTTTAGGCTCAAATTTAAGCTGCTACACACTGCACTTACACATACACACACTTGCTTTGTTTTTACGTGAATAAATGTCTGGCCTTCTTTTTCTTGGAAAGGTCAGCGTTCTTCACTTTGGGAATGTCATTAGAGACACCTCTCCCTTTTTCAGTGAGGTGGCAGGGAATGTTAGTTCTTGGAACCACAGAAATTAAAGAGCAAGGGGAACCAGGGAGGTCATACATCATTCATCTGCATGACACTCAAGGACTGCCTTTTACAGACCTCTTCAGTGATTTGTTCCCTTCTATTTTGACTGCAGAAAAGAAAGGGTGCTGTCAACCTCATTTCGAAGGTTATTCCACATTTCTGTGTGTTAGGTGCTCTTTTCTCTCCATGTCTTTCTTCTTTTATTATAACCCAGTGCTCTTGGCGATTATCTTTCACTCGCATTCATACATTGCCTCATGAGCTTGTCTGCGTAGTTTTCATCCATGAAGATCACCAATTAGCTCTGCGTTCTATAAAGAGGTCTTTGGCCTCTTTGGAGAAAGATAAGGCTGGCAGAGAAAGGGAATTAGACTGACTCCATGGCTGAGTTTGGGGCCTGAGATTAAGAATCAATGAGATTGTTCTCTCAAGAACAAACTGTTCTTTCCTGCTCTGGTGTTGACTGAGGTTAGATACTTACACATCTCTGAAAATTTCAGGCTTTCTGAGCTCTGGGCATTATCCAGGGAGAAAAACAGTTGTAATACGAAGGAGTGAAAAAGACTCTATGGAAAAATTCAACATAATTCTACTGCAGATCATGAGGTGCTTTTCTAAGCTCTGAAAGGATACCTTTAAGTTTAGAAGAAACAAAGGAAAGAACTCATTAGTTCCAACATGAGTAAGAGGAAGAGATGAGCAGGTGAGACGCTATAGAGAAGGAGCAAAGTTCTTTAAGGGTAGCCACTGGCTTTTCATCATAATATCAGCACCACAGAGGATTGTAGAGCCTTGAGTTTAGTAATCCTAGGAAGTTCAGTTCCATCCCCCATCCCCATCTGTGGAGAAAGTAGGTTTAATAGAAGGAAAAAGGACTTTGTAGTCATTTAAACCTTGGTTTGAAAATCACTCTAACACTCACGAGCTGGGGGGTCTCAAAAGAAATTTAACCCTCCTTAGTCTCAATTATCTCATTAAAAACAGCAGCAGGCAGAGGTGTTCCACTTCCAGCTTGTTTTGCTGATGAGAAAATATGCAGGCACTTGGAATCAACTCACATAAAATCATGCAAATCTTAGGATTTCAATTTTAAAATATAGTAATTCTATTTATTGCTCTCTTTCTGCTTCCTCTGATTCTTCTCCCCTTCATAACGGGGAGAATAATAACCTATTATTAAAGGTAATAGAGTAAATGGAAGCATAGTTAAGATGAAAATAGCCTGTAGCCTTTAGGCCGCTGTGGAACCTTTCTAACTCTTTCCACTTTCTAACTCTTTCCACTTTCTAACTCTTTCCACTTTCTAACTCTTTCCACTGCCTCTGTTCATTCAGTTGCCATCAAGATGGTCCACTGCTACTTCCCACACTTAACTTTATATTCCACATTACCATATCAAACTTGATAAAAGTGTTTCTCAGCTCAAAATAAAAGCTCTTCAGCATGAAATTCAAATCCATCTACAATCTGGTCCCTGTCTACTTCTCCAGCTCAGAGATACAAGGCTATTTAGTTTTTCATTCATTCAACAAATATTTATAGGCTACCTACTATGAGCAAGGTACTATAGTAGGTGTTAGGCAATTAAATTTGAAGATGTTGACAGAAAAAGAGAAGTGAGATGTAATTTTATAGATTTAAATTTCCATTATGCTCAGTTTATTTTCTAAAATAAATATGTATTACTGATATAATTATTTTTAAAAGCCATATCAGGTCTATAGTATCTCTGCTTTATTAATGAGGGCATCAAGACTCTGAAAAATTAAGTAAATTTTTCAAAATAAAACAGCATGGAAAAAGCCAAGTAGAATTTGAATTATATAATTTAAATTCTGCAGTTTTTGTTTTTGTGTTCCTTTGGACTTTAGCTTATTTTAAAAATGCTTTTTATCTGTATCTGCTCTAGTGGGTTTTAACAAAGACTTTTATGTTTTCAGAAATAATTTCTCTTACGTGACAATGAATCAAACATTTAAAGATGCTTTTTCCTACTTTCTGTATCCCAATAAAGGAAGTTTCTGCCTTAGCTAGAAACCATTGAATTATAGAATTGAGTAATGCAATTCTTGCATCTTTATAACTATTTTCTGGCCTAGAGTTTTTTATCCTTGGGAGATTCATAAGCATTATTTATATATGACATTTTGAGGTTGGTAACCCTCTTCAGAAATTTTCTTTCCTTCCAATGCAAAGGAAAAGAAACTCTCTTTGCATACATTTTTCACCTCAAAAACTCTCAGGCATGTAATCAATTTTGACCCATTTGGGAACCGCTACATACACTGGAAAAAAAAGTATGGCCTCGATGACCTTGGTAACAACTGCCCTAATTTTCAACCAAAACCAGGGAAGGTCTTAGGAATTTGAATCTCTGGTCAGAATGTTATCATTCATTATGTTGGCCAGGCAGGACAGTGACCTAACTGTTACAGAGTTTGTTTTGTTTTGATTTGTGTTCTTTGTCTTCTCGGGTTTTAGGATAGGGTAAGAACGTCATTTTCTTGCCAAGCAATGATGCAAATGACAAATCATAGGATAGGACTCTGACCTAAGATATTTTAAGAATACTGCCTTTCTCTTCTAGGATTTTTTCTATTTGGGGACATATTTTCATAATTCTTTCTCTAGGGGACAACATCTGACTAACACCCAAGGTTTCTGAGTCTCCTGAGCTCAAGTTCATCATCTGTCTTCCTCTGGTGTTGGTTTTCCTTGGATGTTTAGCTATTCCACGTTGTGTGTTCAGTTTTTGGATTAGTATTTCCTGTCAGACTACCTGATACATCTCTGCAGTGTCAGCTTGAAGGTAACCACAGAAGGTGCTGCTGAGGCCGTCCTCACTGGGAATGCGAGGCATCTGAGGATGGCGGCCCACCACTTTCTCCTAAAGGGACCAGCCATCTGGGACAACCCCTTGGCAGTGCGCCTACAGCCTTTTACATCCAACCCAAGCTCCACAACCTCTGCATCCACCTAGAAATGCACATCGAGGTGAGGATACATGAATATACAGTCAAGTGCTGAGCTATTCCTAGTGGCAAAACCAATGAATCACTTTGCTGGTTGTCACAGAGTTGCTTTCTGCTCTGAGTATAGGCCATTCCCAGGGTGCAAGCATTTTTCTGCCAACTTCAATTTTGTTATCACACCTTTTAGGGTAGTTTTAGGCTGTGGTTGCAGTCTTCAACTCTATGTCTTTCATGGATTTCACACAATTCCTGGTCCATAGAATGACTCTTTTGTGTGCATCATGTACATGGACTTATTTATTTATTTACATGCCATTTTTATCGTTTTGTATTTGGAGCAAGAGTGGGATGCGAGAGCCTGTTTCAGTCCACCATCCTCAACAAATGAATTGAACATAAGCTCTCAACTGTGGTGGGTTGAATATGGATTGAATGTTTTTGTTTCCTCCAAAACCCATGTTGACATTTAATCCCCAATGCAACAGTGTTGGGAAGTGGGGCCTAATGGGAGGTGTTTTGATCATGAGGGCTCTGGCCCATTAATGGATTAATGTCATTTTAAAGGGCTTGAGGGAGGGAGTTTGCTCTCTCTTGCTCTCTTGGCCTTCCACCCTTCACCATGGAATGACAAAGCAAGAGGGCCCTTGCCAGATGTTGGCTTCTTCATTTTCAACTTCCCAGCCTCCAGAACTATAAGATATAGATTTCCGTTCTTCATAAGTTACCCAGCCTGCAGTAATTTGTTATAGCAGCACAAAATGGACCAAAGCAATAGTATCCCCTAAAAGCTCACTTTCACCCAAAACCTCACGATGTCACTTTATTTGGAAATAGAGTTATTTACAGATGTAATTAAGGACCTCAAGATGAAATCACCCTGGGGTTAGGGAGAGCATTTAAATCCAATGACTGGCATCCTTATAAGAGGAGAGGACACAGAAAGCTTTAGATACACAATGTGGAGGCTGCCGTGTGAAGTGAAGGCAGATTGAAGCGTCTACTAGCCAAAGAATGACAAGAATTGCTGACAACCATCAGAAACTGATGTATGGTAGGCAAGCCCCAAAATTAGCTTAGTCCAGGAGGGTCCTTGGCTTTACTCAGGAAAGAATTCAAGAGCAAGCCAGTGGTGGAAGAAAGCAGGTTTACTGAAACGGCAGTGCATAGCGGAATGGCTGTTCCTTGCATAACTGGGCTAAGCCCTTGGCAGTGCACCTACAGTAGCAGTGTACAGCAAAGTGGCTTCTCCACAGGCAGAGCAGCCTGGAGTAGTAGTAGTAGCAGCAGCAGCAGCAGCAGCAGAAGCAGTATACAGCAACAGTAGCTGTCTGGAGAAGCCGTTGGAGCAGGAGCAGTGGCCACAGCTGAAGCCACAGCTGCAGAGGCAGCCCCAGCATGGATTGCTGGCTAGCTATATTTATGCCCACTCTTAGTTCTATGCTAATTAAGGGGTGGGTTATTCATAATTTTCTAGAAAAGAAGCGGGGAGTTCCTGGAGCCGTATAAGGTCACTTCCTAGTTGTTGCCACGGCATGTTGCCATGGCATTTGTAAACTGTCATGGCACTGGCAGGAGCGTCTTTAATTATGAACAGTGTGGGCACCAGAAGTCACTTTTGTCACCATCTGCTGGTTTTGGCAGGTTTCTTTACAGCATCCTGTTTTTGATCAGCAAGGTCATTACCAGTGCTCAGAAAACAAGTTCTACTGATCTCTCCACTTCAAAACTAGAAAAGAAGCATGAAAAAGACTTCCTCACAGCCTGCAGAAGGAATCAACCCTGTCAATATCTTTATTTCAGACTTCTTGCCTCTTAAACTGTAAGAGAATACACTTCTGTTTTCTTAAGCCAGCTTTTGGTCCTTTGGTACTTTTGGTACTTTGTTACAGCAGAATAATTATACCCTAGGAAACTAATACAACAGCTCTCCTCATTCACATAAATTTCATAAAGGTATAGTCAATTATAATTTTTATAAGGCAAGGGTAAAATGATCTCTATTTATATATCTTTTCCATTATTCTTTTCATGGTATGGCTAGAAACCGAGAAAAGCCTGAATCCTGCTGCATAATTTATTCCTACTTTTTTCATTCTTTCTTCAACCTCCAATCCCCACCCTGTAACCCACCCCAATCAAAGCCAGTTTCTTAGAGAGCTACATATAAGAACAGAGGTTATATGAAAAACAAAGTATTACTATATTTAATGGAATAGCACCATTTAACCTTTAAATCAGAGCACTGGTAAAAATTAGATTGGAGAATATATACAAAGCCTGAGGCTTAAATGCGATCCCCTAGGTCCCTCTGAATTTAAGTCCTGAGATGGAAAGAGGAGAGACGTGGCTCTGCATCCAGCTCAGGGCTATTGACCGTGCTGATGTCTGCTTCCATATGAAAAGGAGAATCCGAAAGTGCAAGAGAGTGCTATCTGCACATGTGCATTCTATCCTTTAAATGTCACCAGACTCCAGTCACCAGACTCACTAATAACTATTATCCAATCCAAATTCAAGACTCTGATTGAATTAGCAGATTCTCCTATCTTGGAGGGGGGCTTGAATTAAGCAAGAAGAGATAGAATCTTCCTGTTAGGGCAAAGAGTACAACAGTATTTTCTTCCCTCTCCTTTCCAAATTGATCCCAGTACTATGCATATAGCTAAGCAGCCAATAAATGTCTATTGAAATAAAACATTCAGTTTAAATAATACATATTAAATATATTACTGCCATCAATGTATTAGGTCCAACTCTGACTTGCTTTTGCTCAGACTGAAGGGAAACCTCAACATACATTTGCTTTTAAATCTATTCATTTATTTCAAGCCTATATAAAGTGACTATTTAATGGCAGTTTTTCTGGTAGGCACTTAAGATCAGAAATAATGAAATAGCTCATGAAGCTCAGAATCCAGTGAGGGTATGTATATAAAAATAAGCAAAGAAGTATGATGCCCATGATAAATGTCATTGCACAGGTATGCTCAGACATCCAGAAAAGCCCAGGGGAGATACGGCTAACACTGAATATCAGGGGCTAGAAGATCAGGAAAGGTGATACTGAAATGAGTCTTTTTTGTTTGTTTGTTTGTTTGTTTGTTTGTTTTTCAGACGAAGTCTCACTCTGTCACCAGGTTAGAGTGTTGTGGTGCAATCTCAGCTCACTGCAACCTCCAACTCCCTAGTTCAAGCGATTATTCTGCCTCAGCCTCCTGAGTAGCTGGGATTAAAGGCATGTGTCACCACACCTAGTTAATTTTTTTTTTTTGTATTTTTAGTAGAAACGAGGTTTCACCATGTTGGCCAGGATGGTCTCGATCTCCTGACCTCGAGATCTGCCCACCTTGGCCTCCCAAAGTTCTGGGATTACAGGCATGAGCCACCGCGCCCGGCCAAGATGAATCTTCAGTGATGAGTACAAAGAAGTACAATCAGGAGAAGGTTGGCAGAAGGCAGAATATTTGAAGCAGAGAATAAGGTTTACATAAAAGTCTGTGAAGATGATAGAGGATTGCGTAGAGATAGGAGCCCCCCCCCCAAAAAAAAGCAGTTTAGACTCTCAGAATCATGGGGTGTCAATAGGTGGAGAAAATCAATGAAGTTAGAAAGGCAATTGGAGGTCATGCCCTGTTGCCTCAGAAGGGACCGAACTGCGTATTTAAAACTAGAGATTGTGATATTCATGATGATGATGGCATCTTCAAGCAAAGCCTAAATAAAGTCATGTTCAGCATTTTCTAATGGAAGAGATTCATGTCAAGACTGCAGTGTCACTTACCTAGGAAGCTAATTTATCATAAAATTTTTATTATAAATAAATTATAGAGGAATGATTCAGATATTTTATAAATAAAATTTGTAATAAAACTAATTTGTATTAACTACTGTTCCAAACACTTAACAACATATTCTCTCTCATAATACAAAATCCTCCAAGGTGAGAACAGTTATCACCCTGTTTTACAGATGGGAAAACTGAGGTGTGGAGAGGATATCTTGCCCAAAGTGGCAGGTCCAGTCAAGCCAGGATTCAAACTCAGGCTGTTAAATCAGGAGCATGTTCTCTCACATCAGCGCATTACAGTGTGATGATGGACCACCAAAAATATAGAGAATGTGGGTGCCCTGTGGGTTTTTCTCTCAGTTAGTCCCGAAACCCACAATACAAAATCAGGGGCAGCTCTACTAGGACCTAATTAAAAGCCTCACTTGAAATAAGTTGTATTCCCCTGGCATCTATTTTTTTTTCATTTTTTAATATAGCCTAATTCAAATATTATTCCCTTGTCATATGATTTGCTCCTTACAGGCATTTTTGTCATGGACATAACCTTATTTTTTCTGCTACTAACCAATGGGTACTTGGCTTTTCCAATCAGTTTATGCTGTTTATGAATCACTATCTCATCTTTTCCTGGAGTTAAGCCGGAGTTTTCATAGCTCTCATAAACAAACCACTTTGAGTATATGACTCACACGTGAACAGCATCTGGCTGAATCTGACTAGGGGAAATCACTTGTGGCATGATTGGTATATTAGCCTACTAAGGCTGCCATAACAAAATGCCATAGTCGGGTGGCTTAAACAACGTAAATTTATTTTCACACTGTTCTAGAAACTGGAAGTCCAAGATCAAAATGTTCATGAATTTAGTTTCTTCCAAGGCTTCTCTCTTTGGCTTGCAGATGGCTGTGCCCTCACCTTGTCTTTTCTCTGTGCTTGTGCACCCTCGTGTCTTTTTATGTGTCCACATTTTCTCTTTTTATAGGGACACCAGCCAAATTTCATTAGGGTCCACCCTAAAGGCCTCATTTTGACTGAATTATCTCTTTAAAGTCCCTATCTCCAAATAAAATCACGTTCTAAAATACTGGGAGTTAAGGCTTCAGTGTATGAATTTGGAGGCCAGGACATGAGTCATCCCACAGCACTCAGTCTAAAAACATCAACATTGCATAATTTGTAGGGCACATACCAGCTCTTATGTGTTTACATGAGCATCTGACAATGTGTCTTTCAACAGATTTTGAGATGCAATGCCCTCATATGCAATATCTTCCCTTATAAATTACCAAGGCAATAACAGAGAAATTGAGGCTGAGAGTCTTGTGAAAGCTTGCTTGGATACAAATTTCAGCTTCACTACTTGCTAGGTATTAGCCTTAGACAAGTCGCTAATGTGACTCGGCCTTGGTGACCGCATCTGGGGATAATAACAGTGCATATCTCATAAGGATTTTTGAGGATCAAATCTGATAATGCCTGCAAAATAATACAGTCCCTTGCATATCATAAACACTTCACAGGCATTAGATATCATCATCATTATTATTATAAATGGCTAAAATCTACATATATATATATAGTTCATTAGTAGTCTGTATTTACAGAGATGAAAGAGCAACATAAAATTTTACAATAATGGAGGTTCCCAAATTTCCAAGTAAGCAGTGGAAGTGTTTATCGTGATTTGGTTTGAAAACTTACATATGAAGTAGTTGCCTCTCTAATAGGGGCAAATCTCATAGGTTGGTTCACTTAACATCTATTCACAACAATGCTCTCCTCAATCACAGGGTTAAAAGGAACCAAATACTTGATTTTCCAGGTCAGCTTATGAGAAAGAAATAAAGTCTTCTGGAAAGAGTTCCCCTGCCTAAATAAAAAGACAAAGTCCACTTGGTACCAATATTTGTTCATTTAATGTCATTCTCCAATAAAAGGGACCAGGGCACCTTAAAGAAATGGCTCATTCTAGGATTGAGGGACAGAATACACAAGATGAGTAGGGAGCACATTGCCAGAAAGAAAAGAAGTGCTCAAAACAAAAATGATGGGTGTATATCAAAAGAGACCCAGGAGTCAACTGAAAAAGCTCCCAACAGCCAAAACTGAAACCGTGTCAACAACAAAATGAATAAAGTAGTATTGGATGATAACCCAAAACATGAAATAAATTCTCGTGAATACACACACAAACACAAGCGCACACGCACACACAGACACACACACAGCATATATATTTATATTAGAGACAGGATCTTTCTGTGTTGCCCAGGCTAGAGTAAAGTGGCACAATTATAACTCACTGTAACCTCAAACTCCTGGGCTCAAGTGATCCTCCTGCCTCAGCCTCCTGAGTAGCTAAGACTATAAGCATGCACCAAACACCTGCCTAATTTTTTAAAAAATTTGTTTTTGTAGAGACAGGTGTTACTATGTTGCCCAGGTTGGTCTCAAACTCCTGGTCTCAAGCAATCCTCCTGCCTCAGCCTCCCAAAGTGCCTGGATTAGAGGCATGAGCCACTATGCCTACCTTGTAGAGATATTATTAAAGGATTGCCCATATAAATAAAAGAAATAGATATATAAATATAAATATAAATAAAAGAAATATAAATAAATAAATAAAAGAAATATAAATAAATATAAATAAAAGAAACAGAAGAAACACACCTCTTGTGCAGAATTTCAGTTAACACTGCATGTGCCTTCAGAGATGGCCTTATATTCCATAAGTATCTATGGATTATTATTTATGACAATAACAATGGTGCAGGGCTGAGACTGGCCCCTGTTTGAGCTTGAGATTTCTCAGATTGTATCTGCTCTGCTCTGACCATATCACAGTTTCAGGGACTTTTCCTTCCATACATTCTCCACCTGTTGATAACCAGGACCCACCTTCTCTCTTGTGGGTGAAGGACGAAGGCAGTGAGGGTGGTTGTTCCACAGGGTAAATAAGGCAAGGACCAAGCAAAGGGTTAAGGCAGACATGGGAACCACTCCTGCTGAACGGTTCATGGGCAATCTCTGGCTGTGCTATGGACACTAATGATGGCATCATCAGTGTAGCCCCTCAAGATGCAACAAGAACAGCATGCACTCGTGAGAAGCTGAACTATCTTGGGCTGCTGATTCTACTCCTCCAAGAAAGTCTGCTCAGTTCTGGCCCCTCAGTTGGGGCCACACATTCCCCTCGCCCTTTGCACATTCTACTCCCTCCTTCCCATCAACAAAGCCTGGGGAAATTATTATCTGGTCTCATTATAGAAGCCTTTCTCTTGTCTTCACATATTCCAGTTTTATTCTCTATGCCTTGGATTTTTATTTATTGGCCACTAAGTTTTAAGATCTTGACTCTCAAAACAATCTTACTGCTGCCATATCCTTTTTTGGAGGCACTTAATGAACAGCTTAGATTAAAGAGAACCAAATGATGATAGAATTGGAAAAAAAAATAGTTAACATTTTTAAAATATTATACTTCATTCTCTCTCCTTTTTCTCCTTCTCTCCCTCCAGTCCTGAAGCATCCGTGTATTCCAGTCATTATAATGCAAGGTAGAATTTCCCCAGTGCCTTACAACTTGTATGGATGAGATGAAGAGGCAAATGAGAGAGTATGGTCAGCTTTTAGATAAGCCTTGAAGGATGGGGAGCTAGGCACACAGGACTTGGGAAAGGGCATTCTTGGAAGAAAAAGCAGCCTGGAACTAAGCAGGCAGCAGAGGAGTGACCATTTATAGCAAGAATAGCTTGTCCAGTTTGTCTGGAGCACAGGCTTACAATGCCAGGAAAGCTAGTTTGTACTTTGCACCCATGTTAGGACATGCTGCAGTCATGAGAGGAGGGGAGGGGCATGGTAGGAACAGGGCCGAGTAAGACATACTGCTGATCATCTGAAGGGCAGATGGACAAGAATAGAAAATAGAAACAAAGTCTGGTCCAACCACTTTTATAACTATCAGCTGAGAGACAATGAGGGCCCAGTCTGAGCAATGGCAATGAAGAGAATGAATAGTACAATCAACATGGGACCACAAAACAGTCAGAGCTCATCCAGCACCCGCCACTCTGTGCCAGACACAGGGTCTCAGGTTTCACCAGGATTACTTCATTCAATCCTTACTGCAGTTCAATGAAAGTTACCTTATTATTACCCGTATTTTACAGAAAAGGAAACTGAGAGTGAGGTTGGATGGCAGTCCCTGGGGTAATCCTGGGTTACATATTTTTTTCCTAATGTAATTATTGAGGTAGCTCCCCTCTGAGAGGACCACCACCAACTCTTTTCCTCTTGTATGAAAGTACCATTCTCCCATCAAGAAGCATAGTCTGTCTATTCATCCCGTGGACTCCAGGCTGTCCTTTGGTCAATAGAATTTTGTGGATGTGACACTGTGCCGGTTCCAAGCATCACTTTTGGAGGACTTGGGATTTCCACCTGTGCCTCTTAGAGAATGTTTGTTGGTATGGATGTCCTTCCTCAGAACCCAGTGCCATGCTGTGGTTAATCCAAGTCACACAAAGAGGTCACACATAAGTGCTTAGGTCAGCAACTCAGCTAAGCTCCCAGTTGGTAGCCAACACCAACTTCCTGCCAAATGAGAGAGGGTCATTATGGACATGTAGTCCAGGTGAGTCTTCAGATGGTACCACTCCCAGCCAACAACCACACAAAAGACTACAAGTGAGAACCACTCAGTTGAGCCAAGCCTGGTCAACACAGAGAATCATAGATGATAATAATAATGCCTGCTTTAAGCCACTAAGTTTTGGAGTCTTTTTCCACAGCAATAAGTAACAAAAGCAATTATTAATAATGCTCCCTTTGTCTCTCAAAAGGGAACTTATTTATTTATTATTTATTCTTATTATAATATAAATAATAATATAAATATTATTATTTATTATTTGTTATATATTTATTTATTTATTATTATTATTTATTATTTATTTATTCTGCTGTGGACAATATATTACATTGGCTAACCTAGCTAAGTAAGTGTTGATTAAGTATAAAGGTTGAATTAAAATGTTTGTTACGTGAATAATTAACTAAATGAATGGATTTAATGGATGTATTAGGGTTGACTGCCCTTAGTTTGTTAAATGATTGGGTAGACACTTCTCCACTTTGGCCAGCAACACCATTTGCAGAAAAAGAGCTAGTGGATGCATTTACCAGGTCACAGCATGGCCTCATTGCCTGTTCTCAGCCTAGTCTTTAACCACCATGGGGAAGTAAGGGTTGGGGGGCGGGACAGGGAAAACTGAGTATGAGATAAAATCTATTATGAGGTCTTAATAAACTCTAGAGTGGACACTTTAAAAAATGATCTAACTTTTTTTCTAAAATAGAAATTCTGTCTAGCTTTTATAATGGCTCAGGCTTTCCTCAAGCACTTTTCCCATAAATTTTAACATTAGCATCCATGGTAATGCTTAACTGCAGGTAATATATTTTTTAAACCATATTTTTCTCCTAGAGCTCATTAAAAGCACTCACTCTGCTAATGATTTCTGAGCCTCAAGTTAGACTTATTAGTGCACAAGGAGCAACAGATGCCTAAATGTCAGGTCTATTTACCAGCTCAAAGTGTGGTTGCCGTAGAGGCATTTGTCTTCTGTGGGACATGCTGACTGTGGTTAGTTCACTCCATTTTTCCTGATGGGAAATGATCCTGAATCCAGAGCTATTTCGTCCAACCAAGCTTCAGCATGGAGAATTACACTCTGGATCAGAACCTTGCCAGTGTGGGTTTAAATGAAGGAGTTATTGCTGACGCTGCCTTGGAGTCTTCCCTGCCTTCTGGGCAGACTCTAAACCTACAATTTTATGTATCCTTTTGTTAGTAATGCTTGTTATAGTGCCTGGAACAAATGTCCAAACCAATAAAGGTTTGTCTGCCTTAGTTTCGCCTCTTTTTCCTTCTTTCTGTATCATCTGCTTCTATATGATCAATGTTTAAAAATTTTAGATTCAACCTCCTTAATAATTCTCAAACCCAACCCCTCTCAGCTCCATTCTTTCTCTTGTTACCTGAGTCCAAGGCTGCCATCATCCCTTAATTGGAATCTTGTGCAGTCTTCTGACTAATATCCTCCTCCTCCATCCATTCTCCACATTGATGCCAAAATGATAGTGAGCTTTGCTCCATTCATACTTAAAACACCTCAGTGACTCCTCTTCATTCATCTCTTATCACAAGGAAAATTCAAACTAATCTTGGCAGGTAGTCAAGTCCCTTTTGATCTATTCTCTCTGTGAACCCACAAAACTTGAGACAGGTCTCAGTTAATTTGGAAAGTTTATTTTGCCAAGGTTGAGGATGCACACTCATGACACAGCCTCAGGAGGTCCTGATGACATTTGTCCAAGGTGGTCAGAACACAGCTTGGTTTTATACATTCTAGGGAGACATGAGACATCAATTAACATATGTAAAATGAACACTGGTTTTATCCAAAAGGCAGGACAACTGGAAGCAGGGAAGGGGCTTCCAGGTCACAGGTAAGTGACAGACAAATGGTTACATTATTTTGAGTTTCTGATTAGCCTTTCCAAAGGAGGCATCAGATATGCATTTATCTGTTAGTAGAGGGATGACTTTGAATAGAATGCAAGGCAGATTTCCCCTAAGCAGTTCCCAGCTTGAATTTTCCTTTTAGCTTAGTGATTTTGGGGGCTCAAGATATTTTCCTTTCACATCCCAATATGTTCTAGCTACATTTCTCGCTCAACATATCTAGGCAAACTATGCCTCAATCAAGCCAGACTCCTCATTCACATAATATTTCATGCACTTTTCTTCATCTTGTTTTATTGTATGGTTTTCTTCCAGAGCCTGGAATATTCTTCCTGCTGTCACAGCGTGTCAAAATTTATGTTTTCTTTATGACCTAGTGAAAATGTTTTCAACACCCTCAAATTCTTTTCTACCACTTTCTTAGGACCCCCAAGCTTAAATGAATTACTCTCTTCTCTGTCCCCTCCACACCCTCCCACACTCACATCTTGTTTGTGCTATTGAAACTCAGCAGGAAGGCAGCAGAGGATAGGGGTGATAGCTCACATTTGGAGGTTGCCTGCTGGGTTTAAACCAAAGCTCTGCTGCTCACTGGCCTTGTTACCTTGAGCAAATTATTTTATCTCTCTCAGTTTCCTCAACAATAAAATGGGAATAAAGATGGTGTCAAATTATAGCATTACTATGATAATTAAATGACTTTATTATCTGACCCATTGAAAGTGCTTTGTAAGCATTCTTCAATGAAATAAAAGAGCACTGATCTCCTGAATCACTGATCAGAGGTTCTCCAAGCACGACTAGCAGCATCAGTCCCACCTAGGAAAGTACTAGAAATGCGAATTATCAGGTCTCATGTCCAGCCTACTGAATCAGAAACTCTGAGCATGGGACCTAACAGTGTAACAATCTCTCAGGATGATACCGATGCATGATCAAGTTTGAGAACCACTCTATAGATGATCTCTAAGATGTCTTTCAGCTCTCACCACCTATGGATTGATTACAATCCTCCTGTTCAGTCATTGAAAACTGGAATATCCCATTTGAAGGCAATTTTAAATGATTGGAAAGGGAAGTAAGGAATTAAGTCAAGAAATCAAAAGTGAAAAGGGAAACAACGTATCTATTTGCAGGAGAGAACAAATGAGGCAAGAGGAAAAATAACACTTAGAGGAGGAAAAAAACAAGGGTTTTTTTTCTTAGTTCTTTCTTTTCTCATAAAAGCAAGTAGCCTCACATAGACTAGTGATCTAAAGATTTATTGATAAGTTGTTTTTATTTCTATAATCACATTAACAAAACTCTCTTTCCTTCTTAACTTTTCTTGACTTGGGAATTGCATCTTTGGGGCAAGAACACTGAAAAAAATTTGTTTAAAAATGCAACCAACTTAGTGTTTAATCACTCAACATAAATATGTGTGAAAAACTAAAATAAGACACAAGATGGGTTGCAAGTAGCACCAAGCAGCAAAATAGTTCTTGGCAAGGCTGAGGTCATGCAGCAGAGACTGTTGCCAAAACAAAAGGCATTCTGAAATATTTTAGAAGTACAAAAATGTACAAAATAAATATCTATGTATCTAACAAGAAGCTGAAGAACCTTCATGCACCCAGATATTCCTACAATTGGTTTTCAAAGGATGAAAAAATATTTATGTATTTAAAATGCTGTGTGGCTATTAAAATTAATTTAAAAAGCATAGCACAGGGCTTATCACAATAAATGTCCACTCCCTCCTTGTGTCCCTCCTTTCAAAATGTGCAAACAAGCTGTCTGGCAGTGGGACTTCCAGACTGAAATATGCCTTTGCAGGTAAACTTTGGGATGGTGAAATTGTTACAAGTGAATAAAAACAATTACTGCTGTTGTATTCTCCAAATGAAATAATGTATTCTTACAGGGGGTGTATTTTACCCTTTAATAAATAAAGATTTGTGTTAAAAATGCTTTGGAAAGCTCTCAGGGATAATTCCACTATTCATGTGAAATATTACAGATTCTGAGGGTGAAAAAATGAATGCTATTTAACTCTGATGATTGTGAATGTTTTTGTAAGCATGAGGGAAAAATATGGCCATGAAAGCCTACAGAGAAATTAAACAAACATGTAAAATCAACTAAATATAACTTCCACGTGCTCTTTATTGATTTCCCTGGAACTCTGGCTTCATAAGATAAAATAGAAAATGTAAAAGGTTATCTGGATTTTCTCCCTTCTTTTCTTGGTTCATCTTGCTATTATTGGTCTATCAATTTTATCTTTTCTCAGCAAAATTGGCATACAAGGGACATACCTCAATGTAATAAAAGCCATCTATGACAAACCCACAGTCAACATAATACGGAATGAGGAAAAGTTGAAAGCATTCCCTCTGAGTACTGGAACACGACAAGGATGCCCACTCTCACCACTCCTCTTCAATATAGTATTGGAAGTCCTAGCCAGAGCAACCAGACAAAAGAAAGAAATAAAGGGCATCCAAATCGGTAAAGAGGAAGTCAAACTGTTGCTGTTTGCTGACAATATGATCGTTTACCTTGAAAACCCTAAAGACTCCTCCAGAAAGTTCCTAGAACTGATAAAAGAATTCAGCAAAGTTTCTGGATACAAGATTAATGTATACAAATCAGTAGCTCTTCTATATACCAGTAGCAAACAAGCAGAGAATCAAATCAAGAACTCAACCCTTTTTACAATAGCTGCAAAAATAATACAATACTTGGGAATACACCTAAAAAAGGAGGCAAAAGACATCTACAAGAAAAACTACAAAACACTGCTGAAAGAAATCATCAAAGACACAAATAAATGGAAAAACATCCCATGCTCATGGATGGGTAGAATCAATATTGTGATAATGACCATACTGCCAAAAGCAATCTACAAATTCAATGCAATCCGCATCAGAACACCACCATCATTCTTCACAGAATTAAAACACACACACACACACACACACACACACACAATTCTGAAATTCATATGGAACCAAGAAAGAGCCTGCATAGCCAAATCAATACTAGGCAAAAAGAACAAATCTGGAGGCATCACACTACCTGATTTCAAACTATACTGTAAGGCCACAGTCACCAAAATAACATGGTACTGGTATTAAAATGGCACATAGACCAGTGGAACAGAATAGAGAACCCAGAAATAAACCCAAATACAGCCAATTGATCTTTGCCAAAGCAAACAAAAACATAAAGTAGGAAAAGGACACCCTCTTCAACAAATGGTGCTGGGATAATTGGCTAGCCACATGTAGAAGAATGAAAGTGGACCCTCATGTCTCACTTATACAAAAACCAACTCAAGATGAATTAAGGACTTAAATTTAAGACCTGAAACTATAAAAATTCTAGAAGATAACACTGGAAAACCCCTTCTAGAAATTGGCTTAGGCAAGGATTACATGACCAAGAACCCGAAAGCAAATGCAATAAAAACAAAGATAAATAATTGCGACCTAACTAAACTAAAGAGCTTTTGCAAAAGGAACAGTCAGCAAAGTAAGCATTCAACCCAAGTGAGAGAAAATCTTCACAGTATATACATCTGACAAAGGACTGATATCCAGAATCTACAATGAACTCAAACAAATCAGTAAGAAAAAAACAAACAATCCCATCAAAAAGTGGGCTAAGGACATGAATACATAATTCTCAAAAGAAGATATACAAATGGACAAGAAATACATGAAAAAGTGCTCAACGTTACTAATGATCAGGAAAATGCAAATTAAAACCACAATGGGATAACATCTTACTCCTGCAAGAATGATCATAATCAACAAATAAAAAAACAGTAGATGTTGGCATGAATGCGGTGATCAGGGAACACTTCTACACTGCTGGTGGGAACGTAAACTAGTACAGCCACTATGGAAAATAGTGTGGAGATTCTTAGAAAACTAAAAGTAGAACTACCATTTGATCCAGCAATCCCACCACTGGGTATCTAACCAAAGGAAAAAAGAGTCATTTTTTGAAGAAGATACTCACACACGCATGTTTATAGGAGCACAATTCGCAACTGCAAAATTGTGGAACCAGCCCAAATGCCCATCAGTCAATGAGTGGATATAGAAATTGTGGTTTATATACATGATGGAATAGTATTCAGCATAAAAAGGAATGAATTAACAGCATTTGCAGCAACCTGGATGAGATTGGAGACTATTTTCTAAGTGAAGTAACTCAGGGATGGAAAACCAAACATCGTATGTTCTCACTGATATGTAGGAGCTAAGCTAAGAGGACACAAAAGCATAAGAATGATACAATGGTCTTTGGGGACTTGTGGGGAAGGATGGGAGGGGAGTGAGGGACAAAAGACTACAAATAGGGTGCAGTGTATACTGCTTCAGTGATGGGTGCACCAAAATCTCACAAATCACCACTAAAGAACTTATGTAACCAAATACCACCTGTACCCCAATAACTTAAGGAAAAATCAAAATAAATAAATAAACAAGAAAATGTAAAAGACATAATAATGTTTACTTTCAAGGAGCAACTTTCAGATGAAAGTCATTGTGCTAAGTACTTTATAGATATTAATTTAATATTTATAATGATTCAAGTTGGTAGGTATTATGAGGCACTTCTTCTAAGAAAATCAAGCATAAGAGAGGTTACATGACTTGTCCAGAGTCAGTGTTAGGAAATGGAGGTGTTGTGGTCTAACTCCTGTATTTTAACCAGTGGCCACTCAGAGTATATTGCCAAAAACTGAGGACCCCTATTCATTTAGGAAGCAGTTGACCAATAGATCACTCATATAGTCCAATCTCTTCATCTCAGGGGTAAGGAAACTAAGGCTACAACGGGAAAGGCACTTCTCCAAGGTTACAGAGCTTAGGCTAGCACGTAGGATTCCTAAATCTGTTTACCCATTCTCACTTCCTCTGCCTCACTGGTCGAAATGGAATGGATCTTCTTTCCCTTCAAAATCTGGTTATGTGTTCAGCCATATTCTAGGTCCAGAAAGGAGAGTGTGTATGTGTGTGTGTGTACACATAACATGTACAATTTTAAAAGATTGTATCTTCCGAACAAGAACCACACTGAGGCGCACACGGTAAATGCATACGTTCTCCATCTAACAAACATTTACCCAACACCTGACTCAAACTGTTCCAGTTGTGTCTGGCTGCACCACAGGGTCATTTGAGGAATTAAAAAAAAATACCAAAGCCAGACCACCACTCAAGATACTTTTACATATTTTGGTCCAGGGTGGGACCAGGACTCTACATTGCCTCAGTTTGTACATATTATAGGGTTCTCAAAACTAACATGGACACAATAGCTCCTCCCTTCATTCTGTCTCTGTAACTCAAAGAAACCCAAGTGAACCCTACTCAGATACAAATCTCTTGCATCTCAGTAAATAGCACCACCAGGTGGCTCAGGCCAGAAACTAGCATTTATTCTTGATTCCTCTTTTTCCTATCCATCTATATCCAATCCATCAGCTTGAGTCAGATGTTGGGTAAACGTTTGTTAGATGGAGAAATGCATACATTTACTGTGTGCATCTCAGTGTGGGTTCCCGTTTGGAAGGTACAATCTTTTAAAATTATGCATGTTATGTGTACACACACATACACACACTCCTTTCCGGACTGTTTCTCCTGCCATTCCTTCAAGTCTTTGAGGGCTCAGAGCTCCTCTCTGAGCAGGTTGAGCTGCAGACAAATTACACCCTTATGAAGGGTTTGGCTGCTTTTTGAGCTCTCACATTTTTCAGTTATATTCTTCCCTTCTATCCTTCATGCTTTTCTCATAATTGGCCTATCTACACAAGCATTTTTGTGGCCCTAGAGGAGAATGCTCTTCTCTGGAAAAAACTGAGAAAGTTTCATTACTGTATAATCTCCATCACTTTTTAGCCAAACAAGAAATGTGTAGTTTCAACATTGAAACAAGTCAAGCAGACGCCTCTGATCGGTCTTGAGTCCGATCTATCTGGATTATACTGTCACAAAGAAAGGGCACCTCTTTGGCCTGCCATACCTTAACCTCATTTGCAGTGGTGTGAACAGACCTCACATTCCAGGGCTGTGACCTCACATGTTGGGAAGAGTCAATGGCCAATAACAATTTAAAAGTCGGAAAGCCATAGATGGTTTTCTTCTTTCTGATGATCACACAGCAGTTACAGTACTTCAAAGTTTGAGCTTTGTATTTTAACCAAGAAATAAAAGTATTCTAGAGTAGTGCTGTCAAATAGAAATAAATATGAGCCAAATATGGAACTTGAAATTTTCTAGCAGCCACATTAAAAATAGTAAGAACAGATGAGATTAGTTTTAATATTTTATTTGTCCTAATACATCAAAAATTATTACTTCTGCATCTAATATAAAAATTGTTAATGAGATATTTTACTATTTTTTGATACTGTCTTCAAAATCCAGTGAGCATTCTATGCTTATTGCACATCACAATTTAGATGCTAGGTTTACAATAGTTTAAGTGAAATATACTTCTACCAAAGCAATAAAGTTACATTTAATGGAAAATAATTAAAATTAAAATTTAGTTTCTTGGTCATGCTATCCACATTTCAAGTGCTTAATAGTGCTGGGTGGCTTGTAGACACCATATTAGACAGCTCACCTTTAGATGCTAGAATATGGCTTTTATGATTTTTTATTAATAGTATTAAGGACCTTGTAAAGTATCCAGTCCTTATTAAATTGAATTCTTACTAATTGATAAAATTATTTTTAAAACCACTGAAACAAACAAAAGAAAGAAAAATATGAAGTATGGAATCAGAAAGGACAAGTTTGTTTTACATCTCATAACTCAAATGTTCTTATCTGCCAATGAAATGTTAAGTTCTTCAGTACTACCCAAAGCGTATCTGTGGACAAATGATTCAAGAGCAAGCAAATGTGGGAAATGCTGCATACAAATCAATCTCACCAGATATTAACACAACAGACTACTATTATCTTTTTCATTCATGGATCAGAGATTCAGAGCAAGCTTTGTCTTATGCTATGTGCTCATCTTTGGTCTACAACTATCTTTCTTCTTTCTCTCTCTGTTTCTTTTGTCAATGCAATTAGCAAGTATGAGCCCACAACAATATAGAAAATGCAGAACTTTAAAGTAGCTTACAACTTTGGCCTAAGGTAATCATTATTCCAGCCAAATCCTATGCTTATGATTATGATTTCCTTACTTTCACTCAATAAATATTTATATCACGTTTTAGCAAAATGTGATATATAATTTATTACACACACAGAGTCATAATATAGTGAGTTATCATGTTATATATAATTTTGAAACCTACTAGACAGAGTCAGATGGAAAAATCCATAAGATATCTCCTCAATCTTTGTTCAAGCCTCTATCATCTCTAAATCTATCTCTAGACTATTTTATTAGTCTTTTAAATACATTTTGCCTAACTTCAGTCTTTTCTCTCTTCAGTTCATCTTCCATACTACCTTAATAGTCATCTTTCTAAAATACAAACTTGACCATGTAATTCCCCTGTTTGATACCTTTTAGAGATGCCTCAATCATTAAAAAGTAAAGTTCGAATTCCTTATAAGATTGTGTTAGACTTTTTAAAATTTCCATAGTTTTCCTATTCCAGTAGACACCACTATACTGCAATGTGACTTCGCCATTCCTGTCATCATTCCTGGGGCTCTTTCTGCATTCTCTTTAATCTGGGCTAGCTTTTTAACTTGCTTTGATTAACAGAATGTGGCAAAAATGACAATTCAACTTTTTTTAAATTTTTATTTTAAGTTCTGGGATACAAATGTAGAACGTGTATGTTTGTTACATAGGTATACATGTGCCATGGTGGTTTGCTGCACCTATCAACCCGTCATCTAGGTTTTAAGCCCCACATGCATTAGCTATTTCTCCTAATGCTCTCCCTTCCCCTCACCCCCTAACCCCCAACTGGCCCTGGTGTGTGTTGTTCCCCTCCCTGTGTCCATGTATTCTCATTGTTCAACTCCCACTTACAAGTGAGAACATGTGGTGATTGGTTTTCTGTTCTTGTGTTAGTTTGCTGAAGATGATGGCTTCTAGCTTCATCCATGTCCCTGCAAAGGACATGAACTCATTCCTTTTTATGGCTGTACAGTATTCCATGGTATATATGTACCACGTTTTCTTTATCCAGCCTATCATTGATGGGCATTTGGGTTGGTTCCATGTCTTTGCTATGGTAAAATAGTGCTGCAATAAACATATGTGTGCATGTGTTTTTATAGTAGAATGATTTGTATTCCTTTGGGTATATACCCAGTAATGGGATTGCTAGGTCAAATAGTATTTCTGGTTCTAGATCCTTGAGGAATCACCACACTGTCTTCCACAATGATTGAACTAATTTACATTCCCACCAACAGTGTAAAAGTGTTCCTATTTCTCCACAGCCTCGCCAGCATCTATCGTTTCTTGATTTTTTAATAATAATCACCCTTCTTACTGGTGTGAAATGGTATCTCATTGTGATTTCGATTTGCATTTCTCTAATGATCAGTGATATTGAGCTTTTTTTCATATGTTTGTTGGCTGCATAAATGTCTTTTTTGAGAAGTGTCTGTTCATATCCTTCACTCACTTTTTGATGGTCTTTTTTTTTCTTGTAAATTTCTTTAAGTTACTTGTAGATTCTGGATATTACACCTTTGTCAGATGGGTAGATTGCAAAAATTTTCTCCCATTCTGTAGGTTGCCTGTTCACTCTGATGATAGTTTCTTTTGCTGTGCAGAAGCTCTTTAGTTTAATTAGATCCCATTTGTCAATTTTGGCTTTTGTTGCAATTGCTTTTGGCATTTTCATCATGAAGTCTTTGCCCATGCATATGTCCTGAATGATATTGCCTAGGTTTTCTCCTAGGGTTTTTATGGTTTGGGTTTTACATTTAAGTCTTTAATCTATCTTGAGTAAATTTTTGTATAAAGTGTAAGAGAAGGGTCCAATTTGTTTTCTGCATATGGCTAGCCAGTTTTCCTAGCACCATTTATTAAATAGGGAATCCTTTCCCCGTTGCTTGTTTTTGTCTGGTTTGTAGAAGATCAGATGGTTTTAGATGTGTGGTGTTATTTCTGAGGTTTCTGTTCTGTTCCATTGGTCTATATGTCTGTTTTGGTACCAGTACCATGCTGTTTTGGTAACTGTAGCCTTGTATAGGTTGAAGTCAGGTAGCGTGATGCCTCCAGCTTTGTTCTTTTTGCTTATTATTGTCTTAGCCATACAGGCTGTTTTTTGGTTCCATATGAAATTTAAAGTAGTTTTTTCTAATTCTTTGAAGAATGTCAATGGTAGTTTGATGGGAATAGCATTGAATCTATACATCACTTTGGGCAGTATGGCCATTTTTACAATATTGATTCTTCCTATCCATAAGGATAGAATGTTTTTCCACTTGATTGTATCATCTCCTATTTCCTTGAGCAGTGGTTTGTAGTTCTTTTTGAGGAGGTCCTTCACATCCCTTGTTAGCTGTATTCCTAGGTATTTTATTCTCTTTGTAGCAATTGCGAATGGGAGTTCATTCATGATTTGGCTTTGCTCATCTATTGTTGGTTTATAAGAATGATTGTCATTTTTTCACACAGATTTTCTATCCTGAGACTTTGCTGAAGTTGCTTATTATCTTAAGGAGTTTTGGGGCTCAACTTTAGTTCCTTAAAAGTGTCTGGTCATATCTGATCAAATAAGCATCATTCTCAAATATGACATCCAGGCAAAGCCTTGGTTGTATTACCAATGTTTTTGCTTGCATCCTGTTAACAAGGAGGACAGACTCTTATGGTATCTATGCAAATAACTATATTGCCATGAAGATAACAAGACTCAATGAGAGTTTCCAGATTTGGAATGGGTGAGTCAGGGAAGAAAAGAAAGAAGTTTCATTTCTGTTTACAAGAAATTAGCATAGTCTATAAAATTGTTTGAGCGATAACTTAAGAGAAAAAGAAAAGAAATTCTTACTTCCAAAAAATAGAGCAATAAAACCTTAACAATATTTCAAATAGAAATCATAATCATCTGCTCATTCAGTTCTATAAAATTCACTCTTCTTCCACCTGATCTTGTGTTGTTTCATGAATGCATCTGCTTCTCAACTAGACATCTGCAACTCCTGACTCAGTCCAATGGTATGATTTCATAGTTGTTTAAACAATGCCATCAGAAATCTGTTCCCCAGAGTATATGGCATGATCCTTTTCCACCAGACTCTAAGATTGTTCCTTTTTGCTGAAGATAGAACACCTTAGCCTATAATTGATTGCAAGGATTTTATGGAAACATCAGTGTAAAACAGAACAAACAAAACTATCAGTAGATGACAAAAGTCTAAAAATGGCTATCATGTACATATTATTGATAATTTTCAAAAGTGAATAATCTGAATAGAGTTCATTATAAGAATAATGCAATTGACAAACACATCTGGCTGTTTCTGTTGTACAAAACAAAATAAATTCAATCCAAAAAACATTTTAGAGAAAATATCTATCAACACAATGTATTAGCAATATTTTCAAAGAGGCTATATTACATCCAATTTATAAAAATGCTTATATATAACCTTACAAAGAAAACATTTTCATATATAACATAAAAATCCTGAGACATTAGATGCCACAAATACCTAGCACTTCATTAGAATTTACTAAAAATATATCAAAGTTATCAAGTAAATAGAGTCAGTACATCTGAAGTAGATTCTAAACATTAGAGTATTAATAAAAATGCATAGATAAGTGAAGTGAATCCTCAACGTAAAACTACCAGCCTAGCATATACTGGTTCCAGATAAAAGAAGTAAAGTTGCAACCAAGTTAAAGTTTGAAAATATAATTAATTATGACTGATAACACTATACTGCTTTTATCTAACAACAAGCAAAGCGACCCCAGGACTCTGATAAATAGAAATACATCATGGACAGTGAAAACATTAACAATTCTGGCGTTTGTGTTGTCATCTCTTATAGCACCTCCTGTTTCCCTGGCAATCCTCAGAACCCAGACAGGAGCGTGGCCCCATCAGTGCATGCTGAAGGGCGAAGGGCTGGTACCGAGAATTATCCATTTCAAGCAGAAGGAAAATGGACCAGTTGTGGTGTTGGGACACATTACAGGATTGCCTGAAGGCCAGCAGATGCCATGTTCATCAGTGTGCAAATAATATACAAGGCTGTACCAGTGCAGGTCCTCACTTTAATCCTCTATCCCCAAAACACGGTGGACCAAAGGATCAAGAGAGGCATGTTAAACACCTGGGCAATGTGACTGCTGGCAAAGATGATGCAATGATGTGTCTATTGAAGATTCTATGATCTCACTCTCAGGAGGCCACTCCATCATTGGCCATGCAATGGTGGTCCATGAAAAACCAGATGACTTGGGCAAAGATGGAAATGAAGAAAGTACAAAGATGGGAAATGCTGGAAGTTATTTGGCTTGTGGTGTATTTGGGAATTCCCAGTAAACATTCCCTAGGATGAGGTCTGAGTGCCAGTAACACATGTGTTATCCTGCTAGCTGTAGAAATGTAACTTGATAAACATTTAACACTGTAATCTTAAAAGTGTAAAGAAAAAAAAAACACACACACATTCACAATTCTCCAGAAACTTCTTATGTAGAATACAGTTTTAAACATGTTTATGTTAATGACATTTTACCCACACAAATTTAATCTATGCAAACCTGAGCATCTCTTCCGATTGGACAATGCTTCCTAGACATCTTGTCAATGATAACATATCAAACAATCCTAACTGTTTCCAATTCTTGTCTTTTCCCACGGTGAAAGAACACATCTTTGCAACTTTCCAGAGGTCCTCTGGGAAATCTCAAAGGCAATTTTGGGCACTGAGGAGGCTGAGAAGACTGTGCTTGACTGTTAGCTGAAACAACTTTTGGCTGTTTGGCAGAGGACTAACAGGCCCTCTGCTTTATGTGAATTTCTCACTTTAACTTGTTTGCTCCATTTTGGGTGCAGACCCAGCCCCATGTGCCTGACCACAAACCAACATTTCCTGTCTCAATTCTCCTATTCATATAACGTTTGAGGACGTTTGTTAAGTTTTAAGAATTCCCTCCCACCCCCAGATTTTCGCAGGGTTTTGTTGATTTCCCCTCAACTTTCCACAGGTATCTTAAAAGCTTTGCTCACTCATCCCTTCTCTGACTTAGGATTTGAGCATCTTTCTGTTATGCTGTTGCCCCACTCCTATTGCAATACTCCCCTTCTTAAGAAAGTTTTTCTAGACTAATGTCTAGATTAAACTTCTTTTCTTTGACAATAATGATGCCATGACTTGGACAAAATGCCCATTGCCTCTGGGTCCTGCTTTCTTCACCCAGTGCTGCCTTATTGGACTCCTTGTGCCTCTCCTTGGCTGGGGAAATCAGAATACACAGTGGTAAGTCATGATTTCTAATCCAGTGCTCCAGACGTCTGTCTGTTGTAGCACAGTGAGAAGTTGACTTATATTTCTCTCATTTTTGTCATTTTCTTCTGTTTTTCCATCTTTCCCTTCTGCCTTTTTTGAGTGTGGTGAAAGCCCCTCATTCTCTCCTGAGAATCATACCTGAGTTGAAATCCCAAAGCCTCTAGCACCAGCAGGTGTCCCTTCCATTATCATGAGAAACCGTCAATTTGGCTGTTGTTCTCCAGAACCCTCAACTCTGGGGTATGCTCTGTGTTACTATGGTAATAATTCCACCCACTTTCTTCCAAAAAAAAAAATGGCAATATTTTACAACTTAAATTTCAATGGCCTCTTTGGAGAACGTAGAATTTTTCCAAATTGCCTCATTCTGCGAAGGGCAATTGAATCCTGTGCCACCAAGATCTCATCCAAGCAATAGATGCTTTGTTAGTGGTGGTGGGCATTTGGTACAAAGAGGCAGAAAAAAAAAATGCTCTCTCTCAAAAACTTTTCAGTGACCATTGCTTCTTTCAAAGACAGTCATCCTTCCCCAATCTGTGACCTGTGTCTTCTCATCACCTATCCCCCAATCTCTCTTTTCTACCATCTTCCATGTTCCCTTCAGCTCCCTTTAATCCTTGGATCTTCCTCTTTCAACCCTCTATCTCCTCCACCTTTCCATCCACTCCTGCCAGACCTTTCCTCTCCCACTCTGGCCCCTCAATTCCTTATAATCCCTTGAGCTTTAAGTCCTGTCCCTTCATGGGAGGCTCTAGAGAAGCCCAGGGGCACTAAGAGCAACAGCCTGAGGCTAAAAAGGCTCACCGGAAACAGGCTGAATGTTTTATCCCCTCAGGTGGGCTCTGGAGACACCAGATGACCGCTTGGTCTCTCCTCCATGCCTCCCTTGAAATTGAGTCCACAGCTTCCCTAGAATTATACACCAGAGCCAAGGGTAGCTTATGGGTCTCCTACACAAATATTGGTGAAGATGCTTCAGTTCTCATACTGAACAGGTTACTTCAACTTGCCCCATCTACCAAAAATATTATCCTTGTAAAAATATAAACGTGAGGCAATGATGATACTTTGTTTGTTTGTTTATTTGTTTGTTTTTTGAGATGGAATCTCACTCTGTTGCCAGGCTGGTGTACAGTGGTGCAATCTCGACTCACTGCAATCTCTACCTCCCAGGTTCAAGCGATTCTCCTGCCGCAGCCTCCAAAGTAGCTGGGATTACAAGCACATGCCACCATGCTCAGCTAATTTTTGTATTTTTAGTAGACACTGTGTTTCACCATGTTGGCCAGGATGGTCTCGATCTTCTGACTTAATGATCTGACCGCCTTGGCCTCCCAAAGTGCTGAGATTACAGGCATGAGCCACCGTGCCCAGTCAATACTCTGTTTTTTTATATGAATCAGTGAGTTTTGCATTTCTGTGATTATGCCTAAGTCATGGCTAAAATTTAAAAATTAAAGCTGTAAGTTGGCTATGTCTGCCTATATGTTTATGTATGTGTGTTTGTGCATGTGCACATACATTTTGTTTGTGTAATATTTTCCTACCTCCAGATGGTATTACCACATTAAATTATAAAACGCCTTAAATAAGCTCCTTCTGGATTGTCTTAGAGATGAATGAGAGCCTACATAAGTTAAGTATTCTTGAACTTCCTTGAAATTAGGAAAATCAAATTTCTAATATCATCAATGTGAAAAAAGTATTTTTATAAAAGCTTAACAAAGTGTTTAAAAATTCAAGTTCACCTAATTTAGATAAACCTTTGGCCATTGAGAGTAGTTTAATATAATTGATTTAATAAATATAGCTATGTCTTCTGAGTTGTCCACATGGTAAGAATACATTTTTGTTCTACTTGAGTATTTTTTTCCTAAACCTATACAAATATACTGAATCTCTTTGCTTGATAATCTAAATATATTCTTGGTATATTCTAACTATATGTTTGATATATTCATGACACATTATGTCTCATGATTATCATGTTATTTCTTTTTTTTTTTTTTTTTTTTTTTTTTTTTGAGATGGAGTCTCACTCTGTTGCCCAGGCTGGAGTGCAGTGGCACGATCTCGGCTCACTACAACCTCCGCCTCCCAGGTTCAAGAGATTCTCCTGCCTCAGCCTCCCGAGTAGCTGGGACTACAGGTGACTGCCATCACACCTGGCTAATTTTTGTATTTTTAGTAGAGACGGGGTTTTACCATGTTGGCCAGGCTGGTCTCCAACTCCTGACCTTATGCTTGTGATCCGCCTGCCTCAGCCTCCCAAACTGCTGGGATTACAGGCATGAGCCACTGCGCCCAGATAATCATGTTATATCTGAAAATGTTTTCTCTATAAAAACTATGCCCATCCACTTTCATAAATTTGATGTAATATCCACCCTTTTTTGAAAATAAAATTAATTATTATGTTTACACATATTTTCTCTGAAACTTTTTGTAGCAACTTTAAGTGCCATAACGACAATTAAATTTTTCTGTCAATGTATTATTTTTATAGCAAACTTTCATCAGATCTTTTACTTTCAAAAATTATCAAAAATATGTTAACCACAGCAATTTTAAGTCTTTTGTTATCTATGGAGGACTTTGTTTCCACAAAAAAGGACTGACTCAGAAGTATGTGGAAAAGGATTATGCTAGGTGCTGTTGTGTTAAAGTTTCTAATTACGTTGTTTAAGTAACTTTGGGACCAAAACAATGAACTGAGTTAGGAATTCCAGAACTCTAGTTGAAAAAGAGATGGGTTCATAAGCCTACTAATCCGGGATCAAGTGGGACAAGAACTAATTCCACAGGAGTGAATGAACTGATGATAGATAATTATGGGACTTTTTTGGAATAGGGCTATAGGGCTATTCCTTTAATGTACTATTTTCTTTTTTTTTTTGAGACAGAGTTTTGCTCTTATGCCCAGGCTGGAGTGCAATGGCGTGATCTCAGCTCACTGCAACCTCTGCCTCCCAGGTTCAAACAATTCTCCTGTCTCAGCCTCCCAAGTAGCTGGGATTACAGGGTAGTGCCACCACACTTGGCTGTTTTTGTATTTTTAGTAGTGACGGGTTTTCACCATGTTGGCCAGGATGGTCTCGATCTCTTGACCTCATGATCCACCCGCCTCGGCCTCCCAAAGTGCTGGAATAACAGATGTGAGCCACCACGCTCGGCCTAATATCCTATTTTCTGGACATAAGAAAACCCCTCCTCTTTTTTTTAAGCTATTCATCACTCATAACAATTTCATAGACCATGCTAATTTCTTGTAAACAGAAATGAAACTTCTTTCTTTTCTTCCCTGACTCACCCATTCAAAATTTGGAAATTCTCCTTGAGTCTTCTTATTTTCATGGCAATATGGTTATTTGCATAGATTCAGTAAGAGTCTGTCCTCTTTGTTAACAGGGCACAAAAACATTGGTAATACAACCAAGGCTTTGCCTGGATGTCATATTTGAGAGTGACGCTTATTTAATCAGATATGACCAGACACTTTTAAGGAACTAAGGTTGACCTTATAGGGCCAATGCTTACAAAGCTCCTCTTGCGAAAACTGGCTTGAAACCTGGCTTTGCAGGGTTTGCAGCTTTGCAGGTGAGCAAGGAATGTCACTTCCCAGCAGGCTCTGGAATCTTAGGATATTTGTGGGATCTCAAGAAGAAAGGAATGCCTGCCAAATCGATAGGTACTGCATGTGAAATCTGATGTGAGTTGTTGGCTTGGCTTCTTATCCTCAAGAGGCTTTGAAAAGTCCAATTTGACATTCTTTATGAAAACTTCCAGCAAAGCAAATATAATATGATCTATATGTAAATTGCTGCTCTTGCAGCACCTATGCAAATAACCAGGCCGAATCTCATGAGACCAACCTTAATTTGTGATCAAGAATAATCTTTCTTTGAGATTGTCTTTGATCAAAAGAGGAGGAGTAACTGTAGAAAGAAAATTTGTGTTTCCATGGGAAATCATAGCACATCTTTCTGGATTATCAGATTCTGATCCTGTTAATTTGTGTTTGAGCTATTTAGTGCCTCTTGGTAAACTGAGAGTAACTGATAGTTATGCAAACTCTCTCTTCTCTAGTAGAGATTTAATTGACTTTCTCTCACACTATGGGACAATCAGTTTTTGTAACTACTAATAAATTGTACTTGAATCTGTTATCTTGCACAAATTGTCCACTTTTACTAAATTTTCAAATCTTCCAATTTCCCTCAATATCTAGCCATAAACCCCTCAACTAACGTTCCAATTTTTCTCCTTTTTTGTTACTCATAGTCACTGAGAAAACTTTACTATCCAGATGACAGTTAAGACCCTAGGTTGCCTTGTGGCTGGCCCCCAGTCTCTGAAGTATTACTACAATCTCAAGTCTGATGACTTGTTATAAACATATAAAGACCCATCATTGCTAGCAGACTATGCATGGTTCTCTTTTTCTCTGGACAAGCCCTGACTGGACCACAAAAAAAGGATGGGAAATGCTCAGGTCACGCATGTTCTGATAGAAGAGGTAATCCAGGCTCTGGGCAACATTACCAAGAGCATCAAAACGCTCAAAGAGCAATGCTACATGATCAAAAGGGCTCATCCACTAACCCCCTGAAATCCCCTGAAATGGATACCCTTGGGTTCAACTTCTGTCTTTCTCAGTTTAATCTCTCTTTCTATATTAACATTTCTCTTTTTTCCTTTTAGGTATCCCACTTCTAAGATGCCTGATCTGAAGGACAGTAAAACAACTGACCTTTGCCAGCATGTAAAACACATGGTTTAACTAGTCCTCCAGGAACAACACTGAGCAATCCTGACCTGGGACTACTTTACTCGGCCATCTCCTACTTGAGATGCTCCTTGTCTCTCTGTTCAAGGACACCTTTTCTGAGCCTTTCTTGAACAAGAGTGGAGGACCGATAGGGCGATTAAACTGTCCTTGACACAACTTTAGGTTGGTTTGCCTAAACTACTAGGTTCTCAATCTATATGAACCTCCTCCAGCATTCTAATTTGTTTGCTCTGTCTTAGACCCAGAATCCCACCCCATGTGCCTAACCATAGACCAATCTTCCTGCCTTAACTTCTCTGCTACCAATTTTGATGTAGCCCAGTAAGTTTCAGCATCATCCCTCACCACCCCACAGTCCCTCACCCTGCCCCCACCCCCACCACACACACACATACCAGCTCTTAGCATCAAATCCCCTTCCATTTTCCATAAGCATCTCTTCCCAGGTCTCTGCATATAAAAGCTATGTTTGCTCACCCCATGCCTGAGACTTTCCTGGCTTAGATCTTGAGCATCTTTCTATTATAAGATTCTCCCTTAGTAATGATTTCCTCACTTAACTTCAGATTTGTACATTTTTTTTTCATTGACAGTGCAAAAGATACCATTTAGGATTTGATTTTCAGAAGGTAAAATATAAAACATTGTCAGGAAATTCGAATACTTAATTAAGTAGGATAATGGATTACTGAGAAATAGTACTTGGTTATCTATTTAATCAAATGATGTAAAATAATTTTAGAGTAGATATAGGAGGTAACATAATTGCAAAGAACTTCATCTCTTTTATATGAAGACTGTTCTCTTAAATAATCAAGGACTCGAAAAAGTCAGCACAAAGCATGGAAAATTATTCTGATGAGATTCTGAATGTTTATCTTCTAAGAAGATTACTCAGAAGGTAAAGAAAAATATTTTACAAGCTCTTACTAAGAGAATACACTAATCCAAAAAAATTATTTTAATAGAGAATAAAACAAATTCTAGTTTTGCATCTGCATATTTGATACTAATGCTTATATTAAACATTTTGTAAACAAACCCATTAAACTTCAGCCAGCTGTGACTACAAGAAATAAAATTTCCTATCCATGAACCTTCTACAGCTTTCTCTATCTAGTTAGGGTTTTGTAGGGTTTTGCCCTACACTTTCCCCTTTCTCATCCTGGAATAACTACTCATTTTACTTCAGAAAAAAATTACTCTTGTTTTCCTTAACAAAAAAATATCCTGCATACCTTGCACTCAAAATGTTCCTTTCTGCCACAGTCACTTCTACTAGAGTCTCATTCATCTTATTGACATATATTGATTATAACTTTTTTTTTTTTTTGAGACAGTCTCGCTCTATCACCCAGGCTGAGTGCAGTGGTGTAATTTTGGCTCACTGCAACCTCCGCCTCCCGGGTTCAAGCAGTTCTCCTGCCTCAGTCTCCTGAGTAGTTGGGATTACAGGCGTGCGCCACCATGCCCAGTTACTTTTTTTATTTTTAGTAGAGGCGGGGTTTCACCATTTTGGTCAGGCTGGTCTCAAACTCCTGACCTCATGATCCGCCCGCCTCGGCCTCCCAAAGTGCTGGGATTACAGGTGTTAGCCACCGTGCCCGGCCTTGATTATTTTTAACTACGGTAACTCCTATTGCATAGAGAAACTTTGGAGGTAGTATAAAAGAAAAGTTACTGGATATGTATTAAAACAGCCAGATAGATCTTATTCAAACTGCTGCAGTAGGAGAGAGAGGTTTCTGTATGGAACTGAGCTCAACTTCTAATACAGCAAAGACAGTTGTGGATTTATAGCCAAGGAGTAGAGCAAGGTGGTAAGCAGATGGAAATTTACTAAGAACTTACCTAGATATCAAAGGTAGAGGGATTCTTGCTAAACTGGCTTAATAAAATTATTTTAAATAATAAAACTGTTAATTAATAAAACTATTAATAATAAAACTACTTTCTAAAACTAAGATATCCAGAGTGGAGAGTGAGAAACTTGATCAAATATCCAGTAGTCTAATATCAAGAATTAGTAAATTCTTGATAAATTCGCTAAGCAGGAATCTTTACTAAAACTCGGCTGGGCAGGCCAAGGTCAAAGTCTACTTAGGAAGAATGCTCCAAGGAGCCTAACTCAAGTTTGGTCAAGGGAAGAGTCTTTTTCAGTGGATAATTGTGAACTATTTTCATACACACTATTTCGTAGCAGACTAATAGATCTTATGAATATACATCTCATTATTTTTGCAGTAATAAACATCCCTATAATAAAACTCACTGTAGCAAAAAATAAACATGCTCATTAACACACCCAAATATATAGGCTCTCCGTATTATATAAAAAATAAGCAGCAAAAAGTCTACAAGCAGAAAATTATACTTAGTAATTAATGCTTCAGTATTTTATTATAGTTAGATAATCTAGGTATCTAATGAATGCCCATTAATTAACCAAATTTAGCATCAGTCTAAAGTTTTATGTTATCAAAAGATCTTGGTCTTGAGCCAGGATGACACACTATAAAATGTAATTAGTTACTTTTGAATTAACATTTGTCAAAACAGTGATTCAATTTAACTAAATGCAAATTTATATTTTTATAATTATAAACATATAGTAACTAAAATGATAGATTATTAAACCAAGAAAGCTGTATAAGCTGAGGAAGAATGTGCATAAGTAGATTAAAATGTATGCTTGTGTAATACCTAATACTGAGAACTCAGAAGACATAACTGTTTTAATTAAACCAACAAAATAAAGCTAGTCTCATTTGCCAAAATTTACCTAAATTATGTAACTTAAATTCTTAGAATATTCAAGCTAGTATCTATAAGCATATTAAAAGTAGAAATGCAATTATCTTAATTTCCAGAAATTTTTGAATATTTTATTTATATAAGACTTTAGTTAGTTCTAAGTCAATCAGAAAATAGTACCTTTAAAAATTTTGATAATCTAATTTAGTAATACCATCTGGAGGCAGGAAAATATTACATACCCACAGACACATAAATATACATACAGATCTAGAGAACTTATCATTTTAATTCTAAAATCTCAGCCATAGACCAGGCATAACACAGAAATACATAACTCACTTGTTCCTATAAAAAGGGCTCTTTTCGTTCCACTGGGTAGAAATTCTTGATTGAGTTCAAAATAGAGAAAAAAATAGACGAACAAAAATAACAAACCCAATTTTCTGGCATCTTTCTGACGTAACAGAGACACAATATCTGCAAACCATTTAATTCATTTACAGAGATTACCAAGTGACCACATACACACACACACACACACACAAATCCAGCACTAGAGATCAACTGCATACTCAATGAAAATTAAATTCCTACCATGCTACCAACAGACAAGAGTCTGGAACATTGAATTAGGAATAGGGCTCACCTTTAGGTCCCTGTATTGCCAGTCACAAATGGAGCATGAAGGCTCCAAGTGTCCTTATTACCTGGGTGGAGCAGATGGAGATCTGAAGGCATGGTCCCATTTTGAGTCATGGCAGCAATCCTGTCAAAGAAACAGACAAGTTAAAAGATTGCTTTTATTTGGGCTATTGCAATAGGGAAACCACCCTTATCTGAAGATGATGGGAATGGCTCAGCCTCTTAGGCAGTTTGGCTTTTATAGGGAGGGGTAAACAAATGCAAATGATGTGGTTTAACACTGTGGTCAGTTGCAAACTGCAGATGTCACAGTTTGTTAACTTTCCAAAACATTTGGAGATGTTTTTCTCAGTAGTGGTTGTGGTTTTTCTTAGTAAGCTTCGGAGAGCAGAGATTATCTCAGCTAATCAGCTATGAGACAAAGAACAGGATGTAGATTTTTTTGCTTTGTCAGCAGGTTTTGTCAGCAGATGAAAGGGGACAGTTTGTGGTAGGTCTTGTCACACTTGACCAAAGATCTTCTAGAATAGTTTCACACAGAGATAACATCAAACAGAAAAACCAGAAACAGGAAGGGGGCTGCGGTCATTCCCACCCCCACCCCCCACCCCAAGTAAAGCTAAGAGGCTGAGGCATACCTCCTTGCAGCCTAGCTCACTTACTTGCATGTGATGCACTTCCTTCCCATGCCTGCCTGTCCCAACCCCACCCCACCTTCTTACACATAGCCTTTCTTGCCCTGTGAATACCCATTTCTACACCTCTCTATTTGCACTGATGCTGACTCAATCAGTGTGTCACCTCATCCCTCCAAGGCTACTGTACTACCTTCCAAAATGGCTGCCTTCGTTCCACTCTTTTTTCTCACAATTTAGTTTCCACAGAGAAGCCAGAATGAACAAAAGTGAAAATCTGATTTTGTTACCAACCTGTTCAAAATTTTTCTGTCTCTCCCTATTGCCCTTCAAGGAAAGCCTATGCTACATAGCACAACATTCAAACCCTTCATGTTCCAAGTCACCCCCTTTTTTTGCCAGCCCTTAGCCAACTCTACATTCCAGCTGTGCAGAAGCTCCAGCTGCTTTCCTACACCCCCTGCAATTCTCTATGTCTAGGACTTTGCTTGTGCCTTTCCTTCACCCCCTGCAATTCTCCATGTCTAGGAATTTGCTTGTGCCTTTCCTTCCACCTCCAATGTCCTCCCTCCAACTGGCTAAGTCCCAATGTATGTATATAAGAATTTAGAGGATACCTCTTCTGGATTTATCCCAGGCCCCAACTTCAGCCCCCAGCCTTCCCCATCACCTTGAAGCTGAGTCTGGCTGAAATTCCTCTATTCCCTACCCTTTCCAGTCACAACACCTACCACACTGTTTAGCAAGTTCCTCCTTCTTTTTCTGTCTCAGCAGCTAGACCAGGAGCTCCCTGCAGGTCAAGACCATGTGTTCTCTGATGCTTTCTCATGGCAAGGGGAGACATAGGGTTGCAGTAGTGAGTGGGCATCTGTTCTCAGAAGGCAGTGCCTGGAGCACTATAAGTACTTAATAAACTCTTGTGAAATTAAAAAGTGGGTGAATTCACCATTTGTGTTTAAAATTGTGCAATACACTGGATTTACAGAACACATCTCAAATCCTGTAGAAACAAGACAAACTCATATAAAGCAACTAGCAAAAACTGAAGACTCTAAGAGGTAGAATATGAAATAGAATGATTTATGTTAATCAATTGTGTTACATCTCATGAAACCTAATGAATGTTAGAACATGGTAACTAGCCACTCTGGGGGTCTGGATATTCACTTATTTTAGGATTGACTTTTTTAACTCAAACCCAGGAGAGAATTCCTCCTTAAAAGCTAATTCTTGGGATACCTTCTGAGCAAACCCCATACTGAAATCAGTTTCATTCCTTTTTAATTAACCAATGTGAACATCCTCTTGGCTTTCATGACTAATGGGATGTATTCCTCAAAGTCACATCCACACTCACAACTATATTGGCTCCCACACAGTACTCTATGCATGCCCAAGGCTTGATAGATACTGCCTGACTTGGTGACTTGCAGAACAGCTGTACACCACTTCTGGGAGGGTTATGATTTCCTTAATATGAGTCTTGGTTTTTTTAATCTCAAATGTATCGTCTGCAATATCAGTCAATATTGTTAAGATCATTGTCACAATTTTTAAAAAAAGTATGTATCCTTACTAACCATATTCATAAATATGAGTTACAAAGTGTAGAATAACTTCAGAAGAAGCATACTCCAAAACTGCAGAGTAGTGTTGTAGGTAAATTGCCTCTTATAGACACTGCATCTCAGTAGAGGGCACTCAGGGGACTAGGAAAGGTCTGAGGTGGAAAATTCATGGTTTAATTTGGGTTCCCCCAGAAGAAGACCCTGACACAGGATTATTGCAAATAGATTTGGAATGGGATCCCAAGAAACATCAGTAGGGGGCTGGAGAAAGAGAGAGGCAAGAAAAAGAAGCTAAAGGGGAATGTCATTGTAGGAAACAAGGTCTCAGTCTCCAGGAGATGGAGCAGAACAGCCTCAGAGATGACTCACCTGAGCAGTAAGAAATATGAAATATTTAATATAACAATTTCCATTAACTATTAGTTGACAGCTGCCCTGAGGATATTAATTCCCTGCGTTTCAGCCCACCTAACATCAGAGCAAACATATTATCATGGCAGAGGGAGCTCCTAGGTAGAAAATCATGGATTCTTGTAGTACAAAGAACATAGACTCTATTATATTTCAGCTGAATCTAAGCTGTTGCATGTGTAATAAGCTGTCTCAGCTGATAGGCAGGCAAAAAAGAATTATGAATTTATTTAGCTTCATTAAATTTCTGAAACACACCATCCAATAACTGGGTTTCCAAACTCGTTCTCAGAATGTTCATTCACTCCTTTTCTACCTAAATGAGAACAGTTACCTCAAGCGAATTAAACATGCAGATTCTGTCCTTTAAGCTTTCATTCAATCCATATCCAATGCATGTTTCTTGTAGGTCCAGAAGCAGATCCTGCTGCAGGGATCCCAGTATAAATGATGTACTAAGGATGTTCTCTTATAAGAAGGCAGACAGGAAGCAGGAGACGGAAGGGAAGAAGCCAAGCAGATGTGTGATTTCTCAGGAAGCTCCAACTGCAGCCTGGTCTGCAGAAGGCTCTGAAGTATAAAATATACCCTAGGGGTGGTCCTGACTTAAAGGAGCTGGGTTATTCTATTCCCAATAGACAATCAGGCATTGGAAACATTGCCCTGAAATACTCTGGGTGGGACACATTAAGTTTGTCTCATCTGTCACAGCTTCTTACATTTTCAGGTTAGTCACAATTTCTAGGAGAAAATTTATAAACAGAAAAGTTAGTGGAAAAAAGTCATCTGTTGTAGCATTTAGACCTGAGGCCGTAAGTGATGGTCATCATCCCTCTTCTCTGACACTGTTTTAGATTCCTCATGAAGCTTTGGCTAGTGCCTCTGTCAGTGTGGGTGACCTTCCTGGAGGGGCTACTAAAACCACCATCCCTGAGGAGTCTCGGCCCCTAGTTACCACATTCTATCAAGCCATAGCATGATAATTCTAAGAGATGCCCCAGTAGGTTTCCTAAGTGCAGAACATTTTGTCTGCTCCCCTTATATAGCAGCAACGCCTTCTCATGGTCCTGGCAACTCAACTCTTTCATGCCATCTCCTGCTGCTGAGCATCCACTGAGTTTCAGCTCAAGATCTCACCTCTTCCATAAAACCTTCCCTGGTCCTTGCATTCCTCAATGCCTTCTTGTCCCCATAACTCAAAGAAGTTCCTGCTTATGCCTCTTATCTGGCCTGAATCGCATTCTGCATTGTAATTCCTCATTAGAGAATTTTTATTGACCTTGGACTATGCAATTTGGTTGACTTGTGAGTGTATGTGTTGTCTTTTTATGGGAACCTGAGCACCTGAACAGGGTTCTACCCCACACTTCACGGGCTGCCTCCAGTGCCGGATACAGGTTGCTGTGCATCCCCAGGCCTCAGGGAACTCACCATGAATTAGCAACTGAACAGCTTACAGAATATCATCTCTGCACTGTAGAACTAATTGTGATTTTTTCTTATCATAAGTCTTGCTTCCAAGAGTTCTCTAACTTATTTAGTTGTCAGTGACACTCATTATCATTCAGGCCACAATCGTCTTTCAAAAAAAACCCAACAGCTTTCAGAGGCTTAACCATATTATATTTTAAAACCAGCCCTTAAAAGCACATATTTCTAGATGCTTTATTATTAATCCAAATTGTGTGCAAATGAATGCCATAACTTTCCCCTACGAAGGACAGGTGTTTCGTTTTTTTTTCTTTTTTGGCATTACTCAGACCTTGAGGTTGACAAACCTACTTTGGGGACATTGGGTATTTGTGGAGAAGGCATAGAAACATTTACATAAAGAGGCAATTCAAACTATGTTGAACACCTTTTGGGTGCCAGGAATTGCCCAAGAGACTTTACATAGACTGCATTGTCCAGAGGTTTTTTCTTCTCTTTTTTTCTGAAACACATATGTTGGAGTATTTTGAGGCATTTTATAGCCTCTTGTGGGAGCTTAAAGAGACAGGAGGAAAACTCATGTCACTTCGTTTTGCAATTAATTACTTCTTCTGGGAAGACTTTGCCTTGTAATTGTAGTATTTATCTCTATGTATTTATTATTTCTGATTGTTTCTGTCTTGTATTCTCTACTCAGAAGCAAAAATTGGATAGAAAAATAGTACTAATCTTGACTATGTATCTCTAGGTATCTAATCTACTCTCCACAAATAGTATTGAGATGAAATAAAATATTTATGTTACTATTAATGGAGCTTAAAATCTATTGAATGCTTGCTGTAAGCCAGGCACTCTGCACAGCCCTTTATACATATCATCTCATTTAATACTCACAGCAATTTTCAGAGGCAAATACTATTATCATCTCTGTTTCATAGATACAGAAATTAAGGCTCAGGGCAGCTGAACAACTTCCCAAAGACCATACATCTAGTAGGTAAAGAAACTGAGCTTATGCTGCACAGAGGAAAAAAGCCTCCCTCCTTGGTTCTCTCCTTGGAGATGGCTAAAGAAGTTGTATTCTCAGCCTGTGATCTTGCTAGCCGAAAGATCACAAACTCTTTGGGTCTCAGCTTCTTTATTTATTGAATAGATACTCTAATGTCCACACTGCTATGCTCATCTATCTGTCCATCATTTATCCATCTTCTAGCATTTAACTTTCACTGTTTTACATTTTGCTTATAAGAGTTACTGATAGCTCTCAAAGAACATAAAGTATGTCACATTCATCTTTATACCTAGAGTTCCTAGGCCACTATTCTAAACACTTTAAATGTATTAAATCATTTATTCCTCATGATACCATGAGAAAGGTATTCTTTTTATCCCCACTTACTTCAGACTTAAGGAGGTTATTTGACACCAGTCACAATTACATTAATGGTGTCAGATAGATTTGAACATAGATATCTGGCTCCAGAGTCCACGCTCTTAATTACCATGCTATACAAGAAAGCAACTTAATTTTCTTCTCAAATCCAGGTGCTGTTTCAGAATAGATTTTCATATGTGTTTTTATCTCGTTTTTCTCTTTACTCTTTAGCTCTTGTTTTTATTCCATGATCTGTATTTATTTTTGTGTAATTAGAGATGTGATTTTTCACTGCATATTACTTTTAAAATCCCAGATATGAAATCTCATGTGGACATTAATTTTAATTTGCCATTGATTTTTTTCTTAGAAGTAACACTGAAAGAGAAAAATTTTCCTCTAATTTTTAAGTTTTATGACCTTAAATGTCACAGGTAGCAAAAATGCCACTTTGGCATAATAACAATTTTGAGTAAAAAAATTGTGAAGAAATAGATAACCCCCCCCCAAAAAAAAAAAAAAAGCTCTCCACCCTCCACCTGTTTTCCTAAAATTAGGAAGTAAATTTGCAAAAGTGCTCCTCTTGACCTCTGTACCAGGAAGGACGACAGTTAATCACCAGAGACAACTGTAGAACCTTGTCATCCTGGAGATGGGACGGTACCAGAAGGATCTGCATAATAAACTTTACCAACTAGACTTCATCTATGACTAGTTTTTCATATATTTGCATTTCCACAATTTACTATCCCTAGAGGTTAAAGGTCCCTTTCCTCTGTCTTGTCACTTCTTTAAAAATTTATTGTTCCTTTGCTATATAAGTCCGAGTTCTAACCAAACCTTTAAGCTACTCATCCCTGAGTTTCTCTCATGTACATAGGAGATATACGCATTAGTAAACTTCTGTTGGTTTTTTGCTCATTAATCTATCTTTTGTTGCAGAGCTTCAACTGAGAATCTAGAAGAGAGTAGATGGAAAAATATTTTTCCCTCCCCTCCAAATGCAAGGATAATCTTACACGAGTCCAGGAGGAAGGTAAGTAACATTAAAGATACAAGAAGATGAATGGCTTCAGATTTTGCCTTTTAGACTTTCAGAAGACAAAGGTTTAGATGAAAATCAACACAAATCTAGGATAAACAAAGCAATTTCAAGGAGTGGTAAGTCCTAGATATGCTAATTTTGGTCTCTGCAGGTCATAGAAAACAGAATTAAGACATAGGGACTGAAAAAGATTGTTACCTAAGTCCTTCACCTTTAAAAATGAGAAGTAATAAATAATTTAAAATTCAAACTAAGTGGAACATAATTTTAAAAAATGAACACTGTGACGAAAAAATCAAGAGCAGTAAAGCATCGGAAAAAAAGAAAAAAGATTGGTCAGCTGAGCTATTCATTGTGAAAACCTTGAGGTACAACCAAAGAATATCCAAAAACATTTCTGCCATCAAAAGATTACCCTTAAGATTAATATTAAGAAATAAAGGAAATGAAGCCTAAAATATAAACAGATTCACTTTTTAATGTGACTTTTATCATTTACTTAAAAATCTGCAGTCAGAAAACATAAAAAGAACATTCACTAACCAGAGCCAAGTGACTACTCTCCCACAAGTTCTTAACACATTACAGTAAATTGTTATAGGCATAACCAACATCACACACACACACACACACACACACGTTGCACACATTCTTCCCAGCATTCTTGCAATTGGTTTGGGATCCATTAGTGAGAGATGTTTTTGTAGCCACACGTTTAACAAATTTAGAAAAGAAAATAGAATAAAATAGCATTTAAGCATATGACCTCAAACTAGGGAAGCAATAATATACATAGTAAAGATGGATGATGATGGATAGATAGGTAAATCATAGATAGATGATAAACAGGTGGATGGATGGATAATAAATAGATGATAGATAGATAGATAGATAGATAGATAGATAGATAGATACATACATACATACATACATACATACATACATAGATTTCAATTAATGTGCATTCAAAAAAAGATTAATCACAATATTCACTCAGAATATTTAACTGTAGAAAGGTGATATTCCAAGGCCATCAACAGGCTAATGCAAGTCTGCAAATGTTTATCTCTGACAAGATGAGTACTGAAATTGAGAGTAAGTCTTTAGAAACTTTTATAGACATTTGGCAAAGAAATTTCATGTCTGTTGAATCTGATGATAAAAAAGAGCTGCATTTTATGCCCTTTTAATAATTTTTGTAGTAATTGATTTTTATTCTATTTTATGAAAGAATCAGCATTAGAAATTTAAAAAAATAAAATTATCCTTTTCCCACAGGTAGTTTGAGAAGCTTTGAATAAAATTATATTTGGTCTTGGGGAAGCTAGGGATTCTTCCTTCTGTTGTGGTTATACAAAACATACATTTTAGGGGCCTATCATTTTATTTTTGCAGGTATTGTAATTGCTTACTGTCAATGTAAGAGAAATTACAGGAGGTGGGTGAGCTGAGAGAAAGGAAAAAATACCTTCCTGTTTAGTAGTTACAAGTTAGAACTGTAGGCAAAGTGTAACATTAGGAAATACAGCTGCTGGTTGACCAGTAGTTTGCCTATTTGTATCAATAGTCCTGAGGTTACTATTATTATTATTTTTAATCTATACAGTTTTTCAAAACTTTGTTATGGACTTCATTCTGTTATTCATAGATATGACAAGATAACTTGTCCCTTTAACTTCTGGGCTAAAGCTACATTTTAGACTAAAGGACAAGAAAAATGTAAGCATCCCTTTTAGGCTTTGGGGAATTAGTGGTATCTGTGACATTAGCCTCACTTTGTTTTGGTGGCACTTTTTATGTGCTGTGGTTTGCTGTCCATGCAGGGCAAAGCTGACCTCCAATGGGATGTATGTAAGCAAAAGGTGCCCAAGAGTATAAAGAACTAAAATCTTTATGCAAAAACAAAAGAAGATGTAAACCTCAAGCGTACCTCCACCCATTTACACTTTTTAGCTCCAAACCACAAAGAGAACAAAAAAATTACTTTCCCAGACTTGTTTTTTTGTCACGTTTTCTGAGAAAAGACATGGTTAACTCTTAAATGCACTGTCCTGGCCGGCCTTACTCTTAGATGTTGATCTTTTCATAAAATTGATAACAGTTGACTGCTCTTAGAGAGAATCTACCTCGCCCCCCAAACCACATCCCTGTTTCTTGGTCCACTGGTCCTATGACCAGCCTTGAACTACAGTACCTATAATGTACAAAATGTCTGCAAATTGCCAGATGTCAAGGCTACTTCACATTTAGACCAAACTTCATGCTAGCAACACATACAGTTTTTTTTTTCTCACCTCTATAACCTCTAAGAAGAAGTTTTTGTAAAATTAGGGCACAGTCCATTTTGCTGCCAGGCAGTTGTCTCTCCAGCATTCCTTCACATGGACTTTGTCTATGGGCGAGAGTATATGGCTAATATGAAATTCAGTGCTGCAGAAAATAGGATAAAAGTAAATCCTGAAACAAATTAAGCTCTTTTTGTTGTAGAATCTAAGGAAACCCCAAGCGTTGCAGTTAAATTCTTAAATACTAGTGACAGCCAGAGTGTGAAATGAATGGATTCCATTTCTGGCAGCAAAAACTGAGTACCTACAAATTAATGCATTAAGAAAGAGATGTTTTTTAAACACACACATACCCCACCCTAAATGTACAAGAACACACACATCAGTGGAGAGGGAAAGCCTCCATGAGACTGAAAAGGCTTTAAAATACCTATATTATTCTAAGTGGCAATCCATGTCAGTGGTGTTATTTCTGAGTCCTGTCATCCCCCATCCACACTCCATCCTAACTTCCACCACTAGATTGAATTATCCTAAAATAGAAACCTTATGATATATCCAATGGTCTAAAACTTCTTCATCCCCCAAACTCCACCCTTGCCATAGCACAGAAAAGGTCAAATTCCAAAGTCATACAAGTGGCCCCATCCATTCTTGATGTAGCTCCACTTACTTTTTAAGAAATTCATAATTAATAAATTTTTGTTGTCATTTATGGCAGTAAGAACATTTACCATAAGACCTGTCCTTTTAACAAATTTGTAAGTGTAAAATATCGTTAACCATAGGCACGATGTTGTACAGCTGATCTCTAGAACATGTTTTTCTTGCATAATTGAAACTTTATGCGTATCGAACAGTAACTCCCCATTTCATCCTCCTCCCAGCCCCTGGAAGCCACCTTTCCACTCTCTACTTCTATGAGATTATTTTAGATATTTGTGTAAGTCAAATCATACTGTATCTTTCCTTCTGTGACTGGTTTATTTCATTAGCAAAATGTCCTTCAGGTTCACCCACGTTGTTGCACTTATTTTTTATATTCATTTTCTGGTCTCCTCAGAGTTGCTCATTTATTGACTTCCAATGTCTATATCATAGGCTCCCCAACCCTGCACTTTTTTATTTGTGTGCCTTTTCATGAAGCTTTTCTACATTTTTGCAATTTAGACTACTTATCCTTTCATCACAGGGCATTTAGTCTTATATGCTGCCATTTATTGAAAGTTTATACTTCATTTTGGCATTTCTCGTTGGCTTTGTTTGTACTGCAATTTACAAGTCTGTGTGTTTCTGTCTAAAGTTTCCGATTAGGTTAAACACATGTCTTACACCACATTTATATCTCTCATAGTATTTAGTGCAGTGTCTTACACGTAGTAATTGTGCAGTAAATACTGTTTAATCGATTGAACGGTTGTAAACTCCTTGAGGGAACATTTTATTTGGTTTACTATCCCCAAAGCCTGGGAAGTACCTGACATATAGTAAATGCTCAGTAAATATTGCGTTGTGTATGAGGAGAAACAGAAAGAGGAAATTAGATGATTCTGCTAAGACCACACATTGCTAAATACAGAGGTCAATTCTCAGTTCTCTTCTTACTTGACCTAAATGCTTTTGATCCAGCTGATAACTTCTTCCTACTAAAAATGTTCCCTTTGCTTGATTTCCAGCACATTCCTTGTCTTGGTTTTTCTCCTATGTCACTGACTGTTTCTTCTCAGTCTAATTTGCTAATTTTTTGTCTCCTCCCAGTTGCTTTATCTGCAAAGTGTTAGGGATCAGTCAGTCTTCTTCTCTTCTCTTAACTACATTCACTCCCTAGGGGATCTCATTAATTCATGACTTTAAAAATCCCACATGTTGCTGACTCCCGTATTTACATCTTCAACCTTGACACCTTCACCAGCTCCAAAGTTATGGTATCCTGTTGCCTACTTGATGTTTCCACTGAGAAGGCCAACAGTGTTTCTAACGAATATACCCCTAGTCTTCTTCCTTGAGCCTGCCTTCCAGCAGTATTCTCCATCTCAGTTCAAAATGGACACATCCTTTTCTAGTATCTCAAACATTATTGGCAATCTCATCTCTTATATCTCAATCTGTGAGGAAACACTGTTGTGCTCTACTTTCAAAATATTTACAGACAGCAACACCTTCTCATCTCCCACCCCTTTACCATTGTTTACCTGAATTGTTACCAAAGTATGCACAGTTTATTCCCCACATGGCAGCCAGAGGGCTCCTTTTAGAATGGAAGTCAGATCATGGCACTCCTCTTTCACAACCCCAGAACAGCTCTCTCTTTCACTCAAAGCAAAACTCAAAGTTATTACAAGAAAATATCCTATTGAACTTCCCAAGTCCTCTCTGACTTCATCTCCTGCTAATTTCCCTCTTGCTCACATTCCTCTAGCTACCATGTTCTCCTTTTTATTTATTTTAGTTATCTATTGCTCCATAACAAGCCACCCAGAATTAAGCAGTTTAAAACAATTTGTTATATTCTCTATTGGGTCTGTGGATTAACTGACTTCAACTGGGCATTTGTGCTTTAAGGCTTCTTGTGTGGTTACAGTCCAATGTCAGCTGAGTCTGAAGTCATCTGAAGGATCCATGGGCTGATGTCCACGGTAGCTTGCTCACTCCAGTGACTGACAGTTGATGCTGAGAGCTGAGCTGGGATTGTGGACAAGAGCACCTACATGCCTCTGGCCATGGCCTTTCCACATGCCTTGGGCTTCTTATAGCATAGCAGCTATGGCATTCAGTGTTCTGAGGGTCAGAGTCCCAAGAGCAAGTGTTATAGGAGGCAGGAAGTAGAAATTGCCAAGCCAGTTAAAGACTATGCTTGGAACTGGCCCATCAACACTTCTACCATATTCTACTGGTTAAAGCAGTTACCAGTCCTGCCAGGATTTGAGGGCATGGAGTAATAAACTCCACTTGCTCATGGTAACATGGCAAGGTCACATTGCAAAGGAGCATGTGGGATAGAAGATATTATCAGGGAAGTCTCTGGAAAATCCTATTCTTCAAACACAACAGCTGCACTCTTACCTCAGTGCTTGCAGTAGCTTTTCCCTCTGCCTAAAATGCTTTTCTCTTGATATCAGCATGTTTTGCTTCCTCACAGCTTTCTAGACTTTGCTCTCTCACTTACTTCAACTCTGCTATTATGTCACCTTCTCAATGAGCTCTTCCTGGACCACTCTACTGAATATGACACATAAACAGTCTCCTTGGTGATCAAGGGCTCACCATTGCCCATTAACGTTGGCTTGACCAAACTTCAGCCAGACTTCTCCCCTCCCTACAGGCCCCTACATTTTGACTTGCCCTCAAGTTTAAATAAGCACTAAGCACCTCAGGTGCAGAATATCCTCCTCAACACTCATTCCGAGAATCAGCCGACCACAAAGAAAAACATTTCTCTGCTGAAGCAACCTGATTTTGCCACCTTCTTACCCTGCCCTCTTGCCTTTTGCCCCTACAAACTTCCCTGTCAGTTTTACCTCTCCCTCTCTCCAAAAGATATGTCCTCTTCTGTTTGACTTTGAGACACTTGAGATTTCTGAGATGGAAGCATTCTCCCTGCTGTTTAACTAAAGTTTCCATTTACCTAAGTCTGCATTCATTTTGATTGAACACCTAGCACTCTCAATATTGTTTATCCTAAACCCGTTTTTCACATTACACAATACCTTTTACATACTAAATGTCATCTCTATTTAACTTCAACTATTTATTATGTTTATTGTCTCTAGCCCTCCATTAGGATATAAACTGCCTGACAGCAGGATGCCTTTCTGTTTCATCTGTTGAATTCCCATCACCTACTACAAACATGATAAGTGCTCAAAAAGCCTTTGTGAATTTAATGGATAAATTTACTCTTACCTGTGATGTGATATGAGCAGGTTTTGTCTAATACATAGATACAGAATAAAGAAATATTCGCTACTGGTTCTGCCAGGATCTCATTCTCCACTCCAGTTAACTGAATCTCTGACATGTTCCTTGAGCTTGTTTCAAATTCTTGTTTCAAGCATCTAACTCCTATAAAACTGTCCTGTTTTTCTTTGCCCTTCCTAACTTCTTTTCCTCTCTGCCCTTCAACTCAGCTCAGATACTGGGGCTTCATGATTTGTGGACAGTTGTCCCTGATGCAGTTAACCCACAGGCTTTTCAATCATTTCCTCTGAGTAGATCCCTGTGCACTTCTGTTAAACTCAGATCCCAGCTGTACCAGCCACCTGTCTAGCCCTTCCCTATCAGATCCCAGGTATACCAGCCATCTGTCCACCCCAGCTTTCCCTCCTTCCTTGGGCAGGTACCATTCCTGTTTCTGACACCTCCAGTCATCCATGTCCTACTTTAGTGAACAAAGTGCCTTATAACCACATCCTAGACAAAAGAAAAGAAGTATCATTGCTTTATGATCATGCATAGATAATATTTGTGGAGTGAATTTGTGTCAGAAAGATCTGGAGGCACAGTGGTTTTACATTCTAAGTTATTCCCCTATTCCAAGGACTTTGGCAAAGGAAGGGGAAAGAATCAAAAGTTTTATGATAATCATAATGAGTTTCAGGTCATGACCACATAATTCACCTTGTTATTACACACTGCTGATCCTTTAAGTAAAATACCAGAGCCCCAGTAAAACAAATGAGATACCAATGCCTGAGGATTTCACCCAAGCATCACTAATTAAGGGTTATCTTCTAATGCATTCAAGCTACACAAGTCTCTTGAGTTTGCATAATTGAGCTGGAAATCAGTTGAAGGAAATTTATGGGATTTTTAGCCCAGGAGGGAAAGCAAGAAAGTTGGAAAACTCAAAACCATGGGGAAACAAAACAAAAACACACAAAAAAAACTTCCTTCACATTGAAAAATGAAGGTTTTGTTTCTGACTCTTTTTTTTTTATGTAAGAAAAGTCTTACACTATCTTTTATATCCTCTTTGTCTTGTTTTCCAATTTTTAGACCTCCAAATGAGGTAGAGGGTGAAAGAAAGAGCATTAGAATCCAAGTCAGAAGTCTTGGGTTATACCTTCCCCCTACTCAATAACTGAGTCTCATATATGAAATATAAATAAAAATTACTGTATCTACTCCATGGAGTAATAATGTGGATTAAACAAGAGGACGAATTGAAAATACAACAAGTCCTCGATGTCATCCACAGGTTCTTGAAAACTGTGACTTTAAGTGAAAGGATTTATAACAAAATAGGTTCATTGATACAAACAAACTTCCTACAGCATATTTTTGGTCACAGAAACATCACCAAACTTCTAAAAAAAAAACCAAAGCACTTCTAATGGTAAACACTGAAACAAATGTGAGTGTGCTGTCTCTCTCTCTTTCTCTCATATATATTTTTATATATATAAAATGTATATGAAAAATCTTTCATATATAATATTTCATATATATGAAAAATCTTTCATATATATAGTCTTTCAAATAAGATTATTTACCCCATTATTTCAGTTCAGGGTCTTGGGTGGTTGGAGCCTATCCCAGCACTTATGACCTGGACATAGAAGTCCATGGTGGCCTGCAACCTTGTTTGGAATTAGAATATGGAGCTGAACCCATTGTTGGCATCAAGGGAAGCTTGGACAGCCTTGCGAGTGAGGAGGCAACAATGAAAGTGGAAAGTTGGGGCTCTAGAAAGCATGAGGCTCTCTATTGTATCCAGAATACAGAAATATAAAAAGCTATTACAACTTAACAACAAAAAGGCAAACAACTCATTTATAAAATGAGCAAAGGACTTGAATAGACATAGCTCCAAAGAAGGTATACAAATAACCAATAAGCACATGAAAAGATGAGCAAAGAGAGCAGAGGGATGAGATGTTATGAATTAAATAGGTTGGAGATATGACGGTAACTTAGACAGCATGGCCAGTTGTATTTCAAAGAACAAAGAGCCTTTTAAACCTTTGCGTAGAAACACAATCATAGGGTTTAAGCAGCAAGGGTTTTTTTCTTTGTATAATAAGTATACAAAGGTTATACAATTGACAACACAGTCTCTATAAAAAGCTTTTTTAGCCACTCCAATCTCAGTTTCTTCTATGAACTGTCCACATTATTTGCCCAACCATTTATTTTTTACAAAATTTCCTTAATTTTTTCCAGTTAAAAAATTTGAGTTGTCATTTAATTTTCATGTAATTTTGCCTGACCTTTATCTATGTTTTAAGCAACTTGAGCACTGGAAATCTTTATTTTGTATCCTCCAGAGTATGAAGTATGATTCTTTTCCCTAAAATAGTAGCATTTGTGATTTTAAATTCTATCCCCTGGATGAATCAATACAAGTGAGTAGAAGATAGAATAATACCTCATCTACCAGAATTCACTGCGCTAGCAGTCTTATCTATTAGAAATATATGAAAGAATCAATAAGTAAGAAAAAAAAGCTTTCAAATAACCAAAATAAATGTTACTAAATCATGTTTGCCATCTTAAATGAGTATTAAATAAGTAAAGGCAAAACCTAAGATGATTACATCTAGGAATTATTTTACAATATGAGACAGGAATTAAGTGTAGCATCAATAACCTTTGACCAAGTGAAACAGGCTTTTTTTAGAGAGCATAAACTTGTATTATTTTTTCATCCAAACCCAAGCAGCCTAACCCCCTCTTCTTGCCATGAAGAGAAGCCATTCTTAGATAACAAAGAGCTTAAGCAAAGTAATTTTGCAGAGTATACTTTGAAGGAGGAAAAAAAAATCCTTCAAATTTCAGCATTTGTATGGATGAATGCAATAGGCAATAGAAACATAAATAGCTTTTTTAAAAGTGCAATAAATGAAAGCTGTTCATAATTGGTGTTCTATAAGGAATTACAAACAAAGAATTTGGGAAGTCTCTGGAGTTACACTTCCCACACAGATACAAGGTAGTGACTTATCTGAAACAGAATTATTTGGCACACCTGGCATGGGCAAGCATGAACCACAGAAGAGATTCAGCAAAATGTGTAAAATCAGACATGAGTTAGTAAGAACATCTAAGCAAGCACAAGACAGCAATATTACCCAGAATACATTACTAAAGGACTCACTGTCACCTGAGTGGGCTGAGATGGGAGGCATCGACCTGTTATAGCCTTATCAGGATATCATTTTACTGTGAGAAGATAACATTGTGCTTAAGCAAACCAATTAGTAAGTCATTCAGAGTTGATCTTATGTATTAAATTAGTCATTTGTAACTAGTTCTTTATGTTACCTTTAAAAAGCATCAAGTAAAAAGCACTATTCAGATATTGTTAGAAAGAGGTTTTATATAGCAATTGCAGGTACAACTTAGTTGCTCGAAATGATGGAAGCTCACAAATGGAGAAAAAGATGATTTAATAATTTTTTTCTTCAAAATGCATAAACATAAATAAATCACAATTAGAAATGCAAAGAAAAGTTAAATTAAAAACCTAAAAAGATGGCCCTGGTAAAAACAAAATAAGCACATTTTGAAAATTAAAAAACATGTATTTTAAAACCTAAACTTCCAGAACCCACCTTGTTATGTCAATATTAGCAACTTAAATAAGATTAAATTAAAAAGTAATATTTTGGGTTTGACTGCAACAGAGTATGGGTGTTACCTAGACTGTTCTTCCTCCCTTCACAAAGGTAAACAACTATGAAACGGAACAAAATAGGTGAAGCATTTTTTGGAGGAGGACTATAATGCTAGCAAAAAAGCAAACATGTGGTGAGCTCAATGTTTTCCCAACCTTCTGCCGTAGGGAACTTTCAGTGATCTGCATGTCACAAGGAGATGGAGACCAAGGAGAGCACAGCAGTGTTGCTGAGCTGGGATGGCAGAGATTAAAGTTGAGGGCTGTGAATGCAAACTGGAATTTGCACAGCAAATTAACAAAGAGAAGGGTACTATTCAGACAAGAGTCCTCAGAATGCTGTATGGGGAAATCTGAGTGGATCCTTGGTCCGAAGCTGGGCTGTACATATATAGAGCCAATCTCTTCCAGAGCTCACAGGAAATACCACAGTGCTTACCAACTGTATTTCTGAGTACAAAGGAAATACATTAGAATTCAACAACTAAAAACATAAAATACACAAATATTTAGAAATTAAACAACACACTTCCAAATAGCACATAGGTTGAAAAAGAAATCACAAAGGACATTAAAGTATTTGAAACAATCATAGTAAAAACACAGCAAATAAAAAAATTATTCATAACTAAGGCAGTGCTAGAGGAAATTTTACAACTTTATAAAAATAAAAGACTAAGAGTGGTTCATGTTTCCACCTTCAAAGGTTGAAAAAAGAAATGCAAAGTAAACCCAAAGTAAATAGAAGGAAGAAAATAATCAATATGAAAAACTACATCAATAAAATAGTATACAAACATTTTAGAAAGTAAGAAAGCCAAAAGCAGAATTTTTAAAAGAACACCAAATATTTCCAGAGCTCATCTTATGCACCATGCTTTCTGCCATGTGTTGATTACACAGATTAAGATAATGCAGTCCGTCTACTCCTGTCCCCAAGTTCACCATATTTGAGCTTTCAGTCATGTATTTCACAAAATGATTTCAACATAATACATCTGAGAGTTCATCTCTCCAGCAGTGCCTAGAACACAGTAGAAGCTCAATAAATATATGTTGAATGGATGAATGAACTTTTTCCTTTAACACATGGAGAGGGCCACAGAGAGGAAGGGACTTTCCCTAAGGTCACCAATGTCTTACTTGGTGCAGCCTGGATTCTGTCCTCCATACCAGACAACATTCTCTGCCTTGGCCAGCTCAGACTTTAGTCTCAACTCTCTTATGCCATTAGAGAACCTTAATAACTAGTTCTGTGTTTAAATTGCCTGGCACCCATCTTGGAAAGGCATTTCATTAGCATTCCTGTTTGTGTAATGCCAGCTTGCCAGCCAAGGAGCCCACTGAGAGATGAGCCAGGGGAGAGTGAGTGAGCACACAGACTCACATTGGAACTTGCAACTCCACTTAGCACAGGGGAGCTGAGCTGTATTGACTCACACCAGCAAAAGCCACCTTTCTCAAGCTCTCTCACCTCCCCAACATTGTTCCTGTTGCCTGATTGCACCTGGAGAATCAAATTTTCTTGGGGCACAGCCCAAGTATAATTGAGACAACAGGACTATTTCCTACTAGTGGAGAACTAAGCCTTTGCAATGGAAAATACAGAGGGAAGAAACAACCAATATTGTCATAAACCAACACATAAGACACACTCAAATTTTAGCAACTCAGATTAGAAGGGAGGCAGAAACAGCTACAGCTACTGGGGGAAATGGGAGGATGCCTAGGAAGGAAGTGGTTATAGGGGCTGGCACTTGAAAAGGCATAGTATGTCCCATCTCCAAAAGAATAAAAATAATAGAAATTACTTATATAGCATACACTATATGTCAGGAACTATTATAAACACTTTGTAAAATAAATATAAATTATTTAATCTTCACAGCAACCATACAACATAAATAATGTAATATCCCCCACTTTACAGATGGCAAAACTAAGTCAGAGATGGGTTAAGTAAGTTGCTTAAATTCACAGAGCAAATAAGTGGTAGAATCCAGGCAGTCTTGTTCCAAAGTCGATGCTTTTACTGATCCCTCAACCCCATACTACATGAAGAATTGATTTTACTGTGAACATGGGCTCCTAATTAGATAAGTAGACCAGCTCTGGAATTCTCCTCCAGAGGTCAAAAACTTACAAAATAGCAAGCACTCTGCAGCTCAAGCCTTGCAGACAGCTAAGCAATGATAAGACCAGTTGTGTCTACTCCTTCCTTCTCCATTCATTCGCTATTAGTCATTTGACCCATTGGAGTTTGTAGATATGAACTGAGTTTGTACTCTGAAGAAATGGCAAACAGTTTTTTGAAAGTGAATCACAAATTTTGATTTGCCAACTACTATAATCTAGTTTCACAGAGCGTGGAGACTATCTGGGATTCAGAGAGGGCAAGCAAATGTTTAGATAGTAGCTGTCTATGAGTAGATAACATGATCTGTGCCAGCCATGCTACACTGTCCCTGCTTTTATGGAGATTCCGGTCTAAAAGGAAAGACCAGTATTAATTACCTAATCCATTAGTGAATGCTACCTGCAAAACAAGTGAGGGGCTCTGACGGAAAGGAAGACAGGTCAATATCAGGGACTCATAATGGAAGCTGAGCTGGCCCTGGGGCAGCAGAAGGGCTTGCCTTGAGAAACAGGTGCTTGGGTTGAGAGCAGAAAGATGAAAAGCCTTTTTTTTAGGTGGCACAAGAGAGATGAGAAGAGAATTCTAGGCAGAATATACAGCACTTGCAAAGGCAAGAGAGAACAGGCAAGAAGCCTCCTGGTATGGCCAGCCCCAAGGCAGGGAGCAGGGTATGAAATGGGTTGAGGCTGGAGTGGGAAGGAGAGGCAGGCCATACAGCAACTGACACATTCACGATCTCTGTACAAAGAGCACTTGGGAGCCGTGGAAGGACATAGGCAGAACAGTGGCATGAAGCAAGAAACACCCAATGCATCCAATAAGTGACTAGACTAATACTCAAACTCAGATCCTTTGCCCTTCTTCCCCCCAGTCTCCATCCTCACTGCATTTTATCAGCCCAGGAAGTTTAGCCAGTAGAGGTCCTCACCAAGCCACACAAATCACAGAGCCTCAGGGTTGCCAGGGACTTGGCTATCTTGCAGACACATCCACTAGCTAAGCACTCCCATGTCCTCTCTGAATCTCAGCCCATTTCCAGTCTGTTTGAAACTAGATATCTGGACTCAGCATATGCTTAATAGCTGGGTCATCTCTAGCAAATTAAATCACTTCTATAAGCCTCCCTTTCTACACCTGCACTATGGGAGTGCTAATGTCAATTGACTATTAAGATAATGAAGGTGATGTTTTCAGCACCATATCCAATCTTTAGTAGATGCCCAAAGAGTGATGATTTAATCTGAATTCAGCCATTCATCTTGAGCTATATCTTTCTCCCAACTCAGCTGTGACAGTTCCAAGACATCATCCTGTGTATCAGACAGATCTTATCATTAAGTCCAGTAGTCCACTAAATAATTATGCATGTTATAGCAGCCCATAGTTAAGGCAGAAATAAAAAATAATAATAAACTTACCCACAGTGGAGAAAGGAGGAAGTGAAGAAATCTCATCTTTCTGGTATAATTTTCCATTGTTTTATTCCTTGAAAAATAGCCAGTATAATTTTGCATGGTGCTCAAAAAATGAAAGTCAACTCACCAAAAGACAATGAGTTCAATATTTCTGTTGAAAATAAACATTTGAAAAACAGTATCTATTTATATTTATGTATATTTATTCATCTATTCAATTTATAATTTCAGGCTCATTCCACACTAAGTGTTCTGAATCAAAAAGATGAACAAAATACAGTGCCATTCTTCAAGGACTTCACAGTCTACAGGAAAGGGATATAGTTAAACAAATAACTGCAGAATTGGAAATTGGAGCTGATGTGCTTAGAAGTGTTTTGAACAAGGGGCATGACTGTGACTCTCTCTGCTTTTGCAAGCTTCAGGAAAACCTTTACTCACAGGTGAGTTCCACCTGAGGTTAATTTGAAGCTTGTGTTCTGAATTTGCCAACTAAGATAAGAAGGAAACATATTGATAGCAAGAAGAATAGCCTGTGCAAGGAAGTGACGGCCCAAGAAGGATGTGTTTTCTCAGAAGCCTGGAAAGGCATCTCCTTCTCAACCTCCAGGGAAATCAAAATAGACACTCAGTGATGGGTCCTGAGCATTTCCAGATCCAAGGAAAGTTCTAAATTACTGGAATTAGATATGTTAAATCAAGACTATCATGACAACCTGACTTCAAGTCTTATTTGCTGAAAGTGCAAAGCAGAGGACGTGACCATTTTGTGTGTGCAGCACCCTTGTGATCTCACAAGGATGTTGCTTAATGACATATGGAAACCCATTGGGTAATTAAATAGTCTGAGGCTAATTGCGCCTGACTGTGTTATTCCAATGTGATGGGTTGAGATGTGCAATGGATAGGAGAAAACAGGTTTCTAGAATTGCAATGGGTGACTGTTTGCTCTGACCTTGATTGAATTTGAACATGGGGCACAGGATGCAGCGGGGCACAAGCTGACAGCCAGCACATGAGGAGTAGGGCAGACTAATTTGTCAGTCTGGCTTACAAAGGTGTCTTGTATTCATTTCAGAACAAATCCAACAGCTGTGATTCTGGCTTTTCCTCCAAGTAAAGGCTTATCTTCTTCTTCCCAAGCTAAATGCATCCGCAGAGCCCTCCAGCTCAACATCATTATTTGTATGGAACTTTTATATAATTCCTCCTTAAAAACACAAATATTCTCATTTGTGCCTCAAAATTGTGAAGGTTATTATTATCCCTCATCCAACCTCATTTTGCAGATGAAGAAATCAAACCCCAGAGAAACTGAGTAGCCTGCTGTTTACAAAGTGATGGAATCATGACTCGTGTCCACGTCATTCTGCTTGCAAATCCAGTGTCCTGCTGGACTCTGCTCTCACATTTTAGTTGGGAGAGGCCTGGGAGAACTGTTTTTGCCTTTAGGCAGACACACAGATCCTGAGGTGGCCCAGCCTGATGAAAGCAAATATTAAGAAAATGGAAATGGTTAGACTCAATGATTATTGTCATTTTCACTTTACAGTTGAAAATACAGAGCCTCAGGGTGAAGCCCTAACTTCCCACAGCAGATGGGGTCTATGAGGAGGAAGAAGTAGACGCATGGACCAGTCCTGTTATGAAGACAAGTTTCATGGTGCTACTCTGTCTCCATGAGCTCCTATGGCCCAGAAGCTGGCATCCTGTGAGTGGGTAGGTTGATGATTATGCCAACTAACCCTGCAGGGATTCATGCTGACTTTGAGATCCACTCACACATTAGTACAACTCCATAGGTTGTAGGACATTTTCCAGGCTGGAGCAAATAAGTTATTGCTTTCAGTAAATCCCCTCCCTCCTTCCCTTCCTTTTATCTTAGATTTGGGATGATGGAGTGGGCTGAGTTTTAAGACTATTCTCCGTCTGTTTATAATATTCTCTGGGTGACCACGTCACCAGAAACCTCTTGCAGTATTGAAGTCCAAATCCAACACAACTCTGTCACCAATCTATAAGCTCCATTTACCTCCATATTCCTAGTGAGTACATCATAACATCAGAGATACACAAAAGGCCGGGCGCAGTAGCTCACGCCTGTAATCCCAGCACTTTGGGAGGCCGAGACGGGCAGATCACGAGGTGAGGAGATCGAGACCGTCCTGGCTAACACAGTGAAACCCCGTCTCTACTAAAAATACAAAAAATTAGCCGGGCGTGGTTGCAGGTGCCTGTAGTCCCAGCTACTCGGGAGGCTGAGGCAGGAGAATGGCCTGAACCTGGGAGGCAGAGCTTGCAGTGAGCTGAGATCGCGCCAGTGCACTCTAGCCTGGGCAACAGAGCGAGACTCTGTCTCAAAAAAAAAAAAGAGATACACAAAAATTACTTACAGAAATAATAGGAATTATTTTGTGAAGTCCAAATAATATATATCAGGTTTTATTCCATGGTGTTATGTTTACAAGCAATTACTTGACTTGCAAAATCTGCTTGATATGAAGTGTGTTGTAATGGTTTTCTGCTGCTACTCCTCTGAAGTCCTGAGTGTTTCCACCATCCAGGGGGAAACAGCTAATATCTATCTGCCTGTTCTAAAACATTACGTGCAAGTACATACACACATAATCCCTTTCCATCTTCTGAGATTTAGCAAACGATTACATGTTGAACAATTTAGCAGTCTATTGAGTGACTTTTCATTTGCTATTAAAGTACGCAGATATATGGTCCTAGGGAATGCGCATGGGCTTTCGTTGTATATCTTGGGACCTACAATTTCTGGCATGTTAGGCAAGTTACTTAACTCTGAGGTTCTATATTTTGAACTGTAAAGTGAAAATGATGATAGTCATTGAGTTGCAAGGAAAGAAATTATAATGAAGTCATGAGGGGTCAGGTTTCCTGAGTTCGAATCCTTCTTTCACCACTGTAGTGGATGCTGTAGTGCTCCACTCAGATTCCAGAACTGAGAAACTCATGCCCATGGCTGCTGGAATTATGGGTTGTTGATATCTCACAGCCAAGTTTCTTCTCAGGAAATGTCCTCTCTTGGTCAAAGAGAGCTGCTCTGTCTAATGCTACACCCTTCTCCTGGGGACAGTCTGAAAGGCTTCAAAGTCTTGGCATTCCTTCTTCAATTCAGCCCTCCAGAAATGCCTGGGAAGTCACCTGTAACCAGTCTGACCCAGTCTTGCTTCTCTGACCCCCTGACAGGTCCTGGTCCAGAAAACACCCCCAATAAACTTTACACAAATAAATTTCCAATTCCGAGTCCGCTTCCTGGAGTCTTGGTAGTTCTGTGAAATTTACAGCTTATTGCATATAGAGGTCACATATATAATTACACATGGTGGAATTGAAATTGAAATTCTGATAAGAATCCTGTGATTTCGAGTCCAGGTCTCCTGTTGGTCTCCATGATTCTATTTCATTCATGAAATAGGTTGGAGGAACTCACAACACAATAGACCCCATATTTCAGCTCATTAATAATCAACATATTCTGGTCTCAGTGGCCATTATTTTTAAGAAGTTGTATACAACATTATAATCAGTGTGATCTAGTCAGGTTTTTCTACTACAGTGGGGCAGCCTGGAACTCAGTCAGATATACTTGTTTTTCTCAAGTCTTTATGAGATTCATTTTCATATTTTTAAAATTACATTTTGAACCGACACAGAGCGCAATTTTGGAGAGGTGATCCTATAAACGAACAAAGGTCACTGCCATTCATTCCTTCATTTACGGTTTTTTATTTTTTTTTAGACGGAGTCTTGCTCGGTCGCCCAGGCTGGAGTGCAGTTAAATGAAAAAACGTACCCAGACAGAGGTTCTAAAACAGCACCAAAATATTAATTTAATGAGTGGAGATTAGTTTTCTTTATCAACACTACAATTTTCTTTTCTTTTTTTTTTTTTTTTTTTTTTTGAGACGTAGTCTCACTCTGTCGCTCAGGCTGGAGTGCAGTGGCACAATCTCGGCTCACTGCAAGCTCCGCCTCCCGGGTTCACACCATTCTCCTGCCTCAGCCTCCCAAGTAGCTGGGACTACAGGTGCCCACCACCACGCCCAGCTAATGTTCTGTATTTTTAGTAGAGATGGGGTTTCACTGTGTTATCTAGGATGGTCTCGATCTCCTGACCTCATGATCTGCCCGCCTCGGCCTCCCAAAGTGCTGGAATTACAGGTGTGAGCCACATTGCCCGGCCCATTTATGTTGTTTTTAATCCATCTAACCAGCCACCATATATTGTGTGCTTCCCATGTACCACAACACATTCTGAGAACTTGCCACACATGCTCTACTTTCGTCTTCACATCAACAATGTGAATCTTAAGCTGTGCTGAATTTTGTCCAAAATGACTCAGATAGGAAAAGGCAGAATAAGGAATACATTCCAGTTGTCTCCAAAGTCCACCCTTTTCTAAGTGTCACATTATATTGTCCTTGCCACTGGCACACAGCTTAAATAAAAGTCAAACCATGAGAAGCCATAGAAAGTAATATCAGAGTACAGGTGAGAAGTTGCACTTACATAAATGATCATTCAAGACTTCCTGGAGAAGGCACGAGTTGTCCTTTGGAGTGACCAAGACTCACTTCCAAGTAGAAAGCTCAGTAATTTTGCTTGAGAGATAGCATGGAAAGGGCCCAGTCTTCAGAGTGTGGCTGACTTGAATTTGAGCTCTATCTTCATCTATTACTACCCATGTGCCTCTGGACATCTTACTTAACCTCTCTGAATCTTCATCTTGTCATTGTGAGAAACCTGATTGACTTGTTGTAAAGATTAAAGAAATCATGAAACACATCTAGTCCAAAACTGATACTATAGTAGACATTTAACAAGTGATGTTTGATTTAATTCAAGTCTCTAGGTTATAGTAAGACAATGGCAAAATATTAATTAATCAGCTTCTCCAGTTTGTGCGTTTGAGAAGGGTAAGCCAAAGGAGGACTTTGTTTTCATATCTCATATTGCATCGTTTGTCATAAAAATTACACATTTATACAAGCGCGCACACACACACACACACACAGGCACAAACACTCAGACATGAGCCACAATCCACAATGAAGGAGTGCTTAGAGTGCTTAGGCACCATAATAAACTTTCACATAAAGTACAGCAGTAGCATTCTTAATTAAAATCTCTAAAGTACTCTTGTTGTTGACAATATCACCACCCAAAGCCATATTTACCTTGTTAATTATTCAAGTTGCAGTGAATAAGAAACAATGCCCAGGCTTCCCATAAAATTTCCAAAAATTAAACCAGGGAAATGGGCAATAAATGTCATTTGAAATGGAACTGATGCCAGTTAATTACAAGACAACTGTAAAATAATGGGGCATGAGGTTCTTCAACAATGCCTAATTAGTAACTATATGGGCATTTCCTTGGAAAAAATGGCAATTACACGGTGCAAACACTTAGCAGTCATCATCAAAGGCCCTTAACCAATATTAGCTAATTAATCTTCCCTACAACACTCCAGCAGGAGGCAGCACAAGTCCTCATTGAGGGAGGGAGAAGGGAAGGCCAAAAGATGAAATGGAAAATCCTCTTCTGCTCAGCATCTGTAAAGAACAATTTGACACTCGCAGCCTAGAAGCACTCAGGAGGGATTCCCAGGCCAAGAGAGGCAGATTGTTTTCTTAATGATAAGGTTAATGTGGTGAACACCTAGCTTCCTCCTGATTTGCTGCCATGGCTCACATCCTTGCTGTCCTCGAGAACTCCCCACACCAAATTGCTGTTGCAGGCACACATGCACTCTTGCGCTTATCAACCCTTTTCTCTTTTTCTCAGCAAGAAGGCTTTTGACCTCAAATATATAAAACCAATGGGGGGAGAAGGAAGCTATGCCTCTTTCCACAAAGCCAAGCTTGTTATATTATAACATGATCCACAGCTTTTGATTTCAACTTAATGTATGAGATCTGGAATTATTTCAGAAGTATGATTGATTTTGATCAGGTGAAGATATTTTAAAAGAAGTGAATTATCTCTTATGTTACTTAATTTAATCCACATTAAAGATTTATGACAAAATCTCATTTGTGTCTAATTTTGTATTCTTTTACCTAAAGAGAGTCCAAAATTTGTATAAGTTCCAGGCCCAAGACAACCTAAGTCTGCCCGTGTATCTGGTTGAGTTCTTCCAACTCTCAGTCAGGGGCCATATTTTGTAGGATTCTGAGGCTCCGATGCCCTTTTGAGGTAGACTTAGTTTCATAAAGCAAAGTTAGGCTACATCATAAAATGAGGCTTGCACGAATTTTTCTCCACCTAATTCCATTTGTCTTATAATACACCTGATTCTTCCCATTTAAAAAGTTACAAGTTTTAATGAGAAAATGGATAAGAAGAAAGGGGTATAACTACTCCCGCTACTCCATTTTATAGATGGTGAAACTAGGCTATGCAGAGGTTAAGTGGCCTCCAAATATGGGATTTTATTAGTATTCCCATAGCTAATACAATAGTGAGCCTCACCCAGAACCCATCTCCATTTGATCCTAATGTTTTAGTTCTTTGTGAGTTTCCTTGTCACCTCTAACCTGCCTCTGAACTCATAGCTAATTGATATCCAGAAGGCATGCATAAAGAACATTTGGAATGGTACTATCCTAATAGAGTGTTGGGTGAGCCGAGATCCAGTGCCAGGTCAAATCTAAATATAATTTTCTTAAAGTAACACACACACTTCACAGAAGAGGACTCATGACTTGTTCCTTCAGTATCCCCCAAAATGTTCTTCTTCTTCCATTTTGGGGGATACTTGTTCCTTCAGTACCCCTAAAAATGGAAGAATATCACATAACATTCAGAGGATAAGTTTGACAGTCTGATAAGCCCAGATCAAAAAATCCTAGACTCTATTTGTTATCTGTAAAATGGGCACAATAATAGTACCTACCTTGTGAGGCTAATGTGAGGAATAAATGGACAAATGCTTAGGAACTGGCATATAGAACACGTGCAATAATTATTAGCTATATTTAAAAAATATTTTACACTATTAATGATCACTCCTTTACTGAGACTATACTGTAATAATGAACTGTGTTGGTTTTGTAGTCACACAACCTAAATTTAAATCTTGTATCATCTATTACTCTCTGTGTAACCATGGGGGAGCTACTTGGCCTCTGCATGCCTCAGTTTCCTTATTAGTAAAAAGGGTGTAGTGAGAGCATCTACTTGATCTTTTTAAGAGGGTTGGTTGCAGGGATTGAATGAGACAGTGTATGAAATCCTGGCACCTAGCCAATAACAAGAATTTGATAAAGTTAGCTATCGATATATTTTGAGTAGGCATACCTTATACACAGAGGGGACTCGGTCCATGTTTGAGCAATAGAATTAACAAAATTTATTTGACATTCACTCAACAAACGTTTGCTGTATACCTACTCTATAGTAGGCAGTGTCCTATGGGCTAGGGATTCAGAGAAAAATAAATACATAGTCTCTGCCCTCAGCTGAGATAATAGTGTCTTCTGGCACAGACAATTCAATCAGAATTATTAGATACATGTGGAGGAGAATTATTCTTTTTAGTGCATCCAGGAATGTTGAATAAATAAAGTGTTTAGTAGTTTCACAAAATTTCAGGAAAATACATTTTATCCAAATTCCTACACATCATTAGAGTTTATTTAATCTCAATTCTTACTTCAATAAGGACAAATGATGAATGAATGATGGCTCCTCCTCCCTGAAGTGACAATGTGTCCCTAAACATCTCTACAGACAGGACTTATTGTAAAGCAGCTGTTTCCACTGTTCAGTAGTTCTAAAGTCCCTCCAGCTATTGATTATACTGAAACCTCATCCCCTCAACATATCCACCCTTGGTGATTTTCCTTCCTCTAGTGCTCAGTGGAGAGAGTCTAACCCTTCTTCTACCCAACGGGCCTTTCTCATATGTCCATTCCCACATCTGAGTCACCATTTCTTTAAGCTAAACTTCCAGATGTACCATGATGAAAGTCTAATAGACATAAGCATCTCTTCTTAAAGATGAGCTTCCAGATGGCAGGAGTGACAACTAGGTCCAAGCTGTGGGTACTTGGCACCCACAGCTCTTAGTTTCAGAATCTCCTCCTCCCCAGGCTTCATATCAGCCCTGGCCATGCTTGTTAATTTGGGCCAAATCTACCAGAGTCCCCTCTCCTAAATCCTAACTGTTGGACTAAGCAGGGATCGGTCTCAGCCCCTGGATAAAGGACTGCTATCACATCTGTCTTTGAGGCCTTCAAAGACTTACTAACTAGAAAAATGACTAATGCAAGGATTTCAGGGCCCAAAACAGGGGGAGTGGGAGTCCTCAAAGTAATACCTGTTGGCATAAGGCCAAGGCCATTCTCTTCTAACTCATGGGTCCTCTTTCAAAGAAAAATTACTCAGTCCGCTCCCAAATTCCCGGGTCTGCTGACTCCTGCTACTGATGGGGCTTGTCTGCTGGACTTTCACATTCTTAACATAGTGTTCTTGAACACTTCTGAAAACAGGGGGCTTGTGAAGCAACTGCTTCTACTGCTCAATTCTAATGTTCTTCCATATCAAGATAAGCTCCAATTTTCCCCCTTGTCACTTCCACTTCTGGTCATTTTCCTTCTCTCTGGAGCTGGACAGAACAAGTGTAACCCCCTTTTGCAGAAATAGATGTTTGCATATTTGATTTATTGTGCTTGCATTTGCATTTCTGGGTCACTGCTACTTTAGCTTAAAACTTCACAGCTTCTCAATTGTTCTTTAAAATGATGTTCACATTCGTCATATGAATGTTTTCTGCTGGATATATATCCAGCAATGGATTCGTGCTTCTCTTAGGCTATGGCACCTAAATCTGACAGTCCTAATAAAGCTGAGCATTTAGGGAAAGGACAGACAATTCCACAGTGCCATGGTGGGATATTTGGTAAGAGTCTTCTGTATAATAGAGAGACCATGAATCACCTGGAAGTCAACCACTGAGTGGATTCTCTGCTATTATGGGAACATAAAACCTACAAGCTACCCGGTAATATCTTCCTATGCTTATTGACCCTAAAGGATGCCCATATCATTTTGGTTCTCCACATAAGGAAGATATTCACCCACACTTGACTCCCTCATGAGTCAACTCTCCACATCTGCTGTAAGGTTAATTCTTAAAACATGTTCATGATCAACTATCTCATGTGCCAGTCCTAATCCAGATGGCATTTGGCTTAACACTCTATTAGCTGAAAGAATGAAGATCTCTGAAAAATGAGACTTGTATGCCTTCTTTACATACATTTAGACTAATTTCCATTCCCCTCATTAAAGCTCTCTGTGATTGACAGAAGCTGATGACAACCAGATCTGCTGATAGAACTAAATATTTTCAGTTTTCTCTTCAAGGAAATAGACATCCAGAGCAATTTTAGAGATCACCATTTTGGTGAAAGTTAGAAGGAGAGCATATAGAAAGAATATATACATTAAGTCTGGCGCAAAAAAGGCCTTTGATTAGATGGAGGAAGAGTCTCAGGAAATACATAGACAGAAATGATCTTCTACTCACTCTCTCAGAAATAAAATCTCCAAGACAAATGCACAAATATACCCTGAGACAAAGATCTTCACTTATGCATGTAAAATCAACCCCTCTTTTCTGAGCCCCACACCTACCATAAAAGAGGCAGTCAGCACTGACCATAGAGTCCCTAGACTTGGATATGATGACTTATTCTGCTTCATATTGGCAAAGCATGTTAATCTCCTCTCTGAACTTCAGATAATGATAGTTAGCTGCTTGCAAATCTCAAGAATTATTGGGTTATATAGCTTAAGTTATATAAGTTGGTTAAAATGTTTTGTGTTACTGTGAAATGTTATAGAAAGGTAAAATATGAATAATGCCACATTCTGCCTCATCTGATACTCAGTTGTATACACTGCCCACTAGAATATAAATGCTAGGCAGCTAGAATTGCTCTCATCTCTGCCGTTTCAGTATCTAGCATAGTACCTGTCATGTTCTAGGAGCTTGATAAATGTTTACTGAATTGACTTCCATTAAATTGAATTACTAACTTGCAAGGTCTTTGGGGGCAATTGTAGAATCTCATTTTACATCATTGCCATTTCCTTGCTCAAAGCTGACATGAGGAAGTATGCAATAAATGGTGAGTGAATGAATGAATGGATGGAGAGGAATTGAAAAGATGATTCTCAACACCGAATGCTCTTTAGAATCATTTACAGTGCTTTCAAAAATTAATCTCTGGGTCTCTGTCCCAGAGAGTGATTTAAAAGTTCCCCAAGATATTCTAATGTAAAGTCAAGGTTGAGAATCAATGACTTTGAATGACAGGAAAATATAAGGAAGAGTCTGCTCCCTCCTTTTTTTTTTCTCACCAGTGTAGGTTTTACATTCTTAAGTGAAATAAAGCATTCCGAAAGCTCTTTTTTTTTTTTTCTGAATAAAGCACTCTAAAATGGAAGAGTGATGTTGCTACTGCTTTTTAGAAAATACTGTCAAAAAGTGGTTTTCTAGACTGTTGGCTGGTGGACCTCCCTGTAGCTATCACTTGGCAGGCACTTGACCCTATTATCTCAGTATAACTAAGCTATGAAGCCCAGTTCAACCGCCAAGGCCAGGACTCAGGACTTCTGCTGGCCTAATGTTCTGAGACGCTGCCACCTTGTGGGCACTCTGGAGCGACACTTACAACAGCTTCCTTAAAACAGGTGTATCTCAGATGGCCTTAGGTTTTCCTTGTTCTGTATATTCTGATATTTCTGGAAAATAAATATTTATAAGGAAAAGAGAGTTCTGGTTGCTCCATGAAGAGAATGCTACAGATGCAGACATGAACAGTAGGTATGGTGTGGAGTTTACATGAGCAGGATTGATTTATCCCTGTTGAATAGCAAGTGACAGAGGCCATGAGAGGACAAGGTACTTAAGGACAAAGAATTGGTTATGTCAAATCCACTTATAATGGAAGCCATCATCCTCAGCAAACTAACACAGGAACAGACAACCAAACACCACATGTTCTCACTCATAAGTGGGAGCTGAACATTGAGAACACATGGACACAGGGAAGGGAAAAACACACACCAGGGCCTCCCAGGGAGACTGGGGGAGGGAGAGCATCAAAAATAGCTAATGCATGCGGGGATTAATACCTAGGTGATGCGTTGATAGGTGCAACAAACCACCATGGCACACGTTTACCTTTGTAGCAAACCTGCACGTTCTGCACAAGTACCCCAGAATTTAAAATAAAATATATTTTTTAAAAATACACTTATAAGTCTTTACTTCCGTGAGAAAAAAAAAATACATATAAACAGTAACACAGATCTCCTTCCCATTTTTTAAGTAGACAACCGGAAGGCCCAGGAATTAATTGCCTTAGTCAAAGCCACATGGCAAGCTGCTAGATAAACTCAAATTGAAAACCAACGTTTTAAATCAGTATCTTCAGAAAATGAAATTTCTTTCCATCCTAAAAGAAAAAATTCAGGAACAAACATCAAAGTTCAAGACTGGACTTACATGTGTGTATATGGGAAACAAAATACCCACGTACATATATTATACAAGCATATACTTTTTATTATTTTATTTTATTTTATTTTATTTTTTATTTTTTTTGAGACGGAGTTTCACTCTTGTTGCCTAGCTGGAGTGCGATGGCACAATCTCAGCTCACCACAACCTCCACCTCCCGAGTTCCAGCGATTCTCCTGCCTCAGCCTCTCGAGTAGCTGGGATTACAGGCATGCGCCACCACGCCTGGCTAATTTTGTATTTTTAGTAGAGACGGGGTTTCTCCATGTTGGTCAGGCTGGTCTCAAACTCCTGACCTCAGTGATCTGCCCTCCTCGGCCTCCCAAAGTGCTGGGATTACAGGTGTAAGCCACCGTACCCAGCTTCATATACATTTTTTTAACTTCATAATGAGGATGAATTGGCTGATAGAAATTTTTACTTCATGAAAAATTGGACTTTGTGATACCGTTAAAGAAATACATTTTCTTCAAAGACACAAACGAATTCAGACAAATATCTTAATTTCCAAGTCTTGTCAGGTCGGCTATAGTGAATAGATTAGACTCACTGGTAAAGGCACCTGGAATCTAAATATCACGTATGAATTACATTCTTCACATACGTCTGCTTTTTCAACTGGATTAAATGGGTGATAAGTCGAAATACTTGTAACTGGGGCCAAATAGACCTGGTTTTGTGTGCCAACTCTACTACTACATGCTGTGATGTCTTGCATAATTTACTTAAACACCCTATGCTTCAATTTCCTTATCTACAAGGAAAGCTAATAATGAAAACTCACTAATAATTTTTATTGCTGTTAAATGAAAAAATGTACCCAGACAGAGGTTCTATAACAGCACCAAAATATTAATTTAATGAGTGGAGATTAGTTTTCTTTATCAACACTACAATTTTCTTTTTTCTTTTTTCTTTTTCTTTTTTTTTTTTTTTTTGAGACAGAGTCTTACTCTGTCACCCAGGCTGGAGTGCAGTGGCACGATCTCGGCTCACTGCAAGCTCCATCTCCCAGGTTCACACCATTCTCCTGTCTCAGCCTCCCGAGTCGCTGGAACTACAGGTGCCCGCCACCATGCCCAGCTAATTTTTTGTATTTTTAGTAGAGACGGGGTTTCACCGTGTTAGCCGGGATGGTCTCGATCTCCTGACCTCATGATCCGCCCACCTTGGCCTCCCAAAGTGCTGGGATTACAGGCGTGAGCCACCGCACCCTGCCAACACTACAGTTTTCTTTAAGTGTTCAGCTAATTGATCAAATTGCTCATCAGTGAGTGATCAGTGGGGCACAAATTATTTTGGTACCACACCACTTTAGATGTGAAGGATTTTATGAAGGTGCAAAAAATCAGACTGTTCAAACCATCAGAAAAAAGTATAAAAAGGATCTTTTTGGCAGCTAAGAGGAGTTGGGAACATTGCGGAATGGACCAGTGCAGTCATCATGGCGAGTTAAATGGTACATTTGGGCACCATTTTAGGGTATAATTGATTGGACTACAGCTTTAGACAACAGCCCTGTACTCAGCTCCCAAGAAGGCGCTGACCTTTGATTCTTACTTGACTGGGCGATGAGCCAGCTGGGGTCTAGAAAGCCAAATCTTGATGGAACAGAGCTAGGCTTCAGTGATGACAGGTCATGTATTCAAATATCAATGTTCAAGAGAATGCCAAGGTAAAAGGATCACTTGAGGCCAGGAGTAAAGACTGGCCTGAGCAGTATAGTGAGACCTTATCTACACACACACACACACACACACACACACACACACACACACACAAATACTGTTAAAGGATGTGACTTCAGAAGCTGAGATACAAAAATTTCTCCCCCTAAAAAAATCTCCAAGCCAGACACCAAACATAAAAGAGAGAAATTTGTACTGAAACTAAGAAACCTTTCTAAGGGCTACACCCCAGACAACGAATGCCTGTGTTCATCTCGTTTCTTTTTGTTTCCCTACAGTACTACTAGAAGGAAGTGTGGTGTTCCTGCAATGAATGAGCACAAGAGTTAAAGAAACTATTGTGGTGCAGGTGCTATCTGTATTTACATAACTCATGGGAATGGGAGACTAGAAATAGATGAGCAGAGCTTAAAAAATGAAATCGTTACCTGTTTTTATAATACAGTCTATATTAGTATGTTCTTGCATTGCTGTAATGAAATACCTGAGACTGGGTAATTTATAAAGAAAAGAGATTTCATTGGCTCATGGTTCTGAAGGCTATACAGGAAGGATGATGCTGGCAACAGCTTGGCTTCCAGGGAGCCTCAGGAACCTTACAATCATGGCAGAAGGCAAAGTGGAAGTAGGCATATCACATGGCTGGAGTAGGAGCAAGAAAGAGAGGGACGGGAGGTGCTACACTTTTTTAAACAACCAGATCTCATGAGAACTCACTATTATGATGACAGTACCAAGAGGGAAATCCACACTTATGATCCAATCACCTCCCACCAGGCCCCACCTCCAACATTGGTGCTTACATTTTGACATGAGATTGGAGGGGGACAACATCCAAACTATGTCAGAGTCCCATCCAAGTGCGGTGGCTCAAGCCTGTAATTCTAGCACTTTGGGAGGACAAGGCAGAAGGATCACTTGAGGCCAGGAGTTCAAGGCTGCAGTGAGCTGTGACATCATAGCACTGCACTCCAGCCTGGGCAACAGAGTGAGACCCTTTCTCCAGAAGAAAATAAAATGTAAAAGCTATTTGTCTTAAAACATATATCAGATTATTTAAAGAGGGTAAAATATTACTATAGCAGATCAAGAAATATCAACAGCAGTAATAATGGTGATGCTCAACTAGGCCTGTGTTCTAAACTGGCAGTGAATGATTATCCACAGGTGTGGTTTGAGGGACGTAAGACAACCATTTTAACTTCAAAGGATTTTCCCTACCAGGATTCTATAGAGCTTGAAATTTTTTTTTCCAGTTTAGACTGCCCCCAAAAGGATTCCATTAAAAAGCACATATGTTTCCTTGGAATAATAACACTAGGAATGCTATTTGGCCTAGATTACCTTAGCACGTAGCCAAAAATCTTGAAGTAGAAAGAGTTGAGGAAAGTGGGAAGAAAGGGAGGTAGAGAACCAGGCTCCCCATATATCTCCACTCAACTTGTAGATCTGCACTGTACAATATAGTAGCCTCTATTCACATACGGCTATTTTTTTTTTTTTTTTTTTTTTTGTGAGACGGAGTCTCGCTCTGTCGCCCAGGCTGGAGTGCAGTGGCGGGATCTCGGCTCACTGCAAGCTCCGCCTCCCGGGTTCACGCCATTCTCCTGCCTCAGCCTCCCAAGTAGCTGGGACTACAGGCGCCCGCTACTACGCCCGGCTAATTTTTTGTATTTTTAGTAGAGACGGGGTTTCACCGTTTTAGCCGGGATGGTCTCGATCTCCTGACCTCGTGATCCGCCCGCCTCGGCCTCCCAAAGTGCTGGGATTACAGGCGTGAGCCACCGCGCCCGGCCACGGCTATTTAAACTTAAACGTAAATTAAGTAAAATTAAACATTCAGCTCCTCCATCACTGTAGGTATATGTCAAATGCTCAATAGTCACATGAGGCTAGTAGCTAACATAGTGGTCGGTGCAGACACAGAACATTTCCATCAAAGTTCTGTTGAACAGTATTGCCCTCATAAGTGACTCTCTTTGAAGGAACGTATCATATACTTCAGAGGTGCTGGGCTTAAAAAAAGAGCTAAGCACATTGTGCTAGAGAGAGAGCTGTAGTATCTTGCAGGCTTTGAAAACTGTGACATATAAAGAACTAAGAAGCAAGGTTTTTGTTGCCCAATAAGCTACATGGAAAAAGAGCAAAATGGGTCACAGAGAAAAAGATTCCAACAGAACAAGCCAGCAGCCTCTTCCTTAGCAACCCAAAATGAAACAGTTCACCAGTGGGCACTAAATGAAAACCAATTGTAAAACACATTTTGTTCTGTAGAGCTATTGACTATACCCATGTGTTGTACACTTTATAAAGTTCTCATGGCAGAGGGGGATCAGCGTCTCACAAATTTCCTTTGTCATCTTTAGTGTTTCGCTTGATGGTGTCCTATAATTCCCACAGGCTTTCATTACTCTTTTTTTTTTTCCTTTTTGTTCCTCTGACTGGGTAATTTCAAATGACCTGTCTCTGAGTTCATTGATTCTTTCTTCGGCTTGATTGAGTCTACTGTTGAAGCTCTCTATGGAATTTTTAGCCCTTTGTCATTTTTATAACCTCCAGCTGGTAGAAACCCTCCATGTATTTTATAGACAGGGAAGTCACTACCTGATCATAAGAATTAGATGAGCATCAAGATTATGGAAGTTAGTTGTTGTTGTTTTCAATGTAAGTAACACAAATTTAAACCAACATCTACATAACCCAGAAGCCCATATTTTTAAACCATACCATGTCATCTCTATAAAGAAGAAAAAATATTATGAAGGGGTTGTTTTAGCCAGAACTATATTCAGAGAAGGCTGCTATGATGTTACATTGGGGAACACATGGCCTGATCATAGTTAACTATAGGCTTAGGATATTTATGCTTTATCTGAATCTCAATACCCGTTTCTATAAGGTGAAGTATTCAGACAAAATTATCTTGGGCCCCTTTTACTCTTGCATAATTGTTTAATTCCCTAGGATTCTGTAAAGAACTCAATATGAAGCCTCTGTAAGTGAGGATTACTTTATTATCTAGTAAAAATAGTTCTATTGGTACATATTATTTTAGTGTTAAGAAAGGACATAAGTGTAAATTAGCTGGCCACAAAATTGATAGTTAACAAATTGACTGTCTAGCCAATTTTTTCAGTGCGTTGAATGCTAAAAGGTATTTTTTAATTAAAAAGAAATTACTAGAGAAAAGGAGTATAGTCAAATTTTTGCCAGATTCGTCACCAGAATAATTTTTGCGTATGTATGTCATCACATTTGCAATGTCTTTGCCCCTCCCTTTCCCCCAAGCTAAACATGTTTATGCTTGAAGCTGTTTTGTGAATCCCAAGAAAGCATTTGAAGAAAATTAAAAATCTCTGCCAAAAACTATAACCATCTCTGAGCTTGGTTATAAAGTTTAATTGGAAAACTGATATTAAGTATGTATCTTCATTACATTTTGAAAGCATGAATAATACATGTAATCGTCCAAAGACTGAGCTCTGAATGTTGCTGCATTATTCAAACATAAATGGAAGTACACTGTATTATCAATTAGTGTCCAGTTTCTTTGGAAGAACAAGAAAAAAAAATCTGTTGAACCTCAGCTTGTGATTTACATTCTCAAACATGTTTATTCACAAGCCTAAAAAGCACGTTAGTAACAGTTGCCAAAGCAGTTGCCAAGACAACTTATCCCTGGATTTAGTATTATTGCATCAGGAAAAATGCCTACGAGAAATTTAATTAACTAACGCCTCATCCTCCTTGGCCAAAAAAGGATGGATTTTCTTTCAACCCAACGTCCCTAAAGAATGAGATTCAGTGGAATCAAGGTAGACACAGACACACAAGATAGACTCACATACACACACACCATGCTGGGTGAGTGTACAATAATGAGACTAGTTTCCAGGTAGAATTTTTATAAAATCTGCCTCAGTAGTTCCTACATGTTTATTGAGTGAATGTGGATAAATATGTAGCTAGGGTTTTCCATGTACATATATATATATTACATACAATTACACATATCTTTATAACGTGCATACATACTTATTTTTTCCTCTCTTCTCAATAAGAAATAGTCAGTTTATAAGAAAGTTAATTGAAACAAAAAACTAGCACCAAAGGAAAGATACATCAGATGTATATACATCAGATATACATCCAGACCACCAGGTTTAATCTGGATCCCTCCCACCAACAACACAACCTGGAAATTCTCTCAAAGCAGTTAGCTGAAATAATTGCAGGGCTCACTTCATTTGTTTTCTATCTCTCAGGAGATATTGCCTTATGTTGTCTGATATCTACTGTTTTACAAATTATTGTGTCATGTGTTTTGTCTAGTTTTTTAGTTTCTGCAGCAGAACTAATATAGTCAGATATAAAATTGATAGGTATTTTATAATTATAAAGACTGTAATTCATCATTAGTTCTGAGCTTTCAGCTAACCATAGCAGCAATGGAAATAGAACAAATCGCATAGCTTGCATTATTCTCCACAGAAAGGAATGTTTCTACAATCCCAAATTCTAAAAGAAACCATGACTTGGAGGAAGCGGGGTGCTTGAAAACCACATATTTTTTTTACCAGCATTACAAAATTCCCAATATAAGTGCCATACTTTGTTCCTCATTTTCTGCGCATGTGTTTTTCTCATTTAATAATCACCACTCACTACTAACATCCAATATCTTCAAAGCTAGTAGAAAATGCTGTAAAAATTTTAAGAATATGACTTATTATATACTTGGATTATACATTCTTCTTTCCCACCTGCTGCTCCTAAGTATTTCATGTTTATATGCTATTAATAATGATATTTATTCAATTTCCAAGTACTTATTGCTAACATATTTAAATACAATTGAATTTTGTATGTTAATCTTCTATCTTGCAACTTTGCTAAACTTAATTATTAGTTCAAATAACTGTTACATAAACTCCATGAGATTATCTACTTAAAAAATGAGGCCACCTGCAAGTAAAGACAGGTTTACTTCACCATTTTCCATCTGGATGCATTTTTTTCTTTTTCTTGCCTAATTGCACTAGTTAGAACATCCAACACAGCATAGAATAGAAGTGATGAGAGCAGATAATCCTTTCTTGGTCCTGATTTTAAAGAAAAATAATTTTTCCATTTTTAAGTACAATGTTAGCTATAGGTTTTCACAAATGCCCTTTAATAAGTTGAGTGCATTTCTTTTTTATTCTGGTTTGCTGACAGTTTTTATCAAGAGTTGATATTGCCTTTTTCCTTGTCCTTGTGTAGTTTTCTACATGTGTGCAACTGATTAGTACTCAGATGAAGACTAGAGGGACAACTCTGCAGTTTTTCAGAGTCCTCTCTGTGTACTACTCTCTCTTCTCTGGTACTTTACCCTGTAAACTCTAGAAACTTCAGCTTCCTTAGATTCCCAAGTCAATTTCCCCAATGCACAGAGACCACCAGGCTCAATCTGGATCCCTCCCACCAACAATACAACCTGGAAATTCTCTCAAAGCAGTTAGCTGAGATAACTGCAGGGCTCACCTCATTTGTTTTCTATCTCTCAGGAGTTATTGCCTTCTGTTGTCTGGTACCTAATGTTTTAAAAATCATTGTGTCATATGTTTTGTCTAGTTTTTTAGTTTCTGCAGAAGAGTTAACATAGTTTCTGTTATCCCATCTTGGTTGGAAGCCGCAATCTCTTCTGGACGATTTTTATACATGCACTTTCCTAGGGCTTACTTCATACATAAATTAGGGCTAATCATTCTTGAGAATCCGCATATTTTCAAAACTCCCCACTGAATTTATTAATCATTCTGGCTTGTGAAGTATAGATTTATCCACTCTCTTATATCTAACAAAATCTGAGGTTTGTGGGGTGAGTTTTAGAACATGACAAGGATCATGGACCCAGGTTCTATGACCCCGTAGCCACAACTTTTTCCACTCTCTCCCATATGTACAACCAGTGTGTCTGCTACATTAAAGCCAATGCTGAGAAGCCTAATTTAATTTTCTATACATTTCATTAATTATTAATCATCTAAATATTAGAAAGACTATAACAGAAATTGGGATACTCAGTAGAAATTGAATACTTCTTGCCCTATTGTAAATATCACACACTTGTACCAGAGGACAAAGAAACAATGACAGTTTTATTGCATGTGTAAGATGTGATCATCACCCTAAAGAGAAAGCCATCAAAGTTTTGATGCAGTGGATATCCATCAAGATTGCGATCCTCCTTTTGTTCTTTAAATGTTACCGGATACCTTTCCAAGGTAGCAACACTTCAGTAATAGTGTTTCCCAGTGGTATTGGATAGTCTTAGAAATGCTTTAAAACACAGCTAAGTAATCACCTCCTCCATGGTATCTTCTCACAAAATTCTGGGCAACTTTAATTGATCCCACTCCTGTATGTTTATTGTGCAGGACATGTAGTATTATTTTAGCCTTCTTCATACTATACAGAGAATTTGTATTTGTATGAACAATACTTGTGTCAGTACACAAGTAAATTTTTCTATTTCATGAAAATTTTTGATTTGGCAATCCATTCCTCCTTTTCAGTTATTCTAGAAATGTTCAGAAAATTAGAAGATATGATAATATATATTACATAATGTGAATGTATAATTATGAATAAATTTTGATAATATAATTTAACTATGTATAATATGAATATAGATTTATTTCTTCTTCTCTGGCATTCTGCCTGGGAATATCTGAAAAATATATAACTGTGTTATATCAAATTTAATTAATATTAAACAGCATTAAGTTGGCAAGCTCCCTTTCTCCTGTACTGCCAAATTTCTGATCTCATGGATATCTAAACTGGCTTACAATGACTAAATATGTAGAAAATTGTTTCCACTTGGGATTATTCTATACTAAGCACACCCTGACACTACAGTTAAAATTCCCAGGATTGTTCAAGTTCCCTCTGACACCACTGATTTTTATGAAGTCAAGGAAAATAACCCTTGGCAGGGCTTAATACCCCCACAGAAATGTTGAATTTATAATAAAATTTTATTCCTTTGTTCTTCAGATCATCTTCTAAATTATTCATAGCCTGTCAAACTTAATTTCTCAACAAAATAATGAAGTTTTGTTATCATTCTGCAATTTGATTTTAAGCTCCAGTGCTATATTTTACCTGTAAGCTTTGACCGACTCTGAGGATTCAAAAAGGATAGGTGGACTATGTGTACACGTGCAGCCTAAACTATGACTGACTGTCTTACCAATCTCAATAAGGACCTTGATGAGGCACAAACTCAGCTGACAATGAACCCAAGCTCCTGCAACTGAGATTCATGAACATATTTTCTCTGAAAAGGGCTTTCTAATGTTATGTTTCTCATATTAGTTGAGGGAGAGGAGATGATGGTCATTGGAATTACCTGGGACAGTGAGGAAGAGAATGCAGAAGACTTCAGCATATGTAGTTTGACAAGACCCTCAAGAAGATTATTTTTAGCCTCCCACAAGTGACAAATCACTGATCCAACCAATGCCCTATAGTCATGCCTACAATTCAAGCTTCAAGGAGCTTTCAAAAATCCTTACTACCCAGGTCACATCACAAGCCAGATTAGAATATCTGGCTTGGACCCAGCACCCATACTTTAAAGAAGGACCTTGGAGAGGCAAGATCCACAGAGAACATGGGACTTGCTAAGACTGGAATTAGAATAAATAGCTGGCTCCCATTAGAGTGACCACAAGGAGAGTCCCTCTCCACTTCTCTCTAGACATGTTTAAAACATAGGATTGCTATGCCCTACAGGGAAGGTGTTATCTTCACATAAACAATTTTTTAAATTGTGATAAGATACACACAGTGTAAAATTTACCCTCTGCATCGTTTTTAAGTATATAGTTCTGTAGTGTTAAGTATATTCATATTGTTTCGCAACAGACCTCTAGAACTTTTTCATCTTGTAAAACTGAAACTCTGTAACCATTGAACACCAACTCTAGTTTCCTCTCCCTGCAAACCCTGGAAACCACCATTCTACTTTGTGGTTCTATGAGTTTGGCTACTTTTGATACTTTATAGGAATGGAATCACACAGTATGTGTCTTTTCTGTCACTGGCTTATTTCACTTAATATAATGACCTCAAGGTTTATTCATGTGGTAGTGTGTGCTACACAATAAAAAAGGATAGTATTTCCTTTTTAAGTTTAATAATATTTCATTGTATGTATATACCACATTTCTTTATCCATTCACCTGTCATCAAACATTTAGGTTACTTCCACCTCTTGATTATTGTGAATAATGCTACGATGAATATAGGTATGCAAATACCTCTTCAAGATCCTGCTTTAATTTATTTTGGATATATTTCCAAAAGTAGATTGCTGAATCATATGATAATTCTATTTTTAATTTTTTGAGGAACCTCCATACTATTTTCCATAGTGGTTGCATCATTTTATGTTCCCACCAACAATGCGGAAGGGTTCCAAACAACAGAGAATGCTTCATGAATTTCCATGTCATCCTTGCACCAGGGCCATGCTAATCTCTGTGTCATTCCAATTTTCGTACATGTGCTGCCAAAACAAGAACTAATTAAACAATTTTCGATGCAATTTTCAGAACTTATTGACAAATCCCGTGCTGTTGACAGACATTAAAAAAACAAGTCTGTATGATTTTTTTAAATGCATGTTTGAATAATTTCATTTCATTTTAAGAGGAATCAGATCAATGGTCAAGAAAGTTACCAATAGGAAGTCCTCACAGGGTGGGCCCAGACAGCAACATTAGCCTCAGCTAGGAACCTGCAAATTCTCAGGCCCCATCTCAGACCGACTGCATCAAAAATTCTGTGGGTGATGCTCAGGAACCTATGCTGTAAAAATCTTCCAGGAGATAGTGATGCATGCTACAGAAAAAGGATTTATTTCTTAAAGTTATGGGAGCTGAGAAGTCCAAGACCAAGGAGTCACATCTAGTGAGGGCTTTCTTGATGGTGGGGACTGTCTGCAGAGTCCTGAGATGGCACAGGGTATCACATAGTGAGGGGACTGAGCATGCTAATGTGCTCACTCAAGTCTCTCTTCCTCTTATAATAAAGCCACCAGTTCCTCTCCCATGATGACCCATTAATCCATTATCCCATTAATCCATTAATCCATGAATGGATTAATCCATTAGTGAGAGCAGAGTCCTCATGATTCCATCACCTCTTAAAGGCCCCACCTCTCGATGCCACCACATTGAAGACTTAATTTTAACATGAGTTTGGGAAGGGACAAATATGCAAACCATAGCACAGCCCTACCAAAAAAAACTTACAGTTAAGGCATGAGATGCAACACATTTGACATCACTGTCTAGACAATCTCGATTATCTCATCTAGCTCTGTTCTTTTCAAATAGTTTGTATTCTAAACACTATCAATTCTATGGGATACTGTAAAGTTGTAAGTATTCTGTGAGCTTAGTTTCCTCATCTACAAAATGCTACTAATATTACCTACCTCTTGGGGTTTCTAGGAAGTTTAAATGAAATAATGTATTTGAACTAGCTAGACCAGCCCCAGACACAGAGTTTTAAAAACATCCTTAGTTTTAGACCTTAGTTTCTGCATTCTCTTCTCTTTGTTACATTGGTTTTCTAGTTTGTCTGTTTGTTTTGTTTTGTTTTGATTGTTCGCCTTACACTGGGCCAGGGCAAAGGCCAACCGTAGCTGAGCAAGCTCAGTGCTGCTCTGAGAAGTACGAGCGCTCCTGGTATTGGCTGGGGAGTCGTGAGAACTGACTGATTTCTCAGCCAATGTTTCTGCTGCAGCATTTGTTTTCCTCATCACCCTGTTTACCAAGTCTACACATTTGTTCAGACTGGTAACTAGTGCATTGAAAAGGGAATTTTTTTCCCTTGTTATTTAATCTGCTCTCACAACAGCAAAATCTAAATAACCATCTTCCCTTGCACAAAACTAAGCTCTGCATGGATATGATGAATGTTTTAGTGCTCACCTAGTAAGGCATTAGTGAAGAGGTTTCCATCTAGATTAGATGTAAATAGGTTAAGATTTACTGAGGACAAATCTTTAGTACGCATGTACAAACGCTTGTTAGCCAATTTGCAATTCTATCTGATTTATTCTTCCCAAGAACACTTTGAGATATGGATAACTGTACTGGTTCTAATTTACAGATGTGAAAACTGAGGTCCAGAGAAATTAAGAAACATAACCAAAGTCCTAAATTTATTAGCAGAACCAGCTATTCATTTACAGAGTCCAGTGTAACATAAAACTGCAGGACCAGGTGTTCAACAGATTATGAAGAATTTCAAGACAGAGACAGAGGAGCATTAAACCAAGTACAAATCTCTCTGGGGGCAGCATCCTGGGCAAGTGCTTGGCTTGTAAGCCCATAAAGCCAGTCCTGTTTGTGTCAAAATTGATTCCAAAGCCTATGTCTTTTTTCTATTTCATCACATGTGAGAGCCAATAGACTTAACAGAAAGCACATATTGGATCTCTGGATTTGGGTGAGAGTAAAATGTACAGGGAATAACAGTGAAAGCCCAAAGACAACTCCATCAACTTCATGGTTTTGATAAGGGCTGGTTCTGATCCTGAGAAGCAGCCCACAGTCATGGAAGCAGCACCAGATTTGAGTCAGAAGACCTGGGCTCAAACCCTGGCTTAGCAAACTTTATTTGCATGACCTCATGCAAGACATCCAGGCCTTCTTAGCCTCAGTCTCTTCCACACACAAATAATAATAATAATAAGAGCACTGCCATTTTTTCTTAATTTACTGGATGAATTATTACATGGATAGAAACATGTAAATGTATACAGTATGCAAGCATGTTTCCAAAAATACTGGCTGTGAAGCTAACCTCAAGGCCCTACCTGCTAAGCCCTAGCTGAACTATAGCCTCAAGGCCCTACCTACAACCTCTCCCTAACTTTGTTTGTATCCACTAATTTAGTAGGTGCTAAGAGGTCTCTAGGCAGAAGGAAAATCTAAGCTGTGTCCTGAAATGGGATTCTGGTATAGAGTGGCAGATGGTTGAACTATAGGAAGGTCAACCAAAGACTTCAAAGGCTCTATGGGAGAATTACTTGATTACTCGATAGGTCCTGATTCAACAGTTTGAGTGCAAATTCTTTTTAATATTAACAATGAATGACCCTGAGACGATATAGCAGCTATTTCAAAAATGCCTTTCTTCACTTTCTCTTCCTCCTTCCCATGGTCACTCTAAGAACCCCATAATCATGTTGGGGAGAGAGAATATAAAGGCTGTCCAGTGTTCTAGGACATCCTCTTCTCCTTAGCTACTGTTATTGCCACTGATCTATAGCATGTCTTGCAGTTCAACAGTTCCTTTCTATAGTAGTGACTGAGACACAACCATTAACATTGGTTTAAGAGGAAGGTGTCCTGTTTCAAAGAGCAAGCCATTCTCTCTTAATATAACCTGCTATGATCACATAAGATGTGTGTCTTTAAGTCCAGTGCCACAGCTCAAGTGCTCATGGCCTACATCTACACACAGAGGAGCACACACTTATGGAGATTTTTGTGAGATTCATTAATAGGACAGGTTGGCAAGGTTAGAACAGATTCTAGCATCAGCCACACCTTGTACTCAGAATCTCTCTAAGTATCTCCATATCTCTTTAAGATAGGCATGAGCAGCAAGCATAACACAACTTCATTCTGCTCCAAAAGGTGAGTCCAATTTCTTCTCACCATTTCTCAGCAAGACAATAATAAATAAAGACTTTCCTAAAAGAAGCTGGGGCTCCACCACACTAGGGCTTCTGCCATTATGTGCTCTGCCACTGCACTTAGCTGGAGGTGGCTCTGCTCATCTTTTGCTGTCTCCATGAGATCAAAGCCATGAGATCACCTGCCTCTGTGCCATGTGGAGACTGTTTCTTAAATCAGTTTTGAACAAGCTTCTGTGGCCAGTAAAAAAGAGCTGCATATAAACAAAAGGATGGCAACAATGGGGCTCAAGCAGCAATGCCATGGAATCCTTCTCAGCGTGTGCAATCTATTGGATTGAATTAAGTGATAGAATACATTACTTCACTTTCTTTTCCTCCAGCCCACAGTAATTCCGAGAACCCCAGCTTGGTTCTTTTAGCTACCAAGATCAATGAGGGCTTAGATATGGATGAAAGGATTCATCCAAAAATCTGTTCAGTGATGATGAAAAAAAGAAAGAACCTTGGTGGCAGGAGTCACGTGACCCACACACAGAGAAGCTACAACAGTGGTATGGTCAGAGCCTAGAGGAGGCTGAAGTTAAGAGCTTAGGAGAAGAGAAGCAGCAATGATAGGAATGATGACCCAGGGGGAGTACTGAAAGTAGAAATTCAGGCAGATTCCATGAAGCATTGTGAGTTGAAACCCAGCCTGACATGGTGAGTCTATGTGAGAACCTCCTGCCACCTCATCCCACCATGAGAAATCCAGGGGATCAGACAAAGAAGACAATAAGAAAAGTGGTGAGGACTCTACAGTTATGCAGTTTATGGTTGGGACCTAAGTTGCAATTTTGAAATCACAGTGTGATCTCACCACCTTGAAGACCATAGAATGACAATTATTTATGGAGCCACAATTATCCTGTATGTTTTGCCTTAAAAGCCTAGTTTCTTCTGCCTCTGCCCTTCCAAAAATGATAGAAACTCACTGAATCATTTGTCATTGCCTCAGTTTCACAAGTGCCATTGTTACCCTGTTCTCCAAGTCACTCCACATTTTGTTCTACTTGGTGACTGGTGGATGAGCTGTAACTGAGAGAAGAATTTAAATTGCCATCTTGTCAAACACAAATTTCAATAAGTCTGCATGACTTTGCCAGTTTAGGGTAAGGCTTAAGAAATATCTAATTTTATCAGATGGAAAATTGCAGAGGTGGTAAGAGGCACAAAATCCCTATTACTCAGCAAAGGGTCTGGGTAAGACATCAAAAACGTCTCAAGGTTTTATCATCTTTTTTAAAGTCACTTCTCTTCCTGTTCATGTACTGTCTGGTCTTATTTATGGTCAGACTGACCCAAAGTAGCATCTCAACCTTGCCACTAGCCATGTGACCTTGGTCTAATCATGCATCTTTTCTGAATTTTAAATTTCTAAATAGAGAAAATAATAACTATCTTTCAGGGCCAATGTAAATATTACATAAAATAATGTAAGTGCAAGAATTTCATAGGGTCTATGGTCTTCTGTGGCTTCTCAATTAATATTTGCAATGATAAATGATTGCATAAATGGGCAGTCAGTAAACAGGCAAACCAATAAATGTTTGTTTTCTTTTCTTATGCATTCTCACCCCAGAGTCATCTAAGACATAAAAATGGAAAATAAACACTATATTTATACTTATATAGGAATTTAATTTATAAAATGAGACATTATCCATCTCTTTTGATCCTCATAAAATTCCTTGAAAGACAGTCCAGACAAGAGCTGCCATTTCATTCTATAGGAAAGTGAACTGAGTTTAAGGGCAATAATTTGAATTACCAAATTCATATAGTAAAAAAAATATATAAATAAAGGGAAATAGAGAGGGAAATATGGAGCTAGGAAGGGAGAAAGGAAGAAAAGAAAAAAGGAAGGAAGGAGGGAAGGAAGGAAGGAAGGAAGGAAACAGAGGAGACAGGAGGGAAGAAGGAAGGAAGAATTCTTAAGCTAAAGTCTTCTAACTCTAAATTCTTTCCATTTTAGAAAACCACCACTCCACATATCCTTGGACACTGAAGCAACCCATCTGCAATCATTGGACTAGGTATTAGCACAATCAAAATAGACATTTCCTTCCTGAATAAACCTGATTAATGGCTTAATCTTTTTACAGTATCATTCTTGGAAAACTCAAAGGAGGTGATTCTGTATTAGGCTGGCAGAAAAGGTTGAGGCTCAGAAAAAGCAATCTTTTAATCATCTTCAGTTGTACTATCTCCAAGATAGTAAAGCAAAGATTAGGACACATAGTCATTTCAAAAGTATCATTCTCAGTGTTCTGATCTGCCAGTCAGAATCTAGAACAATTACAGATGAAAATTACAGATCATCACATGAAAAAGAGCTTTTATATTACACACCAGAGAAGTGGAATAACTCAGAAATTCCAATGACATCCTGAAATCAAGTAGAAAAATTAAGGAATAGCTGGGCGCAGTGGCTCAAGGCTGTAATCTCAGCACTTTGGAAGGCTGAGGTGGGTGGATCCCCTGAGGTCAGGAGTTCAAAACCAGCCTGGCCAACATGGTGAAACCCCATCTCTACCAAAAATACAAAAATTAGCCCTGTATGGTGGCGGGTGCCTGTAGTCCCAGCTACTCAGGAGGCTGAGGCAGGAGAATCACTTGAACCCGGGAAATGTGGGTTGCAGTGAGCTGAGACTGTGCCACTACACTCCAGCCTGGGTGGCAGAGTGAGATCCAGTCTCAAAAAAAAAAAAAGAAAAAAAAAGGAATAGAGAATACTAGTATTTATGGAGTATGTACTGTGTGCCAAACACTGAAATGAAAACTGTAAATATAGTATCCCATTTAATCTCCCTATATACCTGAAAGGTAGGTATTTTTATCCCCATACAAATAAAGGATTTGTAGCTCATAGAATTTAGGTAACTTGTCCATAATTAGTGGATGAGTTTCCATTTAAATCCTGGCTTGGCTGAACCTAAAGCCCATATTTTATCACCTGACCAGAAGTTCTCTATGAGCAGTTAACAGATCAGTGCAGGCCTGACAAGGAAGAAAAAATCCAGATATCCATGTTCCATTCTAACACCAATGCTATGATTCAGTGCAACTGGAATACAGCCTATAATTCTGTATTTTAACAAGTTTTCTGGGTTACTATAAGGGACAGCTAGGTATGAAAAATTATACCATGTTGCCTACTCAGAAGAAAAAGACAAGTTTCTTATAGCAGTGGTACTTGGCACTTCCCTGATGTAATAGATATAGATTGCTCCTTGACACTCAAAGTGCAAGAAAGATCCTATTTCTTTATATTTGCAAATCGATTTTGTCCTATTCAATCTCTCAATTATCTATGCTAATTGGCCACTTTTTGTGACCTTGGAACATGCTAGGAGTTCTCAGGATTACACAAAAGTTAGGAAAGATTGTTTTCTTCAGGTCATTTACCACCATCACCATTACTCAGTCTACCAAACAACTCTGGTTCTCTTCACTTGCACAAGCCACGGAGTCCCTGACCCTTCACATAGACAGTCTATGGCTTCCCAGGCTATAGACTTGAGCTCCTGTACTTTTACAACCCAGACTTTCTCTATGTACTCTTAAGGGTAGTTCTCACTAACTCAAAGAAACTGAAAGTCCAATCATTCCTCCCAATCTCAGGGTATGTCCCCTAATCTCCTCCTAATCCACCAAGCAAAGCAGCCCTTACTTTCAATTTCAGGACCCCTGTCTAATTATCTTTCACCACACTTTTTTCTTTAATAAGGAGGTTTAATGGTTAACCAGAACGCATAAAGTATTTTAGGTCCAAAAATTATCAGATGACTTTTTTGTCTTTTGAGAGAGTAAGATCAGCCTAAAACAATGCATACATTAATTTTTCATCCCCAAGGATGAACAGCTACTTCTTCAAAGCATGAGAAACAAAACACAAGTTTGAGTGCTCATATTCTACTACATTAAATTCTCATTAACCCAGCTTGTCACACTGTTTACAAACTTAAATTCAAAACGAGATGGAATTCAAATCAATGTGCATATGCTTGGCCATATAGGTGTTCAATACCAAGTCAGCAAGAATATGGGGAAAAAACATGGTCCATTCCCCACAACAAATTTATAATCCTATTGTGAAGTGGAGTATATGTTAAAAGGACCTTAGACTCTTACTCATTGGGATTTCTTTCTTTGTTTTATTATTCACTACCTTCAGTACTTAAATCCAGGCTTTCTACTCTGGCCAAAATAATTATTATTAAATATTTAAATAATTTTTACAATAATAATATTATTATCATAAAACACTGACATCATAGTTATTCTTTTTAAGCACCAAATTAAGTGTGTCAGGGTACTTTGAAAACTGCCAAATGTTATCTAAGGTACCAGAAACTCTAAAAGGTAAAAAAAATCAAGAATTTTATCACTACACTATGCAATAACCTCTCCTCTGGCTTCATCTTATCTTCTTTACCTTAATTTCTTCTTTGTTCTACTATCTTAATCCACTTAGGCTTATCTTTAATTTCGTGTTATCACATTGAATTTAATGTATTCAAGAAACATGTCTTAAATCTTACCTGTAATAAATTAAGATATTTTACAAACATAAAAACATAGAGTGTTATTTACAGAAAATCTACAAAGCATTCAAATTCAAGTGCTGTATAAAGATACAAACCTTTAAAGGAATCCAAAGAGAGGAAGATTGAAGAATAGATAAGGAAGCGCTGGATGGAAGAGATCAGACAAGGGAAAGCAGATCTATAGAAAGGGGTAGGATTTAAACAAAATGGAATATGTAATAGAAAACAGGGTTGCTTGACCAGATCAGAGTTCATATTGGTGAGCAATAAAATAAAAAACTGAAAAACATATTTGGCTAGTAGAATAAAAAAGGTATATAAAAATTACACATCATGGCCAAGTGAGATTTATTCCAGGTAGGCAATTCTGATTCAACATTCAAAAATCAGTGTAATCTATCACATCAACATGTTAAAGAAGAAAAAAAATTATGTGATCATATCAATAAATGATGAAATAGCCTGTAACAAAATATGACACACATTTATGACAAAAAATTTTCAGCAAACTAGGAATAGAAGACAACTTCCTAAGTTGATAAAGAGCATCTACAAAAAAATAGGTAATTCATATCATCCTTAATGTTGAGAAACTGGATTCTTCCCCCGTAAGATCAAGACAAGGCAAAGATAATGTTCTCATCACTTCTATCCGATATTGTACTAAATATTGTACAATAAAATGAGAAAAGGAAGTAAATGATATTCAGATTAGAAAGGAAAACATCAAACTCTCTTTATTCACAGATGACATGGTTGTCTATATAGAGCTGACCTAAACCAAAAACCAAAGAACCTCCTGGAACTAATAACTTATTATAGCAAGATCACAGAATATTGGGTTAATATACAAAAGCCAATTGCTTTCTTATATGCCAGCAATAAAAATTACACTTAAAAAGGAAATAATAGATAACACAAACAAGTGGAAAATATTCCATGCTCATGGATTGAAAGAATCAATATTATTAAAATGACCACAGTGGCCAAAGCACTCTACAGACTCAATGTAATTCCCATCAAATTGCCAACATCATTTTTCACAGAATTAGAAAAAATAATTCCACAATCTACATGAGACCAAGAAAGAGCCCAAATAGCCAAAACAATCTTAAGCAAAAAGAACAAAGAGGGAGGAACAGTTTAACCCAACTTCAAATTATACTACAAGGATCTAGAAGCCAAAACAGCTTGTTACTGGTATAAAAATAGACCTATAGACCAATGGAACAGAATAGAGAACCCAGACATATAGCCACATAAGTACAACTAACTAATCTTTGACAAAGCTGACAAAGATATACAGGAGAGAAAGGACAGCATATTCAATAAACGGTGTTGGGAAAATTAGATAGCCATACACAGAAGAATGAAACTAGACCCATATAGCTTACCATACATAAAAATTAACTCAAGATGAATTACATATGTCAATCTGAGACCTGAAACTATAATAATCATAGAAGAAAACCTAGAAAAAACTTTTCTGGACATTGATCTAGACAAAGAATTTATGACTAAGACCTTTAAAGCAAATTCAATAAAACAGAAATAGAGAAATGGGATTTAATTAAACTAAAAAGCTTCTGCACAGCAAAAGAAATAAGCGATCAACAGAGTAAACTGAAAAAAAAAACACAGAATGGGAGAAATGCTTGCCAACTATGTATTCAACAATGGACTAATATCTAGAATCCACAAGAAACTAAAACAACTCAACAAGAAAAAACAAATGACTCTATCAAAAAGGGAGCAAAGGACCTGAACAGACATTTTTCAAAGCATACATACAAGTGTCTAACAAACATATGAAAATATGTTCAACACCATTAGTCATCAGAGAAATAAAAATTAAAACCACAATATAATATTATCTCACCTCAGTTAAAATGGCTTATATCAAAAAGACATACAATAACAGATGCTGGCAAGGATGTGGAGAAAGAGGGACCCTCATACACCATTGGTGGGAATATAAATTAGTACAACCTCTGTGGAAAACAGTGTGGAGATTTCTCAAAGAGCTAAAAACAGAACTATCACTTGATTCAGCAATCTCACTACTTGGTTATCTACCCAGAGAAGAACAAATAATTATATAAAAAAGACACCTATGCTAGTATGTTTATCACAGCACTATTCACAATAGCAATGTCATGGAATCAACCTAAGTGTCCATCAATAGATTTTATATATATATATATATATATATATATATATATATATATATATATATATATATATATATATAAACATATATGTGTGTATATATATATACACATATATGTGTGTATATATAATTTTATACTTTGAAAACTGCCAAATGTTATCTAAGGTACCAGAAACCCTAAAAGGTGAAAAAAAATCAAGGATTTTATCACTATACTATGCAATAACCTCTCCTCTGGCTTCATCTTATCTTCTTTACCTTAATTTCTTCTTTGTTCTACTGTCTTCATCCACTTAGGCTTTTTAAAAATATATATATATAATAAATATATATACACATACATATACTAAATGTATGTATACATATATATAATAAATATATATACAAATATATATTACAAATATATATACAAATATATATTACAAATATATATACAAATATATATTATAAATATATATGCAAATATATATATATATATTTACCATGAAATACTACTTAGCCATGAAAAAGAATGAAATTGTGTCCTTTATGGCAACCTGGAGGCAACATGGATGGAACTAGATGCCATTATCCTAAGTGAAGTAACTCAGAAACAGAAAGTCAAATACCGCATGTTCTCACTTACAAGTAGGAGCTAAACAATGAGTACACATGGACATCCAGAAGGAAATAACAGACACTGGGGACTTCAAAGGTGGGAGGGTGGTGAGGGATGAAAAATTACCTACTGGATGCAATATACACTATTTGGGTAATGGGCACACAATAAGCCCGGACTTCACCACTACGCAATATAGCCATGTAACAAAACTGCACTTGTACCCTCTAAAACTATAAAAATAAAACATTTTCAAAATTTTTAAAATATTATTTACAATATCATACACAAAAAGATACTTAGGTATAAATCTAAGACTACAGCCAAAAGAAACTATATGTAAGCACTATATCATGACTGATAAAAATTTTTCCCATAGGCTTATGGGTTAAAAATTCTGACACCATTATAATGTATATTGGAATGGAACAATTGAGGAAATGGATGGTGAACTGTAGGAACCATGTTTCTCACTGTTGGAATGAAAGGTTACAGATAAACAAGGAGAAAAGTCTAGACTAATCCACATGATCATGGATTAGAGGTGGAGACATCCATATGCACTCATGTTTATATAGATACCAATCTTTACATATGAAAATATTTAAAGATAAGTGCATATACATTGATTAGTAAACATAAATATTCCTCAGCTGTATCAGCTGAGTCATTGCCTAGGAAAAAATAATACCCGGGGCAACACCACGGTAGCAACAATGTCAAAGCAACACAGAAGCCAAATGAATAAACTTCCAATAGCCAACCTTAGAATAATTTAAGCAGCACAGCAAAAACTCTAGTAAAATTATAACTCAATTATAAAATACATATATATGAGCAGCAAAGAAAGGAAGAAGGGAGGGAAGGGAGGGAGAGAGGGAAGGAGGGAGGGAAGAAAGAAGGATGGAAGGAAGGTAGGGAGGGAGGGAGGGAAGGAGGGAAAATCTACAATGCAAAAGAATTCCAAATAATTAATATAGAAAATCTACCTTCAAGACAGTGGCACGCACTTCTTCACAACTTAAGTGTGGGCTGCAACATAGTGAATTCCTTCCAAAAGGCACAGTATAGAAAGCAGGAAAATAGAGTCATTTTACAGTGGAGAAACTTGACAAGCCATACCTCAGCCGGATAATCAAGGTTCACCTCAAGAGTGGTAAGTCACGTTTATAGCACATACTGTGGTGTGCGCTAGACATACTAATGTGATGAGAATGGCACTTTCCCTCTGTGGTCTTCTGCACAAAGGCCCATAACTCCAGTCTAATCATGAGAAAAACATCCGACAAATCTGTTGTGAGGCATGCTACGAAATACCTGATCAGCACTCCTCAAAACTAGCAAGTTTATTAAAAACAAGCAAAGTCTGACAAACTGTCAGGGCCAAGTGCTGCCTAACAAGATAGGAAAGCTAAGTGTAATATGGAATTCTATAAATGGGATCCTGGAACAGAAGAAGGATATAGGATAAAAAACTAAGAAAATGTGAACACGTGGACTTCAGTGAATGAAAATGTATCAGTACTCGTTTGTTAACAGTAACAAATGTACCATATTAATGTAAGATGTTAATAATTGGGAAAACTGAGTAAGGAGTATGTGTGCACTTCTTGTACTATCTTCACAATCTTCCTATAAATCCAAAACGATTCTAAAATAAAAAGTTAACCGGTAAATAACAGAAATTATTTGTTTAAAGATGTAATCCAGGGGAGTAGAGGCCATTGAAAGCCAAAGCAAATTGGAGGTGTATAGCCCAAGGTCATTCAGCTAGTTATGGCAGAGTTAGAATCAGAGTTGAGATTGTTTGAAAACTCCTGGCATAGCAGGATAAAGCAAAAAAAAAAAAAAAATGAAAATAGGATAAGATAATGAAATACTATGCTTAGAATATCTTCTTCCAAATGCAAGCATAGAACTCAGCTTACCCGCCCTTATGATATTTGGAGAATACTAATGAAGCTCAGACACAATGACAATGTGCTAACTGATGATGATGCTAACAGGAAGAAAAGTATCTGGAATGTATTTCTTTTTCAAGTTATATAGGTTTTCTTGAGTTAGCTTAATATATATTCAACATTCCACCCCCAAACTCTGCTAAGAAAGTTACATTACAGATATAAAATCTTTGTTCTTGCAATCATTTAAATGTTTCAAGATTTATAGGGAGTGTTGACTTGGCCAGAGCACAGGTTTCCTGAGTCTGACATTGGCTCTGATGATGCCTCCCATATGCTGGGACTGTCAAGGGCCACCCACATTGTCTGCGTTGTCTGATTCAACCTCACAGTAATACTATGAAGTCAAAATCTTCAAGTTTTCAAGATTGAGCAAACTGTACATCTAAAAGTTTAAATGACCTGCCCAAAATCATGCAATTGAAACAGAATTGGAACCCAGGTATGTTTATTCAGAAACCCATACTGCCTTTCCAATTCTGTGAACTTAACAAGCTATTAAATTTATTTTTTAAACACTCTATGGTGTTTTCATGTGCTGGGCACAATTCTAAATTCTGTACAAATATTAATTTATTTAATACTTCTAATCAAGTACTAGGTAGGCTTTACTAATGACTCCATTTTGAAAATAAAAAAATACTTTGTCTGAGTCTGACTCCTTTACAAAAAAAAATAAAATTGTTTCTAAGAGTTCCCTACAGCTGTAGCAGTTACTGTCTTAATGATAAGCAATATGTCTCCAAAGTTGAACTCCCCAGCCCTGTGCCTGAGACAAGGCCCCTTTGAAGACTAGGTAAAACCATAAATCTCAAGCCAAAACAATGGGGAAAAACATTCATCAAATTTAATTTTCCTTGGGAAAGTCATTTGAACAGAGAGATGTCATCAGCTGACACTTGCGCAAGTTGCTATTTTAATATACATTTATTTGAAAAGGGTGCCTGAAAATATAATGAAGTGAAAGGATCCAAAAAACTTCTGTCAAAAGTACTCAGTCCTTCATCATCTCACTCAACAAAATAAGAAAAAGCAGAGAGAAAAACGAAGGAGGGAAGGAAGGAAGGGAGGGAGGGAGGGAGGGAGGGAGGGAGGGAGGGAAGGAGGGAAGGAGGGAAGGGAAAAGGGAGGGAGACCAGCAAGAAATGGGGAGAGACAAAGAGATAGTAGGAGAAAGAAAGAGAGACAGAAAGAAGGAAAGAAAGAAAATTACTTGACCCAGTAAAACCCTTCTAGAAGCTAAGTGCGATATAATAGACTTGTCAGCTAGAACTGGAATCAAATCTTTTTCTCATGTCTTAAGAATGGAGTGACCACTGACAAATAGTGTCTAAATATCAGTCTTTTTCACTTAAAAAAATCAGAATTATATCCACTTCATAGGATTTTTATGGGATGACTAAATGAAATAATATATGTGAAGAAGATAGCACTGTGCCTAGAACATAACAGGTACCAAACATAAGTTCATTGTTTCCATTCACTCTTCCTCCCACATGTCTCAAATAGTGGTACATAAGCCCTGAGACATGACCGTGCCTACTCTAATAAAGTGAGACTTGAGAACATAATAAAAATGCAAATGGAAAACCTTACCTTGAACAATCACAACAAAAATAGTACTTTGATGTCCATTCTCAAGACAAGATGGAACCAGATGATCTCTGGAATTAGAGAAAAATGTACTTTACTGCACTGAAGTAAATATTGGCAACTCCCAGATGGCCTATCCTATTTGAGATTCCCAAAGACAATGACCAGAGTAAAAAGACGCTAAGACTAGCACATCCTAGGTATTCTAAACATTGTCAGTACATGAAAATAGTAAGTATGTCTTAAGTTTCCTCAGGGACATTTTTCAGAGTCACATAAAGTACCAAGAGCAAAGCCTAAAAATAGTGTCCCTCCCTCTTTCCATTTGTAAGACATAGAACGTCTCCTAAGTGAAGATGCCTAAGACCTTATCAGTCATTCAAATATTAATCTATTTATTCAAGAACATTTCTTCTCTCTGTGCATTCTTCAGCCAGCATTTCTTTCATGCTTACAATGTTAGAAAAACTTTGCTACTAAAGATCGGTGTTCAAGTTCTTGCTCTTTTAAGCTATTGAGCTTAGACACATCATACTCTCTGAGCCTCAGTTTTCCAATTTTAAAAATTTGGAGTTAAGGATGTTCTCTTCATAAGGAGTTAAATAAGCTAATATAATAAAAATGCCCATCAAAATGCCTCTGCTCACATTAGTTACTCAGTATGTGTCAATTACTGATTTTATTGTTTCATATTATTATTTATTGTCATCTCTGAGTCTTATTCCTTATTGATGCTCTTGAAAAACTTCACTCTGAATTCATAGTGCCCCATGCCTCAGATGCTATGTCTAAAACCCCACCTTTCTGAGATGGTTTGTAGTTTCCTAATCTAGAAGATTTCTGATCAAGTCCTTCACCAACTCTGAACTTGGAAACTCTTGCAAAAAACAAACAAACAAAAAAGTCCTGAAGTCTTGTCACGGATTTGAGCAAGGCTAAGAGACAGAAATAAATGTGCTCTCACTAACCTCAAAAAGGAAACATGGCTCTTCAATATGTTGGTTAATGATCAGGAAGGAGATGCCAGCAGGCAAGAGGGCTGATTTTCAACAATTAACAAATTTCTCAAATTAATCAAGAAGAAGAATGGCCACAAGAAGAATTAAGAAAGCCAATATTGAACAATATGGGCAGAGGTGATGTTTAGCATAGAAATAAGCTCCTCAGGTCACTCACAGTGTCAAGAATAACATGAATAACATGGACATTCTGGATATTGAAGAGTTTATGATTCTGATCATGCATTCTAATAAAATCCTTAAGATAATTAAAATGCCTCAAAAATGAGTGAGTGAGATGTCAAAGCAGATAACTCAACAGAGATGTCAGCTCTCTGTATTACAGTGATAACACAGTGTCAAAACAGTGATGAAGATTTTAGACTAAAACAATTTTCACTTTCCTCGGCCAATAGATGGGATGACAATGACTTCTGATTACTGTGTGCTCCATAAGGTGAAGGCTTGAAAAAGAGAGAGGGGACGTGAGGAGAGGGAAGCTAAGCTGCTGTAAGAACAATATCCCAATAAATTCTACCTTGAACTATTGCAAAGATCCAATTTTACCTCTTTCTATGGCAGAAATAACTTTCAAAAATGCAAAAGGAATGCATGTTCTTCCCCTATCTAAAACTCCTCAGAAAGGTCACATTTCATGGGATGCAGGGCTTTTTGTAATCTGAGCCCTCCCAATCATTCAATCATGAGATTTACAATATTTCATAAAGGTTGCAGACAAATTGATTGATCTCTATGCCTCTACCCTTTATCCGTATCTGTCCCTAGCATTTCTCCAGGCTATTTTTGAAAATTTTATGCCACAGTAAGCTTATTCTTACAGGTTAAACCATATATGATGATGTAGTGGTTAAGAGCATGGGCAGGCCAGCTGTGGTGGGTCACGCCTGTAATCCCAGCAATTTGGGAGGCCGAGGTGGTTGGATCACAAGGTCGGGAGTTTGAGACCAGCCTGCTCAATATGGTGACACCCCATCTCTACTAAAAATACAAAAAAAATAGCCGGGTGTGGTGGTGCACGCCTGTAGTCCCAGCTACTTGGGAGGCTGAGGCAGAAGAATCGCTTGAACCCAGGAGGCAGAGGTTGCAGTGAGCCGAGATCACGCCACTGCACTCCAGCCTGGGTGACAGAGTGAGACTCTGTCTCAAAAAAAAAAAAAAAAAAAAAAAAAAAAAAAAAAAAAAAGAGCATGGGCATTGCATCCAAATTGCATGAATATGAATGTCAGCCTGGCAGTTACTGTCCATGACGCTTTTGTCTAGTTAGTTAGCACTCTGTAGCTTGGATTTCTTATCAGTAGATCAGGTACCTAACTCCTAAGATTGTCATGAGTATTTAACTAGCTAATACATGTAAAGTACATAGTAAAATAAATGTTATTATTTCAGTTTAATAAACACAGTCATCACAGAGTCAGGTTAGTGTGTTGGTTTTGTAGAAAGAACATGAACCTTGATGCCAGGAAGACCTGAGTTTGAAGCCCAGCTCCTATACTAACCAGCTTTTTGCCATTTAACAACATCCTCAGCATCCTTGCCTCCACATTACTTATATACAAGAGATGAAAATATTTACCTACAATACAGAATTTGGGGAAATAAAAGGATCATATATTACATTTGTTTAACAAATACCTGTTCCCTTTCCTCCATCATGCCAGGTGCTTATCTCTAACGCAGTACTTCCACCCTATTGTAAGTATGTCTTAATAGAATCATCTTCCTTGTCACATCAGGAGATTTAGAAGAGTTGATTTGAAGCATCTGGAAATTTTTGCATCTTTCACTCTTATGCAATGTACCATTGGTACATTTTTAAATAAATATAAGAAGGCTAGGGATAGCATAAGTTTAAAAGATGTGAGAGCTGAAGACCTAGGATCTAGTCTCAGGTTTGTGATTTTTAAGGAAATGTCACAGTTAGGATTACCTTATCAGGTAAATGGAGTTAATACCACCCACCTTAATGCAATTATTGTCAGAGCAAAATGAGAAAAGATTGTTCAAACATGTTATTAATAGTTAACATTGTTACCATGTTCCCCATTTTGATGCCTGTGCCCTTGTGAATTTACACTAAAGAAAAGCAAGTCACATCCATGCTGAGGTTTTAAGAGAAGCAAACCAGGAGTGCTTTGATGGAATGACAACTCACTTTTGGAAGGTAGGATCCTTGCTCTTTGGTTATTGTTACAGGCCTTAGACTCAAAGCTGGATGTGAATCTTAGCTCCACCATTTACTATGTGGGTAACTCGGGCAAGTTAATAACTTCATCTATAAAACGGGGGTTAAAATACTTCCTGTGAGAGACTTAAATGATATAATGTGTATGAACCCTTTGGTAGAATATCTAGCTCCTTAATTCTGATTTTTATATTAACGGTTTTATTATTTTCTTAGTTGGTGTGGGCTGCTATAACAAAATACCTTAGACTGGGTAGCTTATAAACAACAAAAATTTATTTCTCATAGTTCTGGAGGCTGGGAAGTCCAAGACTGAGGCACCAACAGATTCAGTGTCTGGTGAAGGCTTTCATTCTGGCTTATAGAGAGCACTTTTTTGCTGTGTCCTCACATGTTGGAAGAAAGTAGCTAGCTCTCTGTGGTTTCTTTTATATGGGCCCATAGGTCTCACTCAATCATTTCCAAAAGGTCCCATCTAGTAATATCATCACCTTAGTTAATAAATTTCAACATATGGATTTTGGGGAGACACAAAGATTCAGAACATAGGAGTTATTATAAGTGTTTTTCAGAATATCTAGATTTACAATATCTAAAACCATAAACACAACCTAAATATAGGCCTGTATTCCAGCTTCACCCAATATTTCCTTCACATTTCAAAATTTTCCACTTTTGTAATAATAGGAAATTAATTCAGAATGCTGACCACATGTGAACCTCCTGCTAGGACCATTGCTAATTTCCTCTTAAGCAGCTTTCCCTGATTTCTTCAGCCCATACACATCTCTCTTGTCTTCGAACATGTAATTGAAATTGCTGCAACATAGTTTGTCATTTATATTTTATCTAAATTCTTATGTACAATTTTGTCTTTCTTCTGTAGATTTTAAGACCCTCCAATGAAGACCATATTTCTCTATACATTTATCTGTAGCCAGTCCTCATTCCCCTGACATTGGCTTCTAGAAATATAATGCCCTCTTAGTAGACTCATATAAGCCTAGTGAATGGATGAGGCAACATACGAGCAATGCAATTCTTTTGTAATCCTTTTGGTATCTAGCACAGTTATAGAAATATAGTAGATCCTCTATATGTATTTTTGAGTAAATGAATGAATGAGAATAAGTAAATATTAACTATTTGATTACCCAAAATAATATGCACTTACAGAAAGTATTTTCTCTAAACAGTTCAAACTAAATTTTCTGTTCTTGTTGCATAGATAAATAATAAAAAGCATTAGATAGAAAAGGCATCATTATGTGGTCTGGCGGGTCATAGACAAAAAGCAACAAGAATAACAGCAATATGTGCATTGGGAAAAAATGTACATTAATAATGATATTGTTGTTTTGAACTGTTAATATAAACACTTCTTTTTTTTCCTGGTAAGGATTTTCTTCTTACCAATATTGTCATGAGCCTTCTCACCCATCTATAACATAGCTAATTCAAAGCAGATTTATTTTGAATTTGTATCTGTACAGATTATGATTCTGTAGTCTCCTCATAATCATTTCAGTAAACAACTTCAAATCCACAAAGCAGTAGAATTGACCCAGAGTTAGTGAACATTTGGTGTTTGGGACGTTTTGTCAATGATTGAATTCAATCTGATTCAATCAAATCAAAGGAGAAATCTTATTTACCCTTCAAGTCTCTATTTCCCAGGCAGCATTAGTCACTCCTTCTCTACTTCCCCAGTACATTCACATATCTCTATTTATTAGCATGTCTTCTTCCCACTCCACAATTTCCTTGGGCTCCTTGAAGATAGGAAATGTGTCTGATTCTTCACACCAGCATGCCACTGACTAGCATGAGGAGAACTTGTTTAATTAGTTACTTCGTGGCCTAAGCTGGGATGCCAGCTCCCATTTAAACCATGTTAAGTGTTAGCTACTTACCCCATCGGGGGCTCCCACAGCTCTTTGTTCATATTTATAATAAGCCATAATAATCAAATCACAGAATGTAAGATTTCCACTTCAGGTTTGTCTTTCTTTCAAACTTCTGAGCTCCTCAAGGACAGAAACTGCCAATTAGCCATCTTTATTTGTGTAGCATTTAGTCCAAGGCCCCAGAGAGTGTTTGATGAATGAGTAAATTAACTAATTTTAAAAACTTTTGTAATATAATCTGCTCACGGTACAAGGACACCTTGATGGTCACATCTACCTTATCTAAAATGTTCTTACAGTCCAGTCCCCAGCAACAGTGCCTAATGGCTTAACTTTGTCTTCAGCACCCCTCTACCTGATCATGCTACCTTCTTTCATACTCTCCTTTTGCTTCTCAATAAAGAGACATTCATACTCCATTCTTAATGAATCTAGGACCTGGGAGATCCTACTCATGTAAAGGGCATTTTCTCTCCAACAACTTGTATCAGTAGATAAGATACTAGGATGAGAACTCTTCTTTACCCCACTATGTGACAGCAGCCCTAATTCTCATAAAAAGCCAGAATCAGTAGCCCTAGACAACTTAGAAGACATGGGTAAATTCCTAGAAACATACAACCTACCAAGACTGGATCAAGAATAAATAGAAAGGTTAAACAGGCCAATAACCAATAAGGCGATGGAATCAGAAAAAAAAAAAAACCTCCCAATAAAGAAAAGCCAAGAACCAGGTGGCTTCACAAGTGAATTCCACCAAACACTTAAAAAAGAATCAGTATCAATCCTTCTTAAACTCTTTCAAAAAATATAAAGAGGAACACTTCTGAACTCCTTTTATGAGACCAGCTTCACCCTGATACCAAAGCCAGAAAAGCATACTATAAGAGAATAAAACTCTAGGCCAATATCCCTGATGAACACAGATGCAAAAATCATCAAAAAATATTAACAAACTGAATTCAACAACACCTTCAAAGGGTTATATATCATGACCAAGTTGGATTTACCTCTGGGATGCAAGGAAATTTCAACATGCATAATTCAATCAATGTGATACACAACAGTAACATAATTAGGAATACAAAGCAGCATATGATCATCTCAATAGATGCAGAAAAAGTATTTGACAAAATTAGACACCATTTGATGATAAAAACTCTCAACAAGTTAGGTATAGAAGTAATGTGCCTTAGCATAATAAAGGTCATATATTATATGCCCATAGACGACATCATACTCAATAAGTAGAGGTTGAATTTTTTTCTCTAAGATCTAGTACAAGGCAAGGATGTCCATTCTCACCACTTCTTTTTAACATAGTACTGTAGATCCTAGCCAGAGCAATTAAGCATGAAAAAGAAATAGAAGGAATACAAATTGAAAAAGAAGAAATAAAGTATTTCTGTTTCCAGATGGCATAACTTTATATGTATAAAAGTCTTAAGACTTTACACTCACATGCACACACACAAAAAAAGGGAGAAGTAATTAACAATTAGAAATTAGAAATAATTGACAATTAAAAATAACTATAAATAATTAACAAATTCAGTAAAAACTAATTACAGGATGCAAAATCAATGTGCAAAAATAAGTAGAACTTTTATACACTGACAATAAACTACCTGAAAATGAAATCAAGGAAACAATCTCATTTACAATAGCACCAAAAAGAATAAAGTATCTTGCAATAAACTTAACCAAAGAGATGAAAGACTTTACACTGAAACTGTAAAACATTAATGAAAGAAATTAAAAGAAAAAATAAATGGAAAGGCATCCCATGTTCATGTATTGGAAAAATCAATATTGTTAAAATGTCTACATGACTCAAAATGATCTACAGATTCAATGAAATCCCAATCCAAATTTCAACAGCATTTTTTACAAAAACAGGGAAAAAATCCTAAAATTTGTATGGCCCTACTAAGGATCCTGAATAGCCAAAGCAATGTTAGCAAGACAAAGCTAGAGGCATGACATTTCCTGGCTATAAATATACTACAAAGCACAGATAATCAAGACACTATGGTACTGGCACAGAAACAAATATATAGGCAAAAGAATAGAATAGAAAGCACAGAAATAAATCCATGCATATATGGTCAACTAGTCTTCTGCAAGGATGCCAAGAATACACAATGGGGAAGGGATAGTCTCAATGGCGTTAGGGCAATTGGATACCCATATGCAAAAAAAAATATGAAATTCCACCGTTATCTTAAAAATCAACTTGAAATGGATTAAAGACTTAAAAATAAGGTCTGCTACTATAAAACTTCTAAAAGAAAATATAGAGAAAATGTCCCTTGACACTGGTCTTGGCAATAATTTTAGGGAGAATATGACACCAAAAACACAAGCAACAAAAGCAAAAGTAGACAAATGAGATCAAAACAAGCTAGGAAGCTTGAAAAGCAAAGGAACCAATCAATAGAGTGAAGAGAAAACCTATGGAATGGGAGAAAATTTTGCATTTTCTCCATTTTTCCATTAAAAGAAAAATAATTTAAATGCCTCTCGGCTACAAAAAGGCCAGACCTGAGTTCATAAAGACTGGCCTTAGAAATGAATGCAAAATATGTACGTCATGATGAGTTTAAGATTGTTCTTCCCCTCTCGTGTCTAAGACTTTGTTACTCAATTAACGCTTATCTACCTGGCTCTGTTTTCAGACTGAGTTTTTTTCTGGATGCTGTTATTTTCTAATGCAAGCCTATACCCTTAGTTTTCCAGCTTGTTTTAATTTCAATAGTCAACACAGCTTAGTCTAAAAATAAAGCTGTTACTCTGCTATTTTTATGTAGCCCATGGAATTATCATATAAAAGAAATTTAGAAAAAAGCCAAATAACACATATCAAGGCACACTTTACTACAGGAAAATTAGTTCTAAACATCATTCAGGAGACCATTTATAGCTGAGCTGTTTACTCTGTGAAATGTGAATAACCCATTTATAAATGTTCAACTGTGATCTAAACATTTCCTGGCCTACGGAAACCGAGATAATGCCATGGGAAGCTCTGGAGTTAGCGTGGCCTTCCAAAGTACTTTCATGATGAGATAATGAACAGTCACCAGGTTTTGGAGTAATGTATCACACAACAGGTAATACAATTACCAAGATTTTATCAAATATCCACATGGTTCTTCACTATTGGCATACTTCCCATCTGAGAAACATTAATTCATTAAATTAGTCCCATTATCTTCAAATGCAATGCCTGTTCTGATTGGTCCCCAAGCACCCTATGTACTGACTGTCACTGAATGCTCACCAGAAGTACCCTCCCCTCTCCCTCTCCACTATACTAAATTTAACTCCTACAAAGTCCACCTTAACTGCCATGACCTCAAGGAGCTCTCTCTGATCCTTTTATACATTACTAGATTCCTCTGGAATACTGCCTCTTCGGCTTGCAGCTAACTCTCTAATACTTGATTAGTGGACTCCAGGTATTTCTGTATTTTAGTTATTTCATCCAACGCATTATACTCTACTGTGTACAATCTGGAGTTAGACCAGAATATACAGAGTACAAAGTAGAGTATAATGCATTGGATGAAATAACTAAATAACCAGATTGTACACAGTAGAATATAAGAAAAAGCCATTTTGACCAATCTTCTTTCTTTTGCAACCCCATGAGACAATAACAATATTGGTTTTCTAGACTTGTCCAAACATACAAATAGCAAGAGACTTTCTATCATATATTTACTCAACTAATATTTTTGAAGTATTTATACTGATGATCCAGGCACCCTGAGGATTCAACAGATTTTTTAAATGACCCTTCTCTTGAGCAACAAATAGTCAAGCACACACACAAAAATAATAATAACAAATTGCTCCAAATGACCTCCCTAGAAGGCTAATCATGTAGGTTCTTCATGAGAGATACATAAGAGCTATGGGTGTCTCAGCTGGGTTTCCTGAGACACAGAAAAGGAGATGATGTTTGGTATGTAGGATGTTTATTAAGAATCAAGCTCTGAAGAGAAGGAAAGAAGCAGAGAAGTGGGAGTGGACAGAAGGAGGAACAAAGCTACAAAATAGGCCCAACAATGAACTCAGGAAACACCATGGGGAGCTCTGGAGTTAGCGTGGCCTTCCAAAGTAGTTTAATCATGGGCCAAAATGACCATGTCTATACACGCTGTTTCATTCATTCATTGACAGTGGACAGACTAGAAGGGAGGTGAACTTGGCTGAGTCAGCTCTCTGCCACCAAGGCAACCCTGAACTGACAGCTACCTGTCGATGGCTCTCCCAGGAGGTGAGGATGCAAATCCTTTTTTAAAAGGGGATCTGAGCATTGGAGAGTCCACCAAACATGGGATGAAGAAATGGTAAGTGCCGACAATGCATCTGCAAGCTTGATAGGTCAAGGAAGGAGAAGACGGTGACCAGAAGGTAAAGGCTTGAGAAGGATTTGGGTGGTGCTGCTTTGTTTCCTTTCTGTACCATAAAATACGACAAGCTAGGACAGAAAGCGATGATCTAGGCGGAAAGAAAGATATAATTAGCAAAATAAAGCAGACTCATTTCTCTTTCCTCCATGCCCAGATAGAACTTTTTACATCTCAATTATAACCCTCAGTAGTCTCCCCCACTGTATGGCAATCTACACACAAGCAGACACCAAAATAATTTTCCAGTGTTTTTCTCTGTGTTTAGAACTGTCTAGAGCACATAGTAAACATGTAACTGTTTGAGTCATGGAATTGAGCATTTAAAAAAATGGGAAACCTAAATTCTTTGAATTTTATTTTTTACTTAACCTAAATAAGGATGCTTAAACATTACACATTTTTGAAGTAATAATGTGTAATGCCTACTGTGTAAATGCCTCTTTCTACTAGAGTGGAGCAAGGCAAAAGGCACAGATGTTTCTTACCATAATTATATTAGATAATTAACCGAGCCAGATTCATGTGGTCCCCAAGAGCTAGTCAACTCATTTTATAAATAAGAAAATCTAAATTGATACATACGCAGCCCAGGAGATTATATATAAGATGAGATTCTGAGACATCTCAAGTCATTATAAAGACTTTCTTCTTCATAATATTTTTTTCTCCTTTGATGTATCTTCTGCGAAAGATGATTAACACACAGCTTATTGGATTGGAAACCAAATAAATCAATGTTGTTTTCTTTAATCCTAGAGAGTTCACAGGAAGAGTTTTTATACAATTTATTTATCTTTAATAATCTCCAATGGACAGATCTTTACAATTGATCAGCCAAGAGTCAGAAAAGAATGAGGGAAGGTCTTCTTACTGTTAACCTTCTTGAGGACTTTATTTCTTGTTGGTGTTTGTGTTGTTTGTTTCCTCTGTAGCTAAAATGAAAAGCGGAATTACAAGAAAGATGTATCTGTGTCTTTCATTCCTGGAACACTGGGGGAATGTAAAAGAAGGTGCATTAATGGAAGAGCATCATCCCAGATTCTTGCACTTCTCCATAGATGCATCTAATCCAGCCTGGTATGTGATAACAGAATACTGATTAGTGAAGAGAATCTTTAATATGAGGCTGTGCAACATGCACCCTTTGGAGAGTTCATGATTATGTAAATCTCTGATTCTATATTGAGGGGTTTAAATGTGATGCACAACAGTAACATACTAAATAGATTGTTTTATTCCAAGTATTAGACCCTGAACACTTACATTTTAAGAAGGAGAAATTGCAAGGAAAAAAACTACAATGTATTTGGAGAAGTTTCGGCCACCAGTCCTAAATACAACCTAGGACGTAGCTATTGTAATGAAGGGGTTGTTGAAACTTATCCAAGATTGTTGCAAGATAGCCAGAAAATTAAGTCATTTTATAACTAACACATTAGATTTTATACATGTTTTTGGCCAACTTAAAGTGATCCCTTTGAGAAAGTACAAACTTATTTTCATAAAGTTGCTACTACTGAGAACATTTTGGGTGTCCCTCTTTTGGAATTGTTTTTAGGCATGAAAAACATCTTTCTGAATAACATTTGTGTTTGTAATAGATCATTTGCTCAAAAAATGAGTTTGTTTTCTGATGTTTATTTATCCATTTGAAATTGTCAAAAGTCATTCAGAGCTGGGCTTGAACACCTTGGATGACCAAGGTGGGTCACAATTATAGTCTAACTTTGATTTTACGGATTGAATTACTTAGTAGTGCTCTCAGAACCTGGCCAAGAAGGTATTAGCGTGAGCGGATTGCAGAAATACCCTGAGCAAGGGAAGAACACCAGGAGCAAACATATGGTCACCCCAAGAGAAGTATTTTGGAAAAGGAAAAAATTGCATTCATAAATATGAGTTCAGGCAGGCTTGCTGAAAAGCTCTCTGGCTCATTCATCCACAAACTTAAAAGCTTGTTCAGCAAGCATTACTGATCACCTGTGAAGCCCTGAGCACAGTGCTAGATGTTGGGGGCATTCAAACAAATGGGACTAAGTCTCCTTCCTGGACTGCCCATGATCTAGTTGGTGAGACAGACATTATAATGGAGCATTACAGAAATTGGGAAAGTTCTTTGATAGAGATGTGCACACGCATCACAGAATCACACAGGACTATGATCAAGAGGGTTGGGGCTTCGTAACCTATTTTGGGTCATTAACATTTTGGGCAGTCTGGTGAAACTTATGGATACCTTATCTGAATAATGGCTTTAATGTATAATATAACATGCACAGGATTACAGGGAAACTAATTATATTGAAATATAGTTATTAAAATACTTTTAAATGTGACCTTATAATGCACATGCTTCTTAATTAACTTATTAAAAAAAGATCAAGTGGTGGGCCTAATAACCACTGTAGTTATAAAATAGTAAAGGGCATAGTCAATATTCTGAGGTGCAAGCAACAATTATAATGTGGTATGAAAATATCTGTGCTTTCTATTGCTAACAAACCATAGATACTGCTAAGACTAGTAGAATTTGTTAACTATGTGAAGAACTAAAGGAAATAATCAATTCCAGTTAGAGGCTAATGAAAATGAAGATAATTTTTCTATCTTCAAACACCCTGAATTCGATCTGTGGATTCATTGGAGGAATGGGAAACCTGTGTTAAGAAGCTCTGTCTAATGAACAATGATCAAGCTGTGTCTTGAATTAGGGGATAGGAAGGCGTGTCTGGGTAGAACCATGAGGGGTCCCCCAGGCATTGAGGGCTGTGTGAGCAAAGGCACACAGGTAGGTGTGCTTTTCAAACACAGTACCTTTGAAAAAAATTCAAGCAGTTTTCATTACTAATAACTGGTATCTTATAATATTTCTAGTGCTGATGACTTACAATTTTGTTTCATACTGTTTATCACATGTCTGTGGATGAGCCAATGGGGGATTATCCACAGATAATTCTAGTTCTCTAGAAGGTGTCAGCTCTGGGACAAGTGTCATCCTGTTGAGTCTGATTTTCACAGCACTACTGAGAAGAATTACACAAGAAGAAACTTCAATTCCAGTTCTGAGTTCTGGCATTATTTACCTACTGTTGCACGGCAAAATAATTATTCATGTATGCATGCATCAATACTTCCTACACACCTATTCTGTGCCAGGCACTCTGCTGGGCAATAAGGGTATCAAGATGAATAAATCACAGATGTTACTTTCAAGAAGTTCACCATCTAGCGGAGAAGACAAAACTTGAATGTACATATCTGCAAGAGCAGCTAACAATGAGATAACGCATGAAAACCACTCAGGCCAGTACTTAGTTCACAGAAAGCACTCAGCAAATGGCAGTCGTTCTTAAGTTCCATTAAATTCCTAGGAGAAGAGCAGTACATTCTATCTGGATAGTATCAGGGAAGGCTTTCTGCTAAAGATAGTTTTTCCTTTCTGAGCCTCATTTGCCATTTCTCAGAGACAATGGGATTTAGACTAAACTCCCAGTAACCTCAGAGGGCTTTTCCCACTATACCATTCTACCATTCTATGGACATGATATGGTTTAGGGTGAAAGAAGCAGTGATGTGCAATAAAGGGTTAACTCATCAGGCCAGTGTTGCCCAAACTCTGCACATTTCAGAGGCCTTCAGGACTAGTCTTCAACTAGCCCCTGTAAAATAATCTTGGAGCCCTTGAAATACCTGCCAAATAAGAGTGTCCTTGGATAGCTGAGGTCTGGGACCATGCCATATGGTTTATGCTAACAATGGAATTTATGTTGAATGTCTGTTTTTGTATGCCTGGGCTTTGGGTCATGCTGTGTCAATTTGACCCATGGGGAACTAGAGTCTAAAGAGCTGAGATCAGTCACACAGGTGTTCCATGCATATGTAACTGACCGCTCCACCACCAATAAAAACCTTGGACACATCAAGTCTCAGGTGAGCTTCCCTGATTGATAATATTCTATACATGTTGTCACACAGCGTTGAATGAAAATCAAGTTCTACCATAGAACTCCACTGAGAGAGAACTAGGATCTTTCCCTTTGTGTCTCCTGGACTCCACCCTATGATTTTTTTTTTCTTTTGAGACAGAGTCTCACTCTGTTGCCCCAGCTGGAATACAGTGGCACGATCTCAGCTCACTGCAACCTCCAACTTTCAGGTTCAAGCGATTCTCATGCCTCAGCTACCTGAGTAGCTGGGATTACAGGTGTGTACCATCATGCCTGGCTAATTTTTGTATTTTTAGTACAAACAGGGTTTCACCATGTTGGCCAGGCTGGTCTCGAGCTCCTGGCCTCAAGTGATCCACCCACCTTGGCCTCCCAAAGTGCTATGAGTCTTTTTCCTTTGCCAATTTCAATATGTATCCTTCCACTGTAATATACTATACAACCATGAGTATAACCTTTTTTTTTTTTTTTTGAGTTCTAGGAGTCTTTCTAGGAAATCATCAAACCTGAGTGTGGTCTTGGAGACCCTAACACAGGTAAGTAGCTTTTTCTCACAAAGCCTTCTCTGGTTCCTTCAGTCCAAGTCATCCTCTCCTTCCAGGCTACTCTAGAACTTACAGAATACTCACAACACACATGTGAGCTTAAATCAATATTTGGTTACTTAACTTTTTCACGACTGGGTGCTCTGTCTGCCAGCCAGACTCTGAATTCTGAGAAGGCCTTACCCTTATCTTACACTTCCCACAGATTGCACACAGCCAAGCCTGGGCATACAGTATACTCTCACTGTACACTTGCTGTAATAAATTGTCTGGCTACATATGAAGAGGAGGGGAAAGAGGAAAAGAGGTGTTGGGGTGCGGGGAAGGAAACAAGTGGGAATCTTGTAGCTAATCAACCAGACATGTCAAAGAAGAATAAACCAGGACCTTCACCTTGTTAAAGAGGGCAAACAAGTTGGAAAGTAAAGGATCAAGGGAGATTAAACAAGTATGAGAAGAATCATCTGCCTAGAACAGACACAGGAAAAACAAATAAAAAATATGTAGCAGAGATTACACAAAGATTATATTGGAAATTGCAAGATGAAAGAAGATAGCAGAGGAACAAAGTAACATAACAGTAAGCCGGGTCCTGGGAGAGGGAGTTGTTCACTAAGCAGGAGACAGGAAAGTCCTCTGTTTCTAAAGATTAATACAGATGGGACCAAGACAATGCAGAAAAGCACAATAAACATGAACTGTCTTGAGGCCTTGGCTGTTTTTAGTGCTCTTGGGCATGCTAATAATATGTGTGCAATGAGAATATATTAACCAGGGGTAGAAAAAGGAAAAAGGGTCTCTGGTGGGTATACACTCTATTGAGGTCAGGTTTGGAGGACCCTGAACAAAAGCAGACCCAAGTATAGGCTGAGAGAGGGTCTTCCTTTGCCTGTGAACATTAAGTGATTCCTACTGAGCTCTTGCGTATGTGTCAGATCCTGCCAGCCTGACAATGTCTCCAGAGGTTAAGGAAATAAAGCGTTAGTGTTTTTGTTTACTGAAGCCTCTCACTCTAACCTAGCATTGATGTCCTGTTTCCATTCAATCAGCTCAGTTCAAACACAGCTCAGTAGTGTTAATAGTGTCTATGGTGTCAGGTAACCAAGAGCAGATGCTGGCAGTGCCCTGGACGCCCTCCTAGGTCTTCCCCAGAGGCTGGCTGCAGAAGGTTCCTGTGATGGTTAATACTGAGCATCAACTTGATTGGATTGAAGGATGCAAAGTATTGTTCTTGGGTGTGTCTGTGAGGGTGTTGCCAAAGGAGATTAACGTTTGAGTCACACCCAATCTCAGTCTGGGTGGGCACGATCTAATCAGCTGCCAGTGTAGCCATAATAAAAGCAGGCAGAAGAATGTGAAAAGAATAGACTGACTTAGCCTCCCAGCCTACATCTTTCCCCCTTGCTAGGTGTTTCCTGCCCTCAAACATCAGACTCCATGTTCTTTGGCTTTGAGACTCAGACTGGCTTCCTTGCTTCTCAGCTTGCAGAATGCCTATTGTGGGACCTTGTGATCGTGTGAGTTAATACTCCTTAATAAACTCCTCTTTATATATATCTATCCTGTTAGTTCTGTGCCTCTGGAGAACCCTGACTAATACAGTTCCCCTATCCCATCTCTGCCTCAGGGTGTTCTCCAGCAGGGGGTGTGTGTGCCCAGCTCATGGAGCAAGTCTACAGCAGAGTTAACTCCTCAGAAAAATGCAGGGTTCAAGTTGCTGGACAAACATCCCAGCTTCCTTGACCATCAAAGGGACAGTTCTGAGGTGGGTTTCATGGAGTTTATCAAAGGGTCTCTAGGGGAGTTACACCCCAGTTGCCCATAGTGGCAGCTTGCACAGTAAAGGGTTAACTCATCAGGCCAGGGTTGCACAGTAGGATTTTTTGTTTTATTACTTTTACTCCCTTCCTCATCTCAATCAGCATCCCTCACCATGCTTTCTGGGATTACTGCCCAAATGAACTACTTGCACTCTAAGCCTTGTCTCAAAGGCTGTTTTTAGGAGAAGCACAAGCTGTGACACATTATGTGAGGCATGAATGAGAACAGAGAGATGGTATACCGATTGAGTACAGACTGTAGCTGAGGACTTCATAGGCATTACCTCATGTTATTCTCATGACAACCTGTTGAGGTGATATTGTTACTATCCTTATTTTACAGATGAGAAAACTGGGATGCAGAGACATGAAATAACTTGGCCCAGAGCACCAGGTAGATGGTAGCAGAGCTGGGGCTCCAATGCAGGCCTGTCTAACTCCAAATCACATCCCTAGCTACTGCGTCACACAAGATCCCTGATCAGTTAGTGCCACTGCAAGACTGGTCTCACAGTAATATTCTGGGTGGATTAGAGGAAAGGGCATCCCGGACCACAGACAAATTCAGAGACTTCCACACTAAGCCAGGCTAGAAGACCTGAGAAACATCATTGGCTATTTCATGAAAGTGTTCAGGGAAGAGAGGAATACGAGATTGGAAAGGCAAGAGTGTCTGGATCTGGTAAAACACAGATGTGGGAAGGAAGGAAAAGCATCTGACAGGATGTAACTCTTTTAAGATGTTTTCTTCTTTTATAGAGGAAGCTAGTGCATTATTCCCAGGTGGGAAACTGTCGCCCTCCTGTGATCCCCAGGAATTACTGGGGATTTTTCTAGATCGATGTGAGGACCGGCTTTACCAGATGACTTGATGTTCTTCTGCTTGGTCTTGCAACTGCACTGAAAGTGTATCCTCAATAAAGTGAGAAAAGAGATAGGTCATTTGGGACTCAGACCACTTTCTTCAGATATAGAAACTCTCTGGGGTTGGGGACACCATCTGGACACTGACTCCAAGAGCCCCTTCAGTTCCTATCACGTGTTGAACAGAGATCCAGGGTGGTACAATGTCTGTTGCAAAATGACTCTGATAATAGAAGTACAAGTTTGCCCACCACCACTCATAAATCTTGAATTCTTAGGCTTTGGGGAGCAGCCCAGGATGCTATATTCAAGGGACACCACAATCTGAGGCTGACTGAGATTCACATTGATACCTAAATTAGATCCAAAGAAGCCAGCAGGTGTGAAGTGTGGTCCTGACTCTGACATAAATTAGCTGGGAATCCTGAAGCAGACTCTTAACCTCTCATGGCTTTGGCTTTCTCATTTTTGAAATGAATTAAAATAAATTTGGATTAAATCATCTGATCTCAAAGGTCTCTACCAAATACCAGCCCCTATGGGTTCTTCAGGGATTATGCAAGTAAAGGAGTCTCTCAAATAGTGATTAATTGAAATAACCACAGGATTTATAGCAAGAACTGTGCTATTTGTTGTTCAACCAAGGGACAACTGTGCATCAGACACTGGAGAAGAAACCCATCTCTGCGACAGCATCCCATATTTCACTCAGAAATTAAAATTAAAGCTCTCTTGGTAAGACAAATCCTGGCATAAGATAGCACTCAGAAGTCATGTCATGGCACCAGCCCAGGGAGCCTCCATCACTGGCTCCTGGAGGCAGTATCTTACACACTGAATGGGGCATGGAATAGTGAGAAATGGATGATGAACACTTGGTTATGAGTAGCAATATATATACACATTCTGCTAAAATAGTCCAGACCCTAATAGGGTTCTGTAAAGGTTTTCATTCATTTGAAATTTTACCTGGCATTAAGTTTATAGCCCTCTACAGAATTCAAAATAATGTGTCAGTACCCCCAAAAGCCTCCATAGCAAGGCTTGCTGAGATGTTGGCAGCATAATCCAGGGAAGGAGCTGGACCTGCAGAAGAGCTCCACAGAGGAACTGACCACCTGTTGGGCCATTCTTGTTGGGGCTGGAAGATCAGCTCGTCAATGCAAGTGCAAAAATGACCTGAACTAGTGGCAAATTGAGTAGTTGTGGGAAGCTGCACAACTTCACAAGGACCTATCCAATGAGTAGGATAACGATATAGTTTTCTATGGGAAATATGCTAGCGCAGGTGGATGACTGTTACCCCTAGAGAGTAGATGTCTGTTTCAGAACAGGATCCTAGCCAGCAGTGAGAAATAAGGACTCTGGGAAGGGACCTGACAGAACTTCTGTAGGCAAGATGTAAAGAATCCTGTGATGTATAAAAGGTGTGAGGAAAGGACTCCAATCCCAACAGTGTAATTGGTGTAAAAGCCAAGACTCTAAGCTTAACAAACAGAGCAAATGGATTGTGACTAAGATAAAACCTATCTCCTAAATTAGGCTCACAGCAAGAAGATAATTGTTGCTAATCCTACTGATATCTTACCAGCCTCAATGTGTTCAGTGGCATGGACCCGAAAAAAATAAAGATTGAAAAATCAGATGATTGCCCACTCTCCAATCCACTCCACCTTAAGTAGGGAAATCTCAGCTGGCATGCCATGGCGTTAACTCTCAAACTCTACAGTATCTTTATATCTATGGGTGTAATATCTCAGTGTGGGGTATGGACCTAAGAGGGCTAGACTAACTGTAAAATAGAAGCCCATTATAGTTCAGTATGTTTTCATATGAGATTTAATATGAGATTGAATAACTTCCTCATTAATTTCTTCATCATATATTAATTTCTTCTTCATATATATTTTTGATCATCTCTTGTCTACTAAGAGCTTTGCTGGATACCTTATCATAACCATACAGATGGAAAAAGCTTATGAAAATAGTAGCTACTATGTATTGAGTGCACATTATAGGATAGACTTTGTGCTAAGTGGTTTGCTTTGTCTTTTTCAAGGCTCATATCAAAACCTTAAAAGAGAAAACATGATTCGCATTTTATATGTGAGAAAACTGAGACCCAGTTTGTGTAAATAATTTTCTTGACATCACGAAGATAATAAGCAACAGAGTGGCATACGAACACTAACCATTTGACCACATGGTACTCTATAAGAGTAGGGTACTCTTGACTACATGGTGCCTTACTTTGCTACCTTATGTTAATTATCTGAAATGGTACATATGCATGAGGAATCCATCAAATATCGACACTTATTTCCTCAAAAAGAAGTAAAGTCTATACATCAGATATTTGGGGATTGATTATTTTAATAAACAGCCCACTGCCAAAGAAGAGAAGGAATTCTGTGGGAAAAATAAAAGCAGAACCTCTCAAACAAAATTCTACCCTAGGACTTTGATTGGGGAAAACCAATGTGATTTTAGTGAAATGGACAATAAGGGTTGTAAAAAGGATTTGATGTGAGATTTAAGTGGAAAAGAAACAGTGCATTCTGAATCTGTGCTTAAATTCAAAGAACAAATTGTCAGTCAGAGTCCAATTCCAAAAACATGTGAAGAAAGCTGAAATGCCATCTCAACAAATCTACAGAAACTGACATGTCCTTTTGAGAACAATCATCACAGTACAAACCCCAGAGGATACAAGAACCTAGAAATGTAAATCTTAATGTCACAGGGACATTTATACTCTGCAAAAGTCATCTCTAAAAAACTGCCCCCAAAATGACAGAGAGATACTTGGAAAAGTGAAGGTCACACTTCATCTCTCCATCCTGGATATTTTCAAGACACAGGAGGCTAAAAGTTGAGCCGGTCACAAGAACTTCAAGAAAAGGATTAGAGTTTTTTCCTGATCTACTTATCCTTAAAGCTACACAGCTCAGGGTGCTCAAGGTCAAAGGAAGACACCCAGGAACTTGCCGAAAGAAAAGCACTGGGCTGATAAAAATGTCTTTCTGGTCCAGTGTGCTCCAAAGACCAGTGGTTGGGAACCACTGATAGACAGAAATAAGGGCAAGAATGGAAGAACATGATTTAGGCTCAGACTGCAGTATCTACACTTTAACATACACAGGATGTTGTACAAATTAGTCATCTCTGTGCTTAGATCTCCAGTCGTTAAAATGATTTGATGATGTGAAGGCTGCCAAACTCACAAAATCCCCAGGAAAACCAAATGAAATAGATTATGTAAAAACATGCTCTAAAATAATGGGTTTTGTTTCATTTGACTATGCAGTATAATCATTTTGACGTGTTGTTAAATTCAATTTGCTAATATTTTATTGATGAGTTTTGCCTCAATATTCATCAGAGATATTGGTCTGTAGTTTTCTTTTCGTGTGTGTGGTGTCTATCTGGCTTAAGTATCAAGGTGGTGCTGGCCTTATAAAATATGTTAGGAAATACTCCCTCTAGCTCCTTTATTTGGAAGAGTTCAGAAGTATTAGTATTCCTTTTTGGAAGTTTCGTTGAATTCAGTTGCAAAGCCATCTGGTCCTGGGTTTTTCTTTGTGGGGGATTTTTAATTACAACTTCAATCTCTTTATTTGTCATAAGTCTGTTCAGGCTTTCTATCTCTTCCGATTTAACCTTGGTAGGTTGTATTTTTCTAAGAATTCATCCGTTTCCTCTAGGTTATTAAATTTGACAGCATATAATTGTTCATACTACAGATACTCCTGAACTTATGATGGGTGTTATATCCCCAGAAAAAAAAATCTAAGTCCAAAATATATTGTTGAAACGTACTTAATGCCCCCAATAAACCTATCATAAAGTCAAAATATCATAGGTCAAACCATCGTAAGTCTGTAGTCCCTTATGATCATTTTTATTTCTGAGACTAATTTAACATATGCAAATCAATCACTGTGATATATCACACTTAACAGCCTGAAAGACAAAACCACACAATGCTATCAACTGATACAGAAAAGCATTCAACAAAGTTCAACATCCTTACTTGATAAATACTCTGAACAGTTTAGGTATAGAAGGACAGTTCCTCAACCTACTAAAGCCCATTTATTAAAAAACCTACAGCTAATATAATCAATGGGCAGAAACAAAAAGCTTTTCCTCTAAGATCTGATATCTATCTCTAAGGCAAGAATACCTACTCTCACCACTTTTATTCAACATAATACTATAAGTACCATCAAGAGCAATTAGACAAAAAAAAGAAATAAAAGGTATCAAATCAGAAAGAAGAAAAATTATCTCTGCAAATGACATGACTCTGTATGTAAAACATACCAAAGATTCCACCAAATTAACTGTTAGATCTAATAAATAAAATCATTAAAGTTGCAGGATATAAAACCAACATACAAACATCTATGGCATTTCTATGCACAAATAATGACCTAGCCAGAAAAAGAAATCAAGAAAATAATCTCATTTTGATAGCATAAAAAAAGAAAAATATTTAGGAATAAATTTAACCAATGAGATAAAATACCCATATACTAAAACTATAAAACATTGGTGGATGAAATTCATGAGGACACAAATACAAGGAAAGATTTTATGCACATGAATCTGGAGAGTTAATATTGTTAAATCGTCCATTAATCTAAAGCAATATATAGATTAGTGCATTCATATCAAAATTCCAACATCATTCTTCACAGAAAAACAATTTTAAAATTTGTACAAAACCACAAAAGACTGCAAATAGCCAAAGCCATTCTCAGAAGAAAAACAAAAACAAAAACAAGTTGGAGGCATCACACTTTTTAACATAAAATTATACTATGAAGCTATAGAAACAAAACAATATGGTACTGGCATAAAAACAGACACAAGAACCAGTGGGAAAGAACAGAGAGCCCAGAAATAAACCCAGACATCTATCGTTAACTGCTTTTCAGCAAGGGCGCCAAAAAGACAGGATGGGGTAAAGATAATCTCTTGAATAAATGGTGCTAGAGAAACTAGATTTCCACAAACAAAAGCATGAAATTGGACCCTTGTCTTACACCATACACAAAAATCAACTCAAAATGGATAAAAGACCTCAATGTAAAACCTGAAATCATAATACTCCTAGAAGTAAACACAGGGGAAAAGCCCCTTGACATTAGCTTGGCCTTGGCAATAATTTCTTGGGTATCACACCAAAAGCTCACGCTACAAAAGCAAAGATAGATAACAAGGACTACACCAAACTAAAAAGCTTCTCACAGCAAAGGAAATAATCAGCAAAATGAAAGGCAATTTACAGTTTGTGAAAAAAAATATTTACACACCATATATCAGATAAGGGGTTAATAGCCCAGATTTATAAAGAACTTATATTATCTCAATAGCAAGAAAACTTATAACCCAATTTAAAAACAGGCAAAGGACTTGAATCAACATTTCACCAAAGATGATGTAAAAAATAGCCAATAGGTACATGAAAAGGTGCCTAAAATCACTAATTATTAGGGAAATGCAAAGCAAAACCACTATGAGTTACTGCCTCACACCTTTTTGGATAGCTATCATCAAAATGACAAAAGATAACAAGTGTTGGCGAGGATGTAGAGAAAAGGGAAGCCCTGTACACTTCGATGGGAATGTAGATTGATTCAGCCATTATGGAAAACAGCATGGAAGTTCCTAAAGAAATTAAAAATAGATTTACCATATATGACCCCATAATTCCTCTTCTGAGTATATATACAAATGAAATGAAATCACCACCTCATAAAGATATCTGCATTCCCATGTTCACTGCAGCATTATTTACAGTAGCCAAGATATGGAAACAACCTTGGTGTCCATCAGCGGATGAATGGATAAAGAAACTGCTCTACATAAATGTATTCAACCTTTAAAAGAGGATGTTCTGCCATTTACCATAACATAGGCAGACCTGGAGGATATTATGCTAAGAGAAATAAGCCAGACGCAAAGGAAAATATTGCCTGATCTCACTTATATGTGTAAGCTAAAAAAAAAAAAAGTCTGATATGCAGAGATAGAGAATAAAATAGTAGTTACCAGGGCCCAGATAGAGGGGGAAGGAAATGTTGAGACGTGGGTGAAAAGATACAAAGTAGCAAATATGTATAATGAACAAATCCAAGGATCTAATGTACAACATGAGAACTGTAATTAATAATAGTGTATTGTAGTCAGGATTTTTGCTAAATGAGTAGATTATAACTATTATTGCTACATGGGGGGAAAATATGTAGCTAAGTGAGATGACGAATGGATACGATCTTTATCTTATAACACCATGTTGTATACCTTACATATACACAGTAAAAATTATTTTAAAAAATAACAAAATTATGTAAAACTGTATTATTAGTATCTCTCTTCTCTCTTAAGATTGAACCCTATTCCAATTTATCTACTTTTTTTTTGCTAATTTAACCCAGAATGATAGAGATAACCATCAAAAGATCCAAATATCCATTCAGTTGTTAAATGTCTAAAGTAGATCCTTCAAGTTGAGAGTTAAGGGGAGACGGAGTAAGGAGGGGACTGGGGAATACTGCATTTTATTATTGCCCATCAGTACTTTTGATTTTTTATATGTCTCACATCTAACCTGAGTAAACTATTCACAGATAGATGAGCATCAATTCACACCACCCCAATTTCCATTTTTCCCAATACGCTTATATCACAATTTTCAGTTTAGTTATTAACTTTTAAATTTAAACACTATACTTGATCCTTCATTTTTTATTTATCAAATATTGACATTATCTTTCAACAAGTAACTTTTATGATGAATGCATTAGCAATCCTGCCTTTCCTTCACTTCTCCTTGCCCTCATCCACATTTCCACTCATACACTGTGCAGTTTGGGTTTACACATTGTCAAGGCTGAAAGCATTTGTGTTCTGTATCAACATTATTCCAAGCATTAGCTACTGAAGAAACGGCACCCTTTTAAATCATTTCTTTTAAGTATGTTTGAAATTCTTAAGTATCTGTTAACCTCAGCAATGATACAACTAAAGAAAAAAACAAAAGTAAGGAGGAGGAGGCATAGATTAATCCTACTTATACTTGCCTTCCACGTAGTATAAATGTCTTGGCTAACAAAACTGTATAACAGATGTAACCTTGAGGGGAAAAGTAAAGGCCAAAAATATTATTTTCCCCAAGAAGTTCAGAATAGGATGTGTGGAGTAGTGGCCAGAAGCAATAAAATCTAGTTTTTTCCAGCTTAGGTTGCCTGCAGTGAACTCAAGCCATGGGTGCAAAGTGAGAATTGAATTAGTCAGAAAGTATTTTTCTGCTCATCCATATTTTCTTGTTGCACAATAATGACAGATAAGTTGTGTACGCTATTTAAATATCTCAGATGTTGGCTTTTTCCCATCACTGTCAACCTAATTTCTCCTGTAGAATTGGCACATCTAGTGACAGTCACCTAGGGCTCCATATCCTTAACACCTGCTGGGGTTCTCTTGCCAGTCATTGCTAAGATTTTTCTAGGAACATTGCACCAGTATAGAGCTGTTTCGTCAGCATTTGCAAACTTGTTCAGGATTAAGACTTTCTTTCAGTTATGATCTTAGCAATTTATACATGTAATTCTCAGCTGCTTCTTGATCAACAGAAGCTTTTGTCACATATTTTCAAATATTTTACACGTGTTAAGTTTCTGCAGCCAACTTTCTGAATATTCATATTCACCTTCAATATTCACTTTTTCATGGAATAGCCTGGCTGGTTTCATGATTCATAAGCCAGCCCTTGGCATATGGTTACATGGTTGCTTTAAAACCTAATAAACCCAAAATCAAGATTTCCATTTCTCTCCCCAGTGTAATATTTCCCTCACTTTTCTTTAGTTCTTGCTTCTTGTTGTCACCATAAAACATCAACAATTTCTATTTCACTAAGTTGTATGTGGTGGCGATTCTTACATTACAGTCTTTGGTAAGACACCTCACAGACACACCACCCCCATTAAGCTTTTTCTCAATGTATTCCTACTATTTAAGTTTCAGTATTGAGTAATTTTTAAATTTAAATGATGTTCTTGATCCTTTATTTTCTTCTCTGGACTTCATATTATGTTGATGCAGGACTTCCTAAATTAATCTTCTATGCTCATACATTTTCTCTTATATTCTCTCTCTCTCTCTCTCTCTCTCTCTCTCTCACACACACACACACACACACACACACACACACACACACACACCCAGAGTTACTTCTTCCCTTTCTTCATTTTAGCAGTCTATCTTTAACTTCCAAGTTCTCTATTTGTTCACTAGTTTCTCTCTTCATAAGAGTCTATCTTACTTTATGAATAGAATATTACTAGCTTGTTAAATCTCTTAAGATACAAATGATGGTTCTGTAGTTGTTTTAAATTTATGAGACTGTCTTCCTTTCCCTGAATTATATGTGTTTCTTTGGGAGTAATTTTTTCTATTCCTTTATGATCTTTCTTTTTTTATCTCGTTATCTTTGTTCAAATATCTGGTGTTCCTTGGTTCTCAATTTCCCATATGAGGTTGGGCACTGTAACAGCTAATGGTGAGCCCTGTGTCCATGGAGGAGGCATATAGACTGGCAGCCTTCCCCCCAGGGCAAGCTGATATGTAGATAGCTATCATACTAGTGGCCTCTTAAATGCCAGCATATGGAGGTTTTGTTCTGAGATGCCAATGTTCACAATGTCTTCAGAGGCTCAAGTTTGTTGTTTTTTCTGAGGGCTAAATGCAAGACCACTGAGCCTTCCAAATGTAGAAAACGGAGTGTAGCTAGGTCAACTGTGCTATAAATAGGCTTTTCCTGAATCTTCCAGCCTCCAGCCACATGCCCTACTCTTCCCCTCCTCCATACCATCTCCAGAGCCTCTCCAGGGTTCATCAGATCAGTTATGTTCCTGGTCAGCGCACACACTTCCCACTTTCTAGCTGAGGGTTATGTGTCCTGAGCATTAGCTATCACTTTCTATTAATTCCTAGATGTATTAAATTTTCTTATCTTTTAATGGGCTTCATTCTGTTCTCTCTCTTTTTGAGAATGTATGCCTCTTTTGTCCTTTATTCTCATTTTAATGAGGTTTCAGGAAGTAAATTTAAACACATATGGTCTATCCACTAGTTGACCTAAGAGTTTCATTTCTGAATTTTAAAATGCATGTAGATGAAGGATTGAGGGGTAAAATATATTAAAATGAAAAATGAAAATTTTCCACCATAAAACCCTTTCCTTCATTTAATTCCATTTCCCAAAAATAAGTGTGTCTGTTTAAGTCCACCTGGAGATTTTCACAATAATTCTAAATAACACACTTCCACCTCTACTTCTTGACTCCAAAAACTTACTTAGTATTTAGTGATGCTTCACCTTTGCACCTTTGCAGATAAGGAATTCGTCTCGTCAAGTTGGATGTTCATAATGTCTTCTCACATTTCAATCAGGTAACCAATTTTGTTAGTTATCTTACTTTTGTTTTTTATTTGCTTTCCTTTACTATTTTAAGATACACTTAAACCTCAATTTCTATTTCCAAAAACTTCTAGACAAATCTCTTTGCATCCATGGTAGTACACCTAGGACCAGCTATGTAATTTGCAGGGCTCTGTAAAAACTGAAAATGTTGGTCCCTTATTCAAAAATTATTAAGAATTTTAAGACAGCAACAGCAGAGCATTAAACCAAGGAAAGGACCCTTCTAAGCATAAGGCTTTGTATGACTACACAGGTTCCACACCCATGAAACTGGCCCTGCGTGTACCATTCATACTCCCGTCAAGAAAAATTTGCCATTCAGTTCAAGAAATGCAGTTAATTGACAGTCTTCGGTTGCAGCCTGTTTAGGATTCATTTCAGCTTTTGAGCCAACGCCAAGCTTGTCCCAGCCAGGTCTCAGCCAACGATGAAGTGTATGTAGTGGGAATCCTATGACTGGGCCATTTCTGCCCTTCCAGGTCTCTTCTGTTGAGCAGTCTTTGCTCCAGAGTGCCCTGTTGATTTGACTGAGCCATAGTCAGATCGGCATCCTGGTCTGAAGTTCTCCTTGCCTAATCCCGCTTCCATCTACCTTTCCATTCTTGGACGTCTTCTCTGTTTGACACTCTGAAGGCTTTCCTAGCCCAATCCTGTTTCCACTCCCTCCATGGTTCACGGCATTACCCTCCAATAAACCTCGTGTATCCCCAACTCCATCTCAGTGTCTACTTCCCAGAGGACCCAACAGACACAGCATCTTGATTTTACATTGTATAAGATAATGCAATTCACCTTCTTATATCACCTTCTAACTGTCTTCCTTCCCTAAGCCCCTGCCATCACTTTCTGATTTCTGATTCTTTCTACTATACCATGATTTCTATATTGCCAGTCCGTATTAATGTTTATCTCCAAAATGTATATTTAAATGTTATGCTTTGATTGTGTAAATATACATAATATGCATGTTCTAAAAACTGAAAAACAATAAACAGTATTTGCGATACTATACTTATGTAATAGTATTTTTTTTTTTTTTTTTTTTTTGAGATGGAGTCTCGCTCTGTCGCCCAGGCTGGAGTGCACTGGCGTGATCTCGGCTCACTGCAACCTCCGCCTCCCGGGTTCACGTCATTCTCCTGCCTCAGCCTCCCGAGTAGCTGGGACTACAGGCGCCTGCCACCACGTGAGGCTAATTTTTTTTTTGTATTTTTTTAGTAGAGACGGGGTTTCACGGTGTTAGCCAGGATGGTCTCGATCTCCCGACGTCGTTAAAATAAATCATATAATCCTATGTTACCAAATCTACATGACTCAAAGGACAAAGCTCCAAAGGTTTGCATTCAATGGAGTCTCATTGCTTATATCTAACATATGTGATCCAAATCTTACTACGTCATAGCTTGTTTTATATTTGAAACATCGCTTGCTTATAAAGAGTTTTGTTTTGCCTGAAGGTTCTAATGGTCTTTCTTTTTCTTATTGACAAAAGAAACACATGCCTAACTCACCACATCACTAATATCATGTGACTGGGACTAAATTAAACTACTCTCAAACCTTCCTAGGATTTTTTCTCATTAGCTGGGTGAATTCAGCTATTTCTTGGAGCTCCTCTCTTCTTCCTTTGGGGATATCTTCTGTTTTATTTGTGTTTGTGCATTTGCTGATCTGTTTTGAGAATATACTCTAATGCAATTTTTAAAGAGATTTTATTTTTTTAAGATCTTAAATTTCTGAATGTTCTTTTCATTGCTGTCATACCTGGATAATAATTTAGCTGAACATAGAACTCTCAGTAGCTCTAACTAAAGAATGTCACTTAACCTTTCTGCCTCAGTTTCCTCATCTGGAAAATGTGTTTAATAATAATATCTATTTCAAAGGATTGTTGAGAGAGTTAAATAAAATAATTTATATAAAGCATCTATAATAATGTCTAGCACATGACATTCAATAAATGTTAGTTCTTCATGTTAATAATATGTAATATTATTTCCTCTCAGAACTTTGAAGGCCCTTCTAGCATCTAGTATTGCTGTTTTGATGTTGGTATTACTTTTTTTCCTTGGTAAGAGACTTTTTATTTTCTGTCTGGAAGCTCCAGGTTATATTTATCTTCGGGTCTATGAAATTTCATGAGAGTTTACCTAGGTATGTGTCTCTTTTTATTCTTTCTAGTCAGCACTTGTATATTTCTTCAGCTTTAAGATGAGTTTATCTATTTTTTAAAAAATATTTTCTTTCTCCTTTCCATTTCTCTTGATGTATTTTGAAATCCTATTAATAAGGAATTGGATACTTATTTGACCTTAATGTTATATATCTCTAGCCTTATTCTTAATATTTTTTTCTCTCTTTCATTTTACTTTTTGCCCTTGGAGATTTTCTCAATATTGTATTCTAGCCCTTCTATTGAATATTTTAGTTTGTAAATCAGATTTTAAATTTCTAAGAATATTTTTAGTCACAGAAAGTTGCAATTTCCCAGGAGCGTATTCTTGTTTTATGAAAGCAATACATCCTAGAACCTCTCTACAAATAGTATTTGGAATATTTTCAGTTGTAACTGTTCCCTCCTATATTCATTTGCTCAGCTGCCATAACAAAATACCACAGACTGGGTGGTTTAAACAACAGAAATGTATTTTCTCACGGTTCTGGAAGCTAGAAGTTTCAAACATTGCAATCAAGATGCGATAAGGGTTAGTTCTTGGTAAGGCCTTCTTCCTGGCTTATATATAGCCACCTTCTCACTGTGTTCCCACATGATTTCTTCTCTGTGTGTGTGTGCAGACAGAAAGAGAGAGAGAGCTCTGGGGTCTCTTTCTCTTCTTATAGGGACCTCAGCCCTATCAGATGAGGGTCCCATCCTTAGGATCTCATTTCACCTTAATTACTTCTCTAAATGCCCTATCTCCAAATACTGTCAAATTGCAGGTTAGGGATTGACATGGTTGGGATCTATGTCCTTGCCTTCAGAAAAATACCTCCTGCCCATGCTGTGTGGTCCAAAGACTGGAGAATTTTCCCCAGAGGGTTTCTCCCTTCTTAAGATGGTTAGGACCTCTGTAAAAATGTGGGGCTAAGGAAAGGAAGCCCTAATAATGTCTGTGATTGAATTTATTATCAGCTAACCCAGACAGAGGCCTGAATTTGTATGTAACACGATTTCAAGAAAATAAGTATTGACTATGTATTCTAAGGATAAACGCAAAAAGAATAACTGTATATAAATATGATCCTCTAGTTAGTAGGTTTGTTTTTATAGGAATATGAGTTCACTTTAATATGATTTTAAAAAATAAGTATTGACTGTACTCTAATGTTAAAGATGAAAAGAACTATACACAAATATTGTGCTCTAGTTAGGAACTTCATTTTTCACAGGGGTATGGTTGGCAATTTTGAAACTACTTATGTGTATTCTGGGATTGAGCAAATAAGTTAATATATCATAGATAATGAGAGCCAGGTTTCTTACTGTTGGAAATGGAGTTATAAATAAGGAAAGGGGGAAAGCTAGCATGAGTCCTGTGGTGTTGGACTGAAATTGGAAGCATCAGTATAAACTCATGTTTTTAAATATATGTACAGATAGATGAGTATAGAAACAGACATAACTGTCCACAGAGAAGATCACAAACAATGACACTCTAACCCCCACAAGAAGCCCTTGATTTTTCAATGTCATTCTTCAAGCCTCAAAGAAAAGAGTTGATCTCAAGGACTGGGGCAAGGTGAAATATAAGATGAGGATGGAGCATCTTTGTAGTTCAGAAAAGCCAGGAAGCTCTCAAAAAAAATGACCAGGAAAATTAAAAAAGACACAGAAGCCAACTTGATGGGGCTAGCTATGGCCAAATCAGGGACAATTTGATAATCAAAATACACAATGACAGAATGGATTCTAATCAATACAAAATAATATTTCATGAGTACCTAATGATATAAATAAATAATAGAGCAAATAAATAAAAGTGGAAAGAGAAAGCTCCGTCTTAAAGTAGAATTTCAGTGAATAAAAGTAGAAGAAATAAATACAAAATCACCATGTGACAAATACCAGGTAATCATTGTTTTAGGCAAGGATCATCTATGAATATAATGAATGGGTGAAAATATCCTGAGAAATAGGGTAGTAATATAGTGTCAAAATATCTCTTGGAAAGATACCCATTAATTATAAAGAGAAAACAGTTACTATAGAGGGGAGAAGTCTGGCAGTTACCGCCTTAGCAAAATGATCAAAGTTAACATTTTGGGGACAAATTGACATCATTTGCCTCCTAATTCAACGCCATGAGAATGACACATTATCACTTGTGCAGTGTTCTTGCCAAAAATGCATAACCTGAATTTAATTATAAAGAAATATCAGACAAACCAGACTGAGGGGCATTCTTGACAAAGAACTAGATAGGACTCTTCAAAAGTGTCAAAGTCATGAAAGAAAAGACCAAGGAACTGTCACAGATTGGAGAGACCAAGGAGACATGACAGCTAAATGCATTCTGTAATCCTAGATTCGACCCTGCACCAGAAAAGGAATATTAGTGGAAATACTGATACAATTTGCATAAAGTATGTATATTAGTATTATGTCTAGTGTTCTTTCTGATCATCTGGCTTTTGTCCTCCTCTGCTTCACCTCCCTTTCGTTTTTTGTCGCCTTGCCTTCTTCAGCCACATTGTCCTTCTTTGGTCTGCAGTTCTTTCCATGCTTCCTGAAAACCAGGCACATTTGCCTATGCTGTTCCCTCAGCCTGGGACTCTCTTCTGTCCCGTCTCCTCCTAATTAACTCCTTTTCAGATCTCAGCTTGGGCTGGTCAACTCCACTAACCTGGGCCTTCATAGCATCAATCCAGTCTTCTTCATGTTACTTGTCACAGTAAGTACAAAATTCAAATTTTACCTTTGTGTGATTGTTTGAATAGTATCTATCCTTTTTTACCAGACTGTAAGTTGTATGAAAGCAGAGTCTGTGTGCACTTTAGTTTATCCTTTTATTTTCAAAGCCTAACATAGACTCTGCAACATCATAGACAAACAATAAGAAGATGAATGAATTAATGAATTAACTAATGATAATTATTTCTGTGATTTTATAATAAATATCCTTTCTTGTTTAAAAAATTTTGAGTGGAATTCTGTGACCTTTATTCAAAATAGCTTTGAATGAAACAATCATTTCATCAAAGACCAAAAACATGTGGGTCATCATCTATAAAATGAAAACAATTATGTCGCCTTGCCAGTCTTGTTATTATTAGAGTTATTGTTAGAGTTAAATTCATTCATCAAAATTTTTCAAGTTTTACAAAGCTGGTCATTTCTGTCATAGCCTGGCCTGCTGGACCTTCTGGATCTTGTAGATACTGGCTGCACGTGCCCACAGGCTGATCTGTATTGCAGGCTCTCTAACTGCACATGCAAATGCCTAGTCGTTATACAACTGAGGATAATGGTTCAAATCGGCACTAGTGGTTTGGTGGGAAATTTTACCCAGATCTTGACGAAATGATTCAGGTGATGCTTTGCAATGTGGCAGAGTTTACAACCACATGAGGCAACAAACTCAAGCTTCAGGATGATGTAGTTGAAGATATAAGGGGCTATATGAGCCATTGTTGAATGGGCAGAATATTATTTCCAGCCTCTAAGCATGGTCACAATTGAGAAACAGACTCACCAAACATGTGGCAGCCTGATGACCTCTGGTAATATCAGCTGACCATACCCAGTAGCTCATGGCAGTGCAATGTGGCTTCTCTGAGAGCACAGTTTGCATGTGTGCCAGACGGTTTCTTTAAACCAAGGCTACAGCTCCAACTCTGGCTGTGATTCATATGTTGTAAATGTGTAAAATAGGATAGACACCAAGGGTCTCCCTTCAGTCACTGTCACCTCCAAGCATTCACAATTGTTAGCCCAGATAAATCTGAGAAAAGTCAGCTGCACAAGATATTTTCATGTGACAGTGCATAATGCAACCAAAGTGGCCTGAAAAAAAGGAAAAAATAAACAGATCAAGACACCCCACTACTTAATACATTTCATTGCCTTCTCATTGCCATCATTATAGATACCAAATCCTTTATAAGTCCTTGGAGGTCTGTCCCCTACATATGTCTCCAGCCCTATTATATTCTCAAATCCCATGCTTGTGCCACCAAATTGCTCACACCCCATTATACCTACCCACACCTCTGAGCTCTCAGACTCCCACATAGATTTCACCGTGCTCCTTATTCTCTTCATGCTTTTGTCCAGCCAGGTAGACTTTTCACATGGTGCTCCCTCTCCTTGAAATGTTCTTCCTTCATTTCCCATCTGGTCACCTCCTGATCACCTTTCAGATTTCAGATAAAGCATCTTCTTTTCAAAGAAGGCTTCCCTGATCTTATGACAAGGTTAAATGCCATTTCCATAAACCTTCTTAGTCTGATGCATTGCTCCTGATTTTCAGTTCATGTACGTGCCTATTTGAGTGACGTTTGACTCCAATTATTTCTAGTGGGGCTGAGAGACTTACTGAGTTCTGTTCACCATTGTGTGCCCTGGCACTAACATAGCACCCACCTCAGGCAAAGGCTCAATAAATAGTTGAGAGTGAAATCAGTGGATTTTAAGCCATGCTCAATACAAAATGATTAATGCCTTTGTAACTTCTGATGTGCTTAAATTTTCCTTCTCCTGCAGAATTATGGGTAATATAAAAATACTAATCTAGCCTGTGCATGGGGCCTGTGTCTCTGGCTTACAAATGTACCGTGGCCACCTCCCTTCTTTTGTTTTCAAGAGTATAAATGCACTGACACAGAGGAGAATTGCAGCTCAAATCAACAAGTTGATGGTCATTAACATTAAGCTCAATCTTTTTCCTGTTTTATTAGTTGTTGGACAATGCCTGCTTTTTGATGAGGCTATTAAAGCAAGCTCCAGGAACACTGCCAATGTGTTTTTGAGGTGATTTTTGACAATCTATTTCCATCAGCTTCATGCAGTTCTGCACCTATTAACATATTCTGTTGAAATTCAATGTCATTCTGAAATCCATCAGTTCAAAACCACAGGCATCAAATTAAACACTAAGAATTTTCATCAAAATAGTTCAATTAATTTTAACTAATTTCATTCAGTCTGATAATTTGAAGCCCTAAAATTTATATCATATTTACCAAAGGATACATGGAAAGATTTTACATCCATCAGATCTTTTGCTTTTTACTCCTTTCCAAATTATCTCTGAACATGCCTTTATAACTTCCACAAAATCTTCTCAATTCCTAATTATTTGAGAGAGTCAGTGTGTTGTATGACTATCTCAATCCCCTTCCTGCTGGGTAGCCACGGGATCTCTGATACCAAATAGTAAAATGGAGACCCAGGGTGGTCTTAGGGAAGTTTATGGATCACATAATTCCCCTGACTGATAAAGAGCACACAATACGGCCCCTCAAGCCTCACTTAGTGCAGCTTATACAGACTAAGCTTTTTCTCTCATATTACATCTTCTCCAGTCTCTTCCCTCTTAAGCCTGACTCTCTGCCATTATAACAATCCACATTCTATAATAATGAACTTGAGCCTTTAGTGGCCATTTTTCAGACTTTGTCTCCATATGTGACTGAATTCATAACTTTTGAATCCCTCCACCTCAAAGAAGTCATAGACTCATCTTCACAGCCTCTTCTCAAATAACCCTCAAAGTGACCTAGGCTCCATCCATCAGGTGCATTTGGATGATGTTGTACTTTGTAAGAGAGTGAGGAAAGAAGGCATCACACCAAGCCCACTAGAAAGAGGGATGTTGGAGTGGCATGCAGCATTGAGAGGTGGCAGTGGTGGGAATCCGGGTGGTGTTGTCCGTGGCTAGTGTCATCTATGGAAGCCGCAATGTCTATGTCCACTGGCAGCAGCAACTGAGTCTCAATGGGAACAGTCAGAGAGTATAACTTGAAGGGTTTTTTTTCCCAAAGATTAGGCCTCCAATCATGATTTTCTGACCTTCCCAGAAATTTTGTAAGATGTACAATATCATTTAAGATTGTCCTAATTTCCTCAAGCCACTTGGACTGATTAAGTTCTGTTATGTGTATTGCAAATATTGACTGATAACAGTATCATCACTTCTAATCATAAATTTGTATTGAGGGGCAATCTATGTGCCAGTCACTATTCTAAATTCTAGATAATCATCATTGTATACCACTGCATAAAATAGGCTTAGTTTCTGCCTAATGAAGTTTTTTATATCATATGAGACTAAGCAGAAGTGTTTATTTCTTTCCAAAGTTTGAGGTTTGGTGACAATGAGCACATAAATCATATACAGGTTGAATTTTGCTATAGTGAGTGCACTAGTTTATTTTGCATTGATTTCAAGGAATCCTGAGGCTGGGTAATTTATAAAGGACGAAGGTTTATTTAAAAGGACAAAGGCTCATCATTCTGCAGGCTGTACAAGAAGCATGGTGCTGGCTTCTGCTTGGCTTCTGGTGAGATTTCAGAAAATTTTTTATTCCTGATGGAGGGCAGGGGGAGCCAGTGTATTACATGGTGAGAGAGGAAACAAGAGATAAGAAAACACCAAGAGAGAGGGGAGGAGGTGCCAGGCTCTTTTAAGCAACCAGCTCTTATGTGAATGACTAGACTGAGAACTCACTTATTCATGAGGGAACTCCCTTGACCCCATGACCCAAACACCTCCCTCTAGGCCCCATCTCCAATATTGGAGATCAAATTTCAACATGAGATTTGGAGGGAACAAACATCCAAACTGTGTCAGTGAGCTCAACAGATACATGTTTTAAGAAAGGGATATGAGAGTACACCAGGACTGAGAAGTTTAGTGAATACTTTTGCTACATGTCCTCTGGTTTTCTGATAGAAGACGTGGTGCCACTAGTATTCTATGCAGTAGGAAGCCACAGTGGACTTTTATCCCCAACCGCATCCCTCTGAGACTCCTGCATGATTATTGCACATTGCTGGCAAGTTTCAGCACCTAAACCTAGCATCCACCTAAGTAGAAGTTCTCATTACACCACCAGCTTCCTCTTGCTAAATTGTCCAGAGGCTGCATAGTTGTTATGTTACTGGGCATTAAACATGTGAAGTCTATGTAACAAGACCTAAATGTGGACCTATGGAAGAATCCTTTATCTGCTGCATTTTAAAGCCCCTATCACCCATCCATCTGGGGCTTTAACTTCCTCCTGTGAAATTTGGCCATGTGATTATTATTCTACCAATGAGCACTGTAAACTTTTCCTATGCATCTAAAAACTTCTGATAGTGTCATCCTCACATAACATAAATTTATTTCTACATAATGTAGTTTATTAGTGGAGTGATTACATCCATTCCTCTGACTTCTTTAAGCCTCCATTTCTTTATCTATAAAAAGTAGATGATAATTATAATATCCTTCCCGTAGATAATCATATTTACTCTTATAACACAGGCAAACTAGGAGCAAGCAATTAAACAGCTTAAATCCATCTCAAATGGGAAAAAATTCATCAACAGAGAAGAGAGCATCATCCAGATTATCATGAGCCTGCCCTGTCATGAGATTATCATAATATTTTACTGGTATCAATCTGCCCTTGAAAAGTTATGGTCCTTGGAGTTGCCATGGTAACATAATGAAGTTAAGCACCCATGATACTTGTGGTAACAGGATTTTCTTTTTCTTTTTTTAAATTTTACTTTAAGTTTTGGAATACAAGTGCAGAACGTGTAGGTTTGTTACATAGGTGCACATGTGCCATGGTGGTTTGATGCACCTATCAACCTGTCATCTAGGTTTGAAGCCCACATGCCTTAGCTATTTGTTCTAATGCTCTCCCTCCCCTCGCCCCCAACCCCCAACTGGCCCTGGTGTGTGATGCTCCCCTCTCTGTGTCCACGTGTTCTCATTGTTCAACTCCCACTTATAAGTGAGAACCTGTGGGGTTTGGTTTTCTGTTCCTGTGCTAGCTTGCTGAGAAGGATTTTCTGTTTATTTGTTTCTGTTTATGAAGCTAGAAGACAATAACAGACAAATCAGTAACAAGTCGTAATGTCACAAATCTATACAAATGTGTTCATTTTGGTCAAGATTATATTATTTTACAAATATGCCGTAAGTTTCTTTTTTTGAGACAGGATCTCCCTCTGTCACACAGACTGGGGTGCAATCACAGCTCACTGCAATCTCAACCACCTAGGGTCAACCAATCCTCCCACCTCAACCTTCCAAGTAGCTGGGACCACAGGTACATGCCAGCATGCCCAGCTAATTTTTAATTTTGTGTGTGTGTGTGTGTGTGTGTGTGTGTGTGTGTGTGTGTGTGTGTGTGTGTATGTAGAGATGAGGTCTCTCTATGTTGACCAGGCTGGTCTTGAACTCCTGGCCCCAAGTGATCCTACTGCTTTGGCCTCCCAAAGTGCTGTGATTACAGGCATGAGCCACCACACCTGGTCAAGTGTTTCTTAATGGTATCTAGCAAGAGAACTGGCACATACTAGGTTATCAATTCGTGTAAAATGAAAGGAGGGAAGGAAGGAAAGAAGGAAGGACGGAAGAAAGGAAGGAAGGAAGGGAGGGAGGGAGGGAAGAAGGGAGAGAGAAAAAAGAGGAAGGAAGGAAGGGGAAGGAAGGAGGGAGGAAGTGGGAGAGGGAGGGAGGGAAGAAGGAAGGAAGGAAGGAAAGAAGGAAGGAAAGAAGGCAGGCAGGCTCAGACTCTGATTCAGAAGGTGAAGAACAGTTTATGACTCTTTTTTACAGCAAAAGGGTAGACATGAAAGTATTGATACATGTCCCTGAACTGAGCAGGCCTGATTCTATATGTATAAAAATTCAGTCACTCCAGGTGTGAGTAGGTCTCTAGACACAGAGAAGGTAGGTTCTAGAATTTTCTATTCCAATGGCTTTAACCTGAGAATTGCATTTCACATTTTAGTAGTCGGATCTTGTTTACATTGTGTTCCCAGTCCAAGTACCTTTTCTTACCTTTTTTGTTTTTGTAAAATCTGGAAATTCTTCAAAATATACCCAGTGCTTATCCTATATCCAAAATGTTACTGAATAGATGATGATTTTAAGCAAGATTTCGAGTAGGGCTCCCCCATTTGCTGAGTCTGTAATCTTGGGCAAGTTACTAAGTGAATCCCAGTTTCCTCGTCTTAAAGATGAGGAAAATAATAATGCCAACCATATATGGTTAGTGTGAGGATTGCATGTCATATACACATCAGATATTTAGCAAAGTGCCTGATATTCTTAATATTCAAAATTATTGGTTATTTTTATTAATACTCGTTTATATTTTACTGCAGTCAGTGTGTGTGTGTATTGGGAGAAGAATGCATGCATGTCTACATATTTCACTGTCTTCACAATTAAATTATATGTTCCTAAAAGGCAAGAAATACTTCTCACACTTCTTGGATGTGTTTCTCAGTGTCAAATCCAGTGCTGTTCCCATAACAGTAGCAAAAAAAACAAAAAACAAAAAACAAAAAAACAAAACAAAAAAAAACCTGCTCAAAGAAAGAACTCGAAGAAACAAGAGGATACAACCTGGGAGGTGACATTCTTCACTTAAACCCAAAACCTACAATTTTCCTCTTGATTCTAGACATTCCACTGAGAATTTCAGAACCCAGTACATGCAAATAAGATACGAGATATGGAATTATAGAGCATTTTAGTCATCCTTCCTAAGTTTACAATAAAAATGGGACCCTACCTCCCAGTCTCCATGAAAGGGAGTCTGTTTGTTCATTCATTCATTCCAATGGCATTTATTTGGTTTTAGCCATAATACAATAAGTGAAAAAAAAAAAAAAAACAGATACAGTCCTTAACAGAGCTTATGAAGGGGTAAAGAAGAGCTAGAAAATGGGCAGGGTGAATGCTACTGTGGCCAAGGTTGTCAGAGAGAACATGTCCAAGGAAGTATCACTTGAGCTGAAACCTAAAAAATACGGAAGAGCAAGCCATGTGAATGTCTGGAAGAAGATGCATAGGCAAGCAAAGGACAAGTGCAAAGACCCTGAGATGGAAATGAACTTGGTATGTTTTAAAACAGAAGAAGACCAGTGTGGCTGGGAAGTAATGAGTAAGAGAAGAGTGTTAGGGGATGGGGTTGGAGAGGTGGGCTGAGCCGGACCACAAAATGCTTTTTAGGCCATGGAAGGGACTTTAGATTCCATTCTAAATATAGAGAAAAAGGCTAAAGTAGATGAGTGTTATTATAATTATACTTTAAGAGATATGTAAAGAAAAGGTTTTAGAAAAGGCAAGAGTGAAAGCCATGGTACACCAGCGAGGAGGCAATTGGCATAATCCAGGCAAGCACTTATACTAGAGTGGCAGCAATAGAATGAATCAAGGGGCATCTACTTGGGCACTTCTGCTAATGGTAACTACTAGGAATGTGGGAACAACGGCTCCACTCCATTCTTGGGAAATGTGGATAGCTGGAGAATCCTTTTTCAAGCAGTTTGACAATGTGTATCAAGACTGTTGGAAATATCTATCTTCCTTTAGTTCAAAAATCCCACTCTAAATAAGTATCTACCCTCCTTTAGTTCAAAAATCCCACTCTAAATAAGTATCTACCCTCCTTTAGTTCAAAAATCCCACTTTTAAATAAATATCTTAACAAAAGAAAAGAAAACATGTGAACCTGTGAAGTTATTTATTGTGGCATTAATTGTGAGCAAAAACTGCCCAAAATCTGGTATCAGAAAAATGATTTTTAAAGTTGTGGTACTATAACTCAGTGCATTTTTATGCAGCCACTAAAATGTAAAATTATGAAGAAACAATTCATCATAGAAAATATTTGTGATAGACTATAAAGCAAATAAAGATGACTGTGAAAGGTATAACAGCTTGTATCCACTTTCTTAACATAGGACTATATGTGAACAATGTCTGAAAAGGAACATTGGGAAAAAAAAATAATTAATAGCAGTTGAGAGTAGATTTTTAAAAAAAAAATTTAGCATGAATTTTCCAGGATATTGGTTTTTATTTTGACTACTGGTCTTGATTTTTTGTTCCCTTGAAAATGCTTCCAGACCCAGGAAGTCAAAATTGCTTTCTGGTAAGTAACACATAAACTTCCCCAATAAATTTAACCATAATCCTAAATGACTCAGAGGAAATCGCTCCTTTTTGGAATCATAAGTCTTTTTGCAAAGCCCAAGGCCAGGGATGGGAAAGTACAAATATAAATCCAGAATCAAATCTGGAAGTTTATATATGTCATTTTAATGTCCCTGATCAAAGAATACACTCTTCTAACACTTTTTTCTTCCCTTCTGTTATCCCTGCATTTCAATGGAGCAAAAAACACCTGCAGAATTCACATCCTTTCTACAAACCTGTCTGTGCACACCCTAAGGAGCATCCTATCCTTGTAATAACATCAATCCACTCCCAAGAATTCAGATCCCCAGATAGCCCCTTGTCATTCGGTTGTTGCATGACTGGCTCTAGAATGGCATCACTAGAATTTCAAAGAGAAGTCAATGAGATTTGTTAAGTGTCTTTCCCCATGAAAACCAAAATGTAAGATCTCATAGGAATAATTAATACCCTAATTATAAAATGATAAAAAATAGATGGTTGACTACAAGCCCAAAGTAAGATCATATCACACAGGCTATTTTCAAATGGAAGTGAGATGTTCTTAAAATAAAATGAAGAAGAGACGGTTAGAGATATTCTTACCACAGTTGTCCTCCCAGGTCTGGATGGCTTTATCACTTATATATCCTTTCTTAATTTGGCCACATGACACAAGTAAAGCAAGTGCACGCATATATAACTTAACAATGGGGATACGTTCTGGGAAATATATTGTTAAGAGATTTCCTTGTGCAAACATCATAAGTGAACTTACACACACCTAGATTATAGAGCCTACTATACACCTAGGCTATATGGTATAGCCTATTGCTTCTAGGCTACAAACCTGTAAAGCATGTGACTATACTGCATATTGTAGGCAATTGTAACACAATGGTAAGTATTTGGGTATTAAAACATAGAAAAGATACAGTAAAAATAGAATTTAAGGTCAGGTGTGGTGGCTCACACCTGTAATCCCAGCACTTTGGGAGGCCGGGGAGGGTGGATCACCTGAGGTCAGGAGTTGGAGACCAACCTGGTCAACATGGCAAAACCCCACCTCTACTAAAAATATAAAAATTAGCCAGGCATGGTGGCACATGCCTGTAATCTCAGCTACTCGGGAGCTGAGGCGGGAGAATCGCTTGAACTCGAGAGGCAGAGGTTGCAGTGAGCGGAGATCGCACCACTGCACTCCAGCCTGGGTAACAGAGCAAGATTCTGCCTCAAAAAAAAAAGAAAAAAAAAAAAAGAATTTAAGTGAAAAAAATGGTACACCTGTATAAGGTACTTACTATGAATGGAGCTTGCAGGACTGGAAGTTGCTCTGGGTGAATCAGTGAGTGAGTGGAGAGTAAATGTGAAGGCTAGGGCATTATTGTACACTACTGTAAGCTTTATAAACACTATACACATAGACTACACTCAATTGATATAAAAAATGTTTCTTTTCCCAATAATAAATTAACTTTTGCTTACTGTAACTATTTCACTTTATAAACTTCTTAATTTTTTTTTACTTTTTTGACTCCTTTGTAATCACACTTAGCTTAAAGCACACATTGTACAGGTACAAAAATACTTTCTTTTTTATAACCTTATTCTATAAGCATATTTCTAATTTAAAGTTTTTAATTTTTTCTTAACTTTTCAACTTTTTTGTTAAAAACTAAGACAAAAACACACATATTAGCATAGGCCTACACAAACTCATCATTGTCACTGTCTTCCACCTCCACATCTTGTCCCACAAAAAAGTCTTCAGGGTCAGTAACACGGATGAAACGGTCATCTCCTGTGATAACAATGCCTTCTCCTATAATATGCTTCACGAAAAATCTGTAACATCTGTATTAAGAAACTTCAAAATACTCCAAAAAACATATACATACAAAAAAACTTAAGCCAAAGAAAAGTAGAATGTATTATTGGATATAAACACACAATATGATAAATATGTCAATTATTCTGATTCCAGATAAAATGTATAAATTTGATGTAATCATAAATTTCAAGGGAAAAATACTTAGTGAAACTTTAGAGCTAGTTTTTGAAAATAATCTCTGCAAAATAGACATTTTTCTAAGTATGACGTAAATTCCAGAGACTATAAAGGAGAAAACATGACAATTTTGATTACTTTTTAAAATGAATTATGAAAAGGAAGACATTGTTCACAGAAAAGAAAATACAACTAGCCCTTAACCATACGGAAAGATGCGCAGTCCCAATATAATGGGTTATGCAAATGAAAACTGTAAGTAGATACCGTTCCTTAAATACCAGATTGTCAGAAAGTAAAACAGTTTAATAACACAACGGTTTGACAAAGTCATTTGTGGAGGCAGCACTAGTTCATGTCTGCCCTATAAAGAGGAACTTGGAAATATCTATTAAATATAAAAATGTACACACCAACAATTCCATTCTTTGGAATTTATCCACAGGTATTCTTGAACCTTAAAAAAATGATATATGTACACTACAGAATTATCTGTCGTAGCAAAAGCTATGCAGCATCCTAAATTTCCGTGAGTAGAGGACTAGCTAAGTAAACCACAGTATAGCTAATAATAATGAAATGATATGCCAGCAAAAGGAATGAGATATATCTTTATTCACAAATATGGAGTAAATCTCCAAGATAAATTGTTAAAAAATAAAAGCAAGATGCAATATATGTGCAGTAATACAGTTTGGTTCTGTGTGTGTGTCTGTGTGTTTGAATATACATTTGAAAACTCATAGACTGTCTTAGGAGAAATGTAAGAAACTAGTGACAGTGTGGATCTCTGGAGAGGAGAAAGAGGTGGCAGCTGGGGACAGAAGCAGGAGCTGCCTTCTTTGATTCTACTACATTTTGTATTAACTGGAGAAAAAAACTGATTTTTTTTAAACTATTGCCCCAGAAAATTAGGACTAGGCCAGGGAAAGCAAAGTGGGAGGGTTTTATTTTATTTTGTTTTAGGGGGGATAGAGGAAAGGGCTATTATAAACTCACTTCTGTATTACTTGATTTAACAAGTTTTATTTTTATCTTGGCTAAAAACTTCAAAATCGAGGCCAAAAAATAATTTTAAATACTCTGTTCTATTTAAAATATCCCATCCCACTATTTGGCTGTTTGTGCCGATTTAGTGAGTAGAAAAAATATGTCGCTGTATTTATAATAGAGACAGAATGTTCAATGTATTATGAGAACACAAAAAAAGGATTAATTAATTCTTCAGGCAGATGGATGGTTACTAGGAAACTCAGAGATGTAAAGTGTAAGTTAAACTGGCCATTGAAAGATGTTAAGTTCACAAAACAGACACCTGACGCAGAAGTCTTATAGCACGGGATACAGGGTGAGCAAAAAAAGGATGGAGATGCACAGAACCTGTCGTGTTTGGGTAGCCACACGTGATCTGGTTGGGCATAAAGGCAGGAATGGCACAGAAGGAATAACTAGAAATAAGCTGGAAAAAGGAAAGAGGATTGGAGGAACTATTACAAAGGGCCTTCACTGCCATTCTATAAGACGTCTCTGCCCTTATTTAGCAGATCAGTGGATCCTAAACCTGACTGGTTATCAGAATTACCTGGGGGAACTTTGTAAAAACACAAATTCCCAGACACTCACCACACTTGCCATATCAATTAAATCTGACTCTCTGGTGGATAGATCTGGGAACCTGTAATTTAAAATAAAAATCCCTCTGCTACAGCCATAGACAAATCATCAGAATTCCAGTTATGGTGTTTAGGTGCAAGGAGAGAGGGATGGAAAGAAATGTCCCCATCTGGAGGCTATTAAGAATTAATCTTATGTATAGGCTCACTCCTTGTACCTGTCAGGCTGAAAATTAAGATCTCTTTCCAGGTACGTAAAGCTCTGAACTCATTCTTGCCTGAACTGTGCTGAAGTTGGGGCAGGAATAAGAAAAGAGAAATCGCTGCTGTTCAATTTATTGCCTTTTCTCTGCTCCTCCCTTTAGGCATCCTCACTATGTGCATGGCATGAATATCTAGTCAGAAAATGTATGGATGACACAGAGCAATCAAGCACATTCATGAAGGTTTTTTTGTTGGAAGCAAAGACTTTTATTAAAAAGTCTTTTACTAAAACAGCAATAACCACAACTTATAACCAGTCCACGTCCTGGACAGCAGATTTTGTGTAATCTTTTAAACAGCAGATTCAGTTGCTGCCATGCAATCCAAAGCTGATGTTAATTACCAAAATAATTTTTGTGAATAGTGCTGTATTCACCAGATTCTGTACAACTCATAAATTCCTGCAGAGTCTTTCTTCCAGTAAAAGTTTTGCTTCATTGATTCAAAACATACCTGTCGAGTATGGAGATATGAAGATGCATTAGACATAGGTCCTGCCCTCAAAAACTTAACCCTTCTTTAGTGATCAAATAAATCTGCTGCTATTTCTTTATCCTAACCTAGTGTCATGTCAGTTCCTAGCAATAAAAAGCCACCATGAGGTGGTATCAGCCAAAGAGTCTTCAACAGAACAGCAGCATGTCTCACTCTTGAGCTGAACAGAGAATATTAAATTTGAAAAGAACTTTCAACATTATTTTATCTAACCACATCAATTTATATATGAGAAAACTAAGATGTAGAACAATACACTGATTTACTCAAAGTTATACAGGAAGTGTGTGTTAGACAGCTGACATCCACTATTTTTGTTGTTGTTGTTGTTTTTGAGACAGAGTCTCCCTCTATCGCCCAGGCTGGAGTGCAGTGGCACAATCTTGGCTCACTGCAAGCTCCGCCTCCCAGGTTCATGCCATTCTCCTGCCTCAGCCTCCCAACGTAGCTGGGACTACAGGTGCCCACCACCACGCCTGGCTAATTTTTTGTATTTTTAGTAAAGACAGGGTTTCACCATGTTAGCCAGGATGGTCTCAATCTCCTGACCTTGTGATCCTCCTGCCTCGGCCTCCCAAAGTGCTGGGATTACAGACATGAGCCACCGCGCCCAGTCCACTATTGTTTTTTAACTTAGTTTCAGGGATACATTGGCAGATTGGTCCTATGGATAAATTGCATGTTGTGGGAGTTTGGTGTACATATTATTTTGTCATTCAGGTAATAAGTATAGTACCCAATAGGTAGTTTTTTAATCCTCACCCCACTCCCACTCCCACCCTCAAGTAGGCCCTGGTGTCTATTGTTCCCTTCTTTGTGTCCATGTGTACTCAACATTTAGCTCTCACTTACAAGTGAGAAATGTGGTGTTTGATTTTCCATTCCTGCATTAATTTGCTTAAGATAATGGCCTCCAGCTTCATCCACGTTGCTGCAAAGGACATTAGCTCACTCTTTTTTATGTGTACATAGTATTCCATGGTGTGTATGTACCATATTTTCTTTATCTATTGTTGATTGACATTTAGGTTGATTCCACATTTTTGTTATTGTGAATAGTACTAGTTTGTTGAGGGCTTTTAACATGAAGTGATACTGAATTTTATTAAAAGCTTTTCTCCATCTATTGAGATAATCATGCAGTTTTTGTTTTTAGTTCTGTTTATGTGATAAATCACATCTATTGATTTGCATATGTTCAGTCAACCTTGCATACCAGGGATAAGGCCTACTTGATCATGGTGGATGAGCTTTTTGATATTTATTTGATGAATCACATTTGTTGATTTGCAATAAAAAGCCAAGTGTCAGTTGTTGACTGACAACTGACAGATTGACAACTGATATTTGAGGTCCCAAATATCTTTGTTAGTTTTCTGTCTTGATGATCTGTCTAACACAGTCAGTGGGATGTTGAGGTCTCCCATTGGTATTGTATGGTTATCTAAGTCCCTTCATAGGTGGCCAAGAACTTGTTTTATGAATCTGAGTGCTCCTGTGTTGAATGCATATATATTTGGGATAGTTAAGTCTTCTTGATGAATTGAACCCTTTACCATAATATAATGCCCTTCTTTGTCCTCTGTGATCATTGATGGTTTAGAGTCTGTTTTGTCTGAAATTAGAATAGCAATCCCTGATTTTTTTTGTCTGTTTTGTTTTGTTTTGTTTCATTTGCTTGGTAGATACTTCTTCCCTTTACTTTGAGCTTATGGGTGTCATTACATGTAAGATGGGTCTTTTGAAGGCAACATACAGTTGGGTCACACCTCTTTATCCAATTTGCCACTCTGTGTCTTTTAATTGGGGCATTTATCCTGTTTACATTAAAGTTTAACATTGATATGTGTGGATTTGATCCTGTCACCATGTTAGCTGGTTATTATGCAGACTTGATTGTGTAGTTGCTTTATAGTGTCAGTAGTCTATGTATTTAAGTGTATTGTTTTTCTCGTGGCCAGTAATAGCCTTCATTTCCATATTTAGCACTCTGTTAAGGATGTCTTGTAAGGCAGGTCTGGTAGTAACAAATTCCCTTAACATTTGCTTGTCTGAAAAGGGTCTTATTTCTTCTTCACTTATGAAGCTTAGCTTGACAGGTTATAAAATTCTTGGTTGGAGCTTCTTCTCTTTAAGAATGCTGAATGTAGGCTTCCAATCTCTGCTTGCTTGTAGGGCTTCTATTGAAAGGTCCACTGTTAGCCTGATGGGGTTCACTTTGTAGGTGACCTGTCCTGTCTCCCTAGCTGCCTTTAATACTTTTTCTTTCATGTTGACCTTGAAGATTCTGAAGACGAGTGTCTTGGGGTTGGTCATCTTGTATAGTATCTTTCAGGGGTTCTCTGCATTTCCTGAATTTGAATGTTACCCTTTCTAGCAAGGTTGGGGAAATTTTCATGACAATATCTTCAAATGTGTTTTCCAAGTTGCTTCTTTTCTCTCCTTCTCTTTCAGGGATGTCAGTGAGACATAGATTTTGTCTCTTTACATAATCTCACATTTTTTGGAGATTTTTTTCATTCTTTTTCATTCCCTTTTCTTTACTTTTGCCTGACTGAGTTAGTATGGAGAACCAGTCTTCAAGTTCTGAGACTCTCTCTTCAGCTTGGTCTATTCTGCTGTTAATACTTGTGATTGTATTATGAAATTCTTGAAGTGTATTTTTCAGCTCCATCAGATCAGTTTGGTTTGTTCTTAAAATGGCCATTTTTGTCTTTCAACTACTGTATCATTTTATTGTAATCCTTAGATTTCTTATATTGGATTTCAAATTTCTCCTGATCTTGATGATCCTCATTCCCATCCATATTCTGCATTATATGTCTATGGTTTCACCCATTTCAGCCTGATCAATAACCATTTCTGGGGAACTAGTGCAGTCATTTAGAGGAAAGAAGACATTCTGGCCTTTTGAGTCACCAGACTTCTTGAGCTGGTTCCTTCTCATCTGTGTGAACTGATGTTCCTTTAACTGCGGTGCAATTTGAGTATAGTCACTTGACTTTGTTTCTGGGTGTTTTCAGAGGGCCAAGCCTTTGTGCTATTTCTTTATTTGTAGCTGAATTCTTGTCCTAGGTTTCACTGCAGGTATATTAGCAAAGTATTTTTTTATTGAAATTTGAGCTGTGGCCCATTAGGTGGCACTTAAGCATAGTGGCCAGTAGATAGGCTTCTTCTCAGCCATGTGGTGCCTATGTATTTCCTCACAATTGCGGTCATGCTCCTTCTCAGTGTTCTGAGGGTGTGAGCTCCTCTCCTACTCAAGTATTGACTGCAGATCTTGGCTTGCCACTCCCAGGCTACACATTACAGCCCTGAGGCAAGCTCAGGCTTTATGTTTTCTCCCCAGCTTGGGGTTAGCAGTGGCAGGGACCTTGGCAGTGGCAATGGCAGAGGGCCTTTCACTTGCCTCTTGGGGTGCCACTCTAGAGAAACACAGAACTGCTACCAGTTGGAGCAGTCACCCTTATGGGGCATCTGCATTGTGGGCCCAAGCCAGGGGGCCCTACCTGGTAATGGTCAGAGGTGCAGGAGTCTCATGGGGAAGACAGACTGTCCTGTCCTCTTCTCTTTAGGGCAGCTGTGGCATGCTAGAGGTATAGTAAAGCCTTCCGGGTCTTTATTCCTTCTGCAGTGCAAGGGCAGCAAGGGCAGTACCACTGCAATGGCAGTGACAGAGGAGCTTTCGGTTGCCTCTGGGGGCTCCACTCCAGAGAAAAGCAGAGACTCAGCCAATGGGGAGGCTCTGCTATGGGATTCAGTCATGGGGTGGGGCAGCTGCACTGTGGCCTGTGCTGGGGGCCCTGCTTGATGGAGAGCAAGGGGTCAGAGGCTCAAAGGGAAGAGAGACTAGGCTCCTCTCTATTTGGCAACTGGCATGCTGGAAGCACACGTAAAGCCTTCAGGCTCTTTGTTTCTTCTCCAGTCTGAGGGCAGCACAGTCAGAACCACTGCAGTGTCAGTGGCAGAGAGGCTGTCAGGTGCCTCTCGAAGCTCCACCCCAGGGAAACACCAAGTCACTAAGAGTGGGAATGCACAGTTGTTGTGGGGCATGTCAGGGGCGGGGGCTGGTTGCTCCGTAGCTACAATGAGAGGGGCTGTGGATTGTCTCTGGGATTTCCTCGCCAGAGAATCCCAGAGCCACCATCAACTTAAGTGTTCAGATCCAGGCATGGTGATTGTGCTGGGGGCCAAGGTCAAGAGGCTCTGCCCAGTAACGAGTAACAGAGGCAAGGACCTGTGTGGAAAATGGTCTGGGGGCACACATTAGTCCTTAACCACTTCACTTCCTCCCAAGTCTGAGGGCAGTAGGGGCAGGAGCTGCAGTGCAGCAAAAATGCCAGGTCTACCTGCTCCCTCTGGAAGCTCCATCCCAGGGAAGTGCAGGTCTGCTACTGGGTCAAAAGCTAAAGTGGGGCCAAGTGGCCATGCTAGGGTCCCAGGCCAGCGGGCCTTGTTTAGCAAAGTGTAGTGGAGGCAAGTCCTGAAGTCCATCCACTCCTCAGCCCCAAGAAATCAACCCCTACCCTGGGGGCATGTGAGGGAACCTGGCCTCTCTCATTGTCAGAGCTAGTGCTGGGGTACCCAGAGATCCATGGCCCCCAGGACTCCACTTGCGCCTGAGTGGTGGCTCCAATCACATTCCACATAGCTCTTCATGACAGTTTGGGGGCCCCAATGAGGGGGGTCACAGGGGATCTCCTAAGCCAAGGGTTGCAAAAGTCCATGGCAGAAGTGTGTGTCTTTAGGGGCTCTCACTCACTCACCGTTTTCCTGTGGTGGAGAGCCTGCCCTGGCTCTGTCCCAGTCCTCAGTGGGTGGCTGTCCTACTTTGCTCTTCTCTGTTCTTTATGGGTCATGTTGCTTCCTTGATGAATCCCAACATGTCCAGCTGGATAATCCAGTTGAAGAACTAGTGTTCACTTGCCACTTTTTCTTCTCTCGATGAGAGCAGGACACACTACCTGCTTCTAATCAGGTATCTTGGCCACCTGAAGTTCACTCTTAACCTTGCAGGGTAAGTTATTATAATTTCAAGTCCCAATTCCATAACTAATCTTCCTGATTGGGATATGAGTGGGGATGGGCTTTGGATTTACCTCATTTCTTAGAGGAGTTGAGAAAATTAGAGAACTTTAAATTACTGGGACAAGGAATATAATGACCCACGGAAGAGAGATCACATGACTTGAACTCTTATCTGTACAATTTCTGCAACAAATAGTTATTCAGTGTCTATGATAAATGATAACTAACACAGATAAAGACCCAGCTTTCTGACTTGAAGACTCCCAACTATCTCACCCAAGACACATGATAGTGAGTGTGGCAAATTCATGCTTCTTCTTATCTCTGCCATTTGCAAATCTATAGTCTTCCCATATTCCTTTCTTCCCTTCTCAAGCTTCAGTCTCCAAGCAGAAAGCAGAAATCACAAATACATGCCATGCGTCCTACCTCCTGTCTGTCCTCTTTTCTTGACAGACATCACTAATCAATCACAGCACTCTTTTCCTTGTATTGTTAGGAAAATTTAGAATCTTTTCCCACACAGCTCTAGACAAGTACTATCTATCTCAGATGGCATATGTCTCTAAAGTGCGTCCTTTTTTAAAAATTTGTCTTCCCCTACAATCCCAGCCTGAATGATATCTAAAATAGAGTTGCTTGAAGGATTGATTGAAAGAGAAAAAGCAAGAAAAGTGTTCTAATGGGTACCGCACACACAAACACACATACGTAAAAGACTGGTTATAAGAATGTCCAGCATCAATTCAAATAATTCACTCAATGTTTATTGAGTTCCAGCACCACACTGGATAATACATATACAGACATGGATAATCATAATCTCTGTCTTAAAAACTTTTCACACCAGATGAGAAGAAAGTCTTATGAACAGATGATTTTAAAACAATGTAATGATTATTATAACTGGGTAGGCTTCATCCCCTCATACAGTGATCTTGACTACATTTTTTGTCTTGTGTACCTAGAAACCACCACCACACCTGGCACAGATGAGGAGCTCAGTAATATTTGTTAAATGACCTGAAACAGAGATCAGAGTACTTAATTTTTCTACAATAAATGGGCAAACGCCTTAAGGAAAAAGTCAATGTTCTCCTGAATCTTGAAAAATCAGTGAGAGTTTTCCAGATGAAGAAGCATGCATAAGGAGAGGAACTCCCATTTATAACTTGGTTTGGAATTATGTTGGAAGACAAAATAAGCTATTTGTCCTCCATTTGTTCATAGATCACATAACAGTTATCCACATCCCAAATGATTTAGAAGACTGCTTAATGAATATATAATAAAGTAAAATGTATGACTATGTTTTCATCAAAGCTGCTGTAATCCATCTTTATTTTCTATAGATACCCAGGAAACCACAAATTCAACTGTGCTCACAGATTCCACCTGGGTACATGCTCTCAAAGTGATCTTTTATCTGGCTTCTTTAATGTAAAACTAATTAAAATCAATTAGAGTGGCATGTCATTGACTGGCCTGGTTTTACCAGTGCATCACAAAGAGACAGAAGAAAAGACTTGGAGGATAATAATGTGAAACTTGTTTGTACTCCTTAAATTGCAGATGTGTATTTCTAATGGGTAAACAACTGAAATTTCAAGGCACTTACTTGAAGCATAGCCAAATGTCTCCCATAAAGCAGTTGTATTAGAGATTTGATTAACATTCCTTTTTTAAAGGTGCTTGAAAGAATTTGTCCCTGTTGTTTTTCATGGAATGCATTCGGTATTTCCTATCCTTGAACTTTGATAAGACTTACAGCCTCTAATCCTCCCCTTTTGTACTTGATTATTTACTCTCTTGTGTTGTGCATTGTTTTATGTATACTAAATCATGTATCTCCAGCAAGCTTGTAGGTCTAAGGCCTTCTATTTTCTTTATGATACATGTAAAAGGAAAGAGAGAAAGCAAAAAAGGAAGAAGAAAAGGGAAGAAAGAAAACACGGAGAGGAAAAAGAAAGAATAAATGTGTACATATTGAACATCTATTACGCATGCATGGTGCTGTGTACCTTTCTAGAACATATGCCACTTAATCTTGATAAGAATCCTGAAAAATAAATACCTTTTTCCCTTTTAGGGATAAAGTAACCGAAACACAAATTGGTCACCAGCTGAATGGCAGAGGCAAAATGAAAACCCAGATATTTCCTTTGTTTACTTCTAATTCTGCAGGAAGTTGCCCTACCAAAGCCACTTTGCAGGGGACAGCAATGAGTAGTCATGTTTTATACCATCAGACTTGACTCCTCTCTCCATCTTTTGGGTGCAAGTTGTTGAATAGGATTTTGGCATCTAAGCCATGGCCACGTCCTATATAAAAAGATTAATTAAGCCATTCATATTATTTTTATTATTTGATCTAACAAATAACTGAGAGACTGAGTTAGTCAGGTATGGGAAACAAAACAAAAAATAATGATTAAGAAATTCCTCTGTCAAGACAGAGGGTAGAATAAATATCTACAATACATATAACCAACAAAGAACTTATATCTGGATTGTATAAATAGTTTTTAGATATCAGTGAGAAAAAAGCAGACAACACAATAGAAAAATGATCAACAGATTTGAACAGATACTTCACAAAGAAGCATCTGCTATGCAGGGTGACTACATGACATATCATCTAAACTGGGACCACTTTTGAGAATGAAAGGAATCCTGCTCATAATTATTCCAGGACAACAACAATAAGCCAGAACTGACCCACGCAAACTACAATGTATGGACACCCTACCCAAATCACATTAAATATATGAAAAGATACTTAACCTCATTGGTTACCCAGGAAATGCAAATTAAAACTGCAATGAGATACTTCCACACCCCATCAGAATGACTAAAATAAAAAAGAATGGCGATACCAACTGTCTGTGAGGAGACAGAGTACCTAGAACTCTCATACACTGCTGGGGGACCTATACATTGTGGCAATCACTTTAAAAAAACTCTTTGGGAGTATACAAAAGTCAAACATATATGTATGATGCATCAATGTCTACTCTCAAGTAGATATACAACAAAAAATATGTACATAAGTCAACCAAAGATATAAAAATTCACATAGCAGTATTACAGCAGTATTATGAATTGATAACGGCTAACAATAGTAGAATGGATAAATACATTGTGTATGCTACGGTCATACAAGGGATGACTATGCCATAATTAAAATGAATGAGCCATTGCTACACAGAACAACATGAATGAATATCACAAATGTTGCACTGAGTGCTAGGAAGCAGTACTCAAAAGAGTAGACACTTTATGGTTACATTTTTATAAATGTCAAAACAGGAAAAACTAATCTGTGGTATTAGAAGCCATATCACTTGTTACCATGGGGAAGTGGTAATAAATGGGAAGTGGGAGGAAGGAACTCTGGAATGCTGGTAATGTTCCATTTCTACATGAGGGTGGTGGCAATTGGAGTATGTTCACTTTGGGAAAAATAATTAAACTCTACACTGAAAACGTGTGAAGTTTTTTGTGCGTATACTATACTTCCATAAACAAATTTGGGGCAAGTGCCAGTGGCTTGTGCCTGTAATCCCAGCACTTTGGGAGGCCAAGGTGGGCAGATGGCTGGAGCCCAGAAGTTCGAGACCACCCTGGGCAACATGGTAAAACCCACTCCTACAAAAAATACAAAAATTAGCCAGGCATGGTTGTGCACGCCTGTAGTCCCAGCTACTCGGGAAGCTGAGGTGGGAGGATCACTTGAGCCTAGGAGGTGGAGGCCACAGTGAGCAACCATCATGTCACTGCACTCTAGTCTGCGTGAAAGAACAATACCCTGTCTCATAAATAAATAAATACATAAACAAGTTTATTAGTTTTAAAAAAAACAGAACCAAAAAATTGAAAATTTCCTGAAGCAAAATAATGCTCTAATGGTCAACATGCAATCTAGAGTTTCGAAGGAGCAAAAGTGGAAGTGAACTGAGGAAGCCACTCAGTAGAGAGTAGAAGAGAGCAGATATGCAGGAAGAAGCCAAGGAGACCATAGAAGAAAGACAAATAGAATCTTCTATACCTTGCACTGCCTCTAATCCTGGTGGTTTTCAAATTCCTGACCCCATTTCTATGTATCTAATCACCCTTTTCCTTGAAGTAGTATGAGTGGCTCTCTCTACCACAAAAATAAACAAAGCTAACTGAAATGTCAACAGTGCTTTCTTCCTCAGACCCCCTAATAGTACAATCTTGGCAGCTAGAGAGTTTATCTTTATCAAAGTTATTTTATGACATAAATAAAACAAAAGTGAATCCAGCAGATGATGAACCCTCATGCCTTTCATGCTGAAGGTTGGATGATTTCCAAAATATATTGTAAATAGAGAAATATCATCCTATCTCAAAGCCACCATCTTTCCTGGATGTATAGGCCATAAGTGGTGCGGCAATGACAGATCTTACGTTATTTCATCTTGGCCGATTGAGCCAGATGTGAGTTCTGGGGTTACTGAAGCAAATATGACAGGACTTCTCCTTTTGAGGGACTCTTGGCCTCATAAGTTTTGTGTATTTTGTTTATTGCTGACTCTCCAGCACCTGGAACAGTGCCTAGAACATAGTGGTGCTCACTTAATATTTTTGAATGAATTAGTGAATGAGTAGGTAGTATCGGTACACAACTATTACCATGCCATGGAGTATAGCAGCATGTATATAACAGGCTTCAGTGATGTGGGGGAAGTTGTTATTTTTCCACTGTGGGTGAGAAAAGCTACATAGAAAGAACTATTGGGTTGAACCCTGAAGAATTTTCTTCAGTTTATTGAGAGACAATGAAAGACATTCCAGGCAAAAAAAAAAAACACTATGGGAAAAGCTATAGATTTGAGTGTGTGCATAGTTTGTTCACTCTTCTCTCCCACAACCCAACCAATGAAAAGTGAGAACGTGCGGGTGACTCACAGACCACAGAGTAAATACCTGGCTGGTCTCCTGAATCAGTTGGTCAATCCTGCTTACGCAGAGTAAAGAGGGACAAAGAATTATCCAGATGTTGCTGCATGCAACTAGAAACAGGGTACGCGAGTATTCACTACTCAACTTACTGATCTTCTGAGCTGGTTTTCAAGCTGAGTTTCACAGAGCCCTCGGGTTTCTCAGGGGTACTGGCACATAAACCACCCTAGAGTGAGAGGAGGACTGAAAGCAGACAAGGGCCCAGGCCCTCCACCCTTGTTCCAACCAGAATGTCATCTCTCATGTTTTCTGCATTAGTATTTTCTGTGAGATTTTACTGAAGTTATTACCTATGTGTTATTTTTCTCCTTTTTTTCGGGGGGGATAGAGTTTCACTCTTGTCGCCCAGGCTGGAGTGCAATAGCGGCGATCTCGGTTCACTGCAACTTCTGCCTCCCAGGTTCAAGCAATTCTCCTGCCTCAGCCTGCCCAGTAGCTGGGATTACAGGTGCCCGCCACCAAGCCCAGTTATTTTTTGTATTTGTATTTTTTTTAGTAGAGACAGGGTTTCACCATGTTGGCCAGGCTGGTCTCGAACTCCTAACCTCAAGTGATCCTCCCACCTCAGCCTCCCAAAGTGCAGGGATTACAGGCATGAGCCACTGTGCCCGGCCAGTTTTTCTACTTAAAAAAAAAATAAGTTTTAAACCATTGATCTATAAAGCACCAATTTACAGAATAATTGTACAACCATTTACTGCACTTTGTGTTGACACAATTTCATCACAGTAAAAAATAAGAAAACAACTATTTATTGATTTTTATTCTTTTGAAATTATGATCTTCCCTGACATTTCTACTCTACAGAGGAGTCATACCTAGTTATGATTTTTGACAACATAAAAGAGAAGACCTCTGTCACAATTGTCTCAGAGATGAAGGAACTGTGGTTGTACTAATTTTCACTACCTCTCCCCACTCTCATATTCTGTTCAGTGTCCCTTTATTTGTAGACTTTTCACTGGGAATCCCACGCCCCTTTGAACATGTCTCTCAGTTGCCATGCCGCTTTGTAGCTGGGTGTGTGAAACAAAATATCATATTTATCTCAAACTCCTCTCTCAGAGTTCCACATTTGGTCTCACTTCGTGACTTTATTTGCATGCATTTACATTCTTCATTTTCTTTATAAAATAAGTCAAAGGATTTTATAGGTCTGTTTAATGTGCTAACATACAGGATACCCATGCCATTTCCAGATATTTTATATATTCAAATGATTCATTTCCTTTATCCTCCTCCAACTCTCCCAGTGTTATTTATTATTCCTCTTTTAGCACATTGAATTTTATAATTTTTCAAAGCAATTTTGTAAGTTCCCAAAGTAATGCATATATATAGATCATTGAAATTAATGAAATTGATCAAATACATATATATCTACATGTATACATATGCAAATTTGTGTATATGTGTATAATTTGACTATGCCACCTGTATATAAGACAAAAATTGTCAATTTCTGCTCCCTCACCTTTAACTGTAAGACCTTGGCTCCTTCAACCGCAAAATAAGAGAAATAAGAGTGATTGTATCTAAACCTCATGGTTTATATGAGGATTTATCGTATATGTGTAATAGGATAGCCATGCTACATGATCCTTGTTTCCTGCCATTGTTCTTCAAACGCATGGAATTTGAGCTTTGACCAAGAAGTAAGGAAACTGATTTTAATTAAGTGTGGTCACACTGTTACATCCAGGTGAGCACTGTTTTTCCACGTGGCTGCCTTAGGAACCTGAAATTTATTTCGGTAATCTTTGTTCAACAAAGATTTATAGGCTACCACTGTCAGTCAGGCAGGCACTGAGCTTGGGATGAAGGCTGAAATATATAAAATACATGCTTTCTTGGAATTTACATCCGAAAGAAGACAAATATTAACTTTAAAAAAAATCACGTTTTGGATATACAATTATAATATTGGCAAGTGCTGTGTGAGAAAGGAAAAAGGTCATATGAGGGCTTTTTAAGAGGAGCTGACCCAGCCTGAAGGTATCAAAAAAGACTTGCCCAAAAAAAGGCCTCTTGATCTAGGATCAGAAGGATGAGTAGGAGTTAAGTAGGCACAGTGAGTTGCAGGAGGGAAACCAGGAGGCAATAAGATCAGCAGGAGAAAAGCCCTAAGAAGGGATAGGTGTCATTAAAAATTAGGCAAAGGATTTGATTACACATTTCTCAAAAGAAGACATACAAATGGCCAAGAAGTATATGGAAAAAGGCTCAATATCACTAATAATCAGGAAAATTCAAGTCAAAACCACAATGAGGTATCATCTTACCCCAGTTAGAATGGTTATTACCAAAAAGACAAAAAGTAATAAATGCTGGCAAGGATGCAGAGAAAAGAGAGCTTTTATACACTGAAAGTGGGAATGTAAATTGGTACCGCCATTATGAAAAACAGTACGGAAGTTTCCCAGAGAAAACTAAAAGCAGCACTGCTGTATGATCCAGCAATTTCATTTCTGTGTATTTCTTCAAAGGAAAGGAAATCAGTGTAACAAAAGTATATCTGCATTCCTATTTTTATTGCAGCACTGTTCACAATAGTAAAGATATGGAATCACCTAAGTGCCCATCAATAGATGAATGGATAAAGAAAACGTGGTATAGATACAAATGGAATACTGTTCAGCCATAAAAAAGAAGGAAATTCTGTTATTTACAGGAATATGGATAGAACTGGACAAATTTATGTGAAGTGAAATAAGCCAGGCATAGAAAGACAAATGTCACATGTTGTCATTCATATGTGGGAGCTAAAAAAGTTGATCTCATGGAAGTAAAGGGTAGAGTGATGGTTATAAGAGGTTGGAAAGAGTGTGTGGATAGGGGAGGATGAAGAGATGTTGGTTATATGGTACAAACATATAGTTAAATAGAAGAAATAAGTTCTAGTGTTCAATAGCACAATAGGATGACTGGAGTTAACAACAATATATTGCATATTTCAAAACAGCTAGGAAAGAAGATTTGAAATGTTCCAAACACAAAAAAGAAGTAACAAATGTTCAAAGTGCTGGATATCCTAAATATCCTGATTTTTGATCACTACATACTATATGCATGTATCAAAATATCACATATATCCCATAAATATGTACAATTATCATGCATCAATAACAATTTTTTAAAGAACTGAAAAAAAAGATCATGAGTAAGAAGCACAGATAGAGAGATGAGAGTGCAAAGATATGATTGCCCAACAGTGACTAAATGTCTCTGTGCCAGGTACAACTCTCAGCACTCTGCCTGGATTAACTCATTTAGTCCTCACAACACCTCTACAAGGTAAGCACTATTACTTTCATTGCCCCTACTCTATAAATTTGTAAACTGAGGACTTAAGATGTTAACCGACTGCCCAAGGCTATATAGTCTTGGCTATATATATCATGGATTGGGTGATATCCACCTACACTGCGGAGGGTCATCTGCTTTACTCAGTCCACCAATTAAAATGCTAATTTCTTCCTGAAACATCATCACAGACACATCCAGATATACCACTCAACCAACTATCTGGACATCCCATAGCCCAGTCATGTTGACACATAAAATTAACCATCACAGGGTTTATGTTCTTATGAAAAGGAAGTCAATAGATAACAACCTTGTAGCTGTTTACTATTTCAGATGGTGACGGATGGGATGGATAAATAATAAATCAGGTTAAGAGATGATGGAAAGAACAAGAGGTTTTTTTAGGGGGTTGGAGGGTAAGGGGAGGATTGAAAGATTAGAAATGACCCACTGAAAAGTGACCTACAGTTGAGAAATTATAGTGGATCAGACTGAGGTGGGAGAAGTGTATTTAAAGGGAAATAAAAATGATTGAAGTAATATTTAGGAATTTAAATTAAACAGTAATTGCCGTTGAATTGGATATAGGACTGAGAGAGAGGGGGAATGGCAAGAATGACTCATCAGTTTCTGGATTTTGCAACTGCCTTTCACTAAAGTAGAAACTATGAAAGGGAACCAAGACTGTGACAGTGGAAGCAAGGGAAAAATTATAAATTCAGCCTTGAGCATGTGGTGTTTGAGTTGCTTTTCAAATATCTAAGCAGGGATCTCATGGGCCTGGAGTTCAGAGAGGAATATTATCTGGAGATATTAATTGGAAAAGGCCATTGACATGCAATGGAAATCAAAGTTGTAATCTTTGATAAGATTGCCAAGGTAAAGCATTTGGAATGAGAAGAGGAAAGAGCCTAGGACAAAGCCTCAAGGAGTTCCAATATCTACCACCAGGTGGAGAAGGATGAGCCTAAAAATTAGACCGAGAGAGGCTGGCCAGAAAGGTAGGCAAGAAACAAGAGGAGGATTTTAAGGAGGAGAAAAAGGTCTTTTGGGGAGACAATTCCTCTATAGGTCTCTCCCATTTCTGCACACCTTATGGGCAAAGCACTAACTGCTCTGTGTTCTGAACTATCTTTTCCAGCATGTTTTTGTAATAAACAGTCTTGGATGTCCTCCAGAGAACAGGGCAGAAATGCTTACTGTCCATTATACAAGATTCAGGTTCCCTAAACTCGGGGCTCCTCTCCTCTAATGCACCCCACTGTGTATACAGTCATTCATGTGGCCCATGACACAGCCAGGTTTTACTTAAGGTGGAAAATGAAGGGAACAGGCCAAGAAGAGGCTACAAATAAGAAGGTGTCTGTTGAGAGCAAAGCAGAAAAGCTTGAATGCAAGGAAAGAGTGGTTGAGTGGGTCAGGAGCAAGGAAATCAGAGAATTACAAGAAGATAGTCCTCTGAACTCCGTTAGGTGTACTCTGTTCTGCAAGGGACAGAATATCTCCTTGGAAATTTGATGTTTCATATTGAAAATATAATTTTACCTCCTGAAACAGACTATAAGTCCTTCCAGGGCAGAAACCATGTTTTAATAAAATAGTAATAATAAAGATCATTTTACTTATTCCCATTTGGCAGATGAAGAACCCAAGACTCCCTGAAGTTGTCATTTGGTCCTGGTCACAGAGCTAATTTGAAGCAGAGTTCAATTTAAATTCCAGGCCTGATTAACTCTAAAACTTGGATTTTACCATTTTATTAATGCCTCCTGTCATGCTTATGCCAAGTGCTTAAGCTAGTGTTTGGACAAACGAATAACTGGTAAGTATTTTTTCAGGTACTTAAAATATACACAAGTCTCCTCAGTTTTTGAATTTATGGCCTTTGTATCAAAAAGCAGCAAGCTGGTGACCCAACCACCACCAACTTCTCCTTTGCAGGAAAATATTAAACACCTATCAGGTGCTCAACATACTAAGTTGCTGATAATTAATTGGATATGGCATTAATATATTGTCACCCTGTAATGTTAACTTTTTAAGAAGATTTCCATTGCACTGTGCTACTGAGATGAAAGATTTATGAGGGAGCAAAGAGGTCTGTAGGTGGAGGCAGACTTGATGTTCAAAATATTTAACAGTGGCCAGGTATAGTATTGTCCCAATTAAAATTCTGACTGTTAACAACAAAGACTCTTGTACTGGTGACTACTAGGCAATCATCAGCCCTGGGAATTGGAAGGAAAGCCACATATTACCTAGTGAATATTGCTGAATGTTGCAAAGTAGAAGATAGAGGAGTTTGTTTATATGGCCAACGTTTATTGAGGGCTAAACTACATCTTAGTCACTCTTCTAGACACTGGCTTATCCAGGCAAAGATAATGCAAAAGCACAAGAAAGAGAAAAGAAAACCCCACAAGGAACCATGGAAGCTGTATTAGTTTGTTCTTCATTGTTGTAAAGAAATACCTGAGACTGGGTAATTTATTAAAAAAAAAAAAAAAAAAAAAGGTTTATTCTGGCTCATGGTTCTGCAGACCGTACGAGAATCATGGTGCTGGCATCCGCTCTTGGTGATGCATTGGGAAGCTTCTAATTATGGCAGAAAGTGAAGGGGGAGCAGGTGCATCACATGGTGAGCAAGAAAGCAAGAGAGAAAGAGAAAGACGTGCCAGTCTGTTTTCAACAACCAGATTTCATGTGAACTCATAGAGCAAGAACTCACTCATTACCACAGAGAGGGCACCATGACATTTGATATGGTTTGGCTGTGTCCCCACCAAAATGTCATCTTGAATTCCCATGCATTATGAGAGGGACTCGGTAGGAGGTAATTGAATCATGGAGGCAAGTTTTCCCGTGCTGTTCTCTTGATAGTGAATAAGTCTCATGAGATCTGATGGTTTTAAAAAGAGGAATTCCCCTGCACAAGCTCTCTCTCTTTGCCTCCTGCCATCCATGTAAGAAATGACTTACTCTTCCTTGCCTTCTGCCATGATTGTGAGGCTTCCCCAGCCATGTGGAACTGTAAGTCCAATTAAACCTCTTTCTTTTGTAAATTACCCAGTCTCAGGTATGTCTTTATCACCAGCATGAAAATAGACTAATATACCATTCATGAAGGGTCTGCTCCCATGACCCAAATACCTCCCACCAGACCCACCTCCAACACTGGTGTTCACAATCCAACATGAGATTTGGAGAGAAAAAACATCCAAATAATATCATAAGCCTTCCAAAAGTACTGAGGCCGATAATGTAATTTCATTCTGCTAATGGAGTATGGAAGTTTAGCCAGCCAGTTGGCAAAGCCAGAGCAATCTCATTCATTTGATAGATATCCTGGCCATTGTCTCTCCTCTTTCTAAAGTGAAAATCAAAATTCAAGGCATTTGCTTGCAGCTGCAAAAAGTCTCAGGGCATGAGCCAGTCCAGCCATCCAGTTACCCAGTTATTCTTTTCAGAAGCTTTTAGAACATCCAATGACAGGTGGAATGAGCTCTTTCCAAGCCCTGAGGCACAGAACCAACTTCTGTGATCTACCGTCTTCTCTGTGGTTGCCCCTGTGGTCTTATGAAATCATAACTGCTCAAGTTGCAGTTCTACACACCAGCTCAAATGAGCTTTTGGGGGCTCCTCCCACTTTCACACAGGACCTGTTCTCAGTTCAGTCCCAGTTAAGAGTCTGGAAAATTTAGAAGAGAATAGAGAGAAGTAATTGGAACCCCAGCCCTCCTGCATCCCCAAATCCACCTCCCAACCAGTTCATGTATTTTTCTACAAACTGAGCTCATCCCTGCTCCTCCTCCATAATTGCACCCTGAAAGAGTTCTGTTATATTTACAAAGGTCTTAATTGGTTCATATGAGCCAAGGCTAGGGAATGACCAAGCAGTGTGAAACAGGGGAAGAGCATGGGCTTTGGACTCAGACCTAAATGAGCATGGCTACTTATCTTGAATTCTAGGTCTACCACATGGTGGGTTCCTAGAGCAAGTTATTAACTCCTTTATAACTTGATTTATTCATCTATAAAATAGGGTAATAGTATGAATTCTAATTTTGTAGGGTTACTGTATTATATTGAGATATATATATAAAATAGGTAAATAATATAGATACATATGATACACCTAGTAGAGTGTCTAGAGTTAGTAATTATTACTACTAGATGTTCTGGTTATCAATTGCATCCTTCTCACATGCAAACTGAACTTATCTCAAGATAGCTGCAACAATATCTCCCGTCGCACATGCTCTTCTGCAATGTGAGCTTGCTAGCCTCTCATCGAGAGAGGGTGTATTTCTCCACCGCCTTGGAGCTGGAATAACACTGTGACAGCTTTGACCAATAAGATTGGTAGAAATAATCTTTTAGCCCCAAGCATAGCCCTAACTGGCCTAAGAGCTTCTTCTTTCTTCTATCTTGAAAGCTAGCCATAACATAAGTAGTGTGACCACCCTGAGTCCACTGTGCTATAAGAAGTCCAAACCAAGACCTTGGAGGATGAGATGTGACATAGGAAAAGGGCAAAGAACACCAAGCCAGCACACATGTGAGTGAAAAGACATCTTGGGCCTCTATCTCAGCTGAGCCTTCAAATGGCTCTAGCCCCCTTTGCCATCTGACCACAAAATGTGAGAAACCTCAAGGAAGAAACCACCCAGCTCAGCTCAGCCAACCCACAGAACTCGGACATGTGATAATGCATTGCCATTTTAAGGCCCTAAGTTCTAGAGTGGTTAATTAGCAATAAGAGATAACTGGGAATGCTAGCTATATGATCCTGGTTAAGCTACTTAATCTATCAGAGCCTCAGTTTCCCCGTGTGTTACAAAGGAGACACAAAATCAATATTAGCTCCTTTTCTATCTTTCATCCAAGGCTGTGGCAGAGTTTTTATATTTGCTTTGCCATTCTCGTGCAACACCTTTAGAGGGAAAATTGCTGCCTCTTGGTTTGACAGGGAAGTAAGAAAGCAGAGGGATGCGCTATTGATGCACCAGAATGCTTCCCACCTCTTCTTTGCTGATGTCGACATAAGTATCTCTCTGCTGTCACTTCTATATAAAGATAAAAGACCATATGCCTGAGCTCCAGCTTGCCTCTTTCATCCTAATGGATATCTCAGAAGGAAAGACACATTGAGTCCAAAAACCTTCCCTGGAACCCAGGGCCTTCACTCCTCTGGCCTTTACATATTTGTCTGCTTTTGAAAGAGAGAACTTTTTCTAAACCATTATTCAAGTGAATACTGAAAAGAAAATGACAGACTGTTTTGGAAATCCAAAAACTATGCACGCCTAGGACTGTGACCATTATTAGCATCTAGTATTCAGTGGATATTGAATGCATGCAGAAAAGGAGAGTGACTTATCTCATTTTTGTTGGAAAATTATATTTCAAAACCCCTATTTCTAAAAGAACGTTTGTGGAATCATCACATCACAGTCACCAGAGGGCTTCTTTAAAATGCAGATTTCAGACACTTATTGAATCATAATCCCTTGGAATAAAGACTGGAAATTTCTATTTTTAAATAGTACTCATAGTGATTATTAAGAGCACTGATATTCCAGAACCACATCTCTAAAATCTCAGGTTTCTTTCCCTGTTTGATTTTGAGAACTGTGAAATGCCTAGGTCTGGGAACAAAGAGATCCCAGAAAAATTCAGAAATTCCAGTGCCTTACATACTTCTTCAGAGAATTAATTATGTCTATGAACTTCTGTACTTAAGGGTATGAACAACACAGATGGCTCACTAATTCTTTAAACTTGTTTTCTGCTTAATATGTCTAAATGTAAAGTGAAAATGAGAACACCTTATTATAATTTCCAAGTCTTCAGTGAAAATTTGTGTTTAAAGGTACAGAGAGGACCTAATGGTAAACAGTAATTGCTTCTTTCCCAGGTAAAACAAATGAGAGCTCTTTATTGCTCCAAACTGGTTGGAGTTGACCAGATTCTCTAAGTAAAAGAGAACAGGATTTGGAGGATGACCTTGAGGAAATCAATTAACTTGACTGAACTCATTTTCTGTATCTGCTAAGAGAGTTTCTATGAAGATTACACAGGGCCACCATATTGCACAACTCACATCATAGTTTATGTGTGGTGCACTACTTGAATATCTGTACATGGAAGTGCTTTGAGTGAACCTATGTGTTTAAATATACTAGATGTGTGTGCCATATGCTATAAGGATAGTAAAGGATTCTTACATGAGGTGGTGATAGGATGGAAAAATGAAGCTTTATTCAGATCTATAAAACAGCAACCTGAGAAAAACATTGTCCAGATACAAGATTGTTGATTGAAGGCACTGCTCAAGCTTAGTAAGATAGCTGATTAGTCCTAAAACATATATGTGTACACATGCAGACATACACAAACATACAAACACACACATTATAGATGACGCTTTGGATTCCTTACTGATATTCTGAATACATTCTCTTTTCCTCTGACAAATCTCTTGATTTCCATTTTTGGGCTTACTGCTCCTCCAACCTTAGGATGCATGGTCTAGGTAGGAATCCACATTCAGCTACAAGAATGGAAAGCATAACCCACACCTTAGTCAATCAACATATCTTTCCTTGGGAGACGAAGAGGAGTAAATGACCCAAGCTGCATAATACAAAGTGAAGGTCAGTACTCCTACAAGGGATCCTGGAAAAGGCTCTGGCTTTTTTTCTGGTGAACTTCAACTGAATGAGATGAGACAGGGGCTGCTGCCACCATTTGCGTTAGCAGAAATGAGCCTGGAGCTTCTCAGGGATGAGGAAGGCAACTTGGAATTTGAGAACTCGGTCCCACCATGTCTGAGACAGACTTTTCAGGTATGCAGACCCATCAACTCCCCTTTATACCTTTGCTTAGGCCAGTCTGAGTTGTTTCACCTTCAACTGCAACATCACAAGATGAATTTCATGCACAATAACCAGATCCACCGTTTGACTAACTCATACCACGGTTTTACTTTGCCTACTAGTTTGTAGTGCATTAATACCTCAGGTTTAACTAGGGTGATCACATAATTTATCATCCCAGCCAGGGCCCAGGGCATTTTGAGAGTCAAAAGAGCACTATTTATGCTTATGTCAGGACAAAAGCGTAGATCTCAGCAACTGAAATGTTATGTTCACCACAATTTTGAAAAATGGTCAGATTGTTGATTATTTGAAGATACAGAGTCAGTATTTTTTTAAAGTAGTTTGGCTTACAAAGTTCACAGCTGTATTGCTGACACCTAGAATGCCCAGCACAAAGTAGATACTCAATGTTTATTTAATAAATAAAGCATTTCAAAAACATTTTAGAATATTTATTCATGCATTTCTTCCACAAATGCTTGAGTACATTTTATATGACACTTATTGCTCTAGGCACTGAAGGTAGAGATGTGAGCAAGATCACTTAGGTCCTTGTTCCCTGGGAGGTTTCATTCTTGGGAAGTAGAATCAGACAACACATGAGTAAGTAAGAACTTCCTGGTAGTCATATGTGCTATGGGAGAAATGAAACAGAGTGGTATGTGGGGAAAGAGACATTATCAGGTGGTAAGATCTGAGAATGACTCTCCGAAAAGTTGACATGTGCACTGAAACTGAGTCAACCAGGCAAAGAGAAAGAGGGGCCCCCTTTGGCAAAGTCGGTTCTCTCTCTGCTACTCCACTCTGCTCTCCAGCTCACAATGTGACCCATAGGGTCATACATTGCTTGATGGTCCAGGAGCTGCCAGTGGAGTTACCTACAGGAGGTGCCATATAGGCTGGGGAGAGAGAGGGTAAACCAGGCACATCTCAGGTTGGGAGAGGTTAGTGCACCTGGGGTGGGGTGTGGACGTGGATGGACATAGGGAGAGGCTTCACCAAGAGGGAAGAAATGAGACACAGCTTTAGAAGTAGGGAGTAGAGAGCAGGGGTTCAAGGCTCTAGGATTGGGCTCTGGAATCAGGCCCGGGGTTTGCATCTTGGCTCCCCTGCTGATATGGTTTGGCTCTGTGTCCCCATCCAAACCTCATCTCGAATTGTAATCCCCACATGTTGAGGGAGGGACTTGGTGGCAGGTGATTAGATCATGGGCCAGATTTTCTCCTTGCTGTTCCCATGATAGTGAGGGAGTTGTAGTGAAATCTGATGGTTTTAAAGTATGGCACTTTCCCCCTTGCTCTCTCTCTCCACCATGTAAGACGTGCCTTTCTTCCCCTTCATCTTCTGACATGATTTTAAGTTTCCTGAAGCCTCCTCAGCCATGTGGAACTGTGAGTCAATTAAGCCTCTTTTGTTTATAAATTACTCAGTCTCATGTAGTATCTTTATAGCAGTGTGAGAACAGACTAATACATTTAAATGCTACCTCTTTATTTTTTTATTTTTATTTTTATTTTTTGGACAGAGGATCTCGCTCTGTCACCCAGACTGGAGTACAGTGGCTCAATTATAGCTCACTGTAGCCTTGAACTTCTGGGCTCAAGTGTTTCTTTCACCTCAGTATCCCCAGTAGCCAGCAGTATAAACGTGTGCCACCATGCCCAGCTAACATTTTTTTGTAGAGATGGAGTCTCACTATGTTACTCAGGTCTTGAACTCCTGGCTTCAAGCAATCCTCCTACATTAGCCTCTCAAAGTGCTGGGATTATAGGTGTGAGCCACAGTGCCTGGCCCCCATACTAGCTCTGTAATCTAGAGCAGATAATTTTTATGAGATTCACTATCTCTTCTATAAGACTGGGATAATAATAATAGTATCCCAATCTGAACTCAGAAATTAGCACAGCATCTGAGAAACAGTGAGTGTTCAGTATTAACTATTATTAAATAGTGAGGAGAGACAGTAACATTTCAAACTTATTCAGAAACACAGAGAGAAATAGGATATTGGCCTTTCCCACTCAGGAATCTCATTACGAACTCAGTGTAATGAGAATTCCCAAACATGTGTCTCCTGAATGCCAGGTCTCTGAATACTTGACCCAGAAGTTCTGCCATGAAACCAAAAAAAAAAAAAATGCTCATTTTTTTCAATTCTCAGGAAGAATAAATAATTTACTACCATAATTTTTTATTTCAAGTTTTCTTCCCAGATATATTTTTATTAGATTTTAGACATCTGCTACCTAAAGTACTGGCAGATGACAAAATAAGTGAATAAGCATAGAAATATTACCAGGAAAACTCAGATGCAGCTGACCATGTTTAGACCAACAGCTTGTTCTTTTCATGGACGTGTGTACTCAGGACTGTGGTTTTTAAATTGTACACAGATTGTCATATTGTCTGGAAGTAAAACTGTTCCTATTGCATATACTGGAATTAAATATATCAGTGTTTAATGGTGTTCTTCAAAGAGTGTCATGCCTTTCGGAGGCACTACCTTCCAAATAAGTCGGAGAATCACCAACACAAAAGTATAAAGCCTTTAATAGATAGTTCCTAAATCATAATCTCACTTTCTCAGGAGCTGGGAAGTAGAACATTGGGGAAAATGCAAGAGTGGCAAAAATAAAAAATAAAAAGGGAAGAGAAGGAGATTGATTCTGCTATCCTTTTAAAGAAGAAAGTTAAACCCAGGAGTTCCGGAGATGGTCGATGATTTGCCCAAGGTTACTCAGAAGTTGACAAAGGAACTAAGACCAAGAATGACATCTCAGGGAGTAATAGTTCATAGAGTCTTCACTGTGTGCATGAAAATCAACAAGCCTCCCAAGGGCAATGATAATGAGCAGTGTGATTTAAGAACTCTGACTGGAACATATTTTGAAGTTCCTAGTCCCAGAGGCACAGTAACTAAAAGGGTCTCCAAGCAGCAGGCAGAAAGTGTCTGGCCCTTTTAATGGATAACACTCCAGGTTACCACTGATTCCCTCCCTGCACCCTGCACATCTGTCCAAACCACTGTGTCTTTGATTACACCAGAAAGTCTCCTCTGTCAGTTATGCCTGTGCCCAGCTCATATCATACTTATTCCATGGAGTCTTTGATTGGAATCTCTCAATTCCAAACATCTTTAGTGATGGCTTTTACCTGCTTTCCAAAGGGCAAGATCCCAATGAGAAATACACTGGTATGACTGGCATTCGCTTTTTTTATTTTTTATTTTTATTATTATACTTTAAGTTCTGAGATACATGTGCAGAATGTGCAGGTTTGTTACATAGGTTTGCTGCACCCACCAACCCGTCATCTACATTACGTATTTCTCCTAACGCTATCCCTCCCCTAGCCCCCACCTGCTGACAGGCCCCTGTGTGGTAATGTTCCCCACCCTGTGTCCATGTGTTCTCATTGTTCAGCTCCTACTTATGAGTGAGAACATGCAGTGTTTGGTTTTCTGTTTTTGTGTTAGTTTGCTAAGAATGATGGTTTCCAGCTAAAGACACCTGCACACGTAAGCTTTTTGCAGCATTGTTCACAATAGCAACGACTTGGAAACAACCCAAATGCCCATCAGTGATAGACTGGATAAAGAAAATGTGGCACATATACACCATGGAATAATATGCAGCCATAAAAAAGGATGAGTTCATGTCCTTTGCAGGGGCATTCGCTTTTTATTGCTGCCATAACCAATTACCATATGTTTAGGGACTTAACACAAAGTTATTATCTTACGGTTCTGGAGGTCAGAAGTCAAAAATAGATCTTACTGGCTAAAATCAAAGTGTCGACAGGGCTGCATTTCTTTCTGGATGTTCTAGGGGAGATCTACTTCCTTGCCTTCTCCCGCTTCTAGAGGCTGTCTTCATTCCTTAGCCCGCAGCCCCCTTGCTTCACCTTCCGAGCCAGCTGCGTAACCTCTCTCTAACCCTGCTTCCATCACCACGTCTCTTTTTCTGAGCAAGGTCAGAAAATGATCTCTGCTTTAAGAACCCATGTGATTAGATTGACCCCAATAAGATAATCTCTTAACGTGAGTGTCCATTACATCTGCAATGTCCTTCTGCCACGTACGATAATAATTCTCTGGTTCTAGGGATTAGGATGGGAACATCTCTGAGGACCCATTATTCAGCCTAACTACACTTTGCCTTTGGCCCAAAAGATTCACAACCATATCACATGCAAAATGCATTCACCTTATTCCAAGATACCCAAAACTTCAGTCCATTACAGTATCAACTCAAAGTTCAAAATCTCATTTAAATCAAATCTGCTCTTGGATCTGTGAAACTCAAGAAACTTGTCTGTTCCCAAAATACAATGCTGAGAAAGCCAAAATAACATTTATAAACATTACTGTTTATAAAAGTAGGGGAAAATGGAAGGGAAAAAGAAGTCAAACAACTTTGAATTCCAGCCAGGCTAACTCCAACAGGTTTCAAAGCCTGTGAAGCATTTTCTGAGTCTTGTGGCTCCTCCCTCTGGGATCTTGGCTCTACTCTCTGCATTCAAGCCTGCCCCTCTGGGCTTCAAGCTCCATCTTCTCAGAGATCTTTAGTTTTCCATAAAAGAGAGCACCTGCTTATAGCTGAGTCATTTTATCAGCTTGTTTCCAGCCAGTAGAATTTTGAAGGCCAACTGTCTTAGGTAGTACTCTATTTCAGTACAAGCTTGTGATGTTTTTGCTGATACAAAGTTCTCAATAACTTTTTGGGTTTTCTGCATCATGACAGTTCACACACAAGGTCCATCTGTTCCCAAGTCCCCCAAAACTATCCTAAGTTTCAATTTCCTTTCCCCCCAGTACAAATAGATTCAGCCCAGGAATGAGACTCAAAGTCCTCTCAGAAATGTTCACCATTGCTCAAGTCTTTTGCTTTTGGTGGGGGGGGGGATATTCTTTGGGGTTATTTATTATGGCTTTAGGGAGAAAATGTTCTTCTACCATCCTCCCTTCATAACATGCTGTTACCTATGGAATAAAATATATGCTTTATAGATTAGTCGTCTCTGCTGTTTGGCTTTCGATAATCAAAGATAGGGTTTTATCCTAGAAGAAAACTACAACTCTCTCCAAAAGCCTGACTTCCTCAAAAGAAAGGCTTGACTTCTGAAACTATGATATCCAATAGGAGATGTTAAAAGTCCATTCAGCTACTCGCCTGATTTCATCCTTCTAGTTAGTGTATAAGTTCTCATTGATTCCTGAATATGGAAGAACCGTTCTGAGCAAAGAGAGCATTACGTCTGTTAATAATCAGATTATGCACTGAAATATGTTATGTGATTCAATACTTTTGGTAATTCTCAAGGTAAGAATTAGCATTTCCATTTTACTGTTGAAGAAATAGGCACATAAAGTGTGAACAATGTGCCCAAATCACAAAGCTTAATGAAGTGTGTAAGTGTATCATTCAAAATTCAGTCTGTCTAACTTCAAAACTGAACTGTAATGAGGAATTCCTAGAAATATCCAAACCAGATAATCTTGCCAATCCTCAATTTCTACATTCGTCAAATGAAACCATGACCTATAATCCTCTGTTCACAATTCCAGAATCCAAAAATACCTGAAAACTAAGTGGTGTTGGTATTGTTGCTGTTTGCAAGTTTGGTGACAAAACTAATATGGTGACAAAACAAGACCAGAACTGACATTTGATGCCAGTTTTATCTCAGTACTTCTATGAGTTGCATGTGCCTTTGTTGCTAGCTGATGTGTTTGATGTATTGTGGGAGTTTTGCAGCTTTTAACTGCACTCTGAAAATGTCAAACAACAAAAGCCAAGATAACTCTACCAATAATAGAGACCAAAAAGGAAGAAGTGTTATTTTTGTGAAGAAGTGTTATTTTGGTCGATAACAAAGAAAGGGGAGCTTTTGCAGAAGTAATGGTGTATATGTGAGGTATCCACTACAATATAATGCAGGAACCTCTACCATATACAATTTTTTAAAACTAAAAGACGATTTGTTGATGTTTTACAGCAACAATGACAACCAAGAGCTAGAAAAAAATTAGTGAAATCTTACATTGGGGAAAATACAAAGATCTTGGTTTTGTGTTTATTAGATTTGAAAACAATAAAAAAAGATGTGTGTCACTGAATTATTTACTAATCATGTAACCAGCTAGGCTATTCCATGAGGGAGTGAACATTGAAGGTGAATATAAATATTCAGAAAGTTGACTGCGGAAGCTTCACAAGTATCATGGGGTAAAATATTTGAAAATATGTGGTGAAAAGGCTTCTCTTGATCATGAAGCAGCTGAGAATTACATGTATAAATTTGCTAGGATCATGTGTGGTAAAAACCTTAATCCTGAACAAATTTGCAAATCCTGATGAAACAGCTCTATACTGGTGCGATCAATGTTTCTAGGAAAACCTCAGCAATGACTGACAAGAGAATTCCAGCAAGTTTTAAGGACACAGAGCCAGAGCGAGTGTTTTCAGATGTGTCAATTCTACAGGAAAAATTAGGTTGACTGACTGGGAAGAGCAAACATCTGAGATATTTAAATGATGTACAAAACTCACCTATTGTCGCTATGCAGACAAGAAAGTTTGAGTGAACAGATAAAAACTTTCTGACTGATTCAATACCTGCTTTTGCCCCATGGCTTAAGTTCATTGCTGGCAACCTGGACTGGAAAAAAAACGTAGTTTTATTGTCCCAGATCATTGATCCACACATTCTCTTCCTAAACTTATTGGGGAAAATAATGTTTTAGCATTTAGTGTGCCCCTCAATGTTATATCTATAACACAGCCTTGTGGGCCAAGAAATTTTACACTCCATGGAGGGCAACCGTAGACTCCTCTCTACTTTTTTTTTTTTTCCTGTAGCTGTATGTTTGCTGTAATTAACAGAAGCCTGGGAATCTCAGACATGCTAAAAGAGTTGAGGAGGCCATTTCTATAGCAGCTAATGCTGGGCACAATATTAATACATCAACATTTACACATGCCTTGTCACAGGCTTTGGACTACAGAGAAGTTTGAGAAAGAACCTGCAGATAAAGAATTTGAAGGTTTCATCAACAGTGAGTACAGGATCAAGCCAAACCGTGTCACCTCATGGGTGACACTAAAATTTCATCAGCCACACATGTAAGTAAATTAGAAGTTGACACAGAAGTGCTGAACACTAACACCATTGTGCACCCCTGGAGTGATGGAAAAATATGGGAAATAATATTGAGCATGAACTCAGTAGAGATGACAATGATGCCGACATCATGAACATAGATTAAAATTTTTCATAGATGACAGATTAACAAAGAGCCCAGAAATAAAGCTGTAACTCTGCAGGAAATGAAGATTGTCCCATATGTACGCTCCTGTTCCTCTCCACTGACTCTATGTTTCACCCATAAATCTGATGATGTAGGATTTTATCATGTGTATAATTTGCAGAGTTCACTTAAATTGTGAATTATCTCTATTGATTTAAACTATTTCCATAACTTACCCAAAGCCTGTACCCCATTGTATCTAGGAAGTAACTAACTTGCTTTTGATTTTACAGTCTCATAGGTGGAAGTGACTTGCCTTGTCTCAGACAAGACGTTGGACTGTGGACTTTGAGTTAATGCTGAAATGAGTTAAAGAAAGAAGCACCTGCAAAAATGGCATCAGAGGAGATGAGGAATAGAGTGAGAGGAAAATAGAATTTAGACTACTCCTAAGGTAAGTTTCTGAGAGGATGAGTATACAGAACAAAGGCACTGGTTCTTGAGCCACACTGCCTGAGTTTGAATGTTGGCTTGGTCACTTCCTAACTGCATAACCTTCAGCAAGTTATTTTACCTCTATGGACCTTGTTTCTTTATCTGTAAAAGGACAGTAATAATGGAAACTATATCACTGGATGATTGTGATGAGTTAATATTTTAAACCACTAAGGACAGTGCCCAGGACATAATAAACACTAGAGAAGCAATAACTATTATTATTATTCTTTCAAGAAGGTAGTATTAAGACAAGTACTTCACACTTGGGAGAGACTTCAAAAATATTAATATAATAAATGATTAAATGAATGGCCTATATTTTACTCCAGACACTACATATATCTATTAGTCTGTTTTCACACTGCTGGTAAAGACATACCTGAGACTGGGCAATTTACAAAAGAAAGAGGTTTAATTGGACTTACAGTTTCACGTGGCTGGGAAAGCCTCACAATCATGGCAGAAGGCAAGTCATGTCTTACATGAATGGCAGCAGGCAAAAAGAGAGAGAGTTTGTGCAGGGAAACTACCATTTTTAAAACCATCAGATCTCATGAGACTCATTCACTATCACAAGAACAGCACAGGAAAGACCCATCCCCATAATTCAATCACCTCCCACCAGGTTCCTTCCATGACATGTGGGAATTGTGGGAGTTACAATTCAATATGAGACTTGGGTGGGGACACAGCCAAACCATCATTCCACCCCAGCCCCTCCCAAATCTCATGTCCTGACATTACAAAACCAATCATGCCTTAGCAACAGTACCCCAAAGTCTTAACTCATTTCAGCATTAACTCAAAGTCCACAGTCCAACGTCTCATCTGAGACAAGGTAAGTCACTTCCACCTATGAGCCTGTAAAATCAAAAGCAAGTTAGGCACTTCCTAAATACAATGGGGTACAGGCTTTGGGTAAATATAGCCATTCCAAATGGGAGAAATTGACCAAAACAAAGGGGTTACAGGCCCCATGCGAGTCCAAAATCCAGCAGGGCAGTCAAATCTTAAAGCTCCAAAATGATCTCCTTTGACTCTATGTCTTGCATCTGGGTCACACTGATGCAAGAGGTGGGTTACATGGTCTTGGACAGCTCCACCCCCTTGGCTCTCCAGGGTGCAGCCTCCCTCCCAGCTGCTTTCATGGGCTGGTGTTGTCTGTGGCTTTTCCAGGCACATGGTGCAAGCTGTCAGTGGATCTACCATTCTGGGGACTGGAAGATGATGGCCCTCTTCTCACGGCTCCACTAGGCGGTGTTGCAGTGGGGACTCTGTGTGGGGGCTCTGACCCCACATTTCCCTTTTGCACTGCCCTAGCAGAGGTTCTCCATGAGAGCCCCGCCCCTGTGGCAAACTTCTGCCTGGGCATCCAGGCATTTCCATACATCTTCTGAAATCTAGGTGGAGGTTCCCAAATCCTAATTCTTGACCTCTGTGCACTCACAGGCTCAACACTACGTGGAAGCTGCCAAAGTTTGGGGCTTACACCCTCTGAAGCCACAGCCCAAGCTCTACATTGGCCCCTTTTAGTCATTGCTGGAATGGCTGGGACACAGGACACCAAATCCCTAGACTGCACACAGCATGGGGCCCACAAAACAACTTTCTCCTCCTAGGCCTCCAGGGCCTGTGATGGGAGGGGCTGCCATCAAGACCTCTGACATGCCATGGGGACATTTTTCCCATTATTTCTCATTACTTATTCAAATTTCTGCAGCAGGCTTGGATTTCTCCTCAGAAAATGGGATTTTCTTTTCCATCACATTGTCAGACTGCAATTCTCCAAATTTTTATGCTCCACTTCCCTTATAAAACTAAATGCCTTTAACAGCACGCAAGTCACCTCTTGAATGCTCTGCTGATTAGAAATTTCTTCCACCAGATCCCCTAAATTATCTTCCTCAAGTTCCAAATTCCACAAATCTCTAGGGCAGGGACAAAATGCCACCAGTCTCTTTGCTAAAACATAACAAAAGTCACCTTTGCTTCAGTTCCCAACAAGTTCCTCATCTCCATCTGAGACAACCTTAGTCTGGATTTCATTCTTCATATTATTATCAGCATTTTAGTCAAAGCAATTCAACAAGTCTCTAGGGAGTTCCAAACTTTCCCACATTTTCTTGTCTTCTTCTGAGCACTCCAAACTGTTCCAACCTCTGCCTGCTACCCAGTTCTAAAGTCATTTCCATATTTTTGGGTATCTTTTCAGCAATACCCGACTCCTGGTACCCAAATCTTTCCTAGTCAGGGTTCTCTAGAGGGACAGAAATAATGGAATATATGTGTATGTGTGTGTGTGTGTATATATATATATGAGTTTATTAAGTATTTACTCACATGATCACAAGGCCCCACAATGGGCCGTCTGCAGGCTGAGGAGCAAGGAGAGTCAGTCTGAGTTCCAAAACTGAAGAATTTGGAGTCTGATGTTTGAGGGCAGGAAGCATCCAGCATGGGAGAAAGATGTAGGCTAGGAGGCTAGGCCAGTCTCCCTTTTCACATTTTTCTGCCTGCTTAAATTCTAGCCACACTGGCAGCTGATTAGACTGTGCCCACCCAGATTAAGGGTGAGTCTGCCTTTCCCAGCCCACTGACTCAAATGTTAATCTCCTTCTGAAACACCCTCACAGACACACCCAGGATCAATAGTTTGTATCCTTCAATCCAATCAAGTTGACACTCAATATTAACTATCACAATATGCTTATAATTGATTATTACCAATGGCCAAGGTAACCTTCTACTCAGTTTTTGCCTGTACACTAACTTGTCCAAGTCAGCGATCGTGAACCTGACCCACCAAAAAAAACAGTTAACATGAAGGCATTTGGAAATGATAATACTCAGAATTAATGCAAGTGTATAAAAGTGGTCACTCATAAAATAGTGCTACTAAGAACATAAACGAATAGAAGAATTGCTCATCTCTGCATTATTTTATCCCATAAAATAATCAGAGACATGTACAAGTATTATGCAAAATGGCATTCACCTTTTGTTAGTGTTATAGGAGGTTAGCCCTGCTGAAGCCTGAGCTACTCTTTATTAAATACCTATACACAACAAACAGAGTTGAAGATGCTGTGTTCACTGCATCATCAATATATCACAAAAGCTCTCCAAGGAAGGTTTCAGTTTCTCCATCATAAAGATAAACAAACTGGAATACACAGTGGTTGACTTTCTTTCCCATAGTCACCCGAGTGAAGTGAAAGAGCCTAAACTTGGATCCAGGTCCGACTGATACCACCGTTGTGTTCATTCTAATGTGCCATTCTGCTCTGTGGCACAGCATGCCTGTGCTAGTTACTGTTGCTATCCCAACCCCATAAATCGCTGGTTCAATGCTTCTAGGACTATCCTGCCAATTTTCACAAATGTCCCAATCTCATCTGTGAGTTAACTCTTTAAAAAGCCCTCACAATAAGGACAAGCAGTTGTTGGGAGGCCCATTTGCCTGTTTTCTCAGTGCCAGTTCTTGCCCTTTCCTTCCTCTGCTCTGATCACTGCAAACCACACTTCTTGGCATCCCTCACTCACTAGTTTCTCCATAATTTCACCCAGAGGAAAACACTGACATGAAATCTGGAGGTTAGAGAAGGGAAGAAGTCAGGATATTTCTCCCACTCTCCACTTTGGGAGTGACTCCCCAACCTGGCTGCAATTCCTCCGTGGTCCAGCTTCCCCCAGACAGTGTCCCTGCCTTTGGTTCTAGTTCTCCCTGGCTGGTTCCTCCTCCAAGATTACAGGTCCTGGCAGGTGGCACAGCTCTCGGATTCCAGTCAGAAACTTTCCTCCCTTAGTCACAACCTTAAGAATAATGTGATTTCCTGCAATTTTGAATCTCTGAGTTGTCTCACTTCCCACTTCCCACTCTGCACACCCCACTCTGATTAGTTCCCCACATTGAACTACCGGGCATGGTCCTGTTTTCCTGCCTGGCTGTGGACTGACATTGAATTCTCAGAGTGTGACATAAGTAGGTTTCTGGGCTTCTGGCACAGATTTTCCTGGAAACTAAAGCATTAATGACAAAGAAGGAAGAGCACTAGGGGAAGAATTTAGAGTCTGGGTTCGACTTCCAGAGCCTCACTACCTGCTGTGCCTTTCATCATTTTCCCACTCTGAGTCTCAGTTTCCTCATCTGGAAAATGGACTTATTGACACTTTCTAGTCCTACAAGGTTTGAATTTCTTGTCCTGGGCTCTGTAGTTCTCAGAGTCATCATTTGCATCCTTGCAAGAAATACCTCCACTGACCTCATTAGCCCCTAGCATATGTGCAGCTTCTACACCCACCTGCAAGGCAATAGAACATGATACCATGGGCTCCTGGAGTCTCCACAGCCAAAGCAGTCTTGCCTCTGCCATTCTTTTTTCACTCAAAGCAGAGGCCTCATGCTCTGTGCACCCCCTCGCACCCAGCCTACTATCCTCAGTTGTCCTCAGGTCTGGTTCTCTGAGGTGAGATGTACACTCTATTGCTGGGGACTTTCCCTGGTCTCTTCTCTGTGGGTCATGAAACTACCATCACATGTCTTATAATTTAGTAATTCTTTAACAGTGGGATCCAGTTATTTTGCCCTGAAGATTTTTCATTCTGAATTCAACTAATTGGTTATGATAATTAGCAGAAATGTAGTTCTCTATTACTCACTTGGAGAAGACTAACTACAATATTATAGGCAGCTACTCCTACCCAATGCCATGCATATGGAAATGCAGCAGACATCTATATTCGCTTACAGTTTCTGTTAGCTATATTAAAACCACAACTGTTAAGCCACATTTGGGTTCTACAGAATCTTCCCATGAGCTCTCTAGACTAGATCCAGCAGCTGCAAAAAGGCCCAAGAGATGAACCTGTCCTTGAAGAAACTGCAGGAGAGCAGAGGCTATTTTTTTAAACCATGCTTTTTTGTGTAACCATAAACTGCTTTTTCCTTCTTAAATTATGGAGTGGACAAAGCCAATGCTAAGATATTATCTGTTTCTTTACAAAGTCAAGTCAAAGTAATTATATACTTTTTCAAACTTGGCTATCCCCATGTCCCAGGGACTATGATACACCTCCCCGAGGTAACCCATGCAAGGTTGGGAATCATTGACTGGGAGGAAAGGGTCACATCAGAAGTTTTGACCTAAAAGATATATGTTCCACTCTTACAGCTTTCTCTGTTAGGATGCGTAGAGGAGCTACTGGACAGTAGAGACAACCCTGGCCTTGATAGTGGACAGACCTGGGTCCAAGTTCCAGCAGCTCTGCTCTTGAGGCCCAGTATCACCTAAGAAAAGTTGTCTCACCACGCTGACCCCAGTTTTCACATTTCAAGAAGACAAGTGAAAAAAAAATACCCACTCAGTTTTATCTTGAGGATTAGATGAGATGTGATAAAAGACAAACTTCAGCTGAGTTAAATGTAAAGGAGTTTAACTGAGCAATGAACAATTTGTGAATCGGGCAGCCCCCAGAATCACAGCAGATTCACATAGGCTCCAAGGGTGCCTCATGGTCAGAATAAATTTATAGACAAAAAAATTAAAGTGATGTACAGGAATCGGAGGTGAAGTACAGAAACGCAGTTTGAACATTCAGCAGTCTATGAGTGGTTGAAGTATGGCCGCCGGCATTAGCCAACACTCAGCCATTGTTACAGGTGCATACTGTTAATTTAGGTTTTCAGTTTTGTCTATTAAGCTGGGTTACAGTTCATCCACAAGGACTCAAATATGAAAGTACAGAATGCTTCTCAGGCCGTATTTAGTTTGCTTTAACAGATGTTTGAACTGACATATGTGATAGATAACATATTGAGGCCGGTCTACATGCAGACACTCTGCCAAGTGTTTACAAGCTCGTTGACTCCTGGCAATAACCCTGTGAGGCACATACAGCTATCCTATTCCACAGAAGGTAAAACTGAGGCTTCAAGAATTTAAGTTCCAAGCCTAAAATTCTGCAGTTGTTAAATAACTAAGAAGGGACTTCAATCTGGATGTGTTTGACCCTATGAGTGGTGCTTTTGACCACTGTGTTCTATGCCTCCCAATATGTAACTTAGTCCCCTTCTTTTTGACAGCAGTACTAACCACTTCCCCACTAAGACCCAGCCTATACTGGTAGTTAGGAATACTGGATCTGCTCACTCTCCTACCCGCCGTGTTCAGAACTAACTGCCACAGAGTTTTCACTCAGTAAATATTGGTTGACTGAATGGACAACATAACAAGGAATGAATACAAATGCACTTGAATTTGAATTAATACAGGACATTGTTTCTAAACCTTTTCACCAGTAGGGATTCCTTTTATTAATTTCTTCCCATGGGCCTCATGCTTTGATAAATTTCATCTTCCAAGCTGAGACTAGTGACAAATTGGGTTTTCCTATGTTTAATTAATCAAAGACAGATAAATTGCTTACCAGCACTTCTGAACAGCATGAAATACGTATCTTAACAACCCTGAGTTGTTTAATTCCAGGCTAAAACAAATACAATAACCTGTTAGCTTAGAGCTCTCACTTGCAAGCAAACGGACAATAACTCCTTATGATTTCAAAATTCCAAAACTAGCTTGTGAATCTATAGAGATTTGGGGACCCAAGTTAGGAAATGCTTCCCAATATGATTCATATCGTACATGAGAGTCACATCTTATAAGGCTTGGGCTTCAATGTTAGCAAGTAAGAAAACATCTGCATTTGTCCAAATTATCTTTGAAAACCCCTTAAATCTCCTAGATCCAAGGTTTTGTAGATAGAGTCTATACAATCTTCTACAGTAATATGTCCATAAATCTGTAGCAAGAGGCAGCAATATGCAGCACATAATCAAGTATATTTGCACAAACTAAAATTGAATATATGACATATAATTATATATAATTGAATATTCAGTATACATGTATGATTGAATCTGCAAGTTAGATGTGCACAGGATTTGATGCCATCATATTTTTCATATATACAGAATATATTAATATTTATGCTACAAAATTATTAAGTAAACAATGTTGTAGTTCCAAATAGCTTTAAGAAATTGGACTTTGCCAAGAGTTTTAAATTTCTGTGTTACCCTTCCTGCTAGCATTCCTCCATCTGGCCTACCCTAGGTTAACGCTAGCTTGCATTTTGCTTTGCTTTTTGATTTTAATACATATGTCAGTATTACTAAACAATATATTGTTTAGTTTTGTTTGTATTTTGAGCTTTATATAAATGGCATCATATGGCATGCATTTTTGTGTGAGTCACATTTTTTGCCCAACATATGTTTACAACTGTGTGCATGTGGGTATAGTTCATTTATTTTTCAGTGCTCTACAGAAAGTAATTTTTCAACTCAAGGTATTCCTTTCCTAAAATTAATTACTTTTGTCTAATTTAGCCATGTAGTACAAATGCATCAAGATAGAAAATGAACATTAACTGCCGCAACAAACAACACCAAACCAGAGTGGCATTAAGTTTTATTTTCTGCTCACACCGCAGTTGTATGCAAATGGGTAGCTCTGCTGGGCAGCTCTTCTCCAAGACATGACTCAGGGACCCCCACACCTTCCATCTTGTGACACCAACATCTTTGAAGCTGGCTTTCTGGTAGCCATAGAAACAAAAGAAAGAACAGATCTTTCAGGGTTCAGAGAAGGCTGAACAAGGCCTTCCATGTGCCCAGGAAAAGGAAACAGACTTGGTGAACATCTCTATGGTATTTGTCACATTTAAAATGCCACAAAAGAGTTTAGTGGGATTAGATTTACAGGATTGGCTTGAACAGGCTTTAAGTGTTATCTATTCTCACTCCCTTTGTTTTATCATCCGGTAAATTTTTTTTTAGTACCAACTCTATACCAGGCAATGATCAAGTGACATCCACAGCATCTGTAATGAGGAACTGCCCGCCTTCTGCTTGTACACTCTTCAAGCCAGGGAAGAAAGCACAGCCTCAAGAAAGCAATTCCCACATTTGCACAGCTTGAACTGATTACTATTCATGATGCACACATCAGGCAGTTCCAAATGATGACAAGAATAAGGGCGAGTGAGCCTGTGCACAACTGAGAAGGACTCAAGATGACCCACAGGTCAGATTTGTTGAAGAGGTCATTGATGCTGAAGTCATCTATGGTGATCACAGTAATTCCTTATTATGAGCATAATACCCCCGAAGCCTTTCTTTTTTTCTCATGTTCCAACAAATTTTCATACAGTGTTTTCCAAAGTTTGGATGTATTAGATGTCTTCAAATCCCAAAATAGTGGAGCCAGCTGGGTTTTGCCTTTACCCAACTGCTTCCCAGTTTTTCTTGATTTTTTTTTCTCTCCTAGCCTCTCTCTCTCTCTTCTCTGGCTCTTTTTCTCTGTCCTCTCTCTCTCACCCACAAACATGCACACACAGAGACACATATACACCCATGCACACACACACATGTACATGCACACACATACATGTTGAGACCAATACCTAGCAACCTAGCACAAACACACAATATCTCTAACACAGGTATTTCCAAGGGTTGTAAGTGTTTGATAATGTCAACAAACTCTATACAGGACAGGGACTTTTATAGAAACACAGGTGTCCACGTTAAAGCAGGACACACTTTTTCAAAAGGCACCGGCACAAATAAATCTCGTTCCCCCAAAACTATGTTGAAACTTTTTCTTCACTCAAAAATACTTCATACCTACTGAATCCAAACTCTGTTAGGATTATGTCTGCTATTGTCCTATGAGTTTGGAGTTAGACTGTGAAGTCCAATAACCATTTTGCTTCTGTATGTATATGTGGATAATACATGGAAAATTTTTAGGGTAACTAGCTTGAAGTCAGTTATACTAGTTATGTTTAGGCCAGAAATTGGAAAACATTTTCCTTAAAGAGCTAGATAGTAAAAATTGTAGGTTTTGAGGGCCATACACTCTCTGTTACAACCACTCCACTCTGCTGTTATGGAACAAAAGTAGCTAGAAATAAATGGATGTAATGGTGTTTCAATAAACTTAATCTATAAAAATCAGTGGTGAGCCATATTTGGACCAAGAACCATAGTTTCCTGATCCCTTGTGTTGACAAAGAAAAAAGCCAAACTCTGTAAAATGTTTAAGGCAATTTATTCTAAGCCAAATATGAGTGACCATGGATGAGGATACAGCCTCAAGAGGTCCTGAGAACATATACCCTAGGTGGTTGGGCTACAGCTTGGTTTTATACACTTTAGATAGACAGAAGTTACAGGCAAAGATATGCATCAATACATGTAAAGTATACATCTGTTCGACCTAGAAAGGCAAGACATCTGGTGAATGGAAGGGTGCTTATATGTCATAGATGGATTCATAGATTTTCTGATTGGCATTTGGATGAAAGAGTTAAACTTTGCCTAAAGAGTTGAAGCAAGTAGGAAAAAATGCTTAAGTTAGGATAAGGGAGGTTATGAAAACCAAAGTTCTTGTTATATGGATGAAGCCTCTAAAATAGCAGGCTTCAGAGAGAAGAGGTGGTAAATGTCTCTTTTTGGACCTTAAAAAAGGTGACATATTCATAGTTAAATCTCTCCACAATCCAGAAAAGACATAGAGAGGGAAGGAGATTCTCTATGGAATGCAGATTTCCTCTACAAGAGATGATTTTGCAAGACATATTTCAAAATATGTCAAAGAAATGTATTTTGGGGTAAAATACTGTGATCTCCTTCGAGGTCTGCTATCTGTCCTGTGATGTTATACCAGAGTCAGATTGAAATTTCATATCTTATTCCCACAACAACTCTGTTTTATCAGTCTTAGTATCTGTATGTTAATGTCACTGCTGGTCAGTTGTGCCTAAACTTCTAAGGGAGAGGGTATAATGAGGCATGTCCGACCTCCCTTCCCATCATGGCCTGAACTAGTTTTTCAGGTTTCTTTGGGACCCCCTTGGTTAAGAGAGGAGCTTGTTCAGTCAGTTGGTGAACTTAGAATTCTATTTTTGGTTTACACTGGCTTAGCCATAAAGCACGCAACCCTTGAGAAAGTCACAGAGTCACCTCTGAATTAGCTCAGACAGAGGTAGAGACTCCCAGTGTCGGTCACCTGAGAAAAAGAAAGTGGAACTTGGAAGGTGGGCCTGAAACCAGTTGGAAGGGGCTCTCCTGTCTTTCTTTGAGATTCCCTTGCTGGAGTCTCAATGTTACAGTAGGTAGTTAGTCATACATGAGCAGGGCAGGAGAGGGCTCTGAAGCCACCTTTGCAAAAATTACATCAGTGAGAAAAATTATAGCAGTAAGCTGAGCTAACCTACCCCCCATCTTGCCTTTCCCTTAATTATTTCTGGACTATTGGGCCAAGCTAACATTGGAAGACATCTAGGCTATAGTTTAAATAATAGGCCTTGTCCTAAAACTCAACAGATTTTTATAAAGCTAATGGGAGGCCATCAGGCTGGAAGGAGAGGAGCCTGGGTCCTGCTGAGGCATGGACATGAACAATTGTCAGCCATTATTCCGGAGGTTATAAGATATGCACCTTCTCCAGTTATTCCTGCAGATAACACCACTATTGTAGACTGGCCTTTTGAGATATCTTTTCAGGTTTTTTGTATGTCTGACACTCATAACTCTACCTAGTCCCGATGGTTTCACCTGCACCCACCAATCCCATTCCTGTGGCCTCAACCAGAAGCAATTCAGCCTGTAGAAAGACAGCTTTGACCCCCTTTATCTCATCTCCACCCCAGACAATCAACAGCAAACACCTGCTACCTGGCCCCTCCACCCCTTCCTCAAAACTGCCTTTGAAAAACCCTTAACCTGCAAGCTTTGAACAAGATGTTTTGAGTATGGACTTTATCTCCCATGTAGCATGGCCAGCCTCATGTCTATTAAATTATTTCTTTACTACAGTGTCATGGTTTATCTTTATGCAGTGGGCAGGAAGAATTCCTTAGGCAATTACAGCTCCCCCCCCACCACACCCACCAAACAAGAATGTCAGGTGACATTCTTGTCACCTGATGTTATGGTGTCACCATCAGGTGATGGTGAAGCAGTTGTTACACTCTCTCTCTAAAATAATAATTGGTCACAGCTGGTGCCAGGGAAAGGCAGTCTCCCAATAGACAGAAACACCTGAAACTGGTGATCAGCAGCTTCCCAGAAAGATCTCAGAAGCTGGATGAATGGCTCAAGCATGCTCACTAAGAGACAAATGGCAGAGTTTACCTGGTATATGACCTTCCTCTAGGAACACTCAACTGGTAAGAGAAGAGTGCCTCAAGTGAGCAAGCATACAACTTCAGTAAACACACTGTGCATGTGACCCCTCCCAAGTGCTGGCAGGCCACTGGGCATGCAAAAGTCCACCCCAAAAGAAGGATCAGGGGAGAAGTAATGCAATCCCAAAAGCATGCCAACATGTAAGACCCTAAGTCGAAGGTCAAAACCGTGCACTTGAATCTCAAGTCACCAGCTTGGCCCTTTTCCAAGTGTGCTTTACTCCCTTTCATTCTTGCTCTGTAATTGCTCTTTCTTGCTCATTCTTGCTCCTGCTCTAAAACTTGTCTCTGTCTCTCCCTCTGCCTTATGCCTCTTGGTTGAATTCTTTCTTCTGAGAAAGCAAATAATTGAGGCTGCTGCAGACCCATATGGACTCACTGCTGCTAACATACTTCGGTGCCATGTGACTTGGATACATTCCCTAGTGGTAATATCAACTTCGAGGCTTGTAGACTTGCTGGCGGGCGCCCCAAGGTAGGAGCAAAATGATGGCCTTTGCCATTTGCCACATGGAGACACCTGTAGATTTTGACAAAGAGAACTTTGAACTACCCTTCAAACTAAAAAGAGAGGGAACTCTATGACAGGAGCCACTTGATCTAGCACATGCTACTCTGCGTTTATTTGCCATTGCTATCGAGCACCCTTGACGACATCATCTTTCACTCTACTTGCTTACTACTACCTGTGCTGTGTGGAGTAAATGAAACTTTAAGGAAAAGGGAGAGCAGCAGCCCTAAAGACCGAGTATTGGGATTTATGGCCTTAGAGAGCAAATGCTTCCCTGTACAGGCCCTAGGCTAATCCACCATCCCTGCCTCTTAGGTTCTCACTTTAGGAAATTAGGGCCTTCATTCGTGCTACCTGGTGAAGCCTCTTCCACTCAGCTTTGCTCACTTGCAACTGCCCTGCTCCATCCTCCCCCACCATGGCCATGCCCACATACTAGGTGAGTCCAGATTAACACTCCCATACCTGCTCCTCCTGCAGTCACCCGCATCTCAGCAACTGCCAATGCCATTTTCCCATGCCTCAAGTAAAAAACCTTTGAATCCTCCACTGACACCTTTTTCTGTCATCCTCATTAACTCCAGTCACAATTTAACCCCTTCTCACCACTTCTACCTCTACCACCCACCTGCGAGACATCATCACCTCTCCCTGTATGTCCCATCCCCTGGAGATCTTCTCAAGTCTCATCATTTTAAACATCATCCGTCTATACATGACAACTGCCAAATGTGCACCCCCAACCCAGACCCTCCCCTGAGGCCCAGACTCTTCTTCTCCACCATCTGTTCAGCATCACTACATGAAGGTTCACAGTTGTCTAAAAGTTATCAGGCACACATCTGAACTCCAAGTCTTCCTCTTCCACCCAGCTCTCCAGCAGTTTTCTCTATCTCAGTAAATAGTAACTCTAACCTTCTAGTGGCTCAGACCAAAATCTAGGATCATCCTTCTCTGTCTCTCTCGCGTTTCCACCTCTCCCCTTCTCCTTCTCTCTCCCCCTTCTTTCCTCTTTCTTTCTCTTCCTTCCTTTCCCCATATACAATCCATCAGCATATTCTGTTCCCTTTACCTTTAAAGTGGCTCCAAGCCCAAACAATCGTCACCCCCTCTACTACAGCCACATTAGCCCATTACTTTCTTAGACGGTTATAATAACTTTCTGCCTCCTGTTTCCAACTTTGTCTCCCTGCTGTCTGTTCTCAACCCTGCAGGCAGAGTATCATTTTAAAACTCAAATCAGATGAAGTCACTCCTCTGCTCACAACTTCTTCCAAATTATTTTTCTGATAAGCCTTGGCTACACAACTAATTATAAGCTGAACAGGGAAGAAAATGGTGGACTCTGGTATTCGGTGATCACTAGGAAGTCCCAAGGTGTTCATTCTGGTCTGGGGCTTAACCAGATCAAAAACGTGTTTATTTTTGCTTACAAAATGTTCATCTGCTCTGATGACAGCCAAATGCTCTGCTCTTTTACTTTCTTTGAACAATTATCTTGGACCTACTACTTAATTAGTTGATCATTATGGTAATTCGAGTTAATTTTAGGAAGTAGCTCTATACTTTCTAAATACTTAAAGACTACATTCTTGCAATAAATGTTAATATACCAAGCTATCTAGTTCAAAAATGCTCTCATTTGAACTCATTTTTGGCTTCATGATATTAGTAAAAATAAAATTGTTGAATGTTTACGATGCTTTTTGCTTGCAGTATAATCTCAATTAATAATCAAAATGCTCTTATGAAGTAACTACTATTTTTCACATATTTTAGACTAGCCAGTTGAGGCCCAGAGAAGTAAAGTAATTTTCTCAAACACTGACAGAAGTAAAATTTGAATTCACATACCTACCTGTCTGGCTGTAAAGTATGCCTCTGTTTGACCCCAACTGGATTGTTACTGTAAGGGAAAAGCTGTAGCATAATGAAGTCAAAAGCATGAGCTCTGGAGTCAGCTTAGCCCCTTTTGAATTTTGCCTACCCTACTGTGTGACTTTATCAAGTTATGTTGCCTCTCCAAGCCTAAATTTCCTCATCTGAAAAATAGGGCAATTAATACCTGCAATAAGCAATTCTGAGGGTAGAGTGAGATAAAGTAGGCAAAATACTAAAACATCTTAATTATTATTATTTTAGATTTGACAGGTAAGGAAAGGAAGAAACAATAAAATGAAGTGACTTACTTGAAGCTAAATTGCTGTTAGTAGAGGAGTCAAGAAGAGCTTAAGTTGAAATTGCTGACATTTAATTCTAGGCCTCTAAAATGGAAATTTTGCATGCTTCAATCTAATAGGTCTTCTGCTCCAAGTTCTGTGCTCAATTTACTGAACCACAGATTGTGATTATTTGAGAGCTAGTGTGGGCAGCTAGCTCTTCATAATCTTGATATAAAGATCTCTCTCAGGATTCTCTAGTTGTCAGTTACAATAGGAAAAGAGAATGGAGGCACTTTTAAATTCTAATATTACCTCAAATTTAGCAGCTTAAAATATCACGTATTTATGATCTCACAATTTCTATGCAGTGGGAGTCTAGGCATGGCTTTACCGGGGTCTCTGTTTAGAGTCTCACGAGGATGTGATTTTGGTGTCAGCTGGGGCTGCCATGTCATCTGAGGCTCTACTGGAAAAGACCTGTTTCCAAGCTCACACAGGCTGTAGGCAGAATTCAGTTCCTCATGGTTGTAGCACTGAGAACTTCGGCTTTCACTGATTGTTGGCAGAGGCCACCCTCAGCTTCCAGATGCTGGGCATAGTTCCTTGACACATGGGGTTCCCAACATGGCTTCTTCAAAGCCAGCAAGAGGGACCAGCAGGCTCTACAATCTTATATAATTAATCACATCATCATGCCCATTCAATCATGTCCATCCCATCATCTCAGCTAGAAGTAAGTCATAGGTTTTGCCCATACTCCAGGGGAAGAAATTACACAAGGGAGTCACCAGGAGATAAAGGTCTTGGGGACATCTTAAAAGTCTGTCCAGCATGCAGGAGATGGTGACAGAAACCCATGAAGGAAAAGATGAGTGATGATGTGTAGTTGTAGCAATTAGTCGGGGGTATTAAGAAAGCCAGCCCACAGCTTGCCATAGGGTACCTACTTCTGTCATTGACTTGATAAACTGGTAAGTAGAATGACAGATTCAAGCCAAAGGGTGAGAAGTTTTAAAGCTCTATAAGATTTGTGCACTTTAGGTATGTTACAATTCAATAAAATAGCCCTGGAGTTTTTTACTGTTTCTTACAGTTTCTCTTTAAGAAGCCACAGCTTATTTCCTCCTGTGAATGGTATGCTGGTGGTGTAACCTAATTTTTAACACTCTTAGAGGCCTGATTATTTTCCTTGTTTTAAATAACAAAAGAAATTCTAATTTAGTTCTTATTCAACCAAAACAAAACAAAAATCCCAATTTAAAAATATTGCTACCCCCTGAAGAGACTGGAAAAGTCAAGCATGGTTGTTTCATTTTAATGCTTGATCTCCTAAATAAGCTGACAAAGAAGTGATGTATTTTGATTGAATTTATCAAATTTTTATTATTTTTTGGTACCAGTTATTTCAGGGCAATTATGGCTCTATAATTCCATAAACATGTTCTGATGTAAACAACTGTGAGAACTGCATTTTTGAATGTTCCAACTGTGCCCACAACATAATCAGAAGCAATAATTTATTACTCAGACTAATAATTAGAAATAATTAACTACTCAAAGCAATTAGGAATAGTAATTTATTTCTTAACATAATTTAATGAGCTGCTTTTTCAATGTATGTTTGAATATTTAGCAACCAGTAATTACTTTTAGAGGAAAGAAAGAAATGTGCTTTTTAGTTAACAATCTCAGATGCCTAGCACAGTCCTGGCCCATTGACATGGAGGTTTGATGCGTCACTGGGTAGAATCTGGCTGAAAATGAGAGCTCTATGACATACTTGGGAAGAAATCGTTTCAGGAGTTCATATTTGTTTAATCACTAAATGAGTTTTTACTGAGTACATACTTGGTCTTATGGCATCTGTGCTAGGCACTGGTGACATAAAAGTGAATGAGATGGACACACTTCTTCCCCAAAAGAGGTCACATCTTACAGGAAGATATAGACATATGTGATAAATAGTGTGATGGAGAAGCAGAAGAAGTTACGGTGTTAAGGAGATGCAGCACAGAGTAAGAGCTTTTTGTTTTGTTTCTCATACACCACTGATATTCTCTGACTGGCGTGTAAACCTCGGTGTCAACTAGATGAAGAAGAAGGAGAAGAGTCTTTATGACCAACAGACACACAGATGAAAAGCCCCTGGGGTGGGACTGAGCTGGGCACTTCTGAAGAACTAAAGAAAGACACTGGGGGCTGCAGCCAAGAGAGCAGAAGGAGTTGGTGGCAGCATGGTCCCAGTGTACTTGGCCATCCTGGCCACATTGAGAATTGTAACCTTAACCTTAAAAAGAACACAGAGTCATTGAAGGGTTCTAAACTAGGGAATGATGCAATAAGATTTGCCTTTTTAAAAGATTCTTCTGGCAGCTGTTTGAGAATAAAATAAGAAAGGCAAGAAAGGATTTTGGAAAGCCAACCAGCATTCCAAGGAGCAGTTTAGTTGAAAGATATGGTGGCTTTAACCACACTGATGGCTGTGGGATGGAGAAACATACATACACTGAATCATGAGTATTTAGCAGTAAAATTGGCAGAACTTAATAATGGTTTAAACAAAATGACAAAAAGAAAAAGGAAATGACTAGTACAACCAAATGGATGTGGGATCATAAACTGATCCAAGGAATTTGAGACTAGAATCAGGGTGCAGAGTTGGTTGGCATGTGTTTGGGGACATGTTGAGCTTGAGGCACCTATAAGACATTAAGACATGAAGGGAGCTGTTTGATCAGGCAGCATATGTGCCCATTCAGAGTTTGGAAAACAAATCTCAACTGAAGAGATGTTTTCTGAGTGGCATCAACATAGAGAAGGGAATTTATTTGAAAGAAGGTATAGAACAGGGGTGTCCAAACTTTTGGTTTCCCTGGGCCACTTTGGAAGAAGAATTGTCTTGAGCCACACATAAAATACACTGACACTAACAATAGCAGATGAGAAAAAGAAAACAACTCAATAAAATCTCATAAAGTTTTAAGAAATTTTACAAATTTGTGTTGGACCACATTCAAAGCCACCCTGGGCCACATGGAGGCCATGGGCCACAGGTTGGACAAGACTGATGTAGAATGAGGAGAAAATTCAGGTGAGAAATGAGCCTAAAGAATCTCCATCTGCACAATTTCAGCAGCCAAGCACACTATGTCACTCCCCAAGTCTCCCCAGTCCTTGTGATGGTGGCGGCAACCCATCTGGAACAGCTGCTGTGAGGAAACCAGCTGCAGCAAGGGAGGTGTGCCTGGGGCTGCATGCTCATGGATCCTGCAGGAGCCAGAAATTGGTGATCCCAGCAGGAGCCCCTATGCCCCACCAAGTTGATGCAGCAGGAGCCCCATGCTCCTGGGCACAGCTGCAGTTGCCCAACTGTGGCTCCAGATCTGGGCATCTCTGCACTCTTGGGGGCCCAGGAAGTCCCCTGTCCCCACTGGCTCAGAATTGGCTGCTCCTGCCCTTGGGCAGTGCCTGCTCCAGTGCAGAGCGAAGTTGTGGCCAAGCCCAGGTGCTATCACAGCCTAGCCAGATGTGCATTCACTTGGGGGTGCTGACACACCAGCCCCCTGCCACCTCAGCCCTCTCTGGACTTTGGGCAACAACAAGCATGGGAGGGAGGCCAGGGGGCTGAGGCAGCTTGGCACAGGCCTGTGGGCACCCCTCAGCATGGACAGCCTGGGTGCTGTGGATGGCATGTTGATGGTTGCAGGAAGCAGATAGGTTCCTAGGTGGGAAGGGGTGGGTCCCCTGTAAAAACTCACCTTCAAGCCAGGGACTCCCAACTGAAGCCTGGGAGTCAGGCTGCCAGTTCTGGGTGGAGTCCACAACCTGGAGAAAGAATTTATGGTGCCTTTTCCAGGCCCACCCATGGCCACCCATGGACCAATCAGCACGCGCTTCCTCCCTTCTGAGATCATAAAAACCCCAGACTCAGCAGACTCAAACACTCTTCAGAACAACCTGCCTGTGGATAGGAGCTACCCATTTCAGGTCTCCTCTACTCTTTCAGGACAACCCGCCTGCAGATAGGGGCTACCTACTTCAGGTCTCCTGAGAGCTGTTCTATCACTCAATAAAGCTCCTCTTCACCTTGCTCACCCTCCAGTTTTCCATGTAACCTCATTCTTCATGGATGCGGGACAAGCACTCAGGATTGACTGAACAGCAAGAGTGAAAGGAGCTATAATGCTTTCCTGGCTGGCTTGCCAAGCTGCAGACAGTGACATGCTCCCAGACTGTGGAGCAAAGAGTGGAGACCCTTCTGGGGGCCCAGACCTTGGGATTCCCCAAGGCAAAGCTATAACACTGCAGCCCTCCTGCCCTCCACATGCACTGGGTAGCTGCCCCACACAACGGGAAACAGTGGCTGGGCTGAGCCAGCCCAAGAGCCGCAGGCTGGAGTGAGGTGGTGGGACTGAAAGAGCTGTAACACAAATGGGCTGAAACATGCCACCCTGACACACACACCCGCAACTTGTTACACTGCAGGTGATGAGCAGAGAAGAGCTGTGGCCCTTCAGGGAGCCCAGACCTCCAGGCTCCCTGAGCCAGGGCTGTGACATGCTGTAACAACCTCTTTGGGGCTCTGCGGTTCCTGGTGTCTCTGAGGTTTCAAGCACCATCACGTTGCCTTTGTCCAGATAGGGATGGCTGCAGCAGAAGCCACTTGCAGTATATCTGGTCCAGCCACAGCCTTGTACAGAGCTGGCACCAGTGCCTGGCCCACCACAGCAGCCAGCATGCTGGACCCCATGCTAGTTTGCTCACACTCCCCTTACCACTCTGCACCTGGCTTGTCCTTGGCAGGCATGGGATCCAGGCTGGTAGCACAAGTGAAGCACAGTCTACTGGAACAACTGCTGGGCAGAATGAGCCTAGTGAGTGTGAGCAAAACTCAAGCAGAGGTGCTGCCATCCATGGAAGTTTCTGGCTGGCAAAGCAACACATGGAGGATTCTGTGACACTTGCTCTGGATCCCCAGTGGTGACTCAGCTGTGATATTTCTCTGCTGACTAGACTTTTGGAGAAGGTAACTGCCATTGCTGCTGGTACCCCCTATGAGAACTCACTGTGGCTTTTCTCCCTAGAGCTTCCTGTTGTTCCCAAACCCAAAGACTCCTGAGGTGACCTACAGCTTCCTCAGTCTTCACTGTATTGATCCAGCCACACTAACTTTGATGCACAAATGAAAGTGTGCCCCTCTGCAACTCTGGGGGACATAATCTCTTCATCTGGATAACACAAGGACTCTACCTAGGAATCAGGCAGAGCCCCCACAGCAGTCTTAGGAAATGGATGTCTGGCTTGTCTTTGTAGTCTTGCTGTCTCTTCTGTCACCTGTCCTAAAACCATTTGCTCATGAGGCTTGTGCACAGAGAAACTTGGGGTGGGGCTGGGGCTAGACTGATCAGTGCATTGGATAAAACCAGTCTCTGAAACCTAGTTTTGTTTCAGGAACACCATCCTTCTGAAAAAAGTCAATGGTAATACTGTAGTCTGAAGCAAATACCAATTAAATTAACAGGAATTCCTGCAGTGTTTCAAGTTTATGAAATCAGCATACCTTATCTAATTTAATTTCCATAACAATTCTGTAAAGTAAATGTCATTACTCTCATGACACAGATGAGGAACCCAAAGGCTCAGAGAGGTTAAGTTAATTACCAGAATCACACAGTGCATGCTTGGTGAAACAGTAATTGAAAATTATATCTTATAACTCTAAATTTTGGACACTTCTTATTACACCAGGGTCTTCAAAGCTGCTCAAGCTAGAAGAATTATAATTGATCAAAGATTTCATAGGTCTCTGTGACCACAACATGAGAAATCTGATAGGACTACCCAGAGCAAAATGAGTCTAAGAAAACTTTTGATCATATTGAGTTATTTTTTTTTAAGTTGCAAAATTCAGGGGCAGAATCTTGATTCTGGGATGAACACGTTGGGAGAATTAAGAGATGATAAAGCATTATGAATTCAGAGACAAAACATGAGCAAACACCAAATTATCTAGATCTCCATTTAATATTGCATCATTAAGTAGAAAAAAAATGTGAACTGTGTTTTCAAAGTGTGATCCATCACCAGAAACAGAATCACCTAGCCAGAAACTGAATTGCATAGGATATAATTAAAATGCAGATTCCCTGGCCCTCCTCAAACCTACTGACTCAGAATTTTTGGAAATGAAACCAAGAAATACGAATTTCAAAAAATATGTTCAGTGATTCCTTTGCAACCTAAAGTTAGAAAATTACTGAAATGGACCATTGCAGAACTATTTATTAGCCTGTTAGCAGGAAATGAGGACAGCAGCGGCAAGCAGGACAAACCAAGTTTTCTTAATATAATGATTTTTCATAGTACGGATAAGCCTTAAAGCCCTTGAAGAAGTTTTAATCAATAGAGGCAGGTGTTGAAGAAAAGAAAACTGAGTTTGGCTGCAGAAATTTTAAATTTCTACTTTATCGGGTCATTTGAAAAAGTCACTTAAATTCTGAGCCCCAGTTTCCCATCCAAAAGTGATGAATTCCTGCCTTCCAAGGTAATTTTAAGCATTAAATACAATTCAGAGGGTGGCACATTGAAGAAAGTAAATCTTTATTTGGAGAACAGCTATGTGCCTTGTGTCCGATGTGTGTTTTTGTGAGTTCCCATGCATTCATCACTACGTTAGGATTCCAGCAAAGAGCAAACATTAAAATCAAGTCTACGATTATGAGGTCTTGACAAGTGGAGTTCTCAATTCCTGGAGAAAGACAGAATTTAATTTTATTGCAAAAGATGAATGACTGCAGGATATCAAGATATTTGCTGCCAGGGAGATGAAACAGTGAGTATCATTCCCCAGTATCCTCATTGTATTTTATCCTGTTAGCTCCAAAGCTGGGTCTCAAGCTATGCATACCCCTCCCCCAGTAAAAAATAGATTATTCTCTGAAAAGCAAAAATTACCTTCATGTATTTTCTGAATGATATGCTACGCTATCATTCTCATGAAATGCTTTTCATTATCTTGTCCTGAATCATTGTATTATTGTAGTATCTCCTGGCCTCTTAAGCACATAACACAGTGAAGTTGATTCTACTATTAGAATCCTCCCCCTTAATTAAATGAGAAATATTATTACTTCATCCCAGCTTGGACTAGCATTCACTTCCTTTTCACCCACTGTGTTTCATCTCATCCTCAAAATATCTGTATGTGCATTTCATTTCTGTGGTCAGTCAATAAGCATTTATCCATAATGAATCTTGCTTCTGAGAGTCCATTAAATTATTCCCCCAAAGAATTTCTTTATCCTCTCCCACTATCGTTTCTTGATACTAGGAAAGAGTTTAACTAATTCAACTAGGAAAGTTTAACTAACTTCCTAAGGATACAAGTTAAAATATCCAGCGTATGGTTATATGGCTCTTAAGAAGCAGAGGCTTGGAAAACTAAAAATAGGAGAGAAGGGGAAGAAGAAAGGAAAGAATTTGCTTGTGCCAAGCACCTTCCAAATGAAAGGCTGTAGGCTAAAAACTTTAGACTCATTGCTTCATTTAATCCAAATTATCCTTCCCCTCTCAATCTTTAATCTTAATTTCTTCTAACAGGTCCCCACCCTGGCTGCACCTATAGTGGAAATTTTATTTTGCTGGAAAATCCATGCACGAAATGACAGAGTGATATTTTTAACAATATGAACTGAATTTCCCCATCATTCAACCCATAAAAACCACCAACTCATCATTACTTACTGGCCCCTTCGCTCAAATATCATTTAAAAATACCTGTTTTTGGATGTTTTAACTGTTGACTTTGCTATGATGGCTCTGCCTCCATTCGTAGTAAATAATAAAGCTGAAAGAAGCCTTATAGATCAACTAATCTAATTCTCATTACCCCACTTTGGAGATAAGAACATTGAGGGCAGCGAGGCAGATAGCCATCCCCTACAACCTTTCTACTTGTCTGTGCATCAGCAGGTACTTAAAGGGCTAGAGAAATTCCCAAACCCACCTACCAAGGAAGGGTCACACCATCTGATTGTTCTAGGACTTTCATTTAACCTTCGATTCAAAGCTACTTTAATTATTTGTATTAGTTTACCCAGTTGCTTACACTGATTTTGAGGAACCACTCAATACGATAGACCTGGGCATAATTTGAGATGCATCCATTCCACAGCAGCATTCCAGCAACCAAGGAGTGAAACTGGCATGTCCTGCCCCACCACTGAAACCAGAGTTTCAAGTGGATACAATGTTGGGAAGGGTCAAACTAACTTCAAGGGATTGACCCTTCTCAACATTATATCCATTCTTTGGGGTCATGGTTAAATATCACTGTGCAGTGCTCATGGACACAAGGAAGTGAAGGTTGTGGGGTGGTCGACATTTTTACCCAAAGAGAAGTGGAAGTCTGATGACACCTAGAACCAATAACAACATGGAACCAACCCCATCGTTCTTGGGCTAGAGAGTCTTAATTATGAGTCCAACTATATACAGTTCTTGGACCAAAGAAATGTCCCACAGGTTTCCTCATTGCAGAAGAGATGAGTCAATGCTTATTCAAGTCAAAGGTCATTTCGTGTCAGGGAAAAGAAATGCACTGAAGCTATTTTAAAGTACCTGTGTTTTGTTTGTTTGTTTGTTTGTTTTGTTTTGTTTTCGTTTGTTTGCTGGGGCAGGGAGAAGATCTAACTGGGAGCCTCACAGAAAACCCAAGACTTTAACTAACACAGATGTCACAGGGGTGGAGCTGGGAAGTTGGAGATTTTAGCTACTCTTTCTATCTCTCAGAAACCATTTGGTCTCACTAATGGTCTCACTAATGGTCTCACTAATGTCTGCTTCTCTGTGACATTAGCTCCATTCTCTCTTAGCTCTCTCCTTTGGTCAGGACAGAACCCAATACCGAAGGCCCAACTCCACAGGACTTCCAGATATTGGAAATTAAATGTACTCTGTGTCTCTTCCTTCACCTGTATATTAGTATGCCTTGGGTCACATGTTTTTCCCTGGTCCAGTCAGCTATGGCTGGGGACAGGTTAGGAGGCACAGAGGGCAACCACCTCCAGAGGCTGAGTACGAGCAGCTCTAACTAAAAAGGGAAGTTGACTTTGCAAACTAATCGGCACCTTCAGTGCAACATTCAACTATGTAAGTGGATTTTCTGAGACCATCTTACCTCCGCTTTTCTTCTTCCTGAGGAAAATACCACAGGATGAAAGAATCAGAGATAAGCCCAAAGCAAGATTTGGGATTCCCTTAAATAAACAGAAAGTTCGTGACTCGAAGATAACGAAAAAATACCTGCATATCTTAGCCCGTGTGCACACACACATGCACCCAGCACTCCTATCCCAAATATTTAGCATGTATAAACATATTGGCAGTCAACATATTTACTGAATGATGAATGAATGAATGAGTAAAATGTGTATGTTTATATGGGTGTAAATTCCTATAGCTGGTAGTATTTCAAAATTTGGAAGGAATGATTTGCCCATCTGTGATTAACTTATCTCCCTTTGTCTTAGTCCGTTTGGATTGTTACAACAAAATTCTTTAGGTAGCTTATGAACATATAATTTTTTCTTTGTAGAGATGGAGTCTTGCTACATCACCAGGGCTGGTCTTTAACACTGGTCCCAAAAAATCTTCCCGCCTTGGCCTCCCAAAGTGCTGGGATTATGGGCGTAAGCCACGGTCCAGCCTTGAACAATAGAAATTTATTTCTCTGTTCTGGAGGCTGGGAAGTCCAAGATAAAGGTACCAGCGGATTTGGTGTCTAGTGAGGACCTGCTTTCTTGTTCATAAATGGTACCTTCTCACTATGTTCCTACATGCTGGAAGGGGTAAGGTCACTTAGAATCTCTTTTATAAGGACACTAATCCTCATCATGAGGCCTCTGTCCTTATGACCTAATTACCTCCCAAAGCCCCCATCTCCTAATACCACCTTAGGTATTAGAATTATCAACATATCTCCATGCAGACTATTCAAAATAACAAAGACATGGAATCAACCTAAATGCCCATCAATGATAGACTTGATAAAGAAAAATGTGGTACGTATACACAATGTAGCCATTAAAAGGAATAAGATCATGTCCTTTGCAGGGACATGAATGGAGCTGAAGGTCCTTATCTTTAGCAAACTAACACCGGGACAGAAAACCAAATACCACATGTTCTCACTTATAAGAGCTAAATGATGATAACTCATGGACACATAGAGGGGAAAACACACACTGGGACCTATCAGAGGATGGAGGGTGGGAGGAGGGAGAGGATCAGAAAAAATAACCAATGGGTACTAGGCTTAATGCCTGGGTGATGAAATAATGTGTAGAACAAATTAGATAAGCAAGTTTTTCCAACATTTCAGTGTAATTCAACAAATATTTATTAATATATATATACACAACAGATACATATATATACACATGTGTGTGATGAATACATATATATCACACACATAAATAGATACATGTACATGTGTGTTTATATATGTCTCTCAATAAATCAGGTAAAGGAGATAACTACATAAGCAATTAACCCATCATTTTAATTTTTTAAAAATGCTACAAAAAAGTACCTATCAGTTAATGAGAAACAGAGAGAAATAAGGAATTAATTCTACCTGGGAATTTTCTCATGTATGGCTTCGAAATTTCGATGGTTAGGAAAATTTGCCAGTTTGTACAAGAATTGAAGTCAAACTTGGATTGACAGGAGCCCACCTACCATATGAAGCAGGAGCAAAAGCCAAAATGGGAGTAGAAAGATCATTTTTAAGTTTGGGGGCATGATTTGGAATCAAATCACAGCCTTAGAGTCATAGGGCCTTATCTGGGACGTTCAGGTTGGATTTGGCCCAAATAAAATAATGCATTCCTCTGCAATTAACATCCTGGCTAGACCTTATTTTGGCTGAGACAAGCCTAGCAGGTGGCTGGGTACCAAATCAATGAACAGCATTTCCTGGCCAAGGGTAATAAGACAGCACTTCCCCCCACCAACCCTCCCCTTCTCACAACTTCCCAAAGCCTTTTCTCATCCTATTTGTTCAGCAAATTCTAATGGCAGCCATTAGCTACCAAGAGATGTATTTGATTTTGGAGGTGATGCAGGTGGAAAGGCCCTTTCTTCTTACTTTGGGAATATGATAACATTGTCCTGCATCTCATCAAATTTAGCTGAGTTTATTTGTTACTTTCTTTTTGTGACCATGGATGCCATAAGAAATGATCCTCTATAGACTGTGCTTAACCTATAGGTTGCCTTATGGGGTCCTGGGGAGATGTTTGTGTAAATCCAACCGATTTTCCAATGAACTCCCAAGGTTATTTCAGGACAGCTGCTCCTCATTAGGGATTGACCCACCATGAGCAGTCACCCCGAGTATCCCTGTCTCAATCTCGAAAGCTGTCTCCAGGTCTGAAAGAAAAAAATTGCAATGTGTTTAAGAACTGCATATTTAAGTGTCTCCATCCCGTTTAATAAAGTCAGCACAGTAAATAAGTTGGCCTGAGGGCTTAATAACAATGTAAAAATTGTTACAAAGCCTAATTCAAAAATGAATATCCTATAATGAAAACAGCATGGCTTCTAGACATCAACACACCAGCTCTGCTAGTTACCACCTGTGTGGCCCTGGATGCATGGCTTAACAAATACTTGCCTCAAAGGGCTAAAATGAAAACTCAGTTAGGCAATGTTTGTAATGTACCTAGCTCAGTAGGTGTTCCAAAGTTTGCCTCTTTCTCCCTGTCCTTCCTGTTGTAAATAAAGTATTCAGTAGAAACTAAAGACTTGTAAAATGAAAAAATGGCTGTGGTGTGACCCAAGACAGATGTGGCAAATTTTTATTCGTTATTCATCAAAAAAAATCATTATTAAATTCTTACATGGTGTGGTTTATAGGACCAGTATGGGATGTGGTGAGACATACAAAATTGAGAAACTGACAGATTCTAACCTCAGGAAGATTTCAAGTCTAATACATGATAAAAGACATATATTCAAAATATTAAAGAGTATGTCAGGTCATAATTTGTGACCTAGAAGTGGTGCCAATAATTATTTTGGAATCTCAGAAGATAAAAGATGATATAAAGTTGCTACCAATGAAGAAAGAATTGTGGGCTGGATATAACAACACACAGGTTGTATGACAAAGCCTGCAAACTGTCCTTGAAGGACTGAGTTAGGGTCACTGCTAGGAGATTCCATCCAGAAGAAATGAATGAAAGTATAGTTAAACTTTCAGGTTTTGAGAGCCTACTACGAGTCAAATATTGTGATAAATACTTCAAACATTTTCTCATTACTTCTTATCCTAATACTGCAAGGAAGATATTATATCTCCCGTTTACAGAAGAAGAAACTGCCTCTGAAAGATTAAATGACTTGCTGGTGGTTACACAATGAGAGCTGAAGCCACAGTTTGGGCCTAACTTATCTGACTTGTAAGCACCTGCTCTGAATCACTTTGCTAAGAACAGAAGAAAATAAATACAGGACGTGTATGGCAAACTGTGAATAGCCCAGCTTGGTTGGGGTTTAGAGTTTTTTAACATGAATGATAAGAGACATATAGGAAAAAAGGCTGGGTCAAAATGTGGGAAAGCCCCAAATGTTAGCTGAAAGGTTTTGGCCTTTGTATTGTATTTTAGACCTAATATACAATAAGAAGATAAGATTAGGAGAGTCAACAATAAGAAGACAAGATTAGGCCAGGCGCAGTGGCTCACACCTGTAATCCCACACTTTTGGAGGCCGAGGTGGGCAGATCACGAGGTCAAGAGATTGAGACCATTCTGGCCAACATGGTGAAAACCCATCTCTACTAGAAATACAAAAATTAGCTGAGCACTTGTAGTCCCAGCTACTCAGGAGGCTGAGGCAGGAGAATCGCTTGAACCCAGGAGGTGGAAATTGCAGTGAACCGAGATGGCGTCACTGCACTCCAGCCTGGTGACAGAGCAAGACTCTGTCTCAAAAAAAAAAAAATAAAAAACAAGACTGTATGGTTTCCATTAAGGAAAGCTCTAATCACGAAGACAAACATGAGAGATAAAGGTAGAGTAGGGTTTCTATAGCAAGAGCTTTCTCTTATATCAGCAAATGGGTCAATCAGGATAGGCTGGGTTATGCTCCGATTACCAAAACACCAAAGCATCAGTGGTTCAAAACATTACTCTTGCTCATGTTGCATCATCTACTAAGAGTTGGCAAGAAAGCTTTGCTCCATATCACCTGACCCCAGGAACTTGACTGATGAAGTGGCCACCAATGCCAACTCTGGCAGAAAGCAAGAGAGCTTTGGATAGTCTCACATCTCCGTTAAAAAGATCCAGCCCAGAAGTAACACACATCACTTCCATTCCAGTGTGTGGGCCACCTGACCACAAGAGGGTGCAAGCCTTGATTATGCCCAGAAATGGAAGAACGAGAATCCTTAGCAAACAGCACTAATGACTGTGCCAACAAAGAACTTGCCCAGGGTTTTGTGAAGATCTCATGCACTGTCATCTTTAGGAACGACTACCTGCTCTGAAGAAGAGGGGCAACCACTGGTGATGGTGAAACAAAATGTGACCTCACTCCATCCCTTAGATTTGAATTAATATAGAGAGTCTTTTTTGTCTTTAGTATGGTAAATATTGAAGTCAGAGGGTAAACTGCTCAACTAGGAAACTAGAACTCATAAGGGGAACCTTAAGTAAAAGTGGGTACCCTGGTCTCTCTCTGGGCCTCTGGCCTTGCATCTGGACTTTGGGACATGCTTAAACTTGCCCACTGGGTAGTAGGGGAGAAATGAGCTCAGCTAGGGAGCAGTCTGTAGGGGCATGTGCTCTAGATCATATGGATACAAGTTGTAGTATGTGAGTGTTTCCATTCTGTCACCCTTGTGCATTTAGTAGCATGTTGAATGTTTACACATAACAGTCTAGGCTCAGCTGAGTGGTTCTTTTGCTCATCTAGCTAGCAGGCATTCTTGTGATTGCATTCAGTTGGTGAATTAGCTAGGGGCTGGCTTCAGCTGGAGACTTTGGGATAGCTAGGATTCTCTCTCACACCCTCTCCGTATCATCTCAAGGCCTCTTCTTTTTTATGTGGCTTCTCCATGTTTCTTCCCCACATGCTTTCTCCAGTAATGTAATCTGAATTTCTACGTGGTAGCTCAGAGGTCCCAAGAAAGCAAAAGCAGGAGATTTACGGCTTTCTTAGGACTTAAACCCAGAACTTGCATGGCACCACTTCACTGTATTCCATTGGTTTAAAAGGGTCACCAAGCTAGGCCTCTTTGAAGGAGAAGAGACCAGCCAAGAACATAAATACAAGAAGGCATGGATCAACAGGGGCCATTAATGTAGCAGACCATCACAATAAGCTTGAAATGTAACATTCCATAGTCACAGCTTTCCTACCTGCTAGAGGTTAAAATATTTAGAAAATACAGAAAATAAGCTAGAGATGAGCCTTTATAAAGAGACACCAACACCACCCTATAAAAGAACTTCATCCACACATCTCATCCTCTACCAAAACACTATACAAAGTTTAGAGGAATCAACTTGTGTGCCCTCTCAGAGGACTAAGCTGGCTTTCCCCAGCCACAATCTTGGAAGAGAGCCCACAGTCACTCCCCAGGAGCCAGAAGAAGGGGAACATTTGGTCACTCACTTTGGTAAACAACTCTCAGACACAAACAGCCAAAATGACTCAGTGCTGGCTTCATGCATTCTGGGATGAATCAGATCAGAACCAAAGTGAAGGGATGAGAAGGAAACAGTAATGGGAATCCTGGAGTGGAAGTAGACATGACATTCTCTACTTCTAAAGGAGCCAACAGGTCACAGCTACCACATCCGAAGCTGAATGACCAAACCAGGTTAAAGAAGATAGAAGCCACCTCCACCTCTACGGAAGGGATCTGAATGTGGACATGACAACACGGGGGGTAAAAACAGAGATATAAAAAAGCAGTTTGCTTTATTTCTTGTTTTATAAATAAGGCCAATTAAACATTTTATGGCATTGTCCTGATACTCTGATTTTAGCAACCCTTTATCTTTTATCTTCAGCCTGTGAGATCCTAGTGACTTTCCGCTTTCCTATCTGAAGAATTAAGATTAAAAACCACTGTCAAGAGCTGAAAAGTAATAAAAGTAACTTCAGGTTCACAAAAGTCTGAAATTGAGATATCCTGCTGTATTTTTATTTTCTTGTTTCAGAAGCAGAGTGATTAGATAGATGGTAAGAAGCTGCTTATTAGATGCATTAAAGTCCATCCTCCTTCAGAGTAACACTCATTGTAACTCTAATATTTCCAAGAGTAGAAGGTGAACCACGTATCCTCACCACATTTTGGTTTATCAACACTTATTAAACAACACAAGAGCCCTGTCTGCTCTAAGTTGAGAGCTCAAGCTTTGCCAACAGTAACGTGAGGACTTTGTAATAATCACTGCATTAGTGTCCAGGCAGGAAATGGAATTCTACTCAAAAGGATTTAACAAAAGATAATTTATGACCATTGATAAAAATAAGGGAATTAATGATGTGGAGGCACTCGGAGACTAGCAATAGCGATAAGTCATTACCCTGCGAGGAAAGGACAGTGGGAGGAAATACTGTTACCGTAGTCTGGTGAGCACAGAAGGAGAGAGAAGAAAACTCTCTGCAGGAATTCTAGTGTCAAAAGATGCCACCACTACCAAATTGCAACACTGAAACAGGGAGGGGCAGGAGTGTAAGTATCCCAAATCCTCTCTCCTCAAACCCTCCAAACACCCCAATCTCCAGATGATGTCTTCCATTGGCCAAGTCAAACCATAAACCAGGGAACCAACAAAGCTCTTAATATAGTCCAAACACATCAGTCTCCAGTGAAACAAGAAAAGTTCCCTTGTCCCCTAGCAGGACGTGCAATGAGGGTGTGGCTCACTTCTTCAGTGTCCCGCTGCTCATACCTCTAGGGGAGCATACAAATGGGCAGGCTGTGGGATTCCGACCCCACATAAGTGTCTAGGGTTGGATATTTACAGATGAAGCCCCAGTGGGCATGTGTTACAGGGTGCTCTTTTAATATAGCCGTCCGTAGGTGGCTTGCGTGAGTCAGCTCCATTAGACCCTTGCCTTATCACAAGGACAGAGGGCTTTCTATATCCCGGGGTTCTTGCCTTGGTGTACCAGAAGAATCAGATCACACGTGGTCTTGGAGAATGAGTGCAAGGTTTTATTGAGTGGAAGTAGCTCTCAGCAGATGGGGGAGCAAGAAGGGAGATGGTTTTCCCCTGGAGTCGGGCCACTCAGCAGCCCGGGCTCTCCTCTGACTGCCCTGGCCAAACTCCAAGTCATTTTCTTGGTAGATGGCCTACCAACATGCCAGTGTGCTCCTATGCTGGTGAGTTCCTCTCGACATCCAGCCGCCCATGTGTTCCTCTGCTGATGTGCTCCTGTCGACATCCAGCTGCCTGTATGTCAGCCTGCTAGGGTCTCGGGATTTTTATAGGCACAGCATGGGGTCTTGAGAAATGCAACATTTGGGCACAAAGGCAGGAGTGCCTGTCCTCACCTAAGTCCATGGGCACAGGCCGGGGAGGAGCCCTCACCGGGGACCATGCCCTTCCTTTCCCACGACTTCCCTGCCCCCCTTCCATATCACCAGCACACAGAGAGCTGAGCAGGAAACGCAAAAATAGAAAATGAATTAGCGGGCATGGGGATAAGCATCAAATGGAGAATAAGCCAGCACAATTATGGAAAACAGGAGTGGAGGATAGCAAGGCGGGAGACGTTACCACGAGTTACAGCAATAGTAATGGGAGCATAATCAACTCTTTGAAACACTCGAAATTATATTCAAAGACTCACAAAGGAAAAACACTGAAGGCTTTTATTCACTCCATATTACACATTTGGGCAAGTCTGGAGAAGAAATAATGAGTGGAGCTTAAAAGTAATTATGGAACACTGCCTAAAGAATAAAAGATTCTAATTAGAGGGTCTAGCACCACCAACCTGTGAAAATTTCAGCATCCCAAATAAGCATTAAAGTTTTATGGTTAATTGAAACAGTTTGTACCCGTGAAAGCCCATTAGTTCATAATGATATCCCAAAAAATGAATTTAAACATAAAGTATTTTTAATGCAGGTGTAAAAATAAAAGAATGGTGAATATAATAAGGTATATTTAATTTTACTTCTTTTTAGGAAGTTTAGAGTACAGACATATATGCATATTTTGTTTCTTCTATTCAGTACAAGTCTATTTATAAAGTTTCAATCTGTGCTATTTCTCTTTGTAGGGTGAAAAAAATGAATACAATGAACAGGTTGAGAAAAATACTCCTAGAGAATATATACAGTAACCAAGTATAAAAGCAGCTTGAAATATGTTCCAAAATTATAAATAAGGCTTACATTCTTAAAGAGGATTATTAACTATGCAAACTCATTTTCTCATCTCTAAGAACAAATGTTTGAAATTTAATTAAACACTATAAAACACATATTGATGACATACATTTTTAATAATGCAAATAGACCAGGTTAATATATCGCAAAAGTCAATATGTTATGCAACACAGGCCAAGTGAGATATTAAATATACATCATGACTTCTGTTTCTATCCATGAGGAAGTAAAAGAGTCTGAAATTACCTTCACACTATTTACAAAAAGAAACAAGAAAACTGGAATATAAGAGAAAACTCTTATTGGATAACATGCATAATGGATTGTAATCTCTGGAAAAGTAAAAACAAATATGAGCCCTACCATCATCCAGGCTTTCTGCCTACAAGTAATTTCTAAAACTGTGGCACAAGGGAGGAAAATCCATACAGAACACAACAATCTTGCAAAGGTGTAGAGACAGATTCAGAGTTCAGGGAAGCCAAAGTGATTAGAATTGGTGGGGCAGCTTACCTAACAGGAGAAATCTATGCAGAAAAAGAATTGCAGAAGTCCATATAATACTTGAGTCCTCGGCTTAATACCAGTCTACACATGCATAGGGTAAAACTTCATGAGGCCGGGCAAGGAACAGCTTTCAAGGAAAAAAATATTATTCAACAGCTGTAAGTCAAAAAATTCCAGGAGCTCACATAGGGCCAAGAATCATTAGAGATTCCACTAGCCAATGGAGAGAGACCTCAGTGAATAGAAGAGGTAATCTATCTGTAGAGTTTTCAGAAGCTCGTGCATCAGAAGTGAGGATAAATTAGCCATGAAGTAATAGTAATTCTAGATGTACCCTAAAGTACCTTTTAAACAAATCTTGAAAGAATCAACCGATCTACAAGTAACTTAACTTTCTGACAGAAGAAAACCTAACATTCTTTAAGTATAACAAAATTCAGCCATCAAAAACATAAAATTTACAACATTCAGTACACGTTGTGTTCAATTAAAAAAATAGACATACCAAAAAACAGAAAATTGTAATGCATAACTGGAAAAATGTCAGCCAGTTGAAACAGACATATAATGGCAGCAATGATAGAATCAGCAGACAGGACATTAAGAACAGCTATTGTAAATATGTTTCTTCATATCCTCAAGGATGTAATTGAAAAAGATGAGCATAAGAAGAAAAAAAGTGGAAGATATAATAAAAATAACCAAATGGAACTTCTAGAGGTCAAAAATAAAATAATAAAACTAAATATTAAACTAGATGAAACTAATAGCATAGTAGATACTGGAGAAGAAAAGGTCAATGGATTTAAAGATATAAAACTGAATCCCAGCATAATTAAAACTTCTGTTTTTTTCAAATAAGAAAAGGCACACAGCAGACTGAGAGAAAATATTCCCCACACAAATATTCCCAATATGTATCTGAAAAAGCCCTTATATCCAAAATATATCTTAAGACTCTTACAACTCTATAAGAAAACAGAAAAAAAAAACCATCTTTTTCAATAGGCAAAAAATGAAATAGACGCTTTACCAGGAAAAATACATGAATGGGCAATGATCATATGAAGAAGTGGTCACCATCATTAATTATCAGGGAATTGTAGATTAAAGTTACAATGAGGAACTACTGAACACCAAGTAGAATAGTTGAAATTTAAAAAGAAAAACTGACAGTGCCAAAGTTTTCACAAACGTGGAGCCACTAGAACCCTCTTATGCTGATGTTGGGAAAATAAAATGGTAAAACCACTTTAAAAATTTGTGTAGTTTATTAAAATGTTAAATATACGCTTAACCATAGAACCCAGAAATTTCACCCCTTTGGTAAAGAAATATGAAAATGTATATTCACCCAGAGGTCTGTATGCTAATGTACATAGCACCTTTATTTGCAATCACCCAAAACTGCAAACATCCCAGATGTTCATCGACTGGTGAGTAGATAAACAAGTCGTGTATCTGTTATTAATACAACTACTATTACTACTATGCCTCAGCAATAAAAAGTAATAAGTTACTGATATACACAACATGAAATAATCTCAAAAATATTTTGCTGAGCAAAAGAATACAGATAGAAATGAATACATATTATATGACCTTGCTTATTCAAAACTCTAAAAAAGTAAAAATTCAGATCAGTGGTTGCAGGGGTCAGGTCTGGGGTCATGGGGGGGTTTCACCAGCAAAAGGCACGAGGGAAATTTGTGTGATAATGGAAATATTGTGTGTATTGGTTGTGTTGTTGTTTACATAAAGTAGTATTTATTTGTGAAAATTCATTAAACTGTACACTTAAAATGGATGCATTTTTGTACATAAATTACATCTCAATAAAGTTTAATAGAGAAAAAATACAATAAAATAAAAATTAAAGAAAAATATGTACATCATTTTGTAGGGAAATACCAAATTGCAAATATGGAAGGGGTGCATCTAAAAAGCCTTATTAGCATAAGTTTATCTCTACTGGTCGGTGACGTATATTTGAATGGCCTTGGGCAAGCCAGACGTTCTTGTGCTCTTGACTGAGGATCAACTGACCTAAAACCTAAGTACTGAAATCTTAAATAGTCCACAAATATATTCTTTTTCTTTGGCATCTGGTAAGATTACTGCTTTCCTATATTCCAAATTATTATTAATGAAGGTCCAGAGATACCCCAACTACATGAATAAATAACCCTTAGAAAATATAAAACAAAATACAGATAGCCCCTGACTTACAATGCTTCAATTTAGGACTTTTCAACTTTACGATGGTTTGACTTAAGACTTTTTTACTTTACAATGGTGCAAAAGCAATACCCATTCAGTAGAAACTGTACTTCAAGTACCCTTACAACCATTCTAGTTTTCACTTTCAGTACAGTACTCAATAAATTGCATGAGATATGCAACACTGTTATAAAAATAGGCACTGTGTTAGATGATTTTGCCCAACTGTAGACTAATGTGTTACAGCACATTTAAGCTAGGCTAGGCTAAGCTATGATGTTTTGTAGGTTATATGTATTAAATGCATTTTAACTTACAATATTTTCTACCTACAGTGGGTTTATCAGGACATAATTCCATTGTAAGTCGAGGAGCATCTGTATAAAGCTAACAAGAAAATCCATTGAAACTATAATGAAGAGTTAGAATAGGTTTGAATATAGGTATAATAAAGTATTTTATAATTATTCTGTTTGTGTTTTGCCTGCAGTTTAATTTGTGTGCAGCATTTAAAAGAATGTTATACTAAATTGGAAGTTGCAATCAATTATTTGAGAGAATTTAATTGATCAAAATTTAAATCAGTAATTTTAATATTCATGAATTTTTTTCAAAGTTTAATTCTTAGATATATGAGCTTAATAAATTGCATGTGAAATAAATTATAAATGTTAGTGAGTATTTACATCCATGTACAAAAAGCGCCTCAGACATTAGCATATTGATCAATATAAGTGAGAGAAACAAAGCCCAAAGAATTTCCATAATTTTTCTAGTGTCACAGGGATTCCTGACTTCTGGGGCCATAACTTTCTTAATACACTAAATTATTTCTTAAGATATAAGATTAAATATATTCTAGGAAGTGAAGAAAACATAGGAAATGATTGAGAAATGATCTTTTGTCATAAATGAGCATGAAATGACGTGGGACAGTACGGTGTGGCAGAAAACCATACATTAGGTATATCTCCTAATGCAAATGATGAGTTAATGGGTGCAGCACACCAACATGGCACATGTATACATACGTAACAAACCTGCACGTTGTGTACATGTACCCTAGAACTTAAAGTATAATAATAATAAAAAAAAAAGAAAACCATACATTAGATCAGAAGCAAGGGGAGATGGATTCTTCCAACAGAGTGACCACTCAATAGCTATGTGAACCAGAACAAGTTACTTCACCTATCCAGATCATCATTTCCTAAGAAAGTGACTGGCTATAGAATTACCGGATATCTTCTGCCTAATGATATCAATAATGAAAGTTGCGTTATAGCCAATGATATTGTTGTCACCCACACATATAAAGCAATAAGATTTAAAAAATAGAAATTTTCAAAAATCAAGGCAACAGCAAAATAGAGGAAGATGAGATCAAAAGGAAAACAAATGCCAAGAAATTCAAGTCAAAGTTAAATGTAAATGTAAAGTTCAATGATAAATTTGTCTCTAAACATCCTGGCAGCCAAAATAAAATGAGAAACAACTAGCTATGAGAAACAGCATTACACTGGTTAAGTGAGCAAATTTTGGAGTCAGATTTCCTGTATTCTATCCCAAATATGCTACTTCCTGGCTCTGTGTCTGGCCCCAGGTAAGTTCGCTTATTGGGAAAATAAAAGGAAGACAATACATACTTCATAGGATTGTTGCAAGTGTTTACATGAGTCAGTATTTGCTTGGCACAGTTAATTCATTACATCATAGTGGCTAGTATCTGGAAATTGGTCAGTGTTATTTTTTTAATTTTATATTTTACATAAAATAAAAGCATATTTTTTCAGTAATGGTATCACCAGCTAATTCCTATCTTTACAACACACTATAAAAATTGTATAATTATTTATGACCCTTGTGCATGTTCATCAATGACTTGTAATTATCAAAATGCACATAGCAATGAGTGGCAAAATGTTTTGAAAAACTAAATATTCCAAGAAGCCAGTAAAGAGCCCAAACCATAATAAGTTTCCATAAATGCTATTGAATGACAAGGTATGGCACTGAGTGTCTGCAACATTAACAAAATTAATAAAAGCTAACATGCCCTTTTAACGTCTTCCAAAGAGATCTCTTAGCATAATTTTTTCTTCAGAAATCTTTAAAGAGACTAGATCCAGAAGACAGATAATGAGGATACAAACTATGCACCCCATGGCACACAAACCTTACTGAGATGATAGGTCTTTTGTATCTGAGGTATCAATATTGCATGCATTTGGTGTCAAATGTTGTCATTCAACAAGCATTTATGAAGCACCTACAATATTTTAGATTCTTAACTAAGTGCTGAGAATGCAAGAATAGGTAAGATATAAGGACCTAGGGGAGAAAACATCTCAATGTCAAAAACACTGAATACCATGATTTCAAGGAGAATATGATCCAATAGAAAAGAGAAGACATACACCAATAAATGTGTAATACAAGACTTATATAAGTGCCTAAGAGCAATACAGACTAAAAGTGCTACAAGAATCCAGAGAAGTGTGAGATTACATAAACAGAAATTCTTGCAACCATATAGTAAATATAAATGTGCAGCAAATGTGCTAATGGAAAGCCCATTCCAGTTCTTCCATGCCTGAGTTTTGTGTTTCCCATTTCAAGATTATCATGAAATAGGCCAGCAAAAACAAACTCTGTAATAGACCCTAATGAAAGTCTCAGACCATTGATATCTTTCTTTGGTGCTTGACACTTGTCCCAGGAAAACCCTGCTGTGTGTCAACTATGATAGAACACAACAGTCAATGTTTAAACATCTCATCTCCACAAGTTATCTTTCTGGAATGCAACCAATTCATCTTGTATGAGGGGAAAGATGTGGGCAGGTTTCTGAGTGATAAAAATCATTCAGAAGGAATCCAGTTGCCACATGCAAGATATTGCTATATGAATATTTGATTCAAGGGCGTGTGGAACTGGTTATCAATAATTCAGTCATCATTTAATATCAGAGACATGGAATGTACCCAACTGTTGTATTAGTTTATACATTAGGGTGACTGAGATGTAGCGTGTTATTGCCACTGTCACATTTCTTGTGTTCCACGATGACAACATGGCTTATAAAGACTGAGATTATATACCTATTCTGCCACCCAGATTCATAAAACATTTGGGAGCTGCTAGACCAGCTCTACTGGGAGAAGTTGTGAAGAGGAAAGCAGACTAACAGTCTGTTTCAGTTTGCATTCTTTCAAAAGAAGCAGTCCCTGAGATGGGCATGAGGAAACAATTAGTTTATTTGAGAGGTGAAATAAAGACTAGTTGGGGAGTGGATGACACAAGGGAGAGAAGGCAGTCAGTTAAGAGTTTATCTTTAATTGGCCAATTCTTAAGCCAGCTACCACTACAGCTGCCTGGAGTTTAATCCCATGCAGTCACTCTGAGTTATCACACCCAAGGGATGAGGAAGCTGAGTTACAACCATTCCCATTAGTCATTGGTTGAGAGCTGTTCCTGAAGAGGATTAATTCTCTGGTATGTCCAGCCTAGCACACGGACATGAAAAGCATGTCTCAGAGAGGAAATTCTTACACGTAGAAATGCAGGAGTCGTTAGCTGAAAATGGGAATTCGCCACTGTGTCACAGCAGCTGGCTCTTCAGCCTGTCTCAGCCACCCAGACAGAAGTGAAGGGAGCCAACATTTATTAAGTACCCACTATGTGCCAAATGCATTGCACACGTTATAACATCTTACCTCTACAATAAAGAAAACATGTAGTCCATTTTCCAAGTGAATGAAGTAGATGTCAGAGAAACAAGGCACTTGTCCAAGCCAGCCCAGTATCAGCAAATAAGTGAGGACTTAGACTCAATTCTCTCCAGCCTTGAAACAGGCACCTTTTCAATAAAAGGCATTAGAATTCCTCCGTGCAGTCACATTAGGCAATGCTAAGTCATTTAGACTCAATCTGCTAATCCAAATTTTGACTGATGGTTTCCAAACATTTCCAGTTTTGCCTGGTTTCTCCCCCTGCCTAGGATGCCTTTCTCTTTTCAAAGTTCTTATCTAAGCTGGGCTTCTGGCAACTCTGAACCTAGGCTTGGCTAAGAAGAAGACTAAGACTTAACAAGCAGAGCTGAGTGTAAACAGTCTATCCTATTTGGTAGAATAGGATGATGGTGATGTTGGTATTTTTAACAAGCATTTAAAGTAATTCTCATGCATACCAGAGTTTGACAACCACATGTAAGGAAAAAACAAGAAAGGAGAATGTGCATGGGATGCTCAGAAAAAGACCAGGGAGAATCCTATGGCTGTAGCTGTGGAGGAAGAGTCTGGCAGGTGGGCAGAGGCCAGCACAAATGGCCTTCGAATGCCAGGCTACTAACTTTTATCCCCTCCTGGGGAAAATAAACCACTCTTGTAAATTTCCGAGCATGGAAAGTGTCGTATACAAAATGATATTTCAGGAAGATTAATCTGGCAGCCATGAACTAACTAGATTCGAAAAGAGGATTAAAACCAGGAACACAGTATCAAAATATAAGAAGCTTTTAGAAATTTCCCTTGGGTCCCTGGGGTTTAACTTTTTCATTTTTTCTCTTTTCTATCCTAAATTAGAGACAAGCCAATCTAGCTTTGCTCAAATCTTGAGCTGAGTTTCAAGGACTTGCTGTTGGCAAAAGGCATTCAGAAAATTCCCTCTTCTGACTTTGTAAAGTGTAAAAATCCAACCAGTCTCATTTCTCTTACTTTTCACTTATTATTCTGCTTCATAAGAGACTTTTAAGAAGTCTTCTTCCCCTTACTATTGGAAACTTAAATTATTTTTATTTCTATAGTGATAAGCTTTTGAGTTAAAGCTACAAAGTTCTGATGCCTGGAGAGCCAAAATGCTAAATGTGGAAACACATTATCTCATCTTGCCAGATAGTTTGCAAAACCTTCTTAGGTATGGTGGTCCACAAAGCATGCTGTGGATGATTAATGCACAGACACATGCACACACGAAGATCTGGTTTCTGCCTCTGTCCATGCCCTGGATGACATGTCAATCCTGCCCTTTATCCTGATAAGGGGTTTTGTTCTCAGTCCTGAAAACCATTAGGAGGACACCTCAGCACATGTTAAAAAACAGGGGCTGTGTTGTTACTCTGGGCCTTTCCAGGCTTTTAAGAAAATTTTAATTTTAAATTCCGTGCCCATTTGGATGACAATTAATAGAACCACAGCCCATAGCCAACATGACCCTTCACTCCTGATGTCCAGCTAGCTTTTTGCTAGCTGGTGATTGGAAGAGCCATTTACTGTGTGAGAAAAGTGACCATGAAATAAAGATTAAGGGTTATTTTTAGTTTATGGTCACTTCCAGTTTTAGTCATTTTCAGTTTAGCTAAAACTATAAAGAGGACCTAAACCGAGACTGGAGAAGTCACTAGTAGCAGAGAAATTAAAACAACCTTGTTGGGAGTTTTCAGGGAGCACCCAACACCTCTCTTCTTCACCTAGTTCTGAACAAGTTAAACAGTCAGATACTGAAGAGCATGTGGAGGACCGAAATATACCTCTCCCATCCTAACACATATATTAATTTGGGATCAAAGTCTGGATTCCAAGTTCTCTTTCTTGCATGCGCTATGGAAATCAATAACTGTGCAGAGAAAAGAGAGGTGCTTAATAGAACTTTGATTCTCTGCTAAGCTGGGACTTTATTTTCACTGATATCTTTGGTACAGCTTTTGAATAAATGAATTTTTGGTTAAAAGTAATAAATTGTCTTTTATTTGAGTGGCATCCAATTGGAAGTATGTCCAAGTATGTCCACACTTTTGGCAGGTATGTAAATGGAAATGTGTATCCACATGGTCGAGAGGGGTGAGAAATAAGTCAAATACTATGACAAGATCAGATTCCTTAGTACAAGGCAGAAGATAGGAAGTGCAACAGGTTCTCTTGCAAAGTGACCCGTCCAGAGGGCATCTGTGGCTCCAGAAGGCTTCTGAAAGATGCAGAAAATGCTCAAACTGAGTGGATAGCAGAGGATATAGATACACTTCAAGCTTGCTTGTCACTGCCATTTCAGTCATTTAGGCTTCAGTGGTGACTTTGCCTAAATAATCAACCTCAGAATATTTAAAATACAAAAGTGAATAATGTTGCAATGAACATACCCATGCATGCGTCTTTATAACAGAATGATTTATATTCCTTTGGTTATTGGTAATGGGATTTCTTGGTCGAATTTCTGTCTTTAGGTCTTTGAGGAATCGCCACACTGTCTTCCAGGAATCAACCTAAATTCTCATCAATGGTAGACTGGATAAAGAAAATGTGGTACATATACACCTTGGAATACTATGCAGCCATAAAAAAGAATAAGACTGTGTCCTTTTCAGGCACATGGATGGAGCTGGAGGCCCTTATCCTTAGCAAACTAACACAGGGACAGAAAACCAAATACCACATGTTCTCATTTATAAGTGGGAGTGAAATGATGATAACACATGGACACACAGAGGGGAACGACACACACTGGGGCCTATCAGAGGCTGAATGGCAGGAGGATGGAGGGAATCAGGAAAAAATAACTAATGGGTACTAGGCTTAATACCTGAGTAATGAAATAATCTGTACAACAAACCCCCGTGATACAAGTTTACCTATGTAACAAACCTGCATATGTACCCCTGAACTTAAAAGTTAAGAAAATTTTTTTTAATTTTCAGAAATAAAAAAAAAGTGTTTTGATCTATTTATTTCAAGAACAGACCATTTTCCAGTCAATTGTAACACCCAACAGATGTGCACCAAGGATGGATTTGTTACCAGACTTCTCTTTACAGCCCTACAAGTGTATACTGCTAATTATATAACCACCTGCGGTTGTATAGAGGGAAACATCTCAGCTCCAGCTGGAGCTGACACCAAGCCTGGAAGATGCCTGGCAGCAGCAGTCACAGGCTTTAGCAGCCAAGGACTGGAATGGCTTGGCCTGTCTTCCCTTTTATGTTCCAAACTACAGTTTGGGCAGACAGAGGTTATCCATACTTTAAAATATTTCTACAAAAGGCTAGACTGTCTGGCATGACTAGTATCTTTCCATTCAGGAGCCTTAGTTCTACTTCTTACCATTCAGTACATCACTGGATTTGACCAAAGGAAATGAATTTATTTTTATTTATTTTTTCATTTTATTCCAGGTTATTGAGCCCTAAAAAATATAAAAAGATAATTATTTTAAAATAAGTGTACCATATGTTAGTTATGTTAATATGTTAGTATGTTAGTTAATATGTTAGTATGTTAATAAGTTAGTATGTTAGTTAGTAATAACTAACATATGTTAATAACTAACATAAGGCTTAATAGACTTATGCTTCTCTGAGAGAGAAGAAAATGGAGTCACAGGTATAGTTGGCCAGAAAGAGCCTAGAGTTAAGTCTGGATACTATGTCTATTTGGGGCATTTCTACCACATCTCAGTGCTTTCTGACCCTCAAGAGCTTGCTCAGGACACCTAGTGAATTTCATATTTCACTTGCATCTGAGATTATTTTATGAAGTTGTGACTGCTACAACCAGTAATGTGGAGAAAACAAGTTTCATTTGACATAAAACTTGTGAAGATCCCAATGCCATTACAGACTGGCTTTTTCTCACTTCTAAAAAGGGTCTTCTCAATGCCTTGAGAGCATATCTACAAAGCAAAACAAAAAAACAACCCCCTTCAGGTCTCACTGTGAAAAATAATGGATGTGTTAATTTTGTGCGAACTTAAAGTCTACTTGCTTTTTTTTTTTAAAGATATTGAAGACCAACTTGTGGTTTATTGCCTCTATTTGAAATGGGCATTCCCACACATAACACACAGCTTTTTGAAAACCATTAGGCATTTTTGGAAACATGATGAGGTCAGATATCTGCTCTTACCATCCTAGTGATGCAAAGATGGAAAATAATCTGTATGTAACACCCTTTGTAAGCCTATCCTTGGAAGAACTTAGGGTATCATTCAGAGTACATTTAAAGTTTGCCAATTATATTCACCTCAGGCTTATCTATTATTCTTTATCACATTCCTGTTGCAAAATGAGTCATTATTCCTATTAACATTATTACTCTATAATTATTGTTCCCATTGACAAGATGAAAAGAGTAAAGACTAGAAAAGCAATTTGATTTTTCTGAGGCTACAAAGCAAGTTGGAAGCAAGATCAGAATTTCAAGACAGACTTATGCTATTTAAATCAAGTTGATAAATGTAAATTAAAGTGCCACCACAATTATAGCAGTAGGTTAGACATTGAGGAATACATTAAAGAAAAATAAAATAGGCCCTATCTTTGACAAAAGTTTTAATCTGGGAGAAAACAAAACCATAACACAAACCTCTGGAGAACAATATGAAACAGGATAATTATCAAATATGCAGCACTTAGAATGTCAGAAAATTAATATTCTTTAAATCTGTTGACTCTGCCTCTGATGTGCCTTTCAGTTTCCTTCCCTGAGTACACCCTGGCATTGCATGAGGCCAGCTCTCTCCAACCTTCCTTGTATTACCAAAACTTTCCTCCCTACCCAAAGCACATACCCATTCTTCAATAAAACACTCTTGAGGAGATCTAGATATTGGATTTAGTAGACAAAGACTACAAAGTAGCTATTAGAAGTATGTTCAAACAATTACAGGAAATTTTGTTTAAAGAATTAAATGAAAATATTTTGACAATGATTCAAAATAAGAAATATCAATAGAGAAATAGAAACTCTTTTTAAAAGAATCAAAAAGAAGTTCTACAGTTGAAAAGTACAGTAGCTGGAATAAAACATTCACCATATGGGCTCAACATCATATTTAAAACAGCAGAAGAAATAATCGTGAACTTACATGTAAATCAGTAGAAATTACCCAATCAGAAGAAAAAAAGATTGAAGAAGAAATAAACACAGTCTCAGAGACCTCTGGGACACCATCAAGTATACCAACATACATGTAATATGAGTCTCAGAAGGAGAGGAGAGAGAAAAGAGTGGAAAAAATACCTTTTTAAAATAATAGCCAAAGCTTTCCAAATTTTATAAAAAATATTAATCTGGGGATCCAAGAAGCTCAACAACCAGAAATATAATAAACACAAATAGATCCACATCTAAACATGTCAAAATCAAACTGCTAAAAGCCAAAGACGAAAATCTTGAAAGCTTGTACTACGTAGTTTAGTTTCTTATGGCTCCTGTAACAAATAACCACAAATGTGGTGGCTTAAAACAGCAGAAATGTATTTTCTCTCAGTTCTGAAGACCAGAAACTTGAAATCAGTATCACTTGGCCGAAATCAAGGTATCAGCAGGGTGGAGGCTCTAGAAAAGAATCTGTATTTTTTGCCTCTTCTAGTTTCTGGTGGCTGCTGCCATTCCTTGATTTGTGACCAAATCACTCAAATCTTCAAGGTCAACATCTTTAGATCTCACTTTGCTCCATTTTCACATCGCCTTCTGTGTACATGTATGTGTGTGTGTCTATGTGTGTGTACACATATGTATGTGTGTGAAATCTCCCTCTGCCTCCTTTTCATAAGGATAATTATAATTGCATTTAAAGTCATTCCAGAAAATCCAGATAATCTCCTCCATCTTAAAACCCTCAAATTAATCATGTCTGCAAAGACCCTTTTTTTTGCCATATAAGATAACATAAATAGGTTCTAGGGATTAGGATATGAATATCTTTTGGAGGACCATTTTTCAGGCTACACACTACCCAATTTCAAAACATATTATAAAGGTACAGTAATCAAGACAGTATGATATTGACATAAAAATATAATTAGAGACCAAGGAACAAAAAGGTCCAGAAATTAACCCTACTCAGGGTCAATTATTTTCCATGTTTCCAAGGCAATTCAATGGTGAAGGGCATTCATAAGAAATAAAAGAGTAAGACACCTTAAACCCTTATCTCACACCATAACTAAGTAACTCAGAGAAAAATGGATAATAGACCTAAATGTAAACGCTAAAATTCTAAAACTGCCTGGGGATAGGTCTTCCTAGGAAAGCTTTATGAGGAAATCAATCCTTTTTTTTTTTTCACCTAAACTAAAGGAGTTTTCCTAAAGGAAACAAACAGGAAGTTCAGGAACAAACCGCTAAGAAGCAAAACCACAGAAGGCACACGTGGACTTCAGTTCAGGCTCTATGGCCGAATGGACAAAGGGGATATGTCAGAGTGGGTGAAAAAGGAGACAAAGGAAGCCAAAAACAAAAACACACAAATGCAGGACAGTTTTTCGAGGGATAAATACCTGCAGAACTTATTCAACAGAATGTTAAATAGAGGAAAATAAGTCACATTTATTTTACCTGATCTGCATTTTTAAATATGACATCTCACTTATTCTCTCAATAATCCCCTAAAGCAATTATCAGGATTGGCATTTTAAAGATGAGGAAACTGAGGCCATAGTGACTTGTGCATCATCACAAAGCTAGTATAGTCATCTCTCAGTATCCTTGGGGGATTGGTTTTAGGACCACCTGCACATACCACAGTGCACGCATACTCAAGTGTCACAGTAGGTCCTTCGGAACTTGAGGATAGGAAAGGAACAGCCAGTCCTCTGTATAAGCAAGTTTTGAATCCTGTAAATGTGGAATCTTCCAGCCTCAGGTTTGGTTGCAGATGCGGAACATGCCAATACCGAGGGCCAACTGCATTAATGGCAAATAATCTGTGTATAAGTGGACCCTCCCAGTTCAAACCCATGTTGTTCAAGGATCAAGTGTAAATAGAACCAGAATTCCAGTTCCAGTGTTTTGACCCCACTATTTCCTACCTTTCAGAATTTTGTGTTAATTAAACCAAATTATTGTTTATTAATACCCATAAACCAAGGAGCAGAGTACCTGATAGACCATAAATGCTCTCCAGTAAGTATTGAATTGTACTTACCCCATTTATTCAAGACTACAATGCATAATACTTGAAAAGGCAAGACCATGAAATAGCTATGCCTTGCTGCTCACTATGCACAAATTCACTCTGTAAACGCTGTTGCTTAAGGAGCACAGGACAGAAAAGCTACCCAGGGAAAAGGAAGCATGCCAGCTTATGAGGATTTGCAGTTAGGACAACAAAGCCCTTTCAACAGAATACTTAGGCCCTGGGTAGATTCAGAAGGGTCTTGTGAGGTTGCTACAAGAACATCAAAAGAACAAAAGCAGAAAGTAGATCAAAACATAAAGGACACAAAGAAAGACATCACTGGCCTAAAGAATCATTAACAGCCCCTGGCATAATTAGATTATAATACATAATCCAATTCTTTAACAAATCTGTGTACATTTATCCAGTCATTTTTGTCCCAATTAAAGACCAAATGGGCACTAATGAGGATAGCAACAGAAATTACTGTACAATCTTCTGGTGACAAAACAGGAATGAATTGAATGTTTCTGTATGCTGCTTACTAGGTGGAGAGGGGAGACTGAAGAATTAGATAGCTAGTGGCTGAACTATGGTGGTTACTGGTTGGTAACCACCAGTTGCCGACCAGTATGGTGGGAATCAGATGGTAACAAGTACTAATGAATGTTTATATAACAATAACAACCACTGATCTATACCAAACACTTTCTATGTGGCCTACTGGCTGAGTCATTGATTTATTATTCACAATCTTATGACATCCCACAATTATCCCCATGAGGAAACTGAAACTGAGAGTGCAACTCACCTGTGTAGACTCACACATCTAATAGGCAGAAAATTCAAAATTAGAATCAGGACTCGCCAACCTTAGAAATGAAGCCTTTGGCTATAGCTCTACATACAACCTCTATGCCCCCAAACTGGTCTAATAGCATATCTTTCTGTGCCCCTTCTCCCAAAAAAACCTAGCAGAATTGTGGTTTATAAATAATCCAAATGTCTTTTTACTTTTCCGGCATTTCCTTAGGGGATCCGCTTTTAGAATATTCCAATTTCACTCTTGTAAAGTGCATTAGTCACTATGGCAACAGTTAATTCATTGATGAGAGGGAATATCTTTTATTAATAAGGATACAACAGTATATGTGATCCATAATTAGTAGTCATACATAGAAAGGCATCCCGGAAAAAAAAAATGTTGCATTAGAGTACTGTAGCCTTGGTGCAACATACTGCAAAATGTAAATACAGGACAACCACTCATGGAGAGTCCATTTCACAAATCTCCTGAGGGTTATTAAGTACCAGTCTTTCCAGACCGCGTTTCCCAAACCTGCCACTTACACAGTGGCAGCCAGCTGCCTGCTGAGAACAAAGTGGTCTCCGTGCTCCCCACCACATCATCCAGAGAGCTTTCAAGTGAGAGCGAAGTGGCCAGTTACTGGCCCTAATTAGCTCCCCACCAACTGGAGCGCTCCCTCCCCAAACCCTGTGGTCTTCCACACAAAAGCTGCAAATTGCTTTCCGACCTTTGAAGCCGTCCCAGGAATCCCTAAGGAAGAGCTTCCTAGCTGTGCCTTTAGTGCCTGGTGCCCTCTGATCAAAAGCCCGGGCAAAGGGCAAGAGAACCAGCCCCTGATGGGTGGTGGCTTTGGAGAAGGACTGAGGCCTGAAGCTAATCGGGGCTAGCTGCTGGGGAGACAAAGAGCCTCTGATGCCACTGTGTGGATTTGCCCATTCAGACACAGTCAAAGCCAAGGCCAAAGCCCTGGGTCCTCCTCCTCCTTCTCTACCTCCTCCCTTTCTTCCTCTCCCTTCTTGCCTTCCTCTTCCAGGAGGTGTTAGCTTCGCTTTCATGCCCAAGAGCAGCAAAATCAAGAATAAGGAGGCTTTCTGCATCTGGATCACCCTCTCACTCCTCATCTGCCACTCCTCCCCTTTCAGACAGCCTGCACTGGGATTCTGACTCTATCACCTACCAGCAGTGTGACTCTGGACTTGTTCCTTGACTCAGTTCCCTCATCGGACTACCCCAGATTGTATACCAGCTTCCTCGCTTAGCAGCTGGGGTTCTTGGGAAAGTCACTTCTCTCTGCACCTTGGTGTTCTCATATGCTAAACGAGAACAGTAATCACAACAGTCACATAGGCAGGAGCTGGAGCCACAGACCTGCTACTCTAGGATCATAACGGGAGAGGCTGGTGTTGGGAGCTGGAGCCATGAAAAAGACACAGCTACTGCTGGCGACAACCCTCTTCAACCTACCCAACAGCCAGTACGCCAAAGAGATTGCAGGCACTGGCACCATGTGGGTGATCAATCAATGCTTTCTGACAGTTGGGAGTCATGGTCATAATAGCTGTAGCAGTGAAAGAAGTGGCATCAATAATTCAGACAGGTAATCCCCATAGCCATGTGTGGGTCCCTGTCTGTCCTGGACAACTTTGACAACCACTTTAATGTTGCCCTACTGACACTACACTGCTGGGGCCACCTCCCTAGCTCCAGCTGAGCCCAGCAGCACACAAACCTAAACATGCCTCTCTGCCTTTTGTCTGATCTTCTTCCCAAAGCCCAGAATACTACTAAAAAGCATCACAGAAACAGGCCAGCCAGATTCATACCAGGATGCTGCCCAAAATTGCTATCAGCTCGTGTCCCTAGAACACTCCCTTCAGTATGGCCCTTCTCAGAAGAGCATCTCCCCCTTCTCTTTTACTGAATCAAGATGACAAAAAAAAGACCTCATCTTCTCCCCCTCCAACTCAGCTATGAAGTGCAGGATAGTGGTTAAGGGTACAGACTTGACTCTGAATTCAAGCTCTGCGTGGACTTTCTAAGTGTCCATGAACATGTCTCCTAACTTCATGTATCCTCAGTTTCCCCATCCGTGAAATGAATGGTTCTGAAGATTAAAAGAAGGAATTTATGAAAAGCAATTAGCACAATTTTTACACATTAAATGCTCAAAAAAAGGTTAGTTAATATTCTCTATTATTGTATCTCTGCCCCTTACCTATCTTATTTTCTTTTATGCTTCTCTTAGGAGAAACTGTTCTCCTCCATCTTTACAGGAATAAACTCATCTCCTGTTCTCCAGGAACTTTGGGGGTTACTCTCCACCAATTATCTCAGCTTTTTTCAGTATTAGTATTTACTCTTTTTCTGCCTTCAAAGTTATTTCTCTTCATATTTGTGGGTAATTGATATAAGAAAAATGTGAATAAGAAACACAGGAAAATTCTCTTTCTTACTAATAGTTATAAAAATACACACTAAAACATTCTGAACATCTACTTTTTATCTACTGAAATAATAAAATTATATCTATTAATTTATTCTTTTTTTCAAATGGCAAAACTCCATCAGGAAAGTTGAGGAAAAAATAGATATGATGGTGGCACTATAAAGTGGCACATCTTTGCAGAAAACAATTTAGCAAATGGTGAAAAGAGTCATGAAAGAATATATAGTCTTTGAGCCGGGCGTGTGACTCACGCCTGTAATCCCAGCACTTTGGGAGGCTGAGGCAGGCAGATCACCTGAGGTCGGGAGCTCGAGACCAGCCTGACCAACATGGAGAAACTCTGTCTCTACTAAAAATACAAAGTTAGCCGGGCATGGTGGTGCATGCCTGTAATCCCCGCTACTCAGGAGGCTGAGGCAGGAGAATCACTTGAACCCTGGAGGCGGAGGTTGCAGTGAGCCGAGATCATGCCATCGCACTCCAGCCTAGGCAACAAGAGCGAAACTCTGTCTCAAAAAAAAAAAAAAAAAAGAGAATATATATATATATATATATATATATATATATATATATATATACTCTTTGATCCAGAAATATCAATTTGGATAAATTATCCAAGATAAGAAGAAAGAAGGCAGTATTGTGTGTTACTGTTATCACCACTGCCTCCAAGAACTGTACAGATCTGAAATGGACCACACAATGATGTGAGGGAAGAGTAGAATTTAGAATCAAACAGCCATAAAAATAATAAATCACAAAAAAAAGTTTTAAAGTAGAATTTTGAAATAATTAGTGCTATAAATGGCTAAGTGTTCTTTGCTCTTACTTCATTCAGCCAATAGCAAATTACTGCAGTCCCATTTGGTGGGGTGGCAGGCTAAGAAACAGGGACACAGAGACAAAAGGCAATGGTCTTTACCATCAAAAACTCAGAATTTAGATAGCTACCAAACAGTAAATCACTGCATGATATGACAAGAGATTAGCAAAGAGGAAAGTGCAGTTTTCCTTGGGAGCACTTTCTTAGTCTGTTTGTGCTGCTATAACAAAAAATCTGAGACTAGGTACTTTATAAAGAACAGAAATCTATTTCTTCACCATTCTGGAGGCTGGGAAGTCCAAGGCCAAGTCGCCAGCATCTGGTGAGGGCCTTCTTCCTGCATTAGCCCATGGTGGAAGACAGAAGGGCAGGAGAGAAAGGGCAAACTGGGCCAAAGTTACCACATTTTTACAGCAAACACACTCCTGCAATAACAAACCCATTTCCATGAAGCAGCATTAAGTCCATTTATGAGAGGAAAGCCCTCATGGCTTAATCACTTCTTAAGGGTCTCACCTCTTAATACTTGTATAATATCAATTAAATTTCAATATGAGTTTTGGAGGAAACAAACATTCAAACCATGGCAAGCACTAAGATGGCTGAGGCCAGGAAAGGCTTTCTGAAGGAATCAATATCTGTGCTAAGAGGAGAACTTTTCTAAGCAGAAAAGGAGTGAGAAAGAAAACTTCAGGTGGAGAGAACATTGCTGGAAGGCAGATAATTTGTATAAAAGAGCATGATGCCTTCCAGAAGTGTCAGGTGATTAAATACCTCTGGAATGTGGTGTCCTACAGAGTGGATCCTGCATCCTACAGAGTGGATGAATATAAGGCTGGAGAAGGAAGCAGGAGCCAGGTCAAGTAGGGTCACCATGTTTGTTTGGTATTTTTTTTTTTTTTTGTAAATGTAAAATCATATTTTATTTTATTTTTTCTTTAAAAATTGTTTGTAACTGGCACATAATAATTGTATGCATTTATGGGGTACATAGTGATGTTTCAATACATACAATGTATAGTAATCAGATCAGCAAAATTAGCTTATCCATCCTCTCAAACATCTGTCACTTCTTTGTGTTGGAAACATTCAGTATTTTTCTTCCAGCTGTTTGAAAGTATGTATTAACTGTAGTCATCCTACAGTGCTATAGAACGCTAGAACTTATTCCTCTTACCTAGCTGTACTTTTCTATCTTTAAAAAATCTCTCCTCTATCCCTCCTACCCTTCCCAGCCTCTAGTATACTCTATTCTACTTTTTACTTCTATGACATCAACATTTTTAGTGTTTTATATATTTTAAGTTTTTTATTGATACATAATAGATGTATGTATTTTCTGATAATGTTATACATCCATATAATTTGTAAAGATCAAATCAGGGGGACTGAGATATCCAATTTTTCATATTTAAATGAAATATTCATTTTTGCTTTATGCTAGGAACATTCAAATTATTCTCTTCTAGCTATTTTGAAATGCTCTATAGATTATTGTTAACTATAGTCACTCCACTGTTCTACCAAAAACTTGGTTTTTTTTTTGAGATGGAGTCTCACTCTGTGGCCCAGGCTACAGTGCAGTAGTATGATCTTGGCTCACTGCAAACTCTGCCTCCTGGGTTCAAGCAATTCTCCTGCCTTAGCCTCCTGAGTAGCTGGGATTACAGGCGTGTGCCACCCAGCCCAGCTAATTTTTGTATTTTTACTAGAACCGAGGTTTCACCATGTTGGCCAGGTCAAACTCCTGACCTCAAGTGATCCACCACCCACTTTGGCCTCCCAAAGTGCTGGGATTACAGGCATGAGCCACCGCAGCCAGCCATTATTTCTTCTATCTAACTATATATTTCTACTCCTTAATCAACCTCTCTTCATACTCTCCTCTCCCCTACCCTTCCTGGCCTCTGGTAACCACCAATCTTTCGCTATCTTTATGAGATTCACTTTTTAAATTCCCACATGTGAGTTAGAACAATGCAATATTTGTCTTTCTGTGCTTGACTTATTTCACTTAACATAATGTCCTCTTGTTCCATCCATGTTACTGTAATGACAAGGTTTCACTCTTTTGTATGGCTACATAATATTCCATTGTGTATATATACCACATTTTCTATATCTATTCATCTGTTGTTGGACAGTTGGGTTGATTCCTATCTTGGTTATTGTGAATAAGGCTGCAATAAACGTGGAGATCTAGATGCCTCTTTGATATACTAATTTCCTTTGCTTTGGATGAATGCCCAGTAATGGGGTTGCTGAATCAAATGGTAGTGTTACATGTAGTTTTTTGAGGAACCTCCATAGTGTTCTCTGTGCTAGTTTACATTCCCACCAACAGTATATAAGCATTTCCTTTTCTCCACATTCTTGCCAGCATTTGTTTTTTGTTTTTGTTTTTTGTCTTTTTGATAACAATCATTCTAACTAAGGTGAAATGATATCTCATTGTGGTTTTGATTTGCATTTCCCTGATGATTAGTGACGTTGAATGTTTTTTCATATACTTGTTGGCAATTTGTATGTCTTCTTTTGACAAAATGACTGTTCAGATTATTCGCCCATGTTTTTAAACTGGATTTTTTTTTTTTTTTTTTTGGCTGTTGAGATGTTTAAGTTTCGTGTATATTCTGGATATTAATCTCCTGTCAAATGAATAGTTTCCAAATATTTTCTCCCATTCCGTAAGTTATATTTTCACTCTGTTGATTTCTTTGTAGTGCAGAATTTTTTTAGCTTGATGTAATCCCATTTGTTTAATTTTGTTTTTGTTGCTTATATTTTTGAGTCTTATTCGCAAAATCTTTCCCCACACCAATGTCCTGAAGAGCTTCTCCTGTTTTTTTTCTTCTAGTACTTTTATAGTTTCACACCTTACATTTAGGTCTTTAATCCATTTTGAGTGATTTTTGTATAAGGTGAGAGAGGTGGGGGCCTAAAATTTTATTCTTCTGTATATGAATATCCAGTTTTACTAGCACCATTTATTGAAACAACTGTCCTGTACCCAGTGAATGTTCTTGGTGCCTTTGTCAAAAATTAGTTGGCTATAGATATGTAGATTAATTTCTACATTCTTGGATCACCATGTTTTAAACGACAAACTGTACACAGAAGGTTCTGGAAGGTCCTGAAAGATTTGAGGAAGGAACATTATGTAACAACAGCCGTTGCAGATGAGGCAATGAGTTGCTGATGTTCAGATGACTGTTTAACATAAATTATTTTATATAGTGAATATGTAATCAGGGAGAAAAAATCTATTCTAAAATGAGAATCCTTTCCTTCCCCTCTGCCCACTAACATTTTTAAGCCATGTATTTTCATCTTCAAACAAAAATAATACATTTATTCAATCATGCTGTTTATTTTAGCTACCACTGCTCAGTATCTTGGACATGTGACCAACATCTCCTGCTTCTATGCTCCCATCTCAGACTTTCTACTGAAACTTTTTCATTCATACTACTGTCCCCAAGGCCTTACAGAGCTAGTCGTCTCAAACAAATTATTTATGATTGTTATGAAGCAGGAATCACGTGAGGTTCAGAGATGGAAGGGAATAGGATAGTCACATGGTCCTTACATTCCAGAAGCATATGGAACAGGGGCAAGAAAAGATACAACCCAGAGATCACCTGGGGTTTGCGTGCCCCGAGGAGAGCTAGATAAAATAGGCTCAAAACTCTCAATTCCATCTGTTCCATAGATTCACGTCCTCCCCACAAAATTTCTACAAATGACACCAAAGATCTCACTCCAAAATTATGACCTCCTCTACTGTCTACTACTCCAGGATTTCTCTGTGCCTGTGTCAAGGGGGCCCCTCAGATGTGAAACTTAGCCCCTTTTAAGAGGCCCTTCCTTCCCCCGCATCCCTCCCACCCCAGAAAATTTACTCAGCACTAAGAATTGGTACATATATAAAATTCACTGCAAATGTATGGGACAGAGAGGGGAGACGAAGCACATGCAAGTGATCCAGCAAATTTAAAACGTAGCAGATACCATCAACTGTGATGAATGAATGCAAAATGATGGGGGGAGGGGGTAATGCAGGAAGAAAGGGAATTCACCACTTTCACCTTATCTACACGCTGTCTCCATCCCTCTTCTGACTTCTCTCTCAAATCATTACTCCTCCTTGCCTGGGAACTCCAAATTCTTCTCACTCCATTAATCAGAGCCATTCAGCATTCCACAGCACCCCCTTGAAAATGGAATATTCCTGAGATTTTAATCTTGCCTCTGCCATTTACTAACTCTGTGACTCAGAAAAGTCACTTAACTTCTCTGAACCTCAGATTCCTCTTCCATAAAATAAGAATAATTATCAGGCCAAGGATTGCTATCATCATATTTTAAGCAATTAATGAGCTTTTCTCCTTTGCATTTCTGTGTACATAATCTGTGTAATCAATCTGAATTACTAATCTGCCTTGCCTTGAGATGGAGGTAAGAAAATTACAATAGGTCTTCAAGGAGAAAGGAAAGAATTACTATGCTGAGCAAATATACAAAATAGGAAGTTGCAACCAGACAACAGTATTGAAATGCAGGTTTTGTCAAGAAAGAGATTTTTCTAAATTACTTTCTCTCCTTCCTTTACTATTATCAAGAGATTGTCCTGGCATAATTGGTATTACCCTTTTGCATAAGGGCAGTCCCAATCCAATAAGAAGAAAAGATTAGGGAAAACTTCCCTTTTCTATCCCAGTGAAAGATGGGAAAAGATGGAAGGTAGAGATAAAGGAAGAAGGTCATTAGGAAACCCTCTATCAATCTCCTCTATCAAACTCTGTCTCCAAGTCAAAGTTCCAGAGTGGAGAAAAAGTGTTTCCTAAGTTGATGGAGATTCTGGGGAACCAGTTAGGATCTGGTTGCAGTAATTTAGAAAAAGTTAATAGAGACTAGGACTTTGGTAACTGCCAATAGGGATTTAAAGAGAGAGCTGGAATTTACACATATTAAAGAGGTAGAATCACTAAGACTTGATGAATGACTGGATGCCTTTTCAATTTACAAATCCAGTCTTTAATATCTTCACATTTGTTAGTTTTGAGATCATCTTCCTAAATTCTTTCCTCCCTGGATTTCTGTGAGCTTATACAACATGGCCATTCTGTGCCTCTCTGAAATCTTATTCTCTGCCATGCTAAAGAGTTAGCTTACTTTTCATAGCATAAGTGATTAAAGAAGTTTGTAGAGTGAGGAATGGCCTAGTTTATTTCAGGGCTATGCTAGTGTTTGTAACCCAATAGACAACAAGTTGTACAAGATTTTCTTTAAGATGAAAATGGCTACAAATTCTATCCAACCCTAGTAAAATAACTATTATACAAGATAGTAGCTTAATCCAGAAAAATAAGCTAATTTAGAATTTTCAGTTGACAATTCATCAATATTTGGTATAGAGTAGTGCCAAAAATGTCGTTAGCAGCTATTACCTGACTCTAGCTTGGTAATAAAAAAGACTATCAACTACTTTCTATTTATTATTTTAGTCAGCTTAATGGTGATAGCAATCCTTGGCCTTTCTAGGAAAATATAGATGTACAAAGCACTTTCTAATACTCACGTGCATCTCATGGTGTACAAGGAAGGCAGAGAGGTGTTATAGTATCTGTATTTTACAGAAAAGGGAACTAAAGATCACAGAAGAATATGTGAATTGGGATGCAAAGAAGGAAAATGGTAAAGAAACTCTCAGTATCCTTTAGGAAATAGATGTCTATTTCCATTCATCTGACCCCTCCCACATCCTCCATGATTCCTGAGAGATTGCTCACAGAGAGAGCTGCTTCGCACTGACAAGTACTCTTAAAGCCCTTGGATGGAAGTGTTCTGGGCTGAGACATTTGAACACTTTCAGTCTTTTCTTCGACTTTCCTTAATCTACTTGGGCTTCTGTTTCCCTTGGTTACATAGAGGTCTCTAACATTTCCAGTTGATTGCCATTCATCTTGACAGACAGTATACTTGTTAAAAGTCTTCTGGTTGTAAGTAACAGAAAGTGAACTCTAACTTGCCTCTGCAAAGGAAACAAGGAAGTTAAGTAACCAAGCGGAGAAGGGTATGGGTGTCACAGGGTCTGAGGAGCACTGGAACTCACCTGGATCCTGGCTCCCCTCTCTGTGCTGCCTTTGCTTCTACCACCTGACACTGATCTTTACATTAATGGGAAATATGGTCAGTGAATGGTCCCACATTTTCTATCATGTGGAATTGGTCGCCCAAAATTGACAGATCTATTTTTCCCCAATTCCAAAAGCTCCTGGAAAGGGATTCATTGCCCACGCCTGAGCAAAGAGTCCATTGCTAGACAAGTCAACTGGGCCAGGGAAGCAGGCCATGTTATAGTTTTATGACAAACCCCACGTAAATCATTTGGTCAAAGATATGTAAAATTTCTAGAAAAGGGGGTTAAACAGAAAAGCTCAGGAGTTGGTCACACACACACAAAAAAAAGATAAAAGCAAACAAGTACTAGCACCTCTGTCTCCTTCTGCCATGTTCTTACCATATCACCTGACACGAGCTGTGGGAATATGTGGGAATTCCTTGTTATCTTTCCTACTCTACACATAGCTAAACTCCTCTTTTAATTTTTCTTAGCACCTTTACAAAGCTTTAGCTTACTCTTTCTGATGCATTAAGATCATCTGTATCTTATACAATGAGAGATCCTCTTGCACACCTCCCAGAGATGGCGTCGTCTCCCTATTTGAAGTCGTTGGTCAGAGGGGCATAATCACATTTCCTCTGAAATTTTTACAACATCACCTAGCTTGGTGGTATTAATAAAAGATGCTTTAACAAAATAAACCACCATATCTGTTCACTTTTTCCAAGAACACTGAAGTGCCAGGCATGGGCTGCACCATAGATGGAAGTGGGAAAGAAGCTACAGGTAAAGAACAAGATACCCAGAGATGGCTCCTAACATCTAGCAGGAGAGGCAGACAAGGGTACAAATTAAATCTGTCCAGTGTGTTAAGTGCTGAAGGTGATCTAGCCATGGTGTTTGAGAGCCCCAAGAAAGAAGAAACTGGCTCAGGAAAGGGACTAAAAAGTGTTAAAGTCTCTGTACTGGCATTAAAATAATATATGGTTCCTCTTTTTTTATCTTGTCTCAACGAGGAGACTGCCAGAGTCACAAGATCATAAAATCACTAACCTTGAAGTTGAAGTGACATGAAAGGTCATCCAACTTAATCTTCTACCCAAGATACAAATTTCTCCTGCCAACCTGTCTCTGCCTGGCCTCCCATGATGTGGAGTTCACTGGGATCAGAGTGGAATAGGTTGTCATAATGGAGAAAGAAAAGGGTTTGAGGTCAGATGAACTGGGCTTTGAAATCCAACACACACTAGCTTTGTGATCACAGACTGATAACAGCCTCTCTGGGTGATAGATGCCTTGTTGGTTAAATGCTGTTGCATTACCTAGCACACAGGGTTTTTGCGGGTGAAGGCCTGGACTATGTACCTCATTGAGGCAGCCCATTCTGTTGTAGGACAAATGGAATTGATAGGAAGATTGTTGTTGGTTTAAGAGAAAAACTGCTTCTCACACATTCTGTATGCATTGGTCCTGATTTTGCACTCTGTACAGGCTTTTTGTTTCCCTACCTAACGGTACTCCAGGCTGGACTATGATAATAAACCAATGCCCTTTTTTCCACAGCTCTCCTATCTCTGCTGTGGCCAATTCTCCTGGCTTATTGCTAAATCTTTGTATTTTTTCAAATTCAGCCCTGAAGAGATTCAAACTAGTAGCCCTCACAGTGTCTGCTTAGTACAATAAACAGGCTTTAAATTCAATCTTGGGTGCTGCAATTCTCTTTCAATAGGATTACATAAAATGGAAATGTCAAAAGTTGAAGAAAGTATAACTGTTTGACAATTGAAGACAGAACCATGAGATAGAGGAATTCAAACTAGCTCATTGGGTCTCACAAAGGATGTTTCTGTTGCAAGAAAAACGATATATAGGATCTCCTGCCGCTCCAAAATCAAATTCATTGTGTTCAGATAAGATGCCAAAAGGAATCCCATTGACAGATATAAAATATTCAAGCCACAGACTCTGTGGCTGAATGCCAGGCTTTCAGCTCTCTTACATACCATCTTTAGCAATGCAAAGCAAATAAAATAAGGTTTCTTTCATAAGAGAATGGCACGTTTCTTACTGACTCCTACATAATACAAACCCCTCTGACCAATGGTGGACTAACAGTCCCATTATTTCAATGTATATGCAAATTGCACACCAAAATGATATGCAATATTATATAGATAAAGACCAATTTCACTTTCTGACTGTATTTCCAAATACGTTTTGTGGGAGTGTGAAGGAGGGGAATCAGTTGGCACCCTTTAACATCATTTTTTAAAAATTTTAGGGAAAATGTAGCAATTTGGAAATGACTACAGACTTCAACATTTTTTCATTTTGCTATTTAACTTCCATTATTGTATATCTCAGCAGGTAATGGAGTGAGTAAATACCTTGTAATAAGATCAGGAGTCATGGAAGAGACCCCCTATAGCCAATTACATATTTTTATTTAGAGATGCTTCTTTGAGAATTATATGCTCATTTGGCAATTCCTTTGGAAAATAATGGAGGGGATAAAACATTTTTCAAAGCTCTTGGGGACAGCTATTCAAAAACCAAAGTGCTAAGCAGGCCTGCACAGAGGGAGAGTGGTCCTTTGTGGCTGAGTGGTGCCCTGCTGTTTGTACCATGTTCAGAGTCAACCTACTGCAATGAAACATTCTACAACCATAATTAAATGTTGTTTGAAAAGGTCTTTTTGAATTTGAGGAGACATTTGTAATATGAAATGCCATCAAAGGAATGGACTGGAACGGAGGTCATCAACAAGTGAGGTAGTGTTGCATGCTGATGCAAATCAGACACCTAAGGGAAAATAACACACATGGGAAACCTCTGGAGGTAAAAGAGTCTTAAAAGTCAAGTGATGGCAAAGAATTTATGGCTAAGTCTTCAAAAGCAATTGCAACAAAAACAAAAATTGACAAGTAGGATCTAATTAAACTAAAGAATTTCTACAGAGCAAAAGAAACTATCAACAGAGTAAACAGACAACCTAAAGAATGGGAGAAAATATTCACATACAAGGCATCCAATAAAGATCTGATATCCAGAATAAGAACTTAAATCAACAAGCAAAAAACAAATAACCCCATTAAAAAGCAGTCAAAGGACATAAACGGACACTTCTTAAAAGAAAGCATACAAGCAGCCAATAAACATATGAAAAAATGTTCATCATCACTAATCATCAGAAAAATGCAAATCAAAACCACAATGAGACACCATCTCACACCAGTCAGAATGGCTTTTATCAAAAAGTCAAAAAATAATGGAGGCTGGCAGGGCTGCAGAGAAAAGGGAACACTTATACACTGCTGGTAGAAATGTAAATTAGTTCAGCCACTGTGGAAAGCAGTTTGGAAATTTCTCAAAGAACTAAGAGTTGAACTACCATTCAACCCACCAATCCCATTACTGAATATGCACCCAAAGGAAAATAAATTGTTCTACCAAAAAGACACATCCACTCATACGTTCATTGCATAATTATTCACAATAGCAAAGACTTGGAATCAACCCAGGTGCCCATCAACAGTAGATTAGATAAAGAAAATGTGATACATATGTCAGAGCATTTGAACAAGAGCAACTCCATCTCGAATAGGGGCTGGATAAAATAAGGCTGAGACCTGCTGGGCTGCATTCTCAAATGGTTAGGTATTCTAAGTCACAGAATAAAATAAGAGGTCAGCAAAAGATACAGGTTCATAAAGACCTTTCTGATAAAACAGGTTGCAGTAAAAAAGCAGGCGAAAAACACCAAAACCAAGATGGCAATGAAAGTGACCTCTGGTGGGCCTCACTGCTACACTCCCACCAGTGCCATGACAGTTTACAAATGCCATGGCAATGTCAGGAAGTTACCCTATATGGTCTAAAAAGGGGAGACATTAATAATCCACCCCTTGTTTAGCATATAGTCAAGAAATAACCATAAAAAATGCACAACCACCAGCCCTTGGGGCTGCTCTGTCTATGGAGTAGCCATTCTTTCATTCCTTTACTTTCTTAATAAACTAGTTTTCACTTTACTTTCTGGACTCACCCCAAATTCTTTCGTGCCTGAGATCCAAGAACCCTCTCTTGGGGTCTGGATCAGGACCCCTTTCCACTAACACATACATACCATGGAATACAACATAGCCATAAAGAGAATGAAATCACGTCCTTTGTAGCAACATGGATGCAACTGGAGGTAATAATCCTAAGCAAACTAATGCAGAAAAGGAAAACCAAATATGACATGTTCTAACTTATAAATGAGAGCTGAACATTGGGTACACATGGGTATAAAGATGGAAACAATAGATGCTGGAGAATACAAGAGGAAGAAGAAAGGAGATGAGCAAGGATTCAAAAACTACCTACTTGGTACTATGCTCACTACCTGGGTGATGGGTTCAATCGCACTCCACACCTGAACATCACGCAATATACCTCCTTGGTAACAAACCTGCACATGTACTCCCTGAATCTAAAGTAAAAGTTGAAAAAAGGAAGAATAAAAATAAAAGGTAAGTGGAAGGAAGACCTCCTGGATGGAGACAAAAAACCTAGAGGAGCATTCACTCTGAAGCTAAGGCACAGAAACAGAAGTGATTAAAGCATAGGCTCCACATCACACTACCTGAGCAAGCCAGTCTGTTAGCATCTAAGCACAACTTTTGCATCTGTAAAACAGGATAATGGTAATATCTAGCTCACTATAAAGCATTTAGCTTAGAGCCTGGTACATGGGTAAAGCACAGTTATAATTAGCTATTAGTGGAACGATATCAATTAATGTCCCTTAGACTAGGGCAAGGGGTACCACATCATTTAAGGTGTTCTCCTTGTAATTTTCTAAAGACATTTCTGTTGCCTAAAACGGGTCTTGGTCAAGGAATGCCATCAGGTGAGAGGTACACCAAGCCCGAACCAGACTAGCCTCTAGGCTCTGTTTCTCCCTTTTGGGTTGCTCTCCAACCTTCTGTTCCCACCCTCAATATGTGGTTGACCAGATGTCCCATGATGCTCCAGGACTTCTACTAAATTGTTCAGGAGCCTTATGGCTAAACCCCAGATCCAGAAGAGTGTCCTAGCATGGGTATTCCTCCTACTGTCCAGTGTATTATTTCTTTTGCAGAAATTATGCAAGATGTGCCCATCAAAATGGTGCTGACATGTTGATTTGGGATAACTCAAAAAAAATATCTCCTGGGGCTCCTACATATTTTAAGGGCAGCCCTGGGAATGGACACTCATTTCATTAATTTACTACACCATTTATTTAACCAATATTTCATAGAAAGAATGGAGGCTTGGCCTTCATAAGACATAGTTTCCAAGTCCAAATCCAATTAAATCTTGACTATGAAATGTCTTTGTAAAATAAGAAATGAAACACAGTGAAAGTGGCTGTCAATAGACCCCATAAAAATAGAAATAATTTTTTTTTAAGAGATAAGACCTCACTCTGTAACCCAGGCTGAAGTACAGTGGTGCAATCATAGCTGACTGCAACCTCAAACTCCTGGGCTCAGGTGATCCTCCCGCCTCAGCTTCCCACAGGCACATGCCACCATGGCTAATTTTTTTTAATTTCTGGCAGTCATAGAGTCTCACTATGTTGCCGTGAATTCCTGGTCTCAAGCAATCCTCCTGCCTCAGCCTCCCAAAGTTCTGGGAATACAGGCATGAGCCATTGCATCCAGCTAGAAATATCAGTTTGACAAGGACAAATACTAATTCTTCTCCCCCTGAAAGCTAAAGATGACATTTGCATTGTGCACATGGCTTCTCCCCATCCCCTATGCTGTTCTATCTTTGCTGGCCATTTCTGGGCTATTCTCTGTAGTTCAGAATAGGAAAATGAGAGCAAGGAACCACAGTAGCCAGAGGAAGAGGCAGGAGGGGAAAAGACCAACGTCACTTGTCCTGGAGAAGACAGAGAAAAGGGTCCGAGGAGGGGGAGGTATGGGACAGCTTTGGAGAATGAGACCATGGGGAGCAAGAAAGGAAAGCAGCATGTGGCTCTGCATTTTGAGATGGATTCTTTCATATTCTTCAAGAGAACTGGGTAAAGACTGCAAGTGCTTTGCAAAGACTTTTCCTTGTTGGAATGCATTTCTTTGAGTGTGACAGTGCACCAGAGAGGAATGATGTAGAGCCGTGGGATCTGAGTACTAGTAATAGTGTATTAAAAATAATAGTCATAACAGTGGCAGCCATGGGAGCAGAAACAGTAGAGGTATCAACAATTGGGCAAGTCAGGTTCACTTTCTGGGCCTCAGGTTTTTTATTTGCAAAACGAGGGCATTCAAAGCTTCTTCTAAGGTTTATTATTCTGTGATTCTACTCATGTCTGCAAAGTGCCCAGTCCTGAGTTAGATGATACAGGAGGGACACAGGATATATAACACATGATTCCAGCTCTCCAGGGTTTGAAAAAGAGAAGGGCCTTCTTGCTGTTCCTTCACACTCATGGCTGATTGCTGCCTCAGTGCTTTTGCACTTGCTCTTTCTTCTTCTTGGAATGCTCTTGCCCCAGATATTCACATATGTTCTTCCCTCCCTTCCTTCAGGTGTTTGCTCTTAATGAGGTCCTCCCTGACCACCTTCCCACACTCCCTCCCATTTGGCACTCTCTCTGCTTTTCCTGCTTAATTTTCCACTATTCTTGTGGTCATCTAATATATTATATAACATATTGATTTGTTCATCATCTGTTATTCCACATCAGAATTTACGCTTTACTATGACAGGATTTTCTTTTCTATTTCATTCATTGCTATATGCCCAGCAACTAGAATAGTACCTGGCATGTGGCAGGGGCTTGGTAAAAAACAATGAATGAATTAATAGGAGACACGACATGACTTGGTCAAGCAACAGAACAACAAGCCTGCATTTAATATGCATAAGAAGTCAAAATAAAAGCACTTAAGGGATTCAGAGAAGGGAAAAAAGGTTATGAGCTGAAGCACTCAGGAGAAGACTTGACAGGTTGGGGAATATTACGTCGTGTTTCCATAGATGGGATGGCCCTCCTCTCTGACATTCCCTGAGGCAGTCAAGTAAAACATGAATATAAATTACTTTTGGCTGTGGGTATTTTTTAGCTATTTGGATGGTGTATCCTTTAACATGAGCCCTTTCTGAGACTGGATTATGTAAGTCCCTGTAATAATGAGGGTTGTAATTGAGAATATACTGTCTTCTCCACTATCAACACTTGCAATGTACAATTTCAGCTCTTGGAACCAATTGCAGCCTCTTGCATTCATTTAACCAATATTTCTTGAACACCTACTGGATTTTGGGGATCTATTGAATCACAATTTGTGGCAGCATAAGTAGTAGAACCTTCTTGTATTCTCCCAGAGTCACCCTAAAGCCAATCTCCATGATCCATATTATTAAATTGACGTTGTCGTTTTCAAATAAAGACTTAAAGACTTTGGGAATCTAGGGACTGTGTGTTACTTAGCAGTTGATGTAGCAAAACACCAAACTTGTATTCCTTATGACTCAAACTCTTCTTCTAAACCCCCTCCCCTTTCCTTACAAAAGCATCCTTGATTTGAACCTGCAGTGACAGTCTATCATGATGTCTAGACTTCAGCCTTGTCACATGCCCAGAAATAATGACCACTCTTTCACTCTATGGCTCAGGTACTACACATTCTGAACCTACAACAGCCTCACCTACAACCTTTATTCATTTCCAACCCATGAAGATCAACGCTGAGAAACAAGAATTTCACAGAAACAAGTGCTCTGAAGATATTGCACCAGGCTTCCCCAAGTTGTCAGCAGGTTCACCCTCTGTGAAGAGACCTGCCGTGATTGCCTAGCGACTTTGAAGGGCTTGGTAAATATTAGAAAAAGCTTTTCCCAAGCTCCCAAATGTTATTAGGCAGCATGAGGAGAAAAGTTAAAGTTGTACAGAGACATGACCTTCAAAAACGCAGAAGAAAATAGATATCATAAGTGGGAAGGAATAGAACAGCTCTAGGGTTAGTTCACAATTTAACCCTTGCATTTCTCATAATGCTGACATGTTTAGGGCCCCAGTCTCTCCAAGATCTTTGTTACCCTGACCAAGACGGGCAAGTTACCTGATCTGTGTAAGTCTCAGCATTGCTAACTGTAAAATACGGATGTTATCTTCATGGGATTATTTAGAAAACTTTAAAAGATTTTATATGTACAATGCCTAGAATACTGTGTGATACATAGGATTATATAAATAAGGGCGTTTTTACATTCCCTTCTACAACATTGTTCAATGTTATAGTGCCCTGCATAGCAGGCATTTGCTTTCTAAAAGAGGCCTGGGAGCCAGGCCCAGTGGCTCACGCCTGTGATCCCAACACTTTGGGAGGCCAAGGCGGGTAGATCACAAAGTCAAGAGTTTAAGACCAGCCTGGCCAATATGGTGAAACCCCATCTCTACTAAAAATTCAAAATAATTAGCCGGGCGTGGTGGCGCATGCCTGTAATCCCAGCTACTCGGGAGGTTGGGGCAGGAGAATTGCTTGAACCCAGGAGGCGGAGGTTGCAGTGATCCCAGATCGCACCACTTCACTCCAGCCTGGGTGACAAAGCGAGACTCCGTCTCAAAAAACAAAAAACAAACAAACAAAAAAACACCTGGAGAGAAGTACATGACAGAGGCCTAGGGACTGAGCCCATGATTTTAACAACGGTCATTCAAATTTAAGTGTGGCTCAGTGAGGTAGAAAGGCTGGAGCTTAGGAGAGCTGGACTCCAGTTGACTGGAATATGTGACTTAGTTTCCTCAAACTATAGATAGCATAGCACATCCTAACATACAGTGCTGTTTGTATCAAAATCCAGTAATGGAGTAGGGGTGAAAGCTATTAGAAAATTCTAAATAGTTATTAAATGTAAGGTCATTGTTATTATTGTCAGTGAAATGAATCATCGGGACTAGATAACTCCAAGCTCACTTCAAGCTCTGACATTGTATGACCTTAGAGACTTTAGCTCACTCCGGACCTCGAGCCAGTGACTTTGCCTCTCTTTTTTCCCTTGTCCCACCTCCCCACCACCGCCTGTCACCTGGTTGCAAACACACTAGTAAGAATATTTTAAATGTATGTAGCACATTTTTCTCCAGAACAGTGAAACCACTTGGTTTTAGAGCTGTCCAATTTTATTTTACATCTGCATCACACAATAATACAAAGCAGAATCCCAGGTATCGTTTTATTAGGTCAGCCTGAGCTGTCTGCTCATGACTGACTTAGCACAAATCAGATTTTAGGCCTGAGCAAACATTTCCAAGAGAAAATCCCAAGTTAAACTAGAATTGTCTTCCATTATTTTGTAGACCAATGAAAATTTGAACTTGAGTAGCTGTGGTCAATTAAAGATGTTTGCAATATTATTTAGTTTTTAAAAAGGAAGGAAATTCTGACATCCTACAACATGGAGGAGCCTTGAAATCATTATGCTAAGTGAAATAAACCAGACACAAAAGGACAAACACTCTGTTACCAGTGGAGGGTAGTTGTCCAGGTTCTTGGCATTTTGAGCAAAGAATTAGGCAAAACACACAAACAAAGCATGGCAGAGAAAGCAGAGATTTATTTTAAGCAAAAGTATACTCCACAGGGTGGGAGCAGGTTCAAGCAAGAGGGCTGGTTACAGAATTTTCTGTAGTTTCAATGCACCTCTAGAGGGTTCTCATTGACCTCTGACCAGTCTGATTGGTTGTGGGAGGGGACCAATCAGAATGAAGAGTAGGCCTGTAACCAGTCTGATTGGTTGTGAGAGAGGACCAATCAGAGGTATTTTCATTTTTCAACTGCCACACAGAAAATGGAGGGGTTGCCGCTGCCACACAGCAATTACCATGCAGAAAAAGGAGTTGAGAAGGGAGTAGCCTCTGATATGTAGTCAGCATGAATCAGCCTTAGGTTCCCTGCCTCCATACCCAATTCTTCTGCCTCATTATGATTCCACTATGAGGCATCCAGAGTAGTCAAACTTATAAAGACAGAAAGTAGAGCTGTGGCTGCCAGGTGGGTGGAAGGAGAGAGAAGTAGTTATTGCTTAATGAGTAGGAAATTTCAGTTTGGGAAGACGAAAAATGTTCTGAAGATGGATGGTGGTGATGGTCGTGCAACAATGTGAATGTACTTGATGCCACATAAAAAGTGGCTAACATGGTAAATTTCATGTGTATTTTATATATGTATATTTTTATTTTGTTATGTGTATTTTATCACAGTATATTTTAAAAAGTGGCTGCAAATTATTTTCTATCTCTCTCATTGAGAAGTGGAGTCTAATTCTCCTCCCCTTGAAATCAGGCTAGCCTTTGAGACTTTCTTGACTAATATAAAGTGGCAGAAATAAAGTTCTGGAATTTCCAAGGCTAGGTCATAAGTTTTGTAGGCTTCTTGGAAGCCTTGCTATGGATTGTTAATGGGGAAGAGGGTGTGGAATTCGCATGCCCCAGGAAATATTTGGCAATGTCTGAGATTTTCGTTGTTATTATTGTTATAACTGGGGAGGTCAGAGGGTGCTGCTGGTATCTAGTGGGTAGAGTCCAGGGATGCTGATAAACATTCTGTTACACACGACACCTCAATCCCAACAAAGTATGGTCTGGCTCAAAATGTCAACAGTGCCAGGGCTGAGAAACTCAGCTGTGGGGAAAGCCAGCTGCCCTAAAATCATTACGTTATGAGGAAATCCATGCTTACTGTGTGCACAGACCACATGGAAGGAGAGAAAACACCTGAACAGCTCCAACTGTGGCAGCCATACCAGCCCAGATGCCAGACAGTGAATGAAGACGGGCATCCCATTCCCAGTAGAAATGACGTGAAGAACCGAAAAAAACTCACCGACAGCCCTAGATATACACCTCCAGGTGACCAACCCAGACACCACCAACAGTTAGCGCTACTCCAGCTGAATACTCCCCAACAAAAATCTATCCTTGCTATGTGTTGCCTGAATTCATGACCAACAACGGTATGAACATAATAAAATGATTGTTATTTTATGCCACTTAATTTTAGAGTGGTTTGTTCATAGCAATAGATAACCAAAACAGCAGCCTGCTAATCTCACAGAAGAGATTAGAAACATTCAACGTGGTTTTAGGAAGACTGAAACTAAGTAGACAGTGCAGGTTAATTCAAGCTTAACCTGAGTGACCCCACCTGAGAAATGGGGATCTAAATCTCTATCCTGCATGAAATTGAGAAAATTTAATAAAATCAGGTATTTAAAAGCGCTTAGGGTAATACCTGGACGAGTAGAGCTATTCAATAAATAACTTTAGATTGGATTTGATCTGGGTTGTCTTAATACAAAGCAAAAATGACCTTTATCATAGACTAGCTTTTTTTAAACATTGAGTAGCTTAAATTAGCATGAAGTGATTTTGTCTCAGAAACTGTCTTTTCTCCCACCCACCTCATGTAAATATCTCTTGCAAATCTTTCTCAAAGAGACCCAGGTTGGAGTTCTACTTCTAACCCTTACTAGCTGCATAACCATGAGTTATTAGCATCTGCTATGGTATGAATGTTTGTTTTCCCCAAAAAAATTATGTTTGAAATCCTAAGTGATTAGATCATGAAGGCAGAGTCTTCATGAATGGGATTAGTGCCCTTATAAAACAGGCCCCAGAAATCTGCCTTGCCCCTTTACCATGTGAGGACATAGCAAGAAGGCACTACCCATGAACCAGGAAATGGGCCCTCACCAGGCACCAAATCTGTTAGCACCTTCATCTTGGACTTCACAGCCTCTAGAACTACAAAAAATAAAACTCTGTTGTTTATAAACTACCCGGTATATGGTATTTTGTTATAGCAGCAGGAACAGATTATGACACTGTCTCTAAGCTTCTTTCTTTTTGTGTAAAATAAAGATAATAATAATATATCTATCTTATAGAATGGTTGTGTTGATTAAATGTGATAAATGCATAAAAAGTCCTTAACAACATTCCAGGCACAAACCAAACACTCAATATCATTTTAATATCCTGTGGGCCACCTGCCCCACCAACTTATCTGACATCTCTGAATCCCAGAAGCAGGAATTACTTAGACCCTAACTGGTCCCTTCACAGCAGAATTAAAATAAACTTTCTCTAACTTTGAACTGTGACTATAACTAGGAAAGAAAAGACTAATCCATTTCTCCTCCTTGGTAATAATGAAAGCATTCCATGCAGCTCAGGGACATTTTTGGAAAGTCAAAGAGAAAAATCTTGTGACTTCTTCCAAAGCAAAGATATGAGGAATCCTCTGCTGTGTAAACACCCAGGAAGAAAACCAATTCCAGATGCACCTGCCTGGTACACCTCTCAATGGAAACCACATCTGCAATTTTATTTTTTGGCTTCACCACCTAGTGTTCCAACCAACATAAAAGATTGTTCTGCAAAATCAAAAGATGTACCAATTTGAATTCAGGTTTTTCCCAGGCTTGAGTAAAAGCACTGTTAAAAAATAATAATAATAAAAGCTATTACAACATCTATCAGCAAGAAATCAGGCTGGTCATTGTAAGTCACGTTTCCTCTCCTGGCTGGTAGAATTAGTTATGACCAGTGACCATGGCCTTCTGTCCTGAAGACTGTGCTCAGGTCTTCCCTCTTTTCTGTGACTCCTAGAAGCAAAAAGCCACACTCTGGGCAAATCATACAAATGAAAACCCTCAACAGTGGGATTCTCCAATTCAAGAGGCCTTCTTGGTGGTCAGGAAAATAAATGAGAAATATGTGCAGACAAATTTGATTGGAATCCTTTCAGAATCAGGAAATGAGGAGGAAAATTCCAAGAGCTTTGATTTGAAAAATGGAGACCCCTTCTGGGCTGTAGCACCTATGGTTTAAAATAAGCCAGTATCTGTTCTAAGGAAGATTGCTGGATTCAATGATGATGCTGTCAGTTCAGACAAAATACCACATACACACACTTGTTATCCACCCAATTAAAACGCTGTTCTTTTTTTTTTCTAGGTATGATATCCATTTAGAGCCCTATTAATTCTATACACCCTCTGGTTTTACAAAATCTCCAAGATTCATAAGACTGTGCTATAAATGAAACAAAGTGATTTCCAGTATTTGGGGCAACAAGATATTCTCACATATATGATGAGTGGTATCATTTAAACATGACAGCTTAAAGGGCAACTCACCCCCGCATCGGCACACCCACACCCACCCCTCCCCTGGTGTTTTTTCACTGTAGAGCTTACCACCCTCTGACAGATCATGTTTGTGTTATGTATGTGTTCATTTTCTGTTTTGCCTGGCAGAATGTAGCCTCCTTGAGGTGAGTATTTCCACTGTTTTGTTTACTGTTCTCTCCACAATGCCTAAAACAGTGGCTGGTCTATGAGAAGCACTTGTGTAAATCAGGATCCAGTCAAGCCAATACTGGCAATTTAAACAGAAAGAATTAAAATATATTAACCAGCCATAAAGTTATTGAACTGATAGCTCAAAGACTAAAAAGAGAACTCAAAGTAACTACCTAGGGAAAACGTTGAAATTACTAAAACGTGAAAACTTGAATAATGGACTCCGTGGAGCTGAAACTCAGACCTCTGGGGAGGGGTCAATGCCTGGCTGATGCTGGTGTCTCTGAGGTCAGAGAAGCCCTCATAGGCCTGAAACCCAGATCTGAGAAGGGGTCACTGCCCCACTGATGTCTTCAGGGTGGGGTGTGGTGAGGCTGGCTCTGTAAGTGCTGGAAAAACTGCAAACTAGAGTTACCCGCTGCTACACAGGGAGCTGCTGCTTCCAGGGTGATGCCCACAGGAACTGTGAGCCAACAGGAAGCCCTCGGAAACAGATGGGAAGGAACAAGTCTCCTCTTCCTCCTCCAGGCTTGATGTGTGGTCTGCAAAGTCCCAGCCCCAGAATCACAAGGCTAAGTGTGGAAAGGAAGTGTTTATGCTTAGAGGTAATGACTTTAAAAAGTTATCAGTAAAGACTTGTAGGAGAAACAAAATGAAAGCAAAGAAAGAAGAAAAGAAAGAGAGAAGAAAAGAAAAAAGGAAGGACAGATATACAGACGGCTGGACATCATTGAAGATAAAGAACTCCACGATATTTTGACTAAGACTAATAATAACAATGCATACCAATTATTGAGCTCTTAAACCATGCTAAGCTCTTTACACATCTACTGTCTTGTCTGACAATTCTATGATATAGGATTTATTATTCCCATTTTATAAATGAAAAAACTGAGAGAGTTTTAAGTACATGTCCAGGTCACAGAGTTAATAAATACTGAAGCAGGGATTTAAGCCCAACTCTCTTTAGTTCTAAAGCGCATGTTTTCTCATCCCACGGCCATTGGCTAGCATGTGTTTGGAAAATTGATATTTCAAAAGTTAGGGTTAGAATGAGAAAAGAATCATGCTCCAGTAAAGATATAGTTAAAAAATATGACCCCTAGGGTTGATTTTCCAATGAACTGGCTCTGTGCCCTCAAGTGAATTATTATCTTTGAGTTTGACTTTCCTGTAGAATGGAAATAATGAAACCTGTTCTGTGGTGTGGATAACAGATGGTTCACTTACATGAACCCACATGACATCAAACAGTCACAGTCATTCAGATGTGGTTTCCCCAAATAACTATCACCCACACTCTCTTCCTTGCTGAGCGAATCCCAGTTTTGCTTCAGGAATTAGGGTCCATGTGATTCATGGTTCCTCCTCAGCGCCAGTGTTGACTGGTTCAAGCCCATCATGTTAATTCTATCCTCCTTGCCAATGATTGGCTTAGAAATAGGCACATGCCACAGCCACAGTCCATATGAGAAAAGAAGAATCAAGCTGAAGGGGTTCTGGACACACTTTTCTCACTCTTAAAAATAAGCAAAACAGGGACTGCTTATTTTGGGCTCTGAGCATAGGTAGGTGAAAATGTGATGTCTGGAGCTCCTGCTGCCTTCTTGTAAATATGAGAAGAAGCCATCATCAAAACGCTAGCAATCCTAAAATTATTGTACCTATTGTTTTCTGAGATAACAACTTCTTTATTGTTTAAGCCCATTTTAAGTGTTCAGTATTCTGATATTTTAATTAAAAGCATTTGAATGGATCAAAAGCATTCTCTCTAGTATATCTTCATATGGCTGCCATTCCTCGCTCTCTTGCAGGTGACCTAGGCTGAAGAAGAGAGGGATGAAAAAGTTTTAAACTGGATAAGAACATAGGGTGTCAATGATTATACTAGACTGCACTGGAGTTACATTATTACATGGGACTATTCTGGAGTTATGCAAATTTTACTGGGCTGGGTTTTTTTATGTTAAAACAAAGGTGTTATTCATTTATTTTCTAATAGTGATTGAAAAAGCTAAGGAAACTCCCCATGATTTTATCCAGGGAGGGAGAAGGAGTAATCCAGAAAGTCAAGTCAAAAGGATATTGATATACCTGTCCAATCAGCTAGGTTATATGTGTATCAGCCACGCAGGGGCCGAGTTGGTGCCACCCTCACTGTGACCATGTAGCCTGTGCTGATGCCTCTTCTGCCTGTCCTCCAACCTGATTTTTGGTCTGTGTCTCTGGCCTCTTCAGGACCTAGTCCACCATTTCAGAGCATCAGTTGAGACTCTGAACTCTCAAGACAGCCTCCCAGCTGTGAAGTGCTGGCTCCCCTCCATCTCTTCATTTGCCAAATGGGAATAATAACAAAGGCCATCTCCAAGGGCAGTTTTAAGCATTACATCGCACTGTCAGCATTCACTCAACATTGACTACCTCGTTTTCTCACTCCTCTATTCAAATGCATCCTTCTCACTGACACTGCATTTTTTCATGATGTCTAGAAACAGCTCTCTTAGCATGGTCTTGGGAGTCCCTCCTATGAACTTGTCAGAGATCCTCCATGGCTTCCTGACCCCAGAAGTCCAGACTCAGACCCTGATGGAGCTTGAACCAGACCTGGAAGAAAGGTGATGTGGACAGTCCCGCAATGAGGAGGAAGACCAGCTACACTGAGCCCCCTGCACATGCCAGTGACTTTACAGTCATCATCTCATTCATTCCTTACTGCAGAATGGAAAATAGATTCAGATTTGTCATAAATCTCTGGCTTTCCCAACTCAACGCACTGAAGAAAGTCCAGGGAGCCTGGCAGGAATGCAGGAGAGGTTAAGGCAAGCATGAGGGATTGAAATCCGTGTCTCTCATTTCACCAAATCCACAGCTGTTTCCAGGGACCACACCGGTGTTCATTTTGGGGATGTAGTAACACATAGCAGTGGTCATGATTGAGGAGAGAGAGTGTGGAGTCAAGTACATTAAAATTTTAAAATGAGCTCCCATTTTTAGTGATTCTTTTTTAAAGTGGCAGCAGATCCCAGTTGAGCCTATGTGGCACCTGGGTGTCCACCTGAGTTTACTGGCATTGGTTTGCTTGGCTTTTTGTTTTATTTGTTTACTTGGCTGAATGGACCAAGGGGCAGGGAAGAGGGGCGGAGACTCAGGCATCCAGAGGAGAGAAGACAGGGGGAAATGGAGGACAAACAGGAATAAGCCTCTGTGTACCAGGAACCAGGTCAACCCTATGTCACGCTTTGACCCTGGGAGGCTCCAGGTGACCCCACCCAGGACGGCCAAGCTGAGCAAGCAGCAAGAGACGTTGTGCTTCCAGGGGGTGCCATCCTCCCACCAAGGGTGCCAGCAGTGCTGGCCACAATGAGGTGCCCCAGGGAACCTGGCAAGAAGAGGACACCATGAAAGAATGCCCCTGTAGGAGAGGAAGAACATGGCAGACCCACAGGGCAACTGACTTGTAAGCACCTGTGAGACAGCTGGGGGGACTCCCAGGGACACCTGAGGAAGGAAGAGACAATCTTCACAGGTGGCAAGAGTACACATGAGCATTTGGACTAGCCAGGGATTAGCCAGGCTTGGGGACATTGCGTTACTATTATGGCCACCAATGGCTTTACCAAAGGAAAGAAAGAAATGAAGAATGGAAGGAAGAAAAGAAGAGGAGAGGGGAAAAAAATGAGGGAGAGAGGGAGAGGAGATAAGAAGGAGGGAGACAGGAGAGTGGAGGGGAGAAAACCCCTCCTGCTTGTCACAGGCAGCCTTGGGCACCGAGCTCCTCCCCATGCAAACAAGTGCCTAAGAGATTCAACTTTTCTTCCTTTCTCTCAACCAGAGCAAAAGAAGCTTTAATGAGGTTATTTATTCCTTCCGAGAAGCACTGTGGTAATAAGTCCCTCAGCTGACTGCTCTTGGGCTAAGCTTCCTCACTAATATATGAAATGCCCAAACCCAGCAATCAGTACAGCTAATTGAAATGCCAACTTGAAGTTCACTAGATGACTGCCTCTGGGGTCACAGTCATTACCAGCGATTAAATGTTATGTGAAAAGATCCAGGAAGAGACACCGTTTTAGTAATAAGCTTTAACCTCACACCCACTGTGGGAAAAGAAAAAGAAAGACAAACGCTGGGCGAGAAAGCCAAACTGGAACCAGGACAGGGTTTGGCTGTGGGGAATGCAGACAGACTGCAGCAGGAAGGATTTTGGCTACCTCCCAGGAAGCTCATGGCAAGAACATAGATGGATTCAAAACAGACTTTAAACCAACAAAGATCAAAAGAGACAAAGAAGGCCATTACATAATGGTAAAGGGATCAATTCAACAAGAAGAACTAACCATCCTAAATATATATGCACCCAATACAGGAGCACCCAGATTCATAAAGCAAGTCCTGAGTGACCTACAAAGAGACTTAGACTCCCACACAATAATAATGGGAGACTTTAACACCCCACTGCCAACATTAGACAGATCAACGAGACAGAAAGTTAACAAGGATACCCAGGAATTGAACTCAGCTCTGCACCAAGCGGACCTAATGGACATCTACAGAACTCTCCACCCCAAATCAACAGAATGTACAGCACCACACCACATCTATTCCAAAATTGACCACATACTTGGAAGTAAAGCTCTCCTCAGCAAATGTAAAAGATCAGAAATTGTAACAAACTGTCTCTCAGACCACAGTGCAATCAAACTAGAACTCAGTATTAAGAAACTAACTCAAAACCGCTCAACTACATGGAAACTGAACAACCTGCTCCTGAATGACTACTGGGTACATAACGAAATGAAGGCAGAAATAAAGATGTTCGTTGAAACCAACGAGAACAAAGACACAACATACCAGAATCTCTGGGACACATTCAAAGCAGTGTGTAGAGGGAAATTTATAGCACCAAATGCCCACAAAAGAAAGCAGGAAAGATCCAAAATTGACACCCTAACATCACAATTAAAAGAACTAGAAAAGCAAGAGCAAACACATTCAAAAGCTAGCAGAAGGCAAGAAATAACTAAAATCAGAGCAGAACTGAAGGAAATAGAGACACAAAAAACCCTTCAAAAAATTAATGAATCCAGGAGCTGGTTTTTTGAAAGGATCAACAAAATTGATAGACCACTAGCAAGACTAATAAAGAAGAAAAGAGAGAAGAATCAAATAGACACAATAAAAAATTATAAAGGGGATATCACCATCGATCCCACAGAAATACAAACTACCATCAGAGAATACTATAAACACCTCTACGCAAATAAACTAGAAAATCTAGAAGAAATGGATAAATTCCTCGACACATACACCCTCCCAAGACTAAACCAGGAAGAAGTTGACTCTCTGAATAGACCAAAAACAGGCTCTGAAATTGTGGCAATAATCAATAGCTTACCATCCAAAAAGAGTCCAGGACCAGACGGATTCACAGCCGAATTCTACCAGAGGTACAAAGAGGAGCTGGTACCATTCCTTCTGAAACTATTCCAATCAATAGAAAAAGAGGGAATCCTCCCTAACTCATTTTATGAGGCCAGCATCATCCTGATACCAAAGCCTGGCAGAGACACAACCAAAAAAGAGAATTTTAGACCAATATCCTTGATGAACATTGATGCAAAAATCCTCAATAAAATACTGGCAAACTGAATCCAGCAGCACATCAAAAAGCTTATCCACCATGATCAAGTGGGCTTCATCCCTGGGATGCAAGGCTGGTTCAATATATGCAAATCAATAAATGTAATCCAGTATATAAACAGAACCAAAGACAAAAACCACATGATTATCTCAATAGATGCAGAAAAGGCCTTTGACAAAATTCAACAACGCTTCATGCTAAAAACTGTCAATAAATTAGGTATTGATGGGACGTATCTCAAAATAGTAAGAGCTATCTATGACAAACCCACAGCCAATATCATACTGAATGGGCAAAAATTGGAAGCATTCCCTTTGAAAACTGGCATAAGACAGGGATGCCCTCTCTCACCACTCCTATTCAACATAGTGTTGGAAGTTCTGGCCAGGGCAATTAGGCAGGAGAAAGAAATAAAGGGTATTCAATTAGGAAAAGAGGAAGTCAAATTGTCCCTGTTTGCAGATGACATGATTGTATATCTAGAAAACCCCATCGTCTCAGCCCAAAATCTCCTCAAGCTGATAAGCAACTTCAGCAAAGTCTCAGGATACAAAATCAATGTACAAAAATCACAAGCATTCTTATACACTAATAACAGACAAACAGAGAGCCAAATCATGAGTGAACTCCCATTCACAATTGCTTCAAAGAGAATAAAATACCTAGGAACCCAACTTACATGGGACGTGAAGGACCTCTTCAAGGAGAACTACAAACCACTGCTCAATGAAATAAAAGAGGATACAAAGAAATGGAAGAACATTCCATGCTCATGGGTAGGAAGAATCAATATCATGAAAATGGCCATACTGCCCAAGGTAATTTATAGATTCAATGCCATCCCCATCAAGCTACCAATGACTTTCTTCACAGAATTGGAAAAAACTACTTTAAAGTTCATATGGAACCAAAAAAGAGCCCTCATCACCAAGTCAATCCTAAGCCAAAAGAACAAAGCTGGAGGCATCACGCTACCTGACTTCAAACTCTACTACAAGCCTACAGTAACCAAAACAGCATGGTACTGGTACCAAAACAGAGATATAGATCAATGGAACAGAACAGAGCCCCCAGAAATAACGCCGCATATCTACAACTATCTGATCTTTGACAAACCTGAGAAAAACAAGCAATGGGGAAAGGATTCTCTAGTTAATAAATGGTGCTGGGAAAACTGGCTAGCCATATGTAGAAAGCTGAAACTGGATCCCTTCCTTACACCTTATAGAAAAATTAATTCAAGATGGATTAAAGACTTAAACATTAGACCTAAAACCATAAAAACCCTAGAAGAAAACCTAGGCATTACCATTCAGGACATAGGCATGGGCAAGGACTTCATGTCTAAAACACCAAAAGCAATGGCAACAAAAGCCAAAATTGACAAATGGGATCTAATTAAACTAAAGAGCTTCTGCACAGCAAAAGAAATTACCATCAGAGTGAACAGGCAACCTACAAAATGGGAGAAAATTTTCACAACCTACTCATCTGACAAAGGGCTAATATCTAGAATCTACAATGAACACAAACAAATTTACAAGAAAAAAATGAACAACCCCATCAAAAAGTGGGCAAAGGACATGAACAGACACTTCTCAAAAGAAGACATTTATGCAGCCAAAAAACACATGAAAAAATGCTCACCATCACTGGCCATCAGAGAAATGCAAATCAAAACCACAGTGAGATACCATCTCATGCCAGTTAGAATGGCAATCATTAAAAAGTCAGGAAACAACAGGTGCTGGAGAGGATGTGGAGAAATAGGAACACTTTTACACTGTTGGTGGGACTGTAAACTAGTTCAACCCTAGTGGAAGTCAGTGTGGCGATTCCTCAGGGATCTAGAGCTAGAAATACCATTTGACCCAGCCATCCCATTACTGGGTATATACCCAAAGGATTATAAATCATGCTGCTATAAAGACACATGCACATGTATGTTTATTGTGGCACTATTCACAATAGCAAAGACTTGGAACCAACCCAAATGTCCAACAATGATAGACTGGATTAAGAAAATGTGGCACATATACACCATGGAATACTATGCAACCATAAAAAATGATGAGTTCATGTCCTTTGTAGGGACATGGATGAAATAGGAAATCATCATTCTCAGTAAACTATCACAAGAACAAAAAACCAAACACCACATATTCTCACTCATAGGTGGGAATTGAACAATGAGAACACATGCACACAGGAAGGGGAACATCACACTCTGGGGACTGTTGTGGGGTGGGGGGAGGGGGGGATAGCTTTAGGAGATATACCTAATGCTAAATGACGAGTTAATGGGTGCAGCACACCAGCATGGCACATGTATACATATGTAACTAACCTGCACATTGTGCACATGTACCCTAAAACTTAAAGTATAATAATAATAAAATAAAAAATAAATAAATAAAAAAAAGAACATAGATGGATTCAATGTTCTTGACTAAGGGGTCTCCTGATCAGAATGAGATAGCCAACCCAGGAACCACATCTGGCTTCACCTATTTTTTCTCGCCTGTAAAACAAACAGAATAAAACCTGTATCTTGGAATTGCTTGAAGAATTAAGTAAGTCATTTATATACTGAGATGAATGTCTACCATACAGCAATTACCCAATAGATAGATACTTCTACCACCAATCAGCCAGCAACAAATCAAAAAAATTCATTGTGAATTTATTACATCCAGGAACTCTTAAAAGGGTGCAAAGATGAATATCACCCAGTTTCTGGCCTTAACAGATTCCCAAGTTGAGATAAGTGAAGGGACATTTGTCCAGCACATACCAGGTCCCAGGGCCCATGGTAAGTATTTTATGTAGATTAGAACCTTCAGTCCTCAAGGATACCTGATAAAGACTGAGGCTCAGAGATCACACAGCAGGAGTATGGAGAGGCTGTGTTTCAAAATCCAGTATGCCTGCCTCCCAAGGCCATGTCATTTCCCTGCACCACTTGACCTCCTAAAATGGAAACATGTAGAATGTTCAAAAACAAGAGTGGGAACAGAGCCAACAGTAAATGAGATATTCCAGGGCAGAGCATGGTCCCCAGACTGGTGACAACTCCACACTTTTGGAGGAAGGAATGTCATTTTGGGTTGGTCATGACTGTATGAGTTTCCTTGGGCCACCATAACATATTACCACTTGGTGCTCTAGAACAACAGAAATGTATTTTGTCAGTGCTCTGAAGTCTGGAAGTCCTAAACTAAGTTGTCAGCAGGGCTGTGCTCTCTCCAGAGGCTCTGGTGGCTCCCAGCAATTCTTGGCTTCTTTGAAAGCATCACTCAATCTCTGCTTCCACCGTTAAGTTGCTCTTCATGTGTCTCTGGATTTTAAAAATGCTTGTGGGTGCGGTAGCACAGGCCTGTGATCCCAGCACTTTGAGAGGCAGAGGCGAGTGGATCACTTGAACCCAGGAGTTCGAGGCCAGCCTGGGCAGCATAGTGAGAACCCATCTCTACAAAAATTTTAAAAATTAGCCAGGTGTGTCACTATGCACCTGTAATCCCAGCTACTCGGGAGGCTGAAGTGGGAAGATCACTTGAGCCCAGGAGGTCAAGGCTGCAGTGAGCCAAGATTGTACCACTGTATTCCAGTCTGGTCAACAGAGTGAGACCCTGTCTCAAACAAACAAACAGAAAAAACGCTTCTTACTGGGTTTAGAACCTTATCAGGTAATCCAAGATGATCTCATATCAAGATCTTTAATTATACCTGCAAAGACTCCTTTCCCACATAAGGTCACATTCAGAGAGTCTGGGAATTGGGATGTGGATACATTTGGGCAAGCACCATTCAACCCACTACAATGCCCTAACCTTCCACTCACCAATGTCAGGAATGTCCTGTCACCAATTATCTTCCCATGTCAGTCTCTCTCATTAGTCTGCCATACTCATGAGTAAGATTCTCTTTCTTTAAAATCCCCCTCATGTGCTTCTTTTCATTCTGTAAACACTAAAACCCTTAAAGAGTTATCTCCAGAGCAGCTCCACCTTCCTCACCACCCACCTGCATCTTCATGCCGTGGCACCCGGCTTCTGCCCTCACTACTGGACTGGCAGTCCTCTCCCAGGTCACCAACAACAGTGCAGTGGTCTATTCCCATAGCTTCTTTCCATGAGGCCTCATCTGTCCGGTGCCCCCTCCTCCACCCAGTCCTAGCCACACCAGCCTTCATGTTGACTTGAAGGCTCATTTCCTATTTCAAGAGTTGCTGTTCTCTCTGCCCAGAATATTCTCCCCCCCTGTATTAGTCAGGGTTCTCCTGAGACACAGAACCAACAGGATAAGCATGTATATGGAAAGAGATGTACTTAAAGAATTGTTACATGTGATTATGAAAGCTGACAAGTCCAAAACCTGCAGGGGGGCTCTCAGGCTGGAGACCCAGGAGAGCTGGAATTCACTCTTGCTCAAGGGAGGTCAGTCTTTTGTTCTTTCTCCTCAGGCCTTCAACTGATTGGATGAGGCCCACTCACATCATGGAGGGCCATCTGCTTTACTCAAAGTCCACTGATTTGAATGTTAATCTCTGGGACTTGGGAAGGTAGGGTGGGAGGAGGGTGAGGGATAAAAGAATACACACTGGGTACAGTGTACACTGATCGGGTGATGGGTGCACCAAATCTCAGAAATCACCACAAAAGAACTTATCAGTGTAACCTAATACCTCCTGTTCCCCAAAAACCTATTGAAATAAAAAAAAATCAGGTGGAAGAACAAAGTGTTGGCTATAAAAGTTAAAAATTTGCTAATGCATGTCTTTATTTCCTTCAATAAAGTATATAAAATGGTCAAGAATATAAAAAAAAGTTGCAGCTATCACAAGTAATGGTGGTTGCAGCATTTTTGTCAATGGTTTTGGAATAATGTCAGCACTCATTTCTGTTGAGTAGATTGTTAGAAGGGGACATATCTTTCATTGTCATTAATAATGCCAAACTTTTTCCAAAATGATGACACTAATTCATGCTCCTATAGCAGCACATGTGAGTAGTCATTTCTCCAAATCTTTGTGGACTCTTAGTTTTATCTCTCTCTAAAATTTCTACCACCTGGATTAGTCTTTCATTTGGATAGACTTTTACTTAAAATTTTTAACAAAAATGCACTAATAAATAATAAAATAAATGTTAATCACACCCAAAAGCACCCTCACAAAAATATCCCTGAACATATGCCACACATCTGGGCACTGTGGCCCAGCCAAGTTGACAGACAAAATTAACCATCACACACCCTGACTCCATTGCTTGCATAGTTGCCGCTTCAACTTTCTGGTCTCAAGTCAAATATGACTATGTCAATGACCCTCCCTTACACCCAGTCTAAAGTAGCCTGCCTTTTTTATTTCATTTGTGTGTATGTGGCAAGTTTTACTGTTTAAAATTAGCACTTTTTGGTTTACCTATTTATTCCCTGTCATCTTTACCTCCTTCACTGCCAGCTGTGTGATGCTAAGAATGTTTGTCTTGGTCACCACTACACTACCCAGTGACACAGGATTTTCTTCTCAATCACTTTGCAAATCAGGATCTCCAACTGGTGAGACCTGGGCCTTGCTCAGCTACGCTACCTGCTATAGGAGACAGCCCGCCCACTCAGCCTTCCTGGGCCAAGTCTGGCTTGTGCACCAGTTCCCAAGTTCTTGTCCCCCACCCAAGAAGAATGAGGATGCACTGACAATCAAAGAATGAGCAAGACAGGGGGTTTTATTGAGTGATGAAACAGCTTTCAGCACAGAGGGAACACGGGGGTGGTCCCCCTACCCAAAGGCAGGGAAGTCCCCCTGATAGGACTGAGTCCAGGGCTTTTATGGGCTCAGAATCAGGGAAGGACAGGCCATAGGTAGTACTGGAAAAGGCAACATTCAACTGGTTAAAAGGCATTATTAAGAAAGAACCAATCAAGGCTGGGCACGGTGGCTCATGCCTGTAATCCCAGCACTTTGGGAGGCTGAGGCAGGTGGATCACAAAGTCAGGAGATCGAGACCATCCTGGCTAACATGGTGAAACCCTGTCTCTACTAAAAATACAAAAAAAAAAAAAAAAAATTAGCCAGGCGTGGTGGCGGGTGCCAGTAGTCCCAACTACTCAGCAGGCTGAGGCAAGAGAATGGCGTGAACCTGGGAGGCGGAGCTTGCAGTGAGCCAATATCGCGCCACTGCACTCCAGCCTGGGCAACAGAGCGAGACTCCATCTCAAAAAAAAAAAAAAAAAGGAAAGAAAGAACCAATCAGAAAGGGTGGGCAAACAGGAACCGAAGTTCTCACTCTAGATAGTGGGTTTCATCTGGGACCAGCAGTCTGGTCTTTCAGCCTTCAGGCTGTTTTTGGCTTGAAGGTGGGGTTTTACTGGGAACCCACCCCATCTGCCTAGGCATTTGACTGCCTCCTGTCACTATCACCAGGGCATAATGCAATGCATGGCACTCCTTAGGCACTGTATGAGTTTGTATTAGTTTGGATCATGGAAGAAACCAATGCCAAGATATAGGTAAAAGAGCAAGAGATGTATGGGCGCCACCTATGAAAGATAAAGGGGTCTTAATGAGCTCTGATAGCTGAGCAGGAAGAGGGGAAGGGAGAGGGCTGAGTAGGCAGAGTCTTAGACTGCAGCACAGTTCTAGGAAAGTCTCAGCCTGCCCACTGCAGGGTCCAGTAGAGAAGTCCCACATACCACAAGAATAGAGAGCCATATTCAACCACTGGCTGGGAAATGTGCCCCAGGAGACATGTGTCCTGGCACAATGCATGAGCCATTCAGAAGGTCAGAGGCTGGGCTGCCAGTCACAACCCCCTCTGATGGACAGCTGGGTGGAGCATTTTCATGTCCATTCCAGGCACTTAATAACTATTGAGTGATTGAATGGGTGATTGAATGAGTGAATGTTCTCGTTCAACATCCCGCTCTATCTCTCCTTAGCACAGGACATGGATGACAGCCACATTCCTCCCTCACCAATCCTGAAGCTGTCCCTTGGCCTCTGTGTACTTGCATTGCATCCTCCTGGTTTCCCTCCTACCTCTTTAGCCCTTCTATTTCCTTCTCTCTTCCCTCTTCTTCATCTTCTCTGTGATATAAGGGTGTCCCCCAAACTTCCACCTTCTGCCAGCCCTCTTTCTTCCACCGCTCTGTCCTCTAGGCATGGAACATGAGAGAGGTGCAGGAAGCCATTGTCTGGGTGAGATCAGTAATAGCTATGGTTTATGGAGTGCTCACTGTGTGCCAGGCCCTTGACTGGAGCTTTCATTTGCATTATGTTCGTTATCCTCACTTAGACCCTAAAGAGGCATTAGCATCCCATTTTACAGATGTGGAAGCTGAAGCTTAGCGGGACTTAGCACAAGGTCACACGGCTTATAAATTGCCAGAATTCAAACCCAGGTCTACATGACTCCAAAGCCCCTATTTTCACTAGACTGGAGGTCTTTGTGGTTAGAAGCCACACTTTACAACTTCTTATATCCCATGGCACCTAGCTAGCTGAACACACAGTAGGTGCTTAGTGACTGCTGAGCACCTAATGGGTCCCCACCCTGATACACATTCCCTGCTGAGCCCCTGTCAGCGGCAAACAGGTTAACTGCTCAGTCGGAGGGAGCCTGGCTTTGGGCAACCTCTTTTAAATAATGAGCCTCTGGTATTCTTGCTAATGACATTCTCTTCTCACTGCTTCAGGTTTTACTCACAGGAGTAATGAATTAATTAGTGAATATGGGTGAGAAGCTCTTTGAAGTTGTAAAAAGCCCAGAGTACAAATACTAAGAAAAGGGACCAAACAGACTGCATCAGATGCCCTGTCAGTGGCGAACAGCTCCGTGTGGCTGAGCCGCCTACTCTCTGGGAACAAGCACAGACAGAACAAAGAAAGGAAAAGGGGGCACCCAGGGGCACCAAGAGCACACCCAAACACCCAGGCCAGCCGTCCCAAGCTCACTGTCCCAGGCTCCCCGTCCCCTCTGCAGGCCTGGCAAACAGTTTATTTATTTGCAGGCCTGGCACACAGTTCACTCACAGAATAATAGTGGCTGCCTGGATTGCTGTGCAGGAGAAGAATCTGGGGCCATCTTGAGGCTCAGCAAGAAAGAGTGCCACATTATCAGTGTCTGCTGCACCCAGGAGCTTACAACAGCCATCATGTACACTTGCAATCTTTAGGCCAGCTGAGGGCGGGCTGATGGAGAATGAGTTTGGCTGGTGTGGCTCAGGTCTGCAGGCCTCTCTCCTTCCCCTACTGGGATCAGCTGTTAGCTCAAGCATGTTCCCCTTGTGGTAATGGCAGAGGTGCAAGGAAATAGACAAGCCCAGTCACTCAAGTGCATCCCAAGCCTCCATCTGTGCTCACTCACTAACAAGCCATTGGACAAAACAAGCCCTAAGAATGAGACGAGCCCAGAGACAAGAAGTGAGGAAGTGTGGCTGACCACAGTGGAAGGACATTGCAAAATTACATGAAAAAGAGCTGGATACAGAGAAGGGTAAAGAATTGATGGCATTAATTCCTCCAATACCAGGAAGGAGGAGGAAGAGCAATTAAGCCAGGTGTTTTGCATACATGTCCAACAATCCCAATTCTTTACCTTGCTGTTTCTGCAAGGCCACATGCTGGAGCAGAACAGTGCCTGCACTCCTTTAAATAGGATGTGGATCTCTGGTTCATCAGCCCCAATCAGGTCTGCTTCCTTCACACATAGGAGGCACTCCAGCGTCTGTCTGGCTCCTGAGGGCATTGGAGGCTAACACTACCATCATAAAATACTCTTAACATTGCAGGTGGCATGCATACCTGACAGTACCCAAACCAAGGAGTCTCCTACCAAGTAAAGGAAGTATTGCTAATTCAGTTGTCTTATGAGATAAATAGCTAAATAACAATGTGGCCCTTGTTTGAACATTCTAAACTTGGTGAAGTATAAACATGAAACATTTACTCTAATTGTTGCCTTCAATGTGGCTATGTTAAGCCTCCTCCTCAGTCCACCTGAAGACACAGTGTCCTGTTTAATTTGGCCTTCGCATTGCCCCCTCCTCTCAGTGCTCACTGTATCTTGTCCTGAAGAAATTGGAGAGAGGAGGGGCTGCTACATTCCGTCCTTCCCTCCCCCGTCTCCGTCTCCAGGGAAGGGAGATGTCTTCTCCAGGGAGGAAGGAAAAAGTTATTTTACTTGACGGATCATTGTAGGCCACCTATGAGCTCCAAGTAGTTGGTACTCCAATGCTCGCTGTCCCACGGGTGCACATAGGAAGCCCTCTGGGGTCTCTCCACTGCACTATTTCCTAATGTGAGAGATGCACTCTAAAATATCTCCCAGTTCCTCCATAGACACACTCACGTCTCTCGCCCTGGCAACCCACCCCACGGGCTGCACACCAGCAACACGATGTGTCAGACACCTTTGATCCCCATCTCTCATCCTCTCAGCCACCACTGTGCTCCGGCCATTATCATAGCAACTAGTGATAGCACCCTGCCTCTGCTGCAGGCATCTCTTGCTTTCTGTCTGGGGCCTCTCACCTTATGAGCTGCATGCTGGAGTCTGGTCAGCCACTCTGGTGCATGTGCAAACCAGAAGTGCAAGCACAATCGCACCTCCAGGACCCTACATGACGAATGAAAACTAAAACACAGTTTTCTACGTCTTCCGTTAACAATTTCAAGGCGGCATCCCAACTGTTGCCCATAGCGGCAACACAACTGCCCGCAGCAGTGACCTGCTCAAGAATGCACCCATGGGATTGGCTTTCCCTCCTTCCATATCACTTTTCCCATCCCTCTGTTCCTGATCCCCAGAATGTTTATGACAATTCACTAAGTTAATATAAATGAATACTTAGCATGGTTCTTGGCACATAATGGTGAACAAGTATTAAGTATCACTGTAACATTCTATTGGATGTGTTTCTCAAATAATTACAGAACTTTCAAAATATTGCATAAAAATGTAAAATATATATAGTACACATTTGTTATATGTATTACACATGAATATATATAGTACACATTTGTTATACATATTACACATGTAATATAAATGATAGCCACTGTCTACATGTAGCTTTTGAGCATTTGTTGGTGCCACATGTTCAAATGTTTTCCATGTATGGGGTTACATAAAATATACTATTAAAATTAATTTCATCTGTTTTTTCATATTATTAATATAAAAATTTTATGTTAATGTTAACAGACATGTTATGTTATATTAATATGTGGTAATTTACAATGTTAGTGTTTCAAACAAAAATGTTTAAGTTACATATGTAGCTCACATTATATTTTTATTGGACAACACTGCTATATAAGGTGCTTAACACAGTACCTAGAACAGAGTAAATTTTCAATAAAATCATTACTTTACTCAAAGTTATCTCATCTAATCCTATGAGGTAGGTGCTATTACCCATTTTACTGATAAAGAAACTGATGCATAGCCAAGCAAGTAAATAACCTGTAGGCAGCTCCAGTGCCAGGCAGTGGTAGTAGAGCTGGGACTCCGATCCTGTCCCTGCATTTCCAGAGCTTATGCTCTCTCTCCTATGATATGTTCACTGTTTTGAAGACATCGGTTATCTGATTCTCCTAAGTGACCCACTGCAAAAACCTGAAACTCAAAGTTCCTGGGATTCGTCCCAGTGGGGAGCAAGGACACACAGTTTGGTTTGACCATGGCAGGTTCCTCAGCTGGGCTTGAGGGGAGAAACTTCCCACAGGGCAGGGACCTGGAAGATGGGAACATCTCCTGAAGGGGAGGGAAGCTGATGAGTTTCAGAGACCAGCACCAAGACAGGCAGGGACCCTGGGTACTGGGCCCTGAGTGAGAATCACTTCCTGATTTGATCACAGGTTTTCACATGACTTTGGTTTTTTCGGCAGCTCCATCCTTATTAATATTATGTGTCTAAGAGGAAGTGACATTGATTGTTGCTGATAGGCAACAGTGTGGTCTATGCCATCAAAAGTCCACCCTTCTTGTGGCAGGACACTGAGACTGCCTGCTGGGGCCCGCTGCTGGGGAGAGACAGCTAAAACACGTCAGTGGTTGCCTCAGTGACACCCAAACCCTCAAACCCACCCAAATCTAGGGTGACATGAGACTTTTGGCCACAGTCTGAAGTCTGATCCTTTAATTGTAGGTGGAGAATCAGGCCCAAGAGTTTAAATAATAAGAAGATGCTCCAATAGACAAGGAGTAAAAGGGACTTGGGGACATGGAGGTCTGGGGTGCAGAGTAGGAAATGGTCTTGGGAGTCATAGTCAAGGCCAAACACTGTTTCTCCAAGGCTCTCAGCTGGCTTGAGCTCAGGTGTAACCTGCACCAGCCATAGTCCTGGGAACAAAACCTCAGACACCTGCCATCCTCATGCCCTGGAATTGTCTGGAGGCTCCCAACCTCTCTCCTGTGGCCCTGAACTGAGGCCATTGGAGCTGAGACGAAACAGACCAGTTTGTTGAAAAGCACTGGACCAGATTGAAGCCTGGGTTGGCAGGGCTTGGAAAGGACAGGGGGCGATTAATAGTCAGGACCCACAAAGAGATCCCTTCAACTACAAGTTTACATTCAAAGCATCAAAGGTAGGCCAATTTGGATTGCCCAGAACTTGAAGCACTTCGTAATAACAGCAAGGACTCAATAGCACCACCTTCTGGCTAAAAGAAAAACTATAAATTGCAGAATTTGAAACCAACATTCAAAGAAGCAGTTCTAATCAAATGGACCTGCAGAAATCATTTCCTGAGTCAAACCTCTCATTTTACGAAGGGGGAAACTGAGGCCCTGAGAGATAGGAGACTTTCAAAAGACCAAACAGATTGTTGAAGGTAAGCTTGAATTTGAGACTCCCAACTTTCAGTTAAAGGTGTTTCACAGAAGGCTGTAGGAAATAGGGATGGAGCTTAATGGCCATTACTACCAAGCTGTTGTGCCAAGCAGCATGATAATGTAGGTTAGTATCATCCCCACTTTACAAAGGAGGCTCCTTAACTGGGCTCAGGTCTCAGAACCTGTGTCCAGGAGTGTTGGTGCCACAGCTAGAGTTTCCTAACTACAACATTTCTCTGCCTCTGGTGAACTAAAAACTAAAACTCTGAAGATCTCTATTGCAGGTCCTCCCCTCTAGTCACATCTCCTAATGTCTTCAACATCAGGAGGGAAAGGAAGCCGCTGGGGTGCTCCATAAAGAAAAATTATTAGCAGCATCACTATCTGCTCACTTTTACCAGCTATAGAGAAAACTCAAATAACATCTCCAAAGGCAGGTGTAGAACTTGTATATGCTCCACGGTTTTTTCAAAGACTCCTGGACTCCACACAGTTGAACTTTTGGACTGCTTAAGGCCAAATGGCATCTAATATTTCCTACACTGCACGGTGCCCAGTACACTATTCCACAAGGATCATCTGCACAGACCCATGCCTGATGGTTTATTTAGAAATGGAGCAGGTCCTCTCCCCAACACAAGGAAAAGCTTGATGACAATCTCAGAAATCAGAGAACCCCATTCCCAGGAGGACCATTTTTTAAACGGGCACTGGTGCTCAAGAAAAGCATTGTCCCTAAGTAAACGAGCGTTGAATGAATGATAGGAAACCCAGAGAGAACACGTCCTGACATCCATCAGGTTCCCTGTGATAGAATTCACATTTGACCTCCTTTGGTAATTTTTCCCAGGCTTCTGACTCTCAAAAAGTCAGACATCCCTGGATTTGTCACTTGTCACTCTATATGTATTCCATTCATGACTTCCACTTCCGTCTAAGCACTGATGCTCCCCAAACCCTAATCTTTAGCCCTATCTTTTCTGGGGGGCTAGATTTAACGGTGTCATGACCTTCTTACATCAGTTAGGAATGCATTCACTCAGTTTATCAGAAAGCCTGATGTGCCGTCCTGAATTAAATAAGCAGAGCTTTATCTTTTTCGCATAACAGGTTGTCTGGAGGTAAGTGATTGCTAGCATTCATTCAATAGCTCGATGACGTCAAGGCCAGAATCAAGGCTGTTCTCTTGATTTTCTATCTGGCTTATTGCTTCAAAGTTTTATGCAGCTACTGCCTATGAGGCAGTAAGAAAGAGAGTGGAAGCATTGCCTGCTGTCTGTTTCCATTTCATCAGGAAAAGCATGATGCATCCCAGAACACCTGGAGAATTCAGAACCCAGTAATAGAGCGGCCCTTACTGCAAGATGCACCATGCACATTTGAGGTGCTGTTAGCTGGGAAGATAGGATGGTAGCAGGCCTTAATATTGTCACAGAGGTTAGCAATGTCTGCCCTGAAATCTGTCATTCTCCTGAGACCACATCCTTGCCCTCAACCCCATCACCCAATTAGTTATCACATTCTGCACTTCCTGTTCAGAAGTCCCTCTCAAATCAATTATTTCCTTCCTGTCTCCTCCGTGAGGATCTTAATTCAAATCTGTATCATTCCTCATCTGATTAACAATATTGAAAAGTCCCTCTGTATCTGGCCCCCACTTCCCTCTCTATTCTCTTGTCTTTACTGAAACCATTCCTTATGTGCACACACAGACACACACAAATGTGCACGTATACACTCCTCACTGCTCTGGCCACTTGACTACAGCCCTTCCCAATCCCATCCTGTCCTCGCCAAATCCCCACTCTCTTACTCCAGTATATTTGTTCTGTTTTCATTTTTCAAGATGGCTAAGATGATCATTCCTCCAGGAAGATTTCCTCAACTCCCCGTGTATGTTAGGGGCCCCTCCTCTGTGCTCCCACAATATCTAGTATTATGACTTCCACTTCTATCTAAACACTGATGGCCCCCAAACCCCAATCTTCAACCCTACCCTCTCTGGAGGCCTAGCTTTAATGGTGTCATGACCTGCCTGTATCAGTTAGGAACCTATTCACTCAGTTTCTCAGAAAGCCTGATGTACAGTCCTGAATTAAATAAAGCAGTCCTTTACCTAGCTCACATATCAAGCGATCTGAAGGTAAGTGGTTGCTGGCATTAGTTCAATGGCTTGAAAACATGAAGGCCAGCATTAAGGTTGTTCTCTTAACTCTTTGAGAAGTTCCAATAATAATACCTCCCTCCCCTGCCCAGTTCTGAATTCATTCAGAAATAAGACAAAAGAGTCAACTTGTGAAGAACAAGTACATCATCTATTTACTGACTAAAAACTGACATTGGAGAATGCCCAGGATTAGACTTATTCATTCAGTTTCAGGAAACTGGGGTGTTCCTGGGGCAGAGCAGGGGCACATGCCAGGGGTGTTTCTCAAAGGCAGCACCCTCCATGTGGAGGGGAATGTCAGGCAGGGGAAGGAACATTCCCCTCCACTCCCAAACCTAACTTCACCTCTTACCACATTATTCTGGTGTCATGTTTCTGGGTCTGTTTCCATCACACTGCATCTACTGTGAACCTTGCTCTGTGCTGTAGCCAGAGGGATCACATGGACTTGCCCCTCTGCCCTTCTCATCCTAGCAATCAGAATAGTCTTCCTAAAGACCCATAGGGAATCATGTCACTCCTTTCCCCTAGCTGCCTGGAAGAAAAAGTGCCTTGCAGTTTAGCATGGTATACAGATCCACCCCAGTCTGGTGCCACCCATCTCACCTCCAGCCACTCTCGTCCTTGCCTCCAGGGTTCCAGCCACACCAGACTCCCAGCCTTTCCTGGACAGGCCACACCTTTTCCTGCCTCTTCCTCTTGGCACCTCTGCTCCGTTGGCCTGAACTAAGCATCCCCTTTTTTATTCTGCCCTCCATATACAATTCTGTTTATTCTTTAAGACAAAGCAAAGTTTCTCTTCTCTGTGAAGCCTTCTCTTAACACTTGCCCCAAGGCCAGTCGTAAACATTTGGATCTCCAATAATTATCTGGTATGTAACAGGACCTCAGTAAGAGCTTGTAGAATGAAGGCATTATTGAATAAACATGAAAAGGAAGGAATGAATGAATGAACATATCTTCCCAATTGGATTGAACACTTCTTACAGGCAGGAACCATGCCTGACATTTTTGGAGTCTACACGTGAATCTCTCTCAATCATTACCTAAAATATAACAAGAGTTTAATAAAAGCTTGCAGAGTGAGGCATTATTCACTCTGCAATAAATATGTGAATGTGAATGAATACGTGGATGAATCTACCCAACTAGAATGTAAATTTCTTGCAGGCAGGAGCCCTGCCTTATCCTCTCACATACCTCACCGCAAACGAAAATGACGATAACAGTGACAGCTCCATTGACAATGATAATGACCACCACTGAATCAGCAGGGCTCTTATCCTTTCTCTTCCTCCCAAATGTACAGTGCATCGGAGGATGCTCTCCAATCTCACTGCGCTGTTGAAAGGAATAAATGATAACATGTCACAGCAACATTTTGCAAATATAAAATGCTCTCCAAATGGTTTTACTCCCAGGGCAGTCCCTGGCTCTGAAGGAAAGTGGCTGTCTACCCACTTTAGCAAAGACTTGTGTTCTGGGATACACCCGGAGCAATACCTTGCATCTGCTAAAAGGTTTCAGAGCAAGAAAACATCTTGCCTGAGCAGAAATATGGGCAGCTTCAAAATTGCTGGCAGTGGTAAAGCTCTGACTGATGCTGTCTCCCTGAATTCGGTGTCTGGTTGAACCTTATCCTCCCCTTTTGTTCTGGACAGGTTATAAGGACATTTTTACTGCAAGTCAATAAGACCTTTTGTCTCTGTGGCCAGGGTGCTGGTCTTCCTGTGGGCTGCACCTGCCAGGAGGGGCTCTGTGGCAGCAATTGCGGTCTGCCCCCAGAACTTCAGATTAAACTCCAGCCAGCTGTATTATATGATCCTGAGAAAATAATTCATCTCTCCAAGCCTCAGTTGCCCTTTTAGTCTCTAAGTCTCCAGAGGGCAAGGAATATGTTCTCTTCATCTTTCAAATCAATCCAATAAAATTTATTTCTTTGATTTGCGTACTCAGCTCCAGCCACACTGGCCTTGTGCCATTTCTGGGAAATGCCAGACACATGCCAGCTCTGGGACTTTCACACTAGCTTTTCCTCCCGCCGGATAGCAACATGGCTCTCTCCTCACCACTGTTTACTCTTTGCTGACAATCCTACTTGTAATTACAACCCCATCCACACTTCCTGTCTCACCCTGCCCTGATTATTTTTTTTCCATTGGCCGGGCGCAGTGGCTCACGCCTGTAATCCCAGCACTTTGGGAGGCTGAGGCGGGCAGATCACTTGAGGTCAGGAAGTTCAAGACCAGCCTGGCCAACATGGTGAAACCCCATCTCTACTAAAAATACAAAAATTAGCCAGGCATGGTGGTGTGCGCCTGTAGTCCCAGCTACTTGGGAGGCTAAGGAAGGAGAATCGCTTGAACCCAGGAGGCAGAGGCTGCAGTGAGCCCAGATCGCACCACTGCACTCCAGCCTGGGCGACAGAGTGAGACTCCATCTCAAAGAAAAAAAAAATCTCCATAGCATTTACTGCCTTCTAACATTCTACATAGTTTGCTCACATATTTGGTTTCTCATCTGTCACCCACCTCCTATCCCATTACATAGGAAGATCTAGGATGACAGAAATTTGTGTCTTTTTTTCACTATATAGAATAGTGCCTGGTACATAGTCGGGCTTAAAAATATCTGTTGAATGAATAAATTAATTTAACACAACTATTAAGCACCTGCTATACAACAGACTCTGGCATGTGGAAATAAATAAGATAGCCCTCAAGATGCTAGGCATCTAGCAGGAGACAGAGATAAGGGCAAATAGATTCATTGATTCATTTTACCAATAAAATGGAATCAGAAATGGAAAATGATGGGTTCAGGGCAACCCATGGGAAGAATTAATTATCTTGGGAGGAGAGAAGAGTCAGGTGTCCTAAGGGATTGACTCCTGCCCTTAGCTTACAGGGGAAAATAGAATTTCCTAGGGTTTAGGGAGCTGGAAAGGCTGTTTCAAGGCAGAAGTCTTGATTTAGAAAGCACCAAAGACAACACTCTGCCATTTGCTGAAACATTTTTATTATTAGCAGAGATGTGTAGCTCCAAGATTGTTTAATAAGTGTGTATTTCTGTTTAGAAAGAGACAATCTCAGGTGACTTCTAGCTCTACTCCTTTATATGTCTACGGTTCTGTGATACCTTATAGGTTGAATATCCCAAATATGAAAATCCAGAATCCAAAATGCTCCAAAATTTGAAACTGTTTGAGTGCCAACATGACTCTTGAAGGAAGTGCTCACTGGAGCATTTCTGATTTTTGGATTTTCAGATTTGAGATGCTCAACTAATGAATATAATGCAAACATTCCAAAATCCAAAACACTTCTGGTCCCAAGCATTTTAGATCAGATACTCAACCTGTGCCAAAACCCTCTTCCAGACAAAAGAATGTCCCAACAAAAAGTTGGGGAGGGAATGACTTTCCTTCTACCTCTGAGGTTCAAAACCTGGGTCTATAAAACAAACAAGAAATAGGTTAACAGGAAAATAGATATACAAATGTATTGTGTGTATGAAGGCATCACAGGAAAAAAAAGCAAATAACCCCCAAAATCAGTGAGATTTGGTAGCTTATATACCCTCTTCATAGAAGAGAGTGGAGTGGAGATGTAGGAACTTAGGGGAGCATAAACAATTTTAAGGAAAGGTAAGTGGGCCCTTAGGAGAACAAATAGGAGATAGGAAAGTTGTAACAAGATCTGTCTGGGTGGGGAGGTTGACTTCTAGCCTCCTCTCTTGTGATACAAGTTAATCTTCCCTGGTTGATGAAACTACTGGGAAGCAGATTGATGACAACTGAGGTTTTTTTGAACTGTCTGTCTTTAGGCAGTTAAGGAGAGATCAGAAAAAAGCTTCTCCCTGTGCTTGTTGCTTCCCAAGTTTCTTCAGGTCAAAGTCATCAATATTCCAAAGTGGCATATTTTAGAGTGACACCTTGAACTCCTTCAATTCCCCAACCCCCGCACCAAAAAAATTGATCATTATAACATTTTTTGAGAAAGAAATTCTCACCAGTTAAAATGCACATTTTCAGAGGAAGCTGATATGAGTCTTGAGTTACCAGAACAGATTGTTTTATTAAATATTTTAATTGACACCTGGAAATAAGTAGGATGCTTGGAGAATGAGAGACAAAATAGGGAAATTTTGATGGAGATGGCAACAGTATAGACCAGGGGTGAGCAAAATATGGCATGTGCCAAATCAGCCCACTCTTGTTTTGGTATGACCCACAAGCTAAGAATGATTTTCCCATTTTTAAATCAGCGAGGAAAAAATCAAAATAAGAATACTAATTTGTGACACGTGAAAATTATATAAAATTCAAATATCCAAGTAAGGTTCCAATAAGGTTCTACTGGAACACAGCATGCTCATTGGCTTGCATGGATGCTCTTCTACAAAAGGACAGAGTTGAGTAGTTGCAACACAGTGTACAGCCTGTAAGGCCAAAGTATTTACCGTTTACCTTTTACAGAAAGTTTGCAGAAATACAATAGCGGGTCTCAACTCCATCTGCACCTTAGAATCATTTAGGTGTGTTTTAAAATATCTCAATGCCTGAGCTCAACTCCCAAAGATTCTGATTTAATGGGTTTAAAGTAGGGCCGAAATACCAGTGTTTTTTAAAAGCTAACCAAAGTAGATACCATTAGTGGTCTAAGGTAGGCCACAGCCAGCCTTAGTAGAGTCCACGATACATTAGAAAAGCCCATCAGAGGTACACTGGACAATTCTCAGAGTGAGGAAGCACAGCACCACCAGGCAGTGGCTTACTTCCTTTTCTGACAAAGCCCAGAGCCCCAGACTTTAATCTTCTCATAAAGTAGGATAAGGATTGTGAAACCTAGCTGAGGAAGCATCCTAGTATCATGGGGAAAAGTGTCTGCTTGGCTAATTAAAAGTTGCGTAGTCTTGGGCAAGTCACAATTTACCAGAACCTTGGGTTTTTCAACTGAAAATCAAAATTATAACTACACAGAGTCATGGTGAAGATTCAATGAGATCCTGACTGCATTTGGGCATGTATCTTATTCCACCACCTGGATGCTGTAAACTGATAGCTTACACCTGGATACTGGAAGCCAATTTAGAAATGCACAACTATTAGGCTTTTTTCAGTAAATAATAATAGCTCAGAAATTACCAAAGGTTAAAGATCAAGGCAGATTAAGCTACTCCCCTACACATTCACCACCAGGATATATGAAAGCAGGGCTCAGATTAGATAGTTCTTGTGATGACTCATGTTATGTGTCAGCTTGGTTAAGCCACGGGATCCATATATTGGGTCAAACACCAGTCTGGATGTTGGTGCGAAGATATTTTTAGATGAGATTAACATTTAAATCAGTAGACTTTGGGAAGAGCACATTTTTCTTCTTAATGTGAGTGGGCTACATCCAAACAGTTGAAGGCCTTAAGAGAAAACAGACTAAGGTCCCCCTAGGAAGAAGGAATTCTGTCTAGAGACTGTCTTTAAACTAGAGCTGCAGAATCAACTCTTCCCTGGGACTCCAGTTTGCCAGGCTGCCCCAAGGATTTCAGACTTGATGGCTTCCTCAACTCTACTAACAAATTCCTTAAAATAAATCCATAGATCAACAGAAAGGTAGGTAGACAGATAGATAGATAGATTAGATAGATAGATAGATAGATAGATAGATAGATAGATAGATAGACAGATAGATAGACAGACAGAGAAAGCAAGACAGTTATAATTTAAATGTTTTTGTCCCTTCCAAAATTCATGTTGAAATTTAACCTAATCTACCAGTATTGGGAAGTATGACCTTTAGGAAGTGATTGAGTCACCTCAGTTGAATAAGATTATGTGCCCTTATAAGAGGGTATAATGAAGACAGTTCACCCGATTTTGCCCTTCTGTGTTCCACCATGTGAGGATACAGCAAGAAGGTCCTCACCAGACACCAGATGCCAATGCCTTGATTTATGACTTCCCAGCCTCCAGAACTGTAAGAAATCGATTTCTTTCTTTATACATTACCCAGTCTCAGATATTTTGTTATAGCAGTACAAACAAAGATAGATAGATGGATGAATAGATAGATAGATACATACATACATACATACTTACATGCATACATACACAGACACACATACTATTGGTTGTGTTTCCCTGGAAAGCCCACATTAATAAAGTGCTACACATACAGTCATGTATTAAACAAGCATCTATTAGTAAGAAGGCAAAAACTTTTCATCCAACTGGTTCTATAAGTTCAATGAAGAACCTTGCTCTCTGTCCATTATGTGAACCATTTTGCATGCCAAAATAATCTACAAGTCAGAATTAGGTTTCCCTTCTATTAGTATCAGGCAACCAGAAACATCAACCTAGCTGTGGGAGGACCCTTTAAAGATCAAGCATGAGGCACCAGTTCAAAAACACAGGCTCCAGGGCTTGCTAGATTCCCAGACTTGGTCCTTACAAGTTTGGAGAGTTTTCTCTAAAATATTTAGATAATCCACATACTGTGAGTAGAGTAGACTAATTTTGCCAATAAGAGTCTTTTTCTAACATCTATCATGCTAATTAGTAAGCCACATATAATACCAATGAAAACTCATTTCTAAACTCATTGCACTAATTAGCATATTCCCTGTTATTGATAAAGGAAAAAGGTAACAACAGAGATTGTCATAGCCATTTCCATAAGATGAGCTTTCTGAATTAGATTACTTGCTGGCCACTCCTGGGAGGTGAATTCCTGATTTATGGTAACTGACTGCACCTAGGGTGTGGTTTAAACTAATTGGCACATATAAGAAATCACACTGTGATACTAAAGTATCTAAAAGTAAATTGCAGACATTGTAAGGATGAGGAATAAGGAATGTCACGTTGCTAAATCAAATTTTAATCTGCTTTAAGCAACTATCCCACTGAGCAGCAGGGAATTCAATTGCAGTCCCCAATGGGATCCTCTTCCTATACCCCTCCTTTTAGGTCACATGAGGGTCCTGGGAGGCTTATGTCCCTAGCATCCAAGAAATCCTCACTGATCTCTCCTCCAGGTGCTTCTTTTGATGTGCTCACAATTCAAGATCACCTCAAGCCTGGCTTCAGGGACTTTTGCCAAGTTTGGAAGCCCAGGTTCTCAGGCCAGTCTCTACAGACAGCTGCACCCCTCTGCAGGACTTGGACACGGAGCCCCACCCATCATGAAACCTCCAAACTCCCCTCAACCCCTTTCCTCTTCCCATTTTCTGGGAAACTCTCTACCTTGAACACCCCTCCATCTTTAGAGGAGAAAACCCCAAAGGACCACTAGAGTGTGGCGGCTACAAAGCAGTAGAGAAACAGGTTGAATCCTGAGTCTTGGTGCCAGAAAAAGAGATGAAAGAAGAGGGCAGGCCAGGGCTTGAACCAAGAAAGGGTCACGTGGGATTTCCCAGAAGGTGTGGAATGAAGAAGGCTTCTCAGAACAGGTGACTCTGAGCAGGACTGAAGTGGGGATGTGCAAAGATCTGTGGAGAGGAGGGGAAGACCATTGTAGGATGATGAGAGCAGGGATCAGAAATAAATTTTTGGAGGCTGATCCCTGGCTAGAACCATTTTCCTACAGTTTAATGGTTTTCTCACCTTGCTCCCAGTGGGGTAACCCAACTGAGAAGACAAGTAGCTGTTGGGGGCCAGGTGAGATGCTGTGGCTCAGGCCTGTAATCCTAGCACTTTGGGAGGCTGAGGCAGAAGGATTGCTTGACATCAGGAGTTTGAGGTTATAGTGAGCTATGATTGTGCCATTGAATTCTAGCCTGGGCAACAGAGCAAGACCCTGTCTCTTTAAAAAAAAAAAAAAGTAACTGTAGAATTATTCTTGCAATGCTCAGCTCTCCAGATGCCATGAGCTACCCAGCCTCCTGGAGGGATGGGCTGATGGTGTTTTGCTCGCAAGGACTATCACAAACTGGAGGCCCCCCATCACAGACTCTGGTGCCTTCCCAGCTGTCTGTCCATGTTCCACAGCAGTTGGGTTAGAACAGTGGGTCTGTGAAGAAATCTCAGGCTGTTGACCTGAGTGAAAGTATCTGGATCTTCACCGACCTCCCTTGACCTTGGAAATCACCTCTTTGCTCCCTGCCAACCCAAGTACCCAATTGCACATCAGCTCTGGGTGTGATGGTGTCAAGCCTCATTTCAAGAATTTCTCTAATTGGCAGTGAAAAGGCCTGTTGGCATCTGAAGCTCCAGTTTGGCCTCTTCCTGACCATCCATTGGTGCTGCTCTTACCACAGCCACAAAGACAGATCCCATAGTCACTGTTCTCACAATGACTCCCACCAAGAGAAAACAGAAGTCAGATGAGATTGGAGAGAACAGCCCACTCACCCCCACCTCCAAGGCCCCCACACCCCACTCTTTCCAGGACCCTGCAGAGGTGCCTTGAATGTCCCCCCACTCTCTGCATTTCTACTGCCCCTCTACTCCAAGTCTGACTGTGCTCCTGCTCTACGAGAGACCTCCAAGCCTCCATGATAGTTAATTCTATATACCAACCTTGCTAGACCATGGTATCCAGACTTTTGGTCAAACACCAGTATGAATGTTGCTGTAAAGTTATTTTTAGATGAAATGAACATTTAAATCAGTAGACTCCGGTACATTACCCTTTATCATGTGAGTGGGCCTCACCCAATCAGTGGGAGGCATTAAAAGAAAACAGATTGAGGATTCCCCCAAGAAAGAGAGGGTTTTACCTTCAGGCTGCCTTCAGACTTCAGCTGCAACCTCAGCGCTTCCCTGTATCTCCAGCCTGCTCATTTATTCTGCAGATTTTGAACTTGCTAGCTTTTATGGTTGCATGAACCAGTTCCTTAAAATACATCTTTCTCTCACTTTCTCTCTCTCTCTCTCTCCACACACACACACACACACACACACACCCTAATGGTTCTGTTTCTCTAGAGAATATTGAATAATAACAACTTTCAAGAGGAAATTTTTTAGCATGCATTGAGCCATACGTCTCTCCTCTCATAAGATCAGTTATTGCATTTTGTGTAATTCATAGGTAGAAAAGGAAGAACAGAGAGTGAAAAAATGGAGTAAAGGCAAGGACTTTTAAAAAGAGGAAAAAAGAGAAAGGAAAAGGAAGAAAATGGGCGGCTGCTAAGAGAGGTCCTATGTCAGTTCAGGTCCTCCAGGAAGGAGACACCAAAACAGAGTTAGCAGTGTGAGAGATTTATTGGAGGGAAAAGTAGCTTGAGTTAAAGGGTAGAAAGAGCAGATGTAGGTAGAAGGAGACTTCAGCCCACGCCTCAGGTGTGACATCTATTAAGGCAGAGAGGAGAAGAAAGAAAATCAGGTAAGAAGAGCCTCAAACTGCAGTGCATCTGTGAGAAGGTATACTCAGCCCAGTGAGGTGCCCTAGGACAAAGATGGCCTGGAAAGGAAACCATCACTGGGTAGAAATGGCCAGCCCTAGGGATCACTCCGTGCTCACTCTTGGCTGCTGCTCCAACACTGCAGTGCATTCCGAGGGCCCACGGTAGTCAGCTGACTGGACTCCTCCCTGAAGGTTCTCTCCTGCATGTTCTCTCCTGATGTTCAAGAAGTGGAGCCACCTGCTGTCTCAAACCCTCATGGGCTTCCTCCACTTGGATGGATGACTGGGGAGGTAGCAGGGAATGGGCACGGAATTCACACTTTGGTGTTCTTTTTTTGTGGATTCCAATGCTTGTCTAACTCAATACTAAACTGTTCATTTACTTTTAGGGAAGACACTTGCAACAAAACTATTGCCCTGTTATGTTAGCCGTATCTGATGTGATCATCCCAGTGGGCAGATGTTGTGGTCACCCCAGCAGCTCCTTGGAGGGCCACCTCTCCATCACGCTCAGCCATGTTGTTCTGATGGCACTACCCTCATCCCTAGGCTTCAGAAGACAGGTCACCTAGCTGTGGCCAACCGGGACATTTCCATCTCGGGCTAAGTGATGGGTTGAGAGATAAGCTTGTGACTTGAGCCAAGTAATCAAAGCCTGGTCAGAAAAATAATCAGGAAACAGGTGTTCTGCAATCATCAGCTGTGAAGACAATGCAAGTTTGCAGACATCTTTGCCAGTAGGTGCAGAGAGGATGAGGCTAACAGAAGACAGGTGGAGACCTGAGGCCGAGCTAAAGACTTTTTTAAAAGGGAGGAACCTGAAAGAATTTACCACTAACAGATTGTCACTGAAAAAAAATTGCTAACATATGTGTTTCTTCTAGAAGGAAATTAAAATCAAAACAAAGGGTCTAGAAAGAATAGAAAACAAGGAAATTGAACTTTAAAAAGTGGGCACATCCAATCCAGCATTTGCAAGTCAGTAATAAATCAATTAATCAATTAAACCCTGTTGATTAATTTGAAATAAAAACAAAGTCAAAAGTAAATAGTAGACAACAATAACACATGAGACAAAAGGAGAGAATCCCAGGGTTAAAGCAGCTCAAGGTCCTTGCATTTTTCAGGAGGAGTCCAGACATATAACATAACTTAAGTATATGTTTAGTTAAGATGCACGTTAAAATTAAGGGTAAACACTAAAATATTAAAAACACAAAATAACTTCCAAATGGTTAGAGGAGAAAGGGAAGACTAAAGAAAAGGCAATCAAACTAAAAGACAGGGACAGGGATTTAGAAAAAAAGCATTAACAATGCAAATAGAAAAGTGAAGTGATAGGACTAAATCCAAATAGATCGGAACCCAGAGTAAATGTGGACTAAATTCTCCAGTTAAAGACAAAATGGTTACCAGGTTTGGGGAAAGAAATATAGAAGATGAGCCTGGAACACATTATGCCAGAAAGCAAAAATGTTATCAAAGATTACAGGGGTCACATCAAAAGGATTCAGGATCCCACTTGAAGAGGCTTCCACAGGCCAAAGTTGGGACAATTTGAAAATGCATCAGTAAGGATAATTGCAATGGATGGAAACTAGAAAATACATTTGCAATATCAAAACATAAACTCTATTAGCAAACATGTAAGCAAAACTGCAATTAAGTGACATCTCAAATATATCATAGTGATAATGGTATTTATTTTTAAATAAAATAAAATAAAAATAATTTTTCATTTTACTTTAAATAAGATAAAATTATTTATTTTCATAATAAAAATATGTTGCCCAGGTTGGTCTCAAACTCCTGGCCTCAAGCGATCTTCGCACCTCAGCCTCCCCAAACCCCTGAGATTACAGCGTGAACCAGCATGCCAAGTCCTATAATGGTAATTTTAAACGGTCATATTTGATCAGGTGCAGTGGCTCAAACCTGTAATCCCAGCACTCTGGGAGTCCAAGGCAGGCAGATCACTTGAGGCCAGGAGTTTGAGACCAGCCTGGGCAACATGGTGAAACCCCGTCTCTAATAAAAATATAAAAATTTTGCGGGTCTTGGGGGCATACATCTGTAATCCCAGCTACTCAGGTGGCTGAGGCAGGAGGATTGATTGAACCTAGGAGGTGGAGGTTGCAGTGAGCTGAGATGGTGCCACTGCATTGCAGCCTGGGTGACAGAGTCAGACTCTGTCAAAAAAAAATAAGGAAATCAACTACTTCTTTTTTTTTTTTTTTTTTTTTTTTTTTTTTGAGACGGAGATTCACTCTTATTGTCCAGGCTGGAGTGCAATGGTACGATCTTGGCTCACTGCAACCTCCACCTCCCAGGTTCAAGCAATTCTCCTGCCTCAGCCTCCCGAGTAGCTGGAATTACAGGCACCCACCACCACACCCAGCTGATTTTTTTTTTTGTATTTTTAGTAGAGATGGGGTTTTGACATGTTGGCCACACTGGTCTCGAACTCCTGACCTCAGGTGATCCACCTGTGTCAGCCTTCAAAGTGCTGGCATTACAGGCATGAGCCACCACGCCCAGCCATCAACTTCTATTTTTAGAAAGCTAGTAAGAAAAAGGAAAAACTCAAGCATCCATCCTGCCTTTCTCGTGCAAACAATACCTAAGGGTAACCAAATAATTAATAGGGAAAATATCTTATTATTAAATGATCCCATCTATTAAATGAAGAAAGGTTATAGAACTGGAATATAGAAGGAATATAGAATCACCATTTTGCAACCCTACTACAATGACAGATCCAGTCCAAGATTTGACAAGGTTTTTGTTAAAGGCCAGATAGTATTTTAGGCTTCACAGGCCTAAATGGTCTTTGTGGCAACTACTCACCTCTGCTCAAAAGAAGCCATAAACAATACACAAATGAATATGTATGGCTGCATTCCAATAAAGCTTTACTTACAAAAACGGGCAGTGGTCAGGATTTGGCTAATGGGCCACCACAGTTTGCTGACCTCTGATCTGGATGGTGGTCATCAATGTTTCCTAACATCTCAAAAAGAGAGACAATCCTACTGACCAAGCACTCTCAAGCACGATGCAGCTAACTTAAAAACAATAGCAAAAGAAAATCATATTCAGAAATGTTTAGTTACACTTCTAAAGATTTCAAAGATCAAAGAATAAATCAAAATGTAAATCAGAAAACGTTTAGAACTAAATGACAGCAAAAACACTGCATCGAGCTTGCAGAATTCACCTAAAGTGGTACTTAGAGGGAAACTATAGCCTTTAATATTACATTAGAAAAGAGGGAAGATTGAAAATTAATGAGATAAGCTTGCAAACATTTAGGGAACTAACAACAAAATAAATCCACAGAAGTAGAGGAAAATACATACTAAAGACAAGAGGAAAAGTTAGTAAATTGGAAACAAAAATACAAAACAGAGAAAAAAAAGAGCCAAAAGCTGATTATTTGAAAAGAACAGTAAAACAGACACAGCAGGTAAACCAGCTAACATTCACACTTCAAACAGTCAGGATAGAAAGGAACCA